>NC_000023.11:110587542-111212542 GCF_000001405.40 Homo sapiens | reverse complement strand
CTTTTGTGGACTGGCCTGGGAACCTAATCACTATGTATAATGCCACTTCTATGGGAAAATGTACTCTGAGGTCCAAATAATTAACTTAAAAATGTACTTTTGGAACACATCCTGTGAGTAAGCTGGGGACTCTCTTAGTAAAAAAAAGAAAATTGCTACCCACTACCCAGCTAATGAGAGACAAATACAGTTGTAGCCAATAAAACAATGACAACAAAAAGGGTTTTACTAGCAAAGTCAAGTATTAGATGAAGAAAGATTAAGGACAATAGTTCTGGGTGTGAGTGATAACATGTTGGTTTTATCTGAGCTAATGAAAACTCAAAGAAAAT
This sequence comes from Homo sapiens, assembly GCF_000001405.40. Taxonomy (NCBI): domain Eukaryota; kingdom Metazoa; phylum Chordata; class Mammalia; order Primates; family Hominidae; genus Homo; species Homo sapiens. The sequence continues at coordinate 111,212,210 of NC_000023.11, read as the reverse complement.
AAGGTGGCTATTAGAAATTAGACTACAGATTTCCCATATACTAGTTGGTTGCTTCTAATGTTAAGTAAGAAACCATATAATCATCTTTTCCCCCTTCTTCCTCACCCAGCAATCTTCCCCGCTCCACACCCTTATTATAAATAGTCCACCAGGTTCTATTAATGCAACCTTTAGAAATGTCTTTCATACCCATCCACTTCTCTCTATCCCTGTTGTCTTTGCTTAAAGTCGGGCTTCTTTCAGATGGTTCCAAAGTTACAATAACCTCCTAACCGTTTTTCCATTATTCAAGCTTTTTTATTCTTCAGTCCATCCTCCTTAACAATCTTATCTCATCACAGGTCTCATCATGTCATTCACTTCCTGCTTTAAAATTTTTTGTCACTCCCCATGGTCCACAGAGGTGGTTTTCAAACTGTGCTCCCCAAAATTCCTCTTAAGAGCAGTTAAGAGGGAAAAGAACAGGGAGAAAGAGGAGGAGATACTCTAAGACTCTCCCCAACACATACATTTTCTTTCTTTTTTTTTTTTTTTTTGAGACAAAGTCTTGCTCTGTTGCCAGACTGGAGTGTAGTGGTGCGATCATGGCTCACTACAATCTCCACCTCCTGGGTTCAAGCAATTCTCCTGCCTCAGCCTCCCGAGTAGCTGGGATTACAGGCGCCCACCACCATGCCCAGCTAATTTTTGCATTTTTAGTAGAGACAGGGTTTCACCATGTTGACCAGGATGGTCTTGATCTCCTGACCTCATGATCCACCTGCCTCAGCAACCCAAAGTGCAGGTCATGAGCCACCGCGTCCAGCCCACATACCTTTTTCAATCAGAAAATTTGTGCATTTTTCTCCATTTATTTGTGCTTCCAAGCAAGGTTTCACTGGAACCAGAGGATCATTATAGTTGTTTGAAAACTACTGATTCACAGGACATAGTAAAGATTCCTTAGGCAGTCCTGTATGATTTGCCCCCTGCCCACCTTTCCAGTTCCAGTTTCCATCTGTTCTCTTCTCACCCTAGGGCCCTTCTCCCAACTCCTCTCCCGCCCCGCCACACACATACACACTGGCTGAAGCTCACATACTACTCACACCAATTTGTTCATCATTCCCTGAATAGGAAATGCCTTTCATTGCTGCCTAAAATGCTATCCTCATTTGCCTTAAGTGCCTGGTAAACTTGCTTTTCAAGCACTGGTTAAAATGCCATCTCCTCTTTGAAGTCTTCTCCATCTCTCCTAGATAGGTAAACATGGTGACCAACCACTCTGGTTTTCTGGGGACTATCCTGGGTTTTAGTATTGAAGGTTTTGTGTCCCTCAATCTCAAGCAAACCAGGATAGTTCTATGGTCACCCTGCAGATGGAATTAGCCATTTCCTTCTTTGAACTCTGAGAGTTCTTGGTTTATATGTCTATTTTTACATTGTATTATATATGAACACTTGTTATTTGTTTACAGGTCTGTCTTCCTTCCTAGATTGTGAGCCCATGGAAGGTAGCAGCTGTGTTATAACCAACTGTGGATTTTGTGACAACTTGCTCAAAATAGGTGATCAATAAATGTTTTTGTTGCTGGACAAAATAGCCAAAATGTTTAAATTTAACTGAGCTGAGACTATAACAGACTTATATACATAAGTATTAAAGCTCAGAACCTAAAAGTGACCTATTAAAATCTAAGAAGATATGCAGAAAATGAAAAATAGCACCTTTTCTGAGCTGAACAGGCCTGGCATGTAATAACTTCTGATGACCCCACTGTTCAGTGTGGGAGAAGGAAGAGAGCTGTATGAATAGTGTATGTAAGGGGATGTCATCACCAAAGGGAGGGAAAACTGGAAAAAGATGACTAAAACATGGCCAATGCAGAAAGACCCATAGAGAAAGGGAAGAAAAAAAGTGTTCTCTGGAACTTGAAACATAGTTCAGAAACTTATTCTCTCTGGCTGTTCTTGAACAGAAAAGGTACTCTTGATTAATCTATTAGATCATTTAACAAGATCTGCTTTCTTCCTGAGGTGAGGCAATATAGGCCCCATAACCTACGGACCTTATTTATAATGTTAGAAATACAACCTTTGGCCAGAAAAACGGTGGCTTTCTTCCTTGTGATATAAGCATTACCTAGAAGTTTCTGATGTTCTCGAATTCTTCATAATAACTCTAAATATCTTGGTAATAACACACAAACATCAAAGTTTCCACTGACACTGATGTGCAACTGAATTTACCTAAGTACTAAGAGAAAACTAGGTTACCAAGTTTAAGGGATAATTCAATTTACTATATTAACAATTTCCTCAGTTAAAAAAGATCAAAGCAGTCATCATAGAAGTTACCACATTTCTCCAAAGAAGTCCCCACACAATCCATATGTACTCAATAAATTGTTATTAAGGCAGTTTTGCAACAGGACTAACCACTTAATTAAAAAGCTTTAGTTTGTGACTTCAGTTCATTACAACAGTTTATAAAGTTTAAGTTAAGAAATTAGAAAACAAACCAGAGGACTTACATGGAAACGTGTTAGCAACCATGAGGGGCCCCAGCACCAATATAAAGACTCACTTTACAAAGAGGATAGGGTGCAGTACAAACATTTCTTTGTAGGCTGAATATTTGAGATGCAAAACACATTTTACCATGGAAATCATATGATACATGGTGACAGGGCTCCAGCCCAGCCCTAAAAGTCGACTTAACATACAATGCAACTGAACTATAAGAGGGCTATTCATTGATACCTTGATATCTATATAAATGTTATATCCATGGAAAGTATTAATAGATAACTTTTACTGAATGATACTATTAGCTTGTGCAATTTACATATAAACCCTTGAAATTTATTTTAGACTGTTTATAATAAGTTCTATTTTGATCTCCAATTGAGAAGAAACTGAGGCTTGTGGAGATAAGAAGAACTTGCCCAATGTCACACAACTAGTATTTGAATCCAGGGAGTATGAATCCAGAGTTCATGCTCTTGACCACTGCACAATACCACGTCTCACTGTTCCCAGTCTCTGTTATGGGAGTGCTCCTAGAAAAGGCAGACAAGGGCTTTTCAAGGAGTGAAGCACACTGTGTATAAGCTACTGGTTTAATTGATCCACCTCTGCCTGTACAGAAGAAATGGGTCCTCTTGAGGTCAATCATTCTCTACCTGTTTGGAAATGGGGAACAAAGGGCAGGTACCCACTCAGAGAGGTAGAGGGGTTTCATACAGTATTGTATATTGCCCACTGTCTAGTACACACACACACACACACACACACGTCATTCCTCGGTATCTATGGGGGATTGGTTCCAGGAACCCCTTTAGATACCAACATCTATGGATGCTCAAGTTCCTCATATAAAACCTATGCACAGCCTCCCCTATACTTTAAATCATCTCTGGATTGTTTATGATACCTACCTAATACAATGTAAATGCCATGTAAATACAGCCATGCATTGCTTAATGATGGGGAATACATTCTGAGAAATGCATCATTAGGCAATTTCATCGTTTTGTGAACATCATAGAGTGCACTTACACAAACCTAGATTGAATAGCCTACTACACACCTAGGCTATATGGTACAGCCTATTGCTCCTAGGCTATAAATCTGTACAGCATGTGACTGTATTGAATACTGTAGGTGACTAGTGCAGTGTGTTTAAGTCTTTGTGTATCTAAAAATAGAAAAAGTACAGTAAAAATATGGTATAAAAGATAAAACATGGTACACCTGTGTAGGGCACTCACTATGAATGGAGCTTGCAGCACTAGAAGTTGCTCAGGGTCACTGAGTGACTAGTGAGTGAATGTGAAAGCCTAGGACATTACTATACACTGCCATAGGCTTTATAAATACTGTACACTTAGGCTACACTAAATTTATTTAAAAATTGTCTTTCTTCGATAATAAATTAGCTTGCTGTAAGTTTTTAAATTTATAAACTTATTTTTTCAACTTTTTGACTCCTTTGTAACAGTTTAAAACACATTGTACAGCTGTACAAAAATATTTTTTAAATATCCTTATCCTATAAACTATAAACATTTTCTATCTTAAAAATGTTTTCCTTTTTTCATTTCAAACTTTTTTGTTAAAAACTAAGACACAAACAGGCTGGGCGTGGTGGCTCACGCCTGTAACCCCAGCACTTTGGGAGCCGAGGCGGGCGGATCACCTGAGGTCAGGAGTTCGAGACCAGCCTGGGCCACAGGGCGAAACCTCGTCTCTACTACAAATACAAAAATTAGCTGAGTGTGGTGGCAGGCACCTGCAATCTCAGCTACTAGGGAGGCTGGGACATGAGAATTGCTTGAACCTGGGGGTTGGAGGTTGCAGTGAGCCAAGACAGCACAACTGCACTCCAGCCTGGGTAACAAAGTGAGACTCTGTCTCAAAACAAAACAAAACAAAACCTCCCCAAAAACTAAGAAACAAACAAACACATTAGCCTAGGCCTAGACAGCGTCAGGATCATCAATACCACTGTTGTCCCCTCTCTATATCTTGTCCAACTGGAAGGACTTTAGGGGCAATAACTTGTATGGCGCTGTCACCTCCTAGGATAACAATACCTTGCTTGCAAATACTTCCTGAAGGACCTGCCTGAAGCTCTTCTTGAGAAGTAGGTTTGTTTATACCATCATCACTACAAACATGTAAGTAATGCATTGAATTAGGATATTATGACATCACTAGGTGATAGAAATTTTTCAGCTCCATTATAATCTTATGGGACCACCACTGTATATTCAGTCCATCATTAACCAAAACATTGTTATGCAGCACATGACTGTAGTTGTCATACTTTATTGTTTTGGGAATAACTACAAGAAAAAGTCTGTACATGTTTAATACAATGAAACCATCATTTTAAAAAATGCTTTTGATTTGTGGTTGGTTGAATCCATGGATTTCACACCCGTGGATCAGAGGCTCAACTGTGTGTGTGTGTATATATATGTATGTGTGTGTATGTGTATATGTATATGTATATGTGTATATATATACACACATATACGTATATATATACACACATATATATGTAAATATGTATATGTATATATACACACATACATATATGTATATGTATATATGTATATATATATACACACACACACACACACACACACACGTATATATCTATCTACATTGAAGGTTTATATGCAGCTGGTTGTTGCCTGCAACTGACTCCTAATCTGATTCTTTTGTTGTTTTAGAATCTCCAACTAACTTTGAGTGTTTTATGAGAGATATTTGCCAACAAGTGACTTAACACCTTATGACTTAGTTTACTCGTGACCTGGGATTTCACAGTTTAAAAGCCAGAGTATATTGCTGCCTCTGATGTGTTTATGGATATCATGAAAGTGTCTGCCATGTCTTTTTTAGAAGAGAGTAATGAGGGCCAAATATACAAAAAGAAATAATCACATTATAATGAACGCTGTATTCCATACTTGGGCTTACTCAACCCAAAACTTCAGTGTGATAGCTGAATGAGCAATGTGGTCTAATTTAGCTTCCTACCTGTCTTACATAGAAGTTCTCACTGGTCACTAAATTATGAGGGACAATTGTTATTGTTTTGTTGTTTAATCCTTAAAAGGCTATTTAAAATGAACCTATTATAGATCTATCCCCTTATAGGTTGATAGTAAAAGGTAATTAGGTAGGGCTGACTCACTGGCTGTTAGCCTAGCTTAAATGTGCTCCTTTCAAGCACAAAGGACTGACCAATGCCATAAAATAAATTACAGATAACTCCAACAATATGTGTGCTCATTCTCAGAACTAATAATGCTTGCTAAGAATTGCAGAGGGGGCTGCTTGTGCTTATGAAGCAACCCTGGGCACTCAAAGCAGTACCCAAGGTTTGGAACTATAGGGCATTTGGAAGTAGGGATGTGGGTAGGTACAGAGCTAGGAAAGGAAGGAAAGCAAAATGGTGCAAAAGGTAGAGGCAAGAAGCTGTGAGAAGCAGAGGAAGCAAAACAAAACTTTAGGGCAAAAACAGGGGCCAAAAGACAATGGGAGGAGAATATCGCTGGTGGAATGAGGACAAAGAGAAATGAAGATAGATAAGGGCTAGACAATCTGGGAGACCAAGGGGACCTGGATCCTAGGTCCCATTCTGTGACTGCTCCATTGCTCCTGGTCCTTTTCCCACAAAACTTCTCAAAATACTGTGTATACTTGGTTTATCAACTTCCTCACCTCCCATTTTCTCTTTAACACACAACAAATTTCTAGTCCTAAGGTAATATTTAATATTATACATTTGTTCATGTTTCATTTCAGAATATTAGTGCAAGAAGGGACTAGCACTCTTATTCTTTTGGGCTTTTCCAAATTACCATATTAGGATTAAAACAGGCTGACTGTGATATGATCTGTGAAACATGCATTACTAGTCACATAAACTGATTTCAACTTCTATTTTTATATGCAGTTAATCAGCTGAACAGGCCCGTACATAATAATATACAATTCTTTTAATACTACTACAGAGTGAGGAACCTTGTGTCCCTGCAATAGCTTTATTACTGCAGTGTTCTTCACTGGCTTCTTCCCAAGATTATTATCAGAATGAAGTTACCAAGTCTCATATACAGTATATTTCACATCATGATCAAGTGTCTTTGCTTGGTGGGAAAAGGAGGATTTTTCCATTCTGTGGGATACAGATTTACTCCAGAGATGATGAGATAAATGTCTCCAAGCTGCTTTCTGAATACCACTCCTCTGAAAGTACTCATAGAGACTCATAGAGACAACACACAAAACATGGCCCTTTTGGCAGAGTTGGGGAAGGCTGTAGGCTGTGTACAGCTAAAGGACACAGAATCAGAGTAAGGGACTCACGAGTTTTTAGCCTTATTTAAGAAAATCTCATGTGATGGCGCAAGACAGAAAAGGAATTAAAAAGGAACTATTCTGGTGGAACCAAGAGCCCTATCCTGGTTACCTCCCTCTTGGCTCCTTCAATACCCTCAAGGAACTCTATGGTATTCTAGGGCATTGTGGAGCCTACTGGTAAACAAAAATCTAGTGAAATTCCACTCTTTTGAAGCAATAAGGAAATGTAGGCTCAGCAAGAAGAAACCTGCACAAGGTTATGGATTTCTTGACTGACAGACATCGGAATACAATTCACTCTTTAACCCGCATAATGCGAACAGTTGGTAGAGACACTAGAAAGTTCCTTGTCTAGATCTCTCACAGTCATTGGCCCCTCCTAGATTAAAAAAAAAAAAAAAAAAAAAATGTGCTGATGAACTTTGCCATCTGAGCGTGAGGGTAATTCTTTACAAAAAAAAAAAAAAAAAACAAAGCAAAGGAAAGAAGAAAAGAAAAATAAAGCAAAAGAAAAGAAAGAAAAAAGCTACAACAGAAAGGTCAGTTTGATTATTGGGATAATGTTAGAACTCTGACTCTCCCAGCTACAATTCTTACACTGCCTTAATTGATTTAACTTTCTCTGCAGAGCGTCTTATCTAAGACACTTCAGAGTACTGTTTTATTAGAATGCAAAGGGTTTTCTACAATGATGTTGCAACCCGGTTGGAAAAGGTATCAATCAAAATGACAATAAAGGTCAGAAATTATCTTAATTATTAAGAAAACTCCAACTTTCTTGGTAAAATAATTCTTCATTGGCAAAAACACAGATTTCAAAAGCCATAGGATAAAACACGTGCATGGGCATTTCAGTGCGCAAATGCCGATCATCACACTCCATGATTTGTCTCTTTAGAATTAACTTTGATCTGGAGGGACTTAACTACTTAGTTATAGGTATGGTACCTATTAGGGCAATCAGCATATGCATCCTTGTTTTACTCCCAAGCCATGCTATAAGGATTCTGAGAAATTATAACATAATAGTAGCATAAACTTTCTTTCTCTCATTTTCTCTTGGTGGATTTTAGTTTGCTATGGAATCAATTTCTCCTTTGGCTGTTTTCTGGGTCATAATTCACCAGTTTGAGCTGTCTGCTTCTGAATTACATTCTAAATGAGACTTGCAGCTTTCCTATGGCTAAGTCCCATTTTCCTATGCTGAATTCCTAACAACCAATGATTCTTAAGAGCTGTCTATCTTTTGACAGGCAATATTTTTTTCTGATTAAAAAGGAACCCTGTTATTCTTCTGTAATTATTTTAGTTGTAGTGATCCCAACTTCCCCCTCCTTTTAGGCATAGGTTTGCCCTCAAAATAGGAGGAGTGTCAACAAACCATCAATAAACCTTGCTGTTCCATCATGGCTTATGGAAAATGAAGGGAATGCTCCCAGCTCTTCCTGAAATACATTCAAAACAATATTGACTGAGTGCTAGCAAAGTATGCTTGCTTCTCTGGCACTCAGGAAGTTTATGTCTGACTTTAATTCCAAATGAGCACACGCCATCAAACCCAGACATTCCAATCCACAGCAAAGTCCCAGTGCTTGGAGGGATTTAGAAACAGTTTAGCCTTTAGTTGCTTTTCAGTTACTAGAGATTCTCTTATTCTGCTTAACTCTCTTCTCTAGCCATATAAGCCAATTATAATTTCCCTGTTCCCACAAGAAGAAATAAGAACAACTAACATTTCTGTAGTGCTTTAAGTGCAGGAAAAGGGAAGTGGGAAGCCTACTAGTGTAGATAAGAGGTCTGATTTTAGATTTCTGTCCTCCTTTCCCCCTTGCCATATAGGTAATGCACTCCTAATCATGAGTAGTCAGACTGATGGGTTTATTATGCACCAATATATGCTAGCTACTCGGTCAGCAGCTAGCCCATTTTAATGATGAACTCCATTTTCAGAAGAAGCAAAATTGCAAAAGAAAATAGCATATCATGGAGGCATATGCTGAACTAATGTCATTTCTTTTTGGATAGTGCTACTCAACTGGTAAATCAGAGAATGACATAAAGCACATCAGGACTTCAATTAGGCTTTTATAGTATTACTCATAAGTTTTTAGACAAAATGGATAAATGTGAGTAGAATGATAGTGTTATTTTTTGGTTGGACGACCATGTTCAAAGAGGGGTGATGACGAATTGTTGTCCAGGCTGGACAGTGTTCTATAAAGGGCTTGCCACATTGATATTTGACATTTCCTGATTGCCATTTTTCCCTGAGGATGGGGGCCTAGAATCGCTGGTTCTTAAAGCTCCACAGATGACTCCAATGTGCAACCAAGGAGATCCACTGATACAGGATCTGTGGTTCACATACTATACTACATATTGTTTTTAGCAGTGATACCAATAACTGTCTTCCAGCGATCCAATCTTCGATACAGCTTCACAGATGTTTCAAGTAAGGGGTAGAAAGAGAACACTTAAAATCTATTTTAACTTGGATAAAGATTTGGAACATTACCATAAAAGGTGTTTCAAAGAGTCTAGTAGGGACTTCAAGTGGATGTCATTTTTTTACATTTCACAAATAACAAATTCCATCAAAACCTGTTGATAAGAATAGCCCCATTACGTGTAAAAGCAAAGTTAATAAAGGGGCACTCTCTGGGTGCTGAGAAAATAGACCAAAGTTTTGTTTGACAAAAATGATTGTGTCTCCTTACTTAGCATCAAGTTATTATAATAACAGTTGTTTAAAGTCTTCAATTAACAAAAAAGTTGATGATATCAGCAACAGTAACATTTGATTTGTATATCCACAGGGAAAGTTAGATTTTTAACCCCAGTCACTTTGGCAAAGAGAAGGAACAAGGTACTTAATTATTGGAGGCTGCACTAAAACTGTCTATAGGTCACAGAACAACATGTCCAAGGCCAATTATGTTGAGTACAAAGACTTCAGGCAGTGGGGGACAGTAAGAAGCTTGTGTCCTCTCTCTCTGGAAGGGTACAAGCCTCATAACATCAGTACAATTAATAACTCTCTGACCTTTAAAAGGCATTTTATGAACAAATTAGGTCAATTAGTATAGCAACATTTACATTAAAAAATCTCAGCCACTTTCTAACTAAGGGGAAAAGTAGTTAATTCATTGCATTAACAATATGTTAATAGGCAATATTCATAAAGGGTCTGCTCAGCTGGAACTGATACAACAGAGACACAGAAAAACTCACAGTGAAACATAAATGACCTTGAAATGTATAGCCCCAGACTTCACCTTGAACTTCTTCTGTTCAGTGTTACCTGTTCATGGTAATTGTACTGAACTGTGCAAAACCCTCCATTCCTTGAGTAGATGGGTGTGCCACTCTCATGAAGGATATGTTCTTAGGAGAGTGCTGAATCCAACCTCCCTTCATGAGTGGGTAAAAAAAACCCTCTAAACATCCTTTCTCTGTTTTTCCTATCTTACTACTTTACTATCCATATATACATTTCATATATATAAATATATACATATATATTTTTTTCCTACAGTGAACTGGACACTGTGCTAGGTGATTTACATATATTATTCATTTAGTTTTCATGCTAACTCTGTAAGATAGACATAGTTCTCATTTTACAGATAGGAAGCAGGCTTAGAAAGGTTTTAAGTAACTTGCAGAAGGTCACAGAGCTTGCAGGTTGTAGAGCCAGGACACACCCAGATCTGCCTGACTACAGGACCAAAATTTTTCACATCAACATGCTACCCTGTACTCTACTACTCTGTCTTTCTTACACTTATTTCACTTCCTTCCTTCTACCTCTTTCCACCTCAAAGCACACAATAGTGGATGTGTTGTAGTGTTGGAAGGATATTAAAGAAGACTAATCTGGCACTCTTTTATACTCCTCTTAAAGCTCTGGATTATTTTCTATTTCCCCACATATGGCCTGGGCACCAGGATCCAAGAAATCGCTGCTCCCTATAGGCTCATGTTAGATCCTTTTTCTCTCCAATCTCCCCATGGTTTCAGCGACTACATTTTAAAGATTCCAAATAAGGGCATATAGCCTGAGACATTGTGTTTCCTTCAAGAGAACATTAGGAAAACATATTTGAAATCGAAACCAAAAAAGTACTCCTGATGCCTAGAAGAGACAAAATTAGAATAAAGCTAGCTCTGTATGGGCTTGTTGATTGATTAATTGAAGGTTGATCACACATACAGAGAGTAATGAGCAAAGTTAGAGTAAATCCTTATCAGTGGAATTCAACAGGGTGGTCTTTCTCACAGGTCTTTTTGTTGCAGACTTAATGTAGGCTTCCTGAACCTTGTGGTTTGTTAATCTGCAAGTACTTGTTTAGATATCAGGCGGTGGCATCTAAGATACAAGCTGTTAATTGTGAGTTCTAATCCTAGGCTAGAAGATGCCTATAAAGATTAAAACTTGTTTCCTTTTTCTAATAATTAGCAGCCTAGCTAAAGAGAGATCAATTGTAATTGGGGAATTGAAGAAGGTAATAAATCCATTACTGAGACTAGTTGTTTTACAGAGCCATTTGTTTAATCCTTAAAATTTGCAGGCTGTAAATTACTCATTAGAAGGCAGAAAGCAAAATAGCCATAATCCATTTAGTGCCTCCAAACTCCAAAGACTTAGGGGAGGAAATCCATAGAAACAAGAGGTCCGATGTGTTCTTTCACTGCTATTTCTTAATGGGTGAAGGTGGTTAAACAATAAGGAAAAGCCCATGTAATTATCCTGATGCGCTGGACCATAGGCCAGGTGTGGACTTGATTAAATCCATGGAGGGCTAACCCACAAACGGTGGGAAAATGCCCCTTCTTTTCCACTCAGCCCTGAAGGCAGCTAATCAATGTGCACATCTCATTTCCAGATTGTTGCATGAGATCAGAGAAATAGCCTATAGCATTCATTAGGGCATTCCCTCATATCTGTTGTTTTCTAATCAGCACAGGGAATAAAACAAGAGGCCAAGTACCAGAGAGGAGTTAGGAGAGAGCCAGGAGGAAGCTGTCCTCCTCTCCATATACAGGGAATGCAGTTCCCAAATACAAAATGTTTAACTGCAAAACAACTAGACAGTTAGTTTATAGGTCTCTTTACATGCATAGAAAGCCACATATATTTGGTTTGAACATGGATTTTGCAAGCTTTATATGAAAACACTTAACCATTTACTAAGAACAATGGTTTTTTTTTTTGGCATACCAAGGGTACAATTCAATTTTAGACTCCTAGTGGTAATGATGCAGGCAGTATACAAGATGCCTATGATACTAGCACTGTGCTTGAACTTTGAGAGTAGAATTTGAATCTGTGCATATTTTCTTTTTTAAACAATGTGATGCCTGTTATAGACACAAAACACAGCTTCTATTAATAGCTCACTGTTGGGCTATACACAACAAAATACCTATGGCTCACTTCTGCACTGAGTAAGCATTTCTTTCATACCTCTTTCCTTTCCTCCTCATGATCAACAGCACATCTCCGAAATAAGATGATAGGATTAGGTTGTGAAATGAAGTTTTTCTCTTTGCAGGGATAACAAGATCACATGAAGATCAAATCTCTGATTTTGTGGTAGCAAAGTGAGTTACCAAACGGAAACTGTTTCCAATCATTTTCTACTTGACAATCTAATTAAGTTTCTGATTTCACCAGGTTGGCACTATGTCTATCTCTGTGTTCCACTCAATACCCACCAAGCTGTTGTTAATCAATAAATCATTACTGATAATGAAGGAAAATCCAATTTAAAAATTACAGCTGTTCTGGAAATGCATTTATTTACTTTGTTAAAGTAATTATAAAGCAAGTGTTTTTTAGATTGATCATTTAACCATGTCATGTAATAAAAGTACTTTCTCCCCACATCTCACTTAAAAAAAAAGCTACATGTATTTTACATTAGAAAGCTATACTAAGGAATCTTAAAGACCCTTGTCATTAAAAATACAATCAAAGCATGTTAGAAAAATGTTAGAAGTTCTAGCCAGAGTAATCAGGCAAGAGAAAGAAATAAAAGGCATCCAAATAGGAAGAGAAGAAATCAAACTATCTCTCTTCCCAGATGATATGATTCTATACCTAGAAAACCCATAGTCTCTGCCCAAAGCCTTCTAAATCTAACAAACAACTTCAGCAAAGTTTCAGGATACAAAATCAATGCTAAAAAACTTAGTAGCATTTCTATACACCAACGATGTCCAGTTAAGAGCCAAATCAATAGCACAATCCCATTCACAACAGCCCTAAAAAATAAAATACCTAGGAATACAGCTAACCAGGAAGGTGAAAGATCTCTACAACAAGAATTACAAAACACTGATGAAAGAAACTGGAGATGACAAAAACAAATGGAAAAACTTTCCATGCTCTTGGATAGGAAGAATCAATATTTTTAACATGGCCATACTGCCCAAAGTAATGTACAGATTCAATACTGTTCATATCAAAATACCAATGACACTTTTCACAGAATTAGAATAAACTATTCTAAAATTCACTGGGAACCAAAAAAGCCCCAATAGACAAAGCAATACCAAGCAAAAACAACAAAGATGGAGGCATCATATTACCTGGCTTTAAACTGTACTACAAGCCTACAGTAACCAAAACAGCATGGTACTGGTAAAAAAAAAATAGACACATAGATGAATAGGACAGGTGAGAGAACCCGGAAATAAAGTCACACACCCACAACCACCTGATTTTTGACAAAGTCAACAATAATAAACAGTGGGGAAAGGACTACCTATTCAATAAATGGTGCTGGGATAACTGGCTAGCCATATGCAGAAGATTGAAATTGGATCCTTTCCCTTCATCATATGCAAAAATCAACTCAAGATGGATTACATACTTAAATGTAAAACCTAAAGCTATAAAAACCCTAGAAGAAAACCTAGGAAATACCATTCTGGGCATGGGCCCTGGCAAAGATTTCATGATGAAGACTCCAAAAGCAATTTCAACAAAAACAAAAATTGACACATGGAACTTCATTTAACTGAAGAGCTTCTGCACAGCAAAAGAAACTATCAATAGTGTAAGCAGACAACCTACAGAAAGGGAGAAAATATTTGCAAACTATGCATCTGACGAAGATCTAATATCCAGCCTCTATAAGGAACTCAATTAATAAGCAAAAATCAAACAACCCCATTAAAAAATGGACAAAAGACGTGAACAGACACTTCTGAAAAGAAGACATACATGTGCCCAAGAAGCATATGAAAAAATGCTCCACATCATTAATCATTAGAGTAATGCAAATCAAAACCACAATGAATACCATCTTACACCAGTCAGAATGGTTATTATTAAAAAGTCAAAAAGGGGCTAGGTTTGGTGGCTCATGCCTGTAATCCAAGCACTTTGGGAGGCCAAGGCAAGTCAATCACTTGAGGCCAGGAGTTTGAGGCCAGCCTGGCCAACATGGTGAAGCCCTTCTTTACCAAAAATATAAAAAATTAACCAGGCATGGTGGTGCATGCCTGTAATCCCATCTACTTGGGAGGCTGAGGCACTAATCACTTGAACCTAGTGGGCAGAGGTTGCAGTGAGCCAAGATCATGATCACTCCATTGCACTCCAGCCTGGGCAACAGAGCAAGACTCTGTCTCAAAAAAAAAAAGTCAAAAAATAACAGATGCTGGCGAGGTTCAGGAGAAAAGGGAATGCTTATAGACTGCTGGAGGGAATGTAAATTAGTTCAGCCACTGTAAAAAGCAGTTTGGAGATTTCTCAAAGAACTTAGAGTTATCATTCAATTCAGCAATCCCATTACTGAGTATATACCCAAAGGAATATAAATCATTTAACTCAGCAATCCCATTACTGGGTATATACCCAAAGGAATATAAATCATTCAACTCAGCAATACCATTACTGGATATATAATCAAAGGAATATAAATTGTCCTTCAATAAAGACATACACACGTGTATGTTCATCACAGCACTATTCACAGTAGCAAAGACATGGAGTTAATTTAGATGTCCATCAACAGTGGATTGGATAACAAAAATGTGGAACATATACACCATAGAATATTATGTAGACATAAAAAAGAATGAAATCATGTCCTTTACAGCAACATGGATGCAGCTGGAGGCCATTATTCTAAGCAAATTAATGTAGAAACAGAAAACCAAATGTTGCATGTTCACTCGTAAGTGGGAGCTAAACATTGAGTACACACAGACACAAAGAAGGGGACAATTGACACTGGGGCCTACTTGAGAGTGGAGGGTGGGAGGAGTCTGAGGACCTAAAAACTACCTGTTGGGTACTACATTCATTACCTGGGAGATGAAATAATCTGTACACCAACCCCAACAGCATGGAATTTACCTATATAATAAACCTGCGTATGTACCCCCTGCACCTAAAATGAAAGTTGGAAGGAAAAAAGAATTAAATGAGAAAAAGAGAAAAAAAGGGTAGTTATTCTTTCTCCAAAAAAAAAAAAAAAAAAGAAAGAAAGAAAGAAAAAGACAAGGAAAACTGTTGAGACATTGTAAGATAAACTTTAAAAAGCTTACAGTAAATTTGAAAATTATAACTTGGTGCTTCTATGTTACTGGTCTCAGAAAAGAGCCCATTCTGGTCACTTTTGGTGGAAGCCAGAAATGATATTTGGCCTTTCCTCTTTCCTGGGAATAAAGTACCTGACTTCTCTTCTGACTTACCCTGAGTGGATTTTCATTAAGGTAAGGGGGTTCACCTTCCACCATTTCAATTGCCATAATTCCAAGAGACCAGATATCAACTTTCGGACCATAAGCTTTTCGAGTCACCACCTCAGGTGCCATCCAATATGGGGTTCCCACCATAGTGCTTCGTTTACTTTGCTCAGGAGTGATCTGGGCACAGAACCCAAAGTCAGCTGCAGAGAAGAAAAGCCAGTTAAAATAAGCCCAAATTATTTTCCTTTTACAATATATCACTTTCAGATATGGCTGTACCTTCCTTTGCTACACACTGAGTTTCCACAACTGCCTAGCTCATACCTTTTTGTTAACTGATGTCTCAGCTGGTCCTGATTTTAAGAAGGTCTGAAATAATTGACTAACGTGATGTCATTTTTACTAGACTTCAATCTAATTCCCTCTCATCACTGTTTTCTCAAACTTACAGAATTTTTCAGTTTCCTAATTAGGTATTTGTCATTTATTCATTCCACAAGTCACTAGAAATTCTGAAATATTAAATCCAAAAAATGTGGTCACAATATTCAGGAACACAGTGTTAGAAAAATTCTTTACTTCAAACTGGGCTGTAACTTCTTTCAAATAAATCACTTTCAGTAACCATTATCTTCTTAAGATATACAATGAAAGAACAGAAATTCCCTGATACTCTAATACCACCTGAACCAAAATACCTACTCAATTTAACAGAGCCATCCATCCCGAGAAGAATATTGTCACTCTTTATATCTCTATGGATCACCTGGTTTGAGTGCAGGAAATCCAAAGCTTGCAGGCACTATTAAATCAGAAAAAAAAGTTCTAATTATATCACAAATAATTTTTAATACTAAGTTTTATTTCTAGATAAATTTTGGGCAGGGATATAACTTTATATTGTCAAGTGAAATCGATTACTGAATGCTTTAACAACACCACTTTAAAGTCACATTACCATTTACATCAATGATGCCACTTAGCATTATCATGCTAAGTATGATGGCTGACACATCAGACTAGGACATTAAGAATGATAATGTGATAAATAGCACCAATCAATAATACAGTCAAATTAACCAATTAATATACTTTGGCCCAGTTATTTGGAGGATTCAGCTTGGTCTTCTATAGCTGTGGTAAGCTTCATTGTAGATGGCATGATTTGATTCAGAAGTTCTGGCATGAAACCCAGGAATCTGCATTTAAAACAAGTGCCCCAAACTATTTCTAATGGGTAGCCAGGTTTGGGAACCACTCCTAGGCTATGAAGTAACTATAGGCACTTGTTTGGAAATGCCTTTGCAGTGTAATGCTGGAAGAAGGAAACCACAGGCTCAGGGTAGTAAGTTTAATGTATTGAATGAATAGAAAACATATATGTTTGGTGGATATGTGGGGTGGGGAAAATGATAATGAGAGGAGAGCAAGGAAGGAGGAAATTTAAGTGAACAACTTATAAAAAAAAAGCAGAGATTAGCTGATATCACTTAGTTTTGTTTTTCTATCATTGGTTTTCAAGTTTCAGTGAGTCAGAGTTCCTACTTTTGTTGATAGAAAACCTCACCACAATAAATGGGATAGATTATAATGCCTAAGATGAGACTCCAGTAAAAAAGTGTGTGTGTTTTTTAATATTCAACAAAATAAATATAATAACATCTCTTTAATTTAGTTTGAAACCCCTTAGGGGTATGACACTTACTGGAAAAGAGACAGACCGTCAGGCCCACTTGGGGGCTGTAAGGGAAGTTCAGATTGTACTGTGAAAGCAACTGCTTTCTGGCCTGAGGGAGGACCTTGTTTAAATTGCCTTCTAAAAATGATGAAAATATAATTTATTTTACATGGCTCATATTACACATGCAGGATAAAATAAGTATCATGTAAAAACTTCCCCAAATTAGAAAGAAGTGCTATGCCAATATCACTGTTTCCCATGTTCACGGAAACTACAGCATGTGGGTTTAGATACGGCACCTCACAAATGGCATAATGGAACTAAAAGATTCACAAAAGGCAGCTAAAATAAACAAGAGGCTCAGGAGGGTGATGCTGGGGAGTGCTATTAGGACAGAATTTAAATTGAAGTTGGCCTCTCCAATTGTTTTCAGTGGAAAAGTTCTACTATTGTTACTTTGATGATACAAACATTCTGAATAATCAGAAATGAAGAACTGCCAATTTCGGTGGTCTTCTCAGCTAGAAATGCTCTATTTGCTTACCTCTCTGCAGACAGCTGCTATCTGTCCTTCATCCATACAGGTCTCTGTGACCACATCAGTCAGAGAGCCACCAGCCAAGTATTCCATGACTACCCATAGTTCATCACCCACCAAGTAGCTATAACAAGAAAAGAAAAGACTTTGCCTTATGACGCTAAAAAACCTGGGGACTCTGATATTCCCAGGCCTCAGTTCTGATAGAAGTCAACTCTGAGTTGTGCTATGCCCATTACCTTTGAGAAGGTATTGAGGGACATACTCCAAGTGATCATAATATGGAGCCAAGGGTCACCAGAGCCCTATAATTCAGGCAAAGAGAGCATGAGGTTATTCAAATCACCTGACACCATCTGACGGCACTTTAGCAGTACAATCAGGTCTCTCTGAAACCTTGCTTATCAAGAAAGATGAATTATAGGAAATGGAATGAACCCAATGTTCCCACCCTGCCCTAAGACCCATATCAATGTGAAGCAAGATTTTCTATCCAGTGGTGCTCAAACTGTGGTGTCCATAAAATTCATCTGGAAAGCTTGTTAAAAACAAAAATTCACAGTCCTCATCTTATTATTTATGGAAAGCAGCCTAGAATTCTGAATTTTTTATAAGTGCAAATGCATTGTTTTTTTTGTTTTTTTTTGTTTTTGTTTTTTGTTTTTTGTTTTTTGTTTTTGCAAAATTACAAACACAGAATGACTTTAGGTTACTCTGTTGCAGGTGGTTCCTAAGTTACACTTTAGGAGACACTGATCAAGACTGTAAAATTTGCGGCCGGGTGGAGTGGCTCACGCCTGTAATCCCAGCACTTTGGGAGGCCAAGGTGGGTGAATCACCTGAGGCCAGGAGTTTGAGACCAGCCTGGCCAACATGGCGAAACCCCGTCTCTACTAAAATACGAAAAATTAGCTGGGCATGGTGACACACGCCTGTAATCCCAGCTCCTTGGGAGGCTGAGGCAGGAGAATTGCTTGAACGTAGGAGGCAGAGGTTGCAGTGAGCTGAGATCACGCCACTGCACTCTAGCCTGGGCGACAGAGCAAGACTCTGTAAAAAAAAAAAAAAAAAAAAAAGGACTGTAAAATTTAACCCTCTTTTTTCCTCCCAGTTTTTCCTTCTTCTGTAACATTGGTCTACCTGGCCCAAAAAGCAGAAAACAGTATCTTAAGCTTATTGAGTTTGAAGACCTAGATTTAGTTTCTTTGTATCCCCTCCAGAGAACACCGCACAGTGGTACTAAACAAACTCTTTTTGAAATTGAATGAGACAGATGTTAACCACAAGTGAAGAGTTAGTGCTGCCTTTAAATACCTATTTATAACACACTGTTAATACCACTGATAAAGAGACATTAATTACCAGGTTTAGGAAAAAGGTTTGAGATTAAAGTCTGAATTCCCTAGACCTCACTGTTAGTTAATCACAAAGCACCCATTAAAGCCATTGTAGTCAGCCTTCTTCACTTAGACTCCCAGAAATTGTACTGGCTCCAGACAAACACTTGATGTAATGTTTAAACCACTACTCCCTCCTATATGCAATGGTCTATTTTCTGCCAAAATGGAGCTATGATTCTCAAAATGAAATTTACAACCAAGACCATAAAATGTTTCTTCAAGTGTCTGATATGTGGACAAAGCTAAGTGAGTGCAAGTTTAGCAATAGATCTAATACTCTACTACACTGTAGCATTTGAGAAATATTTGCAGAATGTTAAATGAACGAATCCCAAATAAAGTAATTTGCCAAGAAAAAATGACATCCCACAAAGAATATAAGTACATAATAAGACAAAACACTTACCTATCTAAATAATTAACAATATTAGGGTTCTTATTTTCCCTCATGACCAGAATTTCATTAATAATTAATTCCTTCTTGGGTTGCTGTTGAAGGTTCATCTGCTTTATGGCCACCTGAATGGCAATTAAAATACAAGAATGAATTACAATCATTATAATAAACATGAATATTCATATTTTGGGGGACATAGAGTGAAACATACACATTCTTTATTTACTAAGCTCTTTCCCTGTGCCACAAACACATGCCCCCCACTTTTTTTTTTATTTTTTGGTTATCATGGGTAAACTACTCACTTCAGAGGCTTTGGGCACCAAGGAAGTAAACACCTATGTCAACCCAGTGCTACCCATTTTTTTTTTAGGCGAAGTTGCCATCGAAGAAGATAACTGTTAAATATGAATAAAAGAAAATAAAAATCAGGATTGAACGTTAGCACTTACCTCTTGTCCTGTTGCAATGTCTAGTGCTGTATAAACAGTACCTGATGCCCTGTGAAGGTGAAAATTATCAAAAGAATAAGCAATCAAGCTGTTACCAATATATTTTACTTGAAATAAAATGTAATTATTTTGAGGGGAGGAAAATTAGCAAACTCAAAATTATGAGGTAAGAAAAGGAACAACCTTTTAAAAAAATTATTATTGTGATTAAAAAAAAACACAGGCGATCTACCCTCTTAACAAATTTTTAAGTGTACAGTATTGGAACAATCTTTTTATACAGCATATGCACCTGAAACAATCACAATGTATCCCTTGTGGTGGACTAGGAACTCCAGTCAGATTTTCTGGCACTAGTCTGAGTGTCATGCACTATGCAGTAATAAATTGAGCAAAATGGCCTTGCTTCTTTTAGGAAACTCCTGGAATCCCCTAAATATTTCTTGAATTTTGTAATAACCAACATTGCAGGCCTTTCATTAAACTGAAGAATAGTTTAGGAAAGAATATATCATCTTTTGCTTAGGCAAGTATAAATTAACCTTCCCTTTTAGTATAGAAACCGAGTGGTTCTTTTCATATATTTCCAATTTTTAAGACTATCTTCATCTAAAGACCAATCTCTCTCAGTGCTGTACTGTACTATAGCTACATGAAGCAATAGCAACATGACTTTATTATTGAGCCATTGTTTTCTTATTTTTACTAAATTTCTCAACAACTTCTACTTTGAGGTGTCACTCCAGCCCAATATTCTTTTAAAATCTGTCATTTCTGGGCCTGGTGCAGTGGCTTACACCTGTAACCCCAAAACTTTGGGAGGCTGAGGCGGGAGGATTGCTTGAGCCCAGAAGTTTGAGACCAGCCTGGGCACCACGGTGAGATCCAGTCTCTATGAAAAATTTAAAAATTAGCCAGGTGTGGTGGCACATGCCTGTAGTCCCTGCTTTTCAGGAGGCTGAGATGGGAGGATCACTTGAGCCCAGGAGGTCGAGGTTGCAGTGAGCTGTGATTGTGCCACTGCACTCCAGCCTGGTGTCTCAAAAAAATTAATAATGAGCCAGTCCATGTCTCAAAAAAATTAATAATGTATCATTCTTTATATCTTAGCAGTACTCTTGCTTCCATTCTAACTTCATTTATGGGGTTCCCTTGCTTTGCAAATAGAAATTGTATAGTAAGCTGCATTCACAGTAACCTTCTATGAATCACAAATGCATTCTAAACCACCTCCCACCAACACCTTCAAGAAAAAGAAAAAAAGTCAATTTCGCTTTTAGTGAATAAAGGAGTTAGAATAGAGATCAGTCCTGTGATTGACTACATGTTATAATACTCCAACATTGCTTTGTAAACTTTCTGGTAATTATTTCTCTTGTTCTTTATTTCATCCTTGCTGTTTTGTTTTCTGAGTCCAGGAATTATTTTCTTATGTCAGGCACTTCCTTGTCATTCTTTTCCCTTCTCCTTGTATTAGCCCAAATATTTCTCACAGGTCCAGGAAGTGTATATGACCTGGCTCTCAGGGAGTAAACTCGGTGTGTAGTATAAGGCATATTTGACTATTAGTAGAGATCTGAGTTCTAATATTTGTCCTAACATCATCAAGCTATGTGACTTTGCGCTAGTTACTTCCTTTCACTGAGTTTCAGTCCCCTCACATGGAAAACAGGTATCACAATAACAGTAAACATGTACTGAGTATGTTGTATATGTCAGACACTGCACTAAGAACTTTAGATAATTTATCTTATGTAATCCTTACCATATTTTTATAAGGCAGATGCTATTATTCCCATGTTACATATGATGAACTGAGGTTCAGAGAGGTTACCTGCCCAAGGTTACACAGTTAACAACCCGTGTCTGTCTGACTCTCTTGCTTTTAAAGTACAGGAAATGAGCTACTTTATTTCTAAGGTTCTTTAATTCTATGATTTATAATCTACAACTCTACTACCCTCCTCACTCTGCTTGTGTTTCTAAATATCGATTGGAACTGGGCTGAAAAATCACACTTAATCAATAGGTGCCACCTAAACCGGGATTTGATAATTCTAGAAATTTCTTAGGCTTGAGGCTTATATCAGACAAATCATTTCCTCACTTCTGTAAGTGTGAGATTCTGGGCTCAGAGCTCACAGTTAGTTCCCAATAAATATTTGTTGAATGAACAAATTAATAAAAATCTTTTAAAGCAAACATGCAATGCCAATATGACTTTTCCTTTCTGTGAAGAAAACATTTCTTCTACTTAAATCTAAATAAAGCACTTTGCTCTTGGAATAAGCGAACAAACATTCCTGACTTCAGAGCCCGGTGTGTGATTTGTCCTTCTGAACTTATTTGAGTTCAAAGGAATAGATCACCTCGACTTGGTGTATATTTCAGCCGCAATAAGTCCTGAGAAACTACTTAAATCTAATTGCAAAATATGATTTAAAAATGCCTTTTGACATACAGACAGCTAGCAAACATATGAAAAAAATGCTCCACATCAATAATCATCACAGAAATGCAAATCAAAACCACAAAGAGACACCATCTCTCACCAGTCAGAATGGCAATTATTAAAGAGTCAAAAAACAACAGATGTTGGCAAGGCTGCCAAGAAAAGAGAACACTTATACCCTGCTGGAGGGAATGTAAATTAGGTCTTCCGCTGTGGAAAGCAGTTTGGAGAGTTCTCAAAGAACTTAAAACGGAACTACCATTTGACCCAGCAATCCTATTACTGGGTATGTATCCAAAAGAAAATAAATCACTTTATCAAAAAGACACATGCACTTGTATGTTCATTGCAGCACTATTCATGATAGCAAAGACATGGAAAAAACCTATGGGCCCATGAATGCTGGATTGGATAAAGAAAAATGTGGTACATGTACACCATGGAATATTATGCAACCATAAAAAGAATGAGATCATGTCCTTTGCAGTAACATAGATGGAGCTGGAGGCCATTATTCTAAGGGATCTAATGCAGGAATAGAAAACCAAATACAACATGTTCTCACTTCTAAGCTGGAGCTAAACATTGGGTACGCATGAACATAAAGCTGGCAACAATAGACACTGGGGACTACTAGAGTGAGGAAGGAGGGAGGAGGGTAAGGGTTGAAAAACTAACTGTTGAGTACTATGCTGACTTCTGGGTGATGGGATAATTCGTACCCCAAACCTCAGCATTATGCAATATACCCAGGTAACATACCTGCACATATACTCCCTAAATCTAAAATAAAATTTAAAAATAAATAAATAAAAGTGACTCTGGTTTATTCACATGTATTTAGGCCGCATGCACAATTCCTTTAGATGCAAAAGAGTGAGAGTATCTGCAAAATGAGATAATAGTTCCTATTTCACAGGGCTGTAGAGAATTACATGTAGAGATTGTGCATGGCACAATCTATGTAAGCATTTAGCCCTGTGCCAGATCAGAGTTGATGTCTATATGGTAGCTGCTATTATCATCATTTGTTGTTGCCGCTGTTGTTATTGGTTTCACAGTAGGGGATGACTGGTACACCGAACTATTAGTTGGCCCATCCAAACCTCCCAGCCAAAGCATCCTTGCTAACATCTGCCCCTATTTCCAAAAGGACAGAGGCTGAGGTAAACTATTGGAACACGTTTTAGAGGTTCCACATCCTTTCTCCCCCCCTAGGGAAGTGGTTTTACCCTTTTCTTTGAAAGTTGGAACGCCTTTATCAAATGAAACTGTATGAAGAAACCCTCAATATATTAAACAAATAAATTGGGAGTTGCCCCAGTTAAAGCTAGGGAGGGGGGCCCAAAATACCTGCCCAGGTGCCCTTTCTGTTATTCAACACCTCTGTCTCCCTAACCCCCAAGCCCATTCCCACTGTCCTGAGGGCTAAAATTGTGATTGACTTGGAGTGCAAGTGGGGATTCATGTTTAACATTTTCAGAGCTTTACCTTTCAAATTCGTGGGTTTTGTTTTTTTTTGTCCTCCAGCACCCTCAGCATTTAATTGTATTAAAATTGCTAGAGTTCTAACCCTGGAATCTCAATATCCTGGGATTTATGGCATCCAGTGGTATAAAATTGCGACAAATTACTAATCCACAGAGGTTTAAATATCCTGAAACTCTAGAGCACCAGCTGCTAACTAAAAATGAGCCTTTCTCCTCCCCTCCCCTCCCCGCTTACTCCATATATGCAATTGTGTAATGTGTGTATATATATATATATATATATGCATTTCCCTACCCTGTACCCTGGTTCTCTTGTCATAAAATGGTAATATCCTCTCCTACCACACTTACCAATCCCCTCAAACCAAACATGTTGTTAGGTGGTTGGAACTCCCTGCTCTGACCAATAAGTTATTGGTTTGTGCAACTTCTAGCCTTTGCACAACCTTCAACTCGAATGCACAAATTCAGGTACTAACCTGCAAATTAAAATTTACCACCTTTTCCCCAGCTCTGTCTTAGCACTCCCAACATATTTCTGCACCCCAGTTCTGATGCTTTTACATATTCTAACAATTTAAAATTCAACGGGTATAAATATGAATCTCTCCTTCAAGAGATCTCAACTTCCTTCAAGATTCATCTATTAAAGCTCTCTCATTGCTCACTGCTGGGTTGAGAACAGTAGTCCTCACTCCCATTCATTCAAACCTCCCCTGGTTCAAGTACTACTAGTTCCTAGTTGTCAGACTCTGGGTAAGTAATTTAGTTTCTTTGTGATTTAGGATTAAAGGAGGATTAAATGTATATAGTTCTGGCATACAGTGATTTCCCAATAAATATTAGCAGTAATGATAATTATTATTTGGTTGATTATTTCCTAACATATTCATTACATTCTCAAATTCTAGTGTGTGAATCATAAGGAAGCTCTGTAAGTATCTGGGAGTTTTCAAGATATTTGATGTTTCAAAATTCATAACAAAAAAATTGACAATTACCTGAGAACAGCTAATTCAAATATCACATATACTTCCTTTTAGCTAGAATTATATCAACTTGTAATTATGTTGGATATCACATGATGATTAAAAGCTTTAATTAGCAGTTATATGTATTTTTTGCTTAATAAAGTACAATAAATAAACTATTAATAAATACAGTTCAATCATCAAAATTATTTATAACCCAGGGTTTACAAAGACAAATAATTGAAGGGATCTTGGTGAAGTTGGGAAGCACTCTCCTTGTAATAACTGAAGCACAGTAGTGTATACTCCCAAAGAAACAATCTTCATGCCAACCATGTTGTGCTGATTCCCAAAGATGAGCTTTGCAACGGCCTGGGGTATATCAAAATATCTCCATGCATATATTTACAAAATAAAACCTTAATTCACTTTAATTTTTAAAAGTTGGTGTCTTTTTTTGGTTCCATATGAAATATAAAGTAGTTTTTCTAATTCTGTGAAGAAAGTCAATGGTAGCTTGATGGGGATAGCATTGAATCTATAAATTACTTTGGGCAGTATGGGCATTTTCACGATATTGATTCTTCCTATTCATGAGCATTGAATGTTTTTCCATTTGTTTGTGTCCTCTCTTGTTTTCTTAAGGAGTGGTTTGTAGTTCTCCTTGAAGAGGTCATTCACATCCCTTGTAAGTTGCATTCCTAGGTATTTTATTCTTTTTGTAGCAATTGTAAATAGGAGTTCACTCATGATTTGGCTCTCTATTATTGGTGTATAGGAATGCTTGTGATTTTTGCACATTGATTTTGTATCCTGAGACTTTGCTGAAGTTGCTTATCAGCTTAAGGAGATTTTGGGCTGAGACAATGGGGTTTTCTAGATATACAATCATGTCGTCTGCAAACAGGGACAATTTGACTTCCTCTCTTCCTATTTGAACACCCTTTATTTCTTTCTGTTTCCTGATTGCCCTGGCCAGAACTTCCAACACTATGTTGAATAGGAGTGGTGAGAGAGGGCAACCTTGTCTTATGCTGGTTTTCAAAGGGAATGCTTCCAGCTTTTGCCCATTCAGTATGATATTGGCTGTGGGTTCGTCATAAATAGCTCTTAATATTTTGAGATATGCTCCATCAATACCTAGTTTATTGAGAGTTTTTAGGATGAAGGGGTGTTGAATTTTACTGAAGGCCTTTTCTGCATGTATTGAGATAATCAGGTTTTTCTCATTGGTTCTGTTTAAGGGATGGATTACGTTTATTGATTTTTGTATGTTGAACCAGCCTTGCATCCCAGGGATGAAGCTGACTTGATTGTGGTGGATAAGCTTTTTGCTGTGCTGCTGGATTCAGTTTGCCAGTATTTTATTGGGGATTTTTGCACCAATATTCATCATTGGTATTGGCCTGAAATTTTATATAGCCAAGACAATCCTAAGCAAAAAGAACAAACCTGGAGGCATCATCCTACCTGACTTCAAACTATACTACAAGGCTACAGTAACCAAAACACCATGGTACTGGTACCAAAACAGAAACATAGACCAATGGAATAGAACAGAGGCCTCAGAAGTAATGCCACACATCTACAACAGCAATGGGGAAAGGATTCCCTATTTAATAAATGGTGTTGGGAAAACTGGCTATCCATATGCAGAAAACTGAAACTGAACCCCTTCCTTACACCTTATATAAAAATTAACTCAAGATGGATTAAAGACTTAAACATAAAACCTAAAACCATAAAAAACCCTAGAAGAAAACCTAGGCAATACCATTCAGGAGATAGACACGGGCAAAGACTTCATGATTAAAACACCAAAAGCAATGGAAGCAAAAGCCAAAATTAACAAATAGAATCTAATTAAACTAAAGAGCTTCTGCACAGCAAAATAAACTATCATCAGAGTCAACAAGCAACCTACAGAATGGAAGAAAATTTTTGCAATCGATCCATGTGACAAAGGGCTAATATCCAGAATCTACAAGGAACTTAAACAAAATTTACAAGAAAAAAAACAATCCCATCAAAAAGTGAGCAAAGGATATGAACAGACACTTCTCAAAAGAAGACATTTATGCGGTCAACAAACATACTAAAAAAAGCTCATCATCACTGGTCAAGAAATGCAAATCAAAAATCACAATGAGATACCATCTCACGCCAGTTAGAATGGCGATCATTAAAAAGCCAGGAAACAACAGATGTTGGAGGGGATGTGGAGAAATAGGAATGCTTTTACATCATTGGTGGGAGTGTAAGTTAGTTCAACCATTGTGGAAAACAGTGTGGTGATTCCTCAAGGGTCTAGAACCAGAAATATCATTTGACCCAGCAATCCCATTGCTGGGCATATACCCAAAGGGTTATAAATCATTCTACTATAAAGACACGTGTACATGTACGTTTATTGCAGCACTATTCACAATAGCAAAGTCTTGGAACCAACCCAAATGCCCATCAATGATAGACTGGATTAAGAAAATGTGACACATATATACCATGGAGTACTATGCAGCCATAAAAAGGATGAGTTAATGTCCTTTGCAGGGACATGGATGAAGCTGGAAACCATCGTTCTCAGCAAAGTAACACAGGAACAGAAAACCAAACAACGTATATTCTCACTCATAAGTGGGAGTTGAACAATGAGAACACATGGACACAGGAAGGGGAACATCACACACCGGGGCCTGTTGGGGGATGGGGGGCTAGGGGAGGGATAGCATTAGGACAAATACCTAACGTAGATGATGGGTTGATGGGTGCAGCAAACCACCATGGCATGTGTATACCTATGTAACAAACCTGCACGTTCTGCACACGTATCCCAGAACTTAAAGTATAATTAAAAAAAAAAAAGTCAGTGTCACGCAGCACTATAGGATGTAAAGATGCCAAAACTCAAACTAACAAAGATAGGGGTTAAAATTCCTAATTCTCCAGTGTATTGGGTCTGGTGTGCTAAAATGGGCAACACTGTCAATTTGATTTTTATGCTAAACATTTAATTACATTGATCCCTATTATCACTCCATTCCAGTTATATTAAAGCCAGATTCCTGTAGGAAGAACATGCTTTTATGATAGGTATTGTTTTTATTCCAAATCTCAATCCCTCAGATAGTACAAAGTAATCATGCATTATCAGGACTCAAAGGAAAATAGAGAACATCCAGTTTAACTTCCTCATTACAAATGAGAAATCTGAAGCCCAGAAAGCAGGAAGGATAGGCCCATGATAACATAGCAAGTAAGTAACAAAGGTCTCCTAACTTGAAGTTAGAGATCTTTCAGTTAACTATACTATGATTAAAGAATACTAAACCAACAGATTTCTCAACCATTGGGACCCATCATCAATTAAAATGCGATAAGTACATCTGGGTTCTTGGCATCACATTAGATGCTTTGTCAACAGTCTCTCCCTGACATGGCCAAGCGCTTACTACTCAAATGGAAACACTGGCATCTAGCCTGAAGGGTCCAGAAAGAAACAATTCACAATTCTCCCTTTTCCTCATAAAGCAGGTCAGTTTCATTATCAGGAATCTTGACCAGGTTTTGATGTTTCCCACCAAGTGCCAATGTCAAGCCATAATCATGAGTAGTTGTAAAAGTAGCAACATGGTAGGACTAATAATTTAGATAAGTCACTTTGATTTCAGCATGGAAATGGATTAGAGGAAAAGAAGGGTGAAGAAGTGAGCCTAGGAAGAAGCTCATATACTGGGAGAAAACAAAAAGGGCAAGAGGTCTAAAGGCTCAATGAAGTCCAAGAAGAATCTGGTAGGAATAAGAATGAGGGAGCCAGAAAGATAGGCAAAATTCCCATTAAGGTTTTACAAATATAAATCTGGTGCTAATGAGGTCATAGTCAAGGATTAAACCCCATATAGAATGGTTATTTTTTTTACATGTATTCCTATTGCTGCTGCTGCTATAAAAAGGCTATTTCACTTATTGAGCCATACTCTCTGCAGCTCTCTGTAATGATCTCACTTAATGCCCACCCTGTACAACTCTATGAGATAAATTAGATTTTCCTCACTTTGCAAATGAGGACATTGAAACAAAGAAATGTTAAGTAGGTTGCCTAAGGTTGCACAATCAGCAGCTGAGCTTAAAAATGCATTACTTTCTCTCCACAGCCCATGCTCTTAATCACCATTTCATGTTTTGCTATAGATCTTTAGCATTTTTACCTCAGTGCTAAGTGCAAGTGTGGTACTTCCCAAAGCTCATGTTTGTACCTGTTATGCTAAGCCGCCTCCCCAAAATGTTTATCTTGCCTTTAATTTTCTACTCACTTTGTCCACAAGCCATTTAGTTTGTACCAGGACATGGTATGTTTTATTCCTTTGGTATAACCACACACAAGTTGTTGTTCTGTTTGCCGACTCAATTAAGATTGATCATGTGGCTGAAAATGAACTGCTGTTAGTTTTTAGAAATAGACTTTATCTTTTGCTGAATATTAAAAAAGTTACTACTTGTAGGCTCCTATCTAGATATTGTCTCACTATACTAACGCACCTGACATAAAAACAGATTATATATCTATATATATCTGTATATATATAGTTTGATACTACCATATAGTTACTTGTTTTGTTGAGAGATGTGTTCTTTGGGGCTCAGGAATGATGTTACCATCACATGCAATAACTTTTCCAAAGACAGAGTTCTGGCGTTTTCCTTTGTGTAATTTACTTCTAAAAAATGCATCCCTAAATTTAAAAAAGAAAATTATGTAAAAATCATGTTATCTCAGTACTGCTCTAAGTACACAGAATGTAGCTGGGGCCAGATGGTATAGTCTTTAATTACTAAGATTATAAATCAGAACACGGAATTTTCTGTTCTTTAGCTAGGGCATGACTTTTCTCAGAGTATTCACGGTCATCTAATTTTAAAGAGAGCTGTAACACATTATGGGTGTGGGGCCAGGGAGCTCGGTGGGTTATAGTCCAGTGATAATGAGGCCACAATTACAAGGCTTAATCCCTGGAAAGGCCAGATAACTCTCGGCTACTCACTCCAACATTAAATCTAAGCAGCTGTTTCACAGTGTGTGCCATTGGATTCAAGAGGCCTGGACAGGAAAGGGGGGCAGGTGGCTTAAAACAAGCTCATTACTGTGGCTGGAAAAAACAAGTTAACGTGCAAACTCTGCTAATGGTGTTTGATTGAGTGGCATCATCTTTCTTTACAAGGGACAGCACACAACACAGTGCATTTAAGAGCATTAAGTAGAACAAAGAGCATCTTCCATTGCTCCATAAACATTGTTCTTCACAAATGCTAATGTATTTCCAATCTCCTACATCACAAAGCCTTTTATAGAACTCAGACTACATCTATTTAGTGCTTCATAGCAGCGTTCTACCTTGTGTGGCCCAAAATAGATCCGATGAAGAAGCAAATACTTTTGGGGTGGGTGGTCCTACCCAAAGAATCACTTCTATAAGCACACTAGACACCACTCTTGCCCATAGTTTCCTGAACAACCAAAAAAAAAAAAAAAATCAGAGGTTTTATTCTCAGCACTCTGAGTTCCATGGCATACACTGCTTTGTCAGGTTCTCTAAACGACACTGTTATTCAACAAGTCTTTTAAGAAATAAGTTTCAAAGCTATTCATCTTCAATATGAGACTTTCATGTTAGATTAAGAAGAAAGGGGCTTCTCACTGAGTAGCAGAGATAAGTCTGAAAAATACCTAACATTATATACTTAGTTTCTGTAGTCTTAAAACTAAAACTAATTTAGAGAGACGGGGGGGACTGAGGGCTTGATTACGCATGAGCTAGTAGCAAAATTTGTTAGCAATTATTGATGAATTGAACATATCATCATTCTATATAATGATATGATTGACAAAGATCCAGATGTTAGACAAAATTCCTTTGCCCAGATATATATCTACGTGTAAGAGAAAAATGATTTCAAGAAATGCTCTCATTGTCACTTTCTGTCAAACATAGCTGCATAGCTAATCTAACCTATGGAGAGATATAACATGTAACAAAGATACTTTGGCATTATAAAGACATGGACTACATTGGCTAATTAATTCTTCAGGATAGCCTTTTGTTTTGCCACATGCTTTCTTGTTAGAGTTCCTTTCTTATTTATTTTCCTTTTTAAAAAAGTCAGTGTGGGAGTGTTTTTATTATACGACTATAATCCCAAATAAGTGAATACAGCTGTGTTGGCAAAGGTGCAGGCAAACCGGCACTCTCATACATTATTGATGGTGTGTTAAATAAACAAACCTCTAAGGAGGGTAACTCAGAAAGAAAAATGCACATATCCTTTTACATAACAATTCCACTTTTAGGAATCTATTCTAATGATAACTTTGTATAAAATGGTTTATTTGTAAGGATCTTCACAGAAGCCTTGTTTATAATAGCAAAACATCAAAAACAAATTAAATGTCTATGTCCATTTAGGGCCTAGTTCAATAAATTATGGTACTATTCAAATAACAAAGCACTGCATCTGTTTAAAAAGTATGAGGTACAAGCATAGAACCATCTCTAAAACACAGAAACACAATAAAAAAGGAGATATATAGTATGTTACCACTTGTGCTAAAAATATACCTACAACAAACATACATGCATGCACAGAAATGCACCATATATACCCAAATACAAGATAAGGGTTTTCTCCTCCCAATTTTTCCTCATAAAAATGGAGCTGCCTTATATGCAAGTTCTTATAAAAATCTTTCATGTGATTGGTACTTATCCATATTCATTTATTTTTAACTATAAAATACAGTTTGGAAAGGACATATTAGGTTGATATCTTCTCAATTAATGCTAGTTTTGGATGCTCATAGAGAGTACCTGTCAGAATTACAAAGAAAGGATGTGAATAAGTTATTTTGGAGGGTATGACCACATAACTGCAAGTGTTGGATGTCGTAAACAAGCTATTAAAAGACCTCTGTCAAAACTAATGCAGTGAAAGGGTCTCCCATTAGCTAAAGATGGAATAGTTTGACCACCATAAACAATAATAGATGCAACTCAGTGAAACATATTGACAATGTAAAATTGTAAGACTTTATAAAGATACTTAATAAAATTTCCCTACTAAAAATATCAAAATACCCCTCATTGAACACTTTCGTATGTAACTCCATGCTAACTCTTTACAATGAAAGCTGGCAATTAAAAAAGCAAGCATCTGGCCAGGCATGGTGGCTCTCATATGTAATCCCAGCACTTTGGGAGGCTGAGGTGGGTGGATCACTTGAGGTCAGGAGTTCAAGACCAGCCTGGCCAACATGGTGAAACCCCGTATCTACTAAAAATACAAAATTAGCCGGGCATGGTGACACACGCCTGTAATCCCAGTTACTCGAGAGGCTGAGGCAAGAGAATCCCCTGAATCCCAGAGGTGGAAGTTAGAAGAGCAAGTTAAATGACAGCTAATGAAACTAACAGACAAATACAGAAAGTGCCACATTTTACAAGGCAATAACCAGTTTCTTCAACAAGATAATGGTAGTGGAAAAAGAAAGGAGACTGCTTCAGGGTATACAGACTTACGATATACAACAAATGCAATATGTAGATCTCCTTTGGATGTTGATTTGAACAAATCAATTATAAAAATAGCGTTTTGTTGCAAGTGGAGAATTCTGATTATAGACTGGGAGTTAAATGATATGAAGCAATTGTTAATTGTTTGTAGATGTAATGGCATTGTGATTTTATTAAAAATTGTTGATAAATATTTAATATGAGTGATAAGAATACAGTAGTTCCTGTGTTATTTTCCCTATTTTTGTGTAAGTATGACAATTTGTAATAGAAATTTTAAAAAGTCATATAGTAGATAGTAGATATATGTCATGAAGACCTAAATATACACCTACAGGACAAATTCAAAAAACAATAGTCTTAATGTTATATGAATGGGTAATTGTGACTAGGAATAAATATCCACGAACAGAATTATATGTGGGTTCAAAATCTCAAATATCTTAGATGGAAGTCAGGTAATATATTTGAGTAACTGCTGGAAGACTCAAAAATAATCTCTAGTGATTACAAAAAGAATGATGTTAAAGACACATAAGAAGATTTTGAATTATACCACTCGTGAAATATGAGAGTAGAAAAATCTCTACAAAATAATACTTTATATAAGTGGTTTTAAATATGAAAATGAAAGTAAATTAACAAACATCATAAGTAGACTTTCAACCATATATATATATATATATATAGATATATAGATATACAGATATCTCTCTCTCTATATATATATATATATATATAAAACAGTTTATGTATGCAGGTGCATCAAAAAACTTTTTAAAATTATCTTATTGTGTTACCTTATATTTGAGCATATATGCTGGGGCAGTGTTGCAGACCTTAGGGATACCAAAGTGAATGAAACCTACAGTCTGAAGTAAGCATTCAAACAAAACTTCTTATAAACCCTACTTGTTAAATTCCTATACCCTCTAATGTCACTCTCAAGTGTACCCTCTTCTAAGAATCCATCATACCCACTCCTTGGCTGTAAATAATTTGTCCCTCCTCTCTGTCCACAGAGATCTTTGTAATTTCTTCACAATACTTATTATATTCTGTTCTATATAATAGCAACATATGAGTGTGTCTTTCATCCCTAATAATAACTAGCATTTACTGAGCAATTAACTATGTGCCATGTACTGTGCTAAGGACTTTAAATGCCTTCTCTTATTTATTTTTACAACCTTATGAGATACGTGCATTCTGCTTACTATGAAAGAGAAAACTGATGCTTAAAGAAATTAAATAATTTTTCTACAGCCCTGAGTTCAGAATCCTGTCTCTTTCTTTTTCTTCAAGTTTTTCAAAAATTCTCCCTTTATTCCTCTACATTCCTCAAAGTTTCAAGCAATTTTACATGTCTAGACAAGCTAAGATATAAGTGGTGAATACATGCCGGCACAGATATAATCTGTAGGATTCAGAAAAACAAAAGACAGAAAAGGTCAATTAGGACCAGGCCAGCCAAAGAGTGATTCATATGAGAGATGACAGTGAAGATGAGTGTATGAATAAAATATAGAGGAAAGGTACATTATTGGGGGTAGGTGTTCATCTTATTTCTTGATATAACTCTTCTCCATGTCCAGTATTCAGGGGGACCACAAGTATAGAGGTCACTGTGAACTCTGAGAACCTGATTCTTAACTGCTACTCTCCATTACACATAGTAGGCACTCATTAAAGGTTCATTGATGTTAAAAATATACTTGTTAAACTGGATCCTCTGAGCTGCTTCCTCAAAAATATTTTTCTATTATAATGTTGAAGAGAAAAGACAATATGAACCTGAAAGAGAAAAAAAGGCCTGTTTTTCAGTGCATTCTCATTTAAGGAAAGACCCTAACATGAATTCAAATACATTAATGAGAAATCTGTGAGGACAGCTGCCAACATTGTAAATTCAGCCCTCTGTTACATAGCTATTGCTTATTCAGGAATTACACAGGGTTGCTATTGATAGCTGTTGACTGAAAATAAATATTTGACTTTGTTGTCTCACTCTACCTCATTTATTAAACAAGTTATTTTATATAACTATTCTAGAAAGTGAAGATTCTCAAGTGCGCACCGGATATATTTCTGACAAACTCATGTTGTTGAGTTAATGATAATTTTGGGGTACCTGACTTTTTTTCTTTCTTTCCTTATTTTTTAACTTTGCATAAATTTGCTCAAAATGTCTGGATTTGGTAGCCAATTATAGAACACTTTTCACAGCAAACCCAGTGAAACAATGTCATTTTTAGCCTTCAACTCACAGATATGGCCTCAAACGATTAGACATGTGATTCTGAACTTGATTTATGGAAGATGGAGCCCAATTCTCTGGCCCCAGGCCTGAATGCTGGGATGGCAGAAACCCATGCTGGAGAAAAAATTTAGTTTTCCAAGTAAATGAAGGTGATTAATGGAGAAGCTCTTCTCAAATCCAGCTCCTGAGAGTGAGTGAACTGTTGTGCTCTCTGGAGCTGAGAATAAAATACTGGGGCTGATTATCCCTAACACCAAATGATTATTGACAACAATTTTGAATGTCACTGTAATAATAGGTAAGGCAAAAACAATTAAAAACACAGATTTAATTTTAAAAAACTCTACATATTGAGAGTAGAGACTACTAGTTTATATAACTTAGGCCAGTAATTAATGAAAAAAAAATCAGTTGAAAGCCATTTAAGTAAAAAGAAAGTTAATATAAGTGGGAGGTGGGTTTTTTTTTTTTTTTTGGTCCAGAAAGAAAAAAGTCAATATTTTGCTTTACTTTAATAATTAAGAACTGAGGAAAAACAATCTACTAAGATCAAAAAAATAAAATTAGTAAATTAAGTAAATGATAAAATCATAGTAAATAGATTTAAGCCGGCAGATTATATCTTAAATACATCTTGATTTTATATTATGACAATTTGGGTTGTGGGGTGTGTGTGAAAATGGGCAGTAGAATGTAAGGCCAACATGCTTGAAGAAGACAGATATGCAGCACACACAAATACCCAGAGAATAAAGGAATCAGATGTGGTGAGGCCAATCAAGTCATTGTGAAAGACAAAAATGTGAAGACACACTGAGGAAAAACAGGGAAAGACAGACACAGGAGGAGCAAGATAGGCATGTATATACACATGTAAATACAGAGGACAGAGGAAAGAGATAGCTAGAAAGACAAACATTTTCTTTTTTATTTTTTTAATTTTACTTTAAGTTCTGGGATACAAGTGCAGGACGTGCAGGTTTATTACTTAGGTATATGTGTGCCATGGTGGTTTGCTGCACCTATGAACTCATCATCTAGGTTTTAAGCCCCGCATGCATTGGCTATTCGTCCTAATGCTCTCACTCCCTTCGCCCCCCATTCCCCTTCTGGCCCCAGTGTGTGTTGTTCCCCTCCATGTCCATATGTTCTCATTGTTCAACTCCCACTTACGAGTGAGAAGATGCAGTGGAAAGACAAACATTTTCATTAGCTCAACAAATATTTATTGAGGCAAAAACAGACCCACAGAGACGGAGTTGGCAGACAGCTTTGCAGTTCTTTGAATCTGGCCAAAGTGAACCCAGCTGTTGATCATAACTGCACAAAATTATTTCAGAGGGCCTACTAAGTGCAAAAGCACTGTGCTAAACACTAAAGAAGACAAAAGTAGGAATACAATTGACTCCATACCCTCTAAGGATGTATTAAAAAGTTGTGTTGGGCCTATGAGTGAACTATCTGCTACTTTATCATTCTTTAAAATGATGAACTTGCTGGGAATTTAAAATAGACCTTTCTGCAGTGGCAAGCAGGATTTATGCTTCGATTTTTTCATTTTAGGTTGTGAAGACTGTACAAAGAGACTCAGAGATAGAGAACTTTCCTTTTCATCTTTAAAAGTCACAGGCATAAATAATAGCCAAGAGAGGAAATCTCTTTGTTACACAAAGTTGCTTGGTGGCCTGATCTTTGTTCTTGGCAAAATTAGTCTTGTTTCATTACCTAGTATCTGGGAGGTATCTGAAACCATCTTGTACTTTTTCCTTTTAAAATTCAATGCTATTTTTGGCTCAGTTGGCCTTTAGTTGGAACAATCAAGACAAAATTATAACATCTCCCACTCTCCAAAAAACAACCATGGAAAAACACTTTACGAATTAATAAACAAATAACTCCCAGTTAAGGCTACAACTAGAGCATTACTGCCTATTAGAAATATAACATGAGCCACGAGCCATATTTAAAATTTCTTAGAGTTACATAAAGTTTTTAAAAGGTGAAATTAATTTTCATAATATATTTTCTTTAATCCAATGTATGCAAAATTTCCCAACATGTAATCAATAAAAAATATATTAATGAGATACTTTACATTATTTTTTCATACTAAGGTTTTGAAATCAGGTGTGCCTTTTATACTTAAGTACATTTCCATTTGGACTAGCCACATTTCAAGTGCTCAGTAGCCAAATGTGGTTACTGGCCACCATACTGGACAACAATGATTTGGAGTGCTATTTCTAAGTGGATTGAATATCCCTTCCCTTCCTATTGTTAGCTCCACCTGAGACTCATCCAGATGAAAATGAAATCTAAAAGCCAACTTTTGTTTTCTAAGTCCCTTTAGTACATAATACTGTCTTTTTGCAATCTGTCTGGTGGTATTTACCCTTTAGGCATGAAGAAGGAGAGCTGAGGTCTGTATATAGACTTGGGAAGGTATAGGTTTCTTACTTAAGCAAAACAACAAGTCCACCAGAAGTAGACAGGGAAAATTCCCGGTGGGAGAAAACGGCTCTAGAAGCTGGCCCTGCTCTATACTTGGTTGAATTGAGTAAGCTTGCCTCTAGGTTCTTCTGGTACCCTGTATCCCTCTGTCAAGCACTTATCAGTGTAAACTGTAAGTTCCTTGAGGGCCCACACCATCATTACCCATCTCTGTCTCTCTAGCACTTAGCATAGTGCCTGGAACATAGTTAGTGCTCAAGAAATATCTGCTAAACAAATAAATGAGTTCACATAAATTCAGTTTCTTATGTGCACTACCCACATTCCAAGTGCCCCATAGCCACACATAGCCAGTGGCTACCATATTAGACAGCACAGATATAGAACATCTCTATCATCACAGTAAGTTCTGTTGTTTATCACTGTTTTAGAACAATGAGTAGAAATATTAATTTGACCCATTCGGTGACAGGAAGCTTCTAGAGACCATAAAACTCTTCTTTTTTGTGAGCAAATGAGAATATATTTTAGCCCCCTGGAAAGTTCAAATACAATGTCATTATGGTTTTGACTGGAAGAATAAACTTGGCCATGCATTTCTTCCTGAGTTTCTGTCCCCCTTAGGGTCTTCTCATCTTGATTCCCACCAGGCACAGTTTCCATGAGTGCCTCTCCTTTTCTCTAGCCCAAACGTCTAATGAATGCTTTCCCTTATTTCCTGAGATATACTGGCAATTTCAAAAGAAACTTTAGTACAAAAGCTAGGGGGAAAAACAAAGAAAATATAAAATCATGAAAAATAGTCAAGCTTATATATGATGTATACTTTTTTGAACCTAAGTATGCCAGGAAAAGCAGTGTGGTTCTTGAAGAAATTCTACCTTCTCTTACCCTAAAATAATTAGATTCTAATGGCTGATCGGCTAGCACAGTTTTGCAAGCATATTGGCTGTAACCCTTTGTCTTCAGCCCCTTGCCTCAGCCAGGAAAAGTCTGAGGTGCCATCTTTGTTTCTGACATACAGTAGTTGGTGTCCCTGAATATGTGTCTCACTCCTCATTTAAGGATGTCCCTTAAGAATATTCCATTTTCCTTTAAATAAAACTTTTCCCTGTTTCAAATGCTGTTGCCTGCTCAGATCCACCTGCCTAGTTTCACTTTGAGGCCTGAGAGACATGCATTAGTACAGTTGACTTGCAGAACTGGTGACTCCTGCCTTCAGCTTTAGTGAATAATCTAATGCAATGGTACCCATGTATTGCTGATTATCAGGATTATCTGAGGGACTTTTGCAAAGTTCAGATCACTGAACCCCACTCCAGACTCTAAATCAAATCTTTGGCAGTGGGGCCTGGGAATCTTTATCTTTAACAAGTATATTAAGTGAAAATGATGCACTAGGTCTCATTTAGGGATTATTGTCTGTTTCCTCCATACTCAGATAGTCAACTCTGCCTACCTCCGGATCATTCCATAAGGACATTCCCCACCCTCAGTTTGTCACTCCACATTTTGACAATAAAACAGGATCTTAATCATACCATCCATGTGGCTGTAGGGGGAACTGCGATAAAGGGGGTTTTTACGTAAGCTAGAAGTTTCCATAACCCTACTGCTTTTTCTAGAGAAATCTGTTTGAATCTTCTAACTACATAGGATCAAAATGTCCACACAGAATTTACTGTCAGCCCAACAATAATGAAGATTTCAGCAGGATGTGTTCCTAGGTTAATGTTGTAACTGTTGTCAGCACTCCCCCTGAAAGGCCAATACTGAGAATGCAAGACATAAATATAATCTAGGAAATGAGAAGCATAATTTACCAGAAACCCAAGCTCTTACTGAATTTTAATTTTAATGTATGTTGCTTGTACTCATCTTTTTATATTTCAAATAACAATCACTTACCCTTGACCAATTTTTTCAAATCTTGTGTATTTTTTCTTTGGGTCCCCAACACTCACAATGCTTCCTAAGAGATGGGTGGGGAGAGAAGAAAAGAGGAGGAGGTGGAAGAGAGAGAGAGAGAGAGAGAAATAGAAATTGATTGACTGTTTTTTAATTTAATAATGAAAATTAAGATGCCAGAGTCAGTGACAAATAAAACATTAGACAAATACTCCCATGGGATTTCTATAATTTACATAAAAATGATACTTTCTACTTATTAAAATAACAAATAGTTTTATAGTAATTAAAGTAGTAATAATAACCCATTTTGCTTATATTCAAAATTACTGATATTTGGAAAACAAAAAAAACTTGTCACAACCCAACATCTATAAAAAGTTCTCATAATACTATATATTAGGATATAAAAAAAATCTAAGAAAGGGATGGAGCTGGAGGTCATGAACCTAAGCAAACAAATGCAAGAAAAGAAAACCAAATACTGCATGTTGTCGCTTATAAGTGGGAGCTAAACAATGAATACACACGAGTATAAAGATAGGAACAATAAACACTGGGGATCACTAGGCAGGAGAGGAGAGGGAGAAGGGCTGAAGAACTACCTATTGGGTAGTATGCTCACTGCCTAGGTGAAGGCATCATTAGAGTCCCAAGCCTCAGCATCACACAATTTACCCATGTAACAAACCTGCATGTGTACCCTTTAATCTATAACAAAAGTTGAAGTTATAAAATACAAAAATGTGCTCAGGCTCATAAACATTCTGGAAAATATACAATAAAACCAGAATGAGTTAACACTACAGACCGATCAGAATGGCTAAAATTAAAAAGGTTGTCAATACCAAACGTTATATCAATGATGTAGAGCAATTGGAACCCTTGTACACTGATGGTGGGTACATAAATTGGTATAATCGCTAAAAAACAATCTAAGAACTTATCCACACTATTTAGTAAAATCACTGTCTTCTCTGAATTGAAGTTAAGCACTATGCTATATCCAATTCTGCTGGACAAATATCTATTGAGTAATTACTATGTACCTAGTACAGTGCTAAGGGTGTGGGGATGGAAATGAGTCTAATGAAGAACAAAGTTTGATCATAAAGTAATGAGACCCATGCATGTTCAAAACATATATTTCCAAACCTAGGACACTGCTAGTGCTCCAAAGATTTGAACAGATTTACTGACATATGATTTACATGCCATAAAGTTCAGTGACCTAGAGTGTGCAATTGAATGTCTTTAACATATTTAATGAGTTGTGTAAATGTCATCATGATCTAATTTTAGAATGTTTTCATTATTCCAGAAAGAAACCTTTTACCTCTTACTTGTTAGCAGTTACTCCCCATCTTCCCTTAGTTCCCAAAACATATCTAGGCAACCACTAATCTACTTTCTGTTTCTATAGATTGCTCCAAACATTTTTTTAGTAAGTTTATAAGCTACATAAGAAAACTATTAATTTATCATGTTTGGCTCTTTAAAAATAATAGTTTTGCTATTTCAAAAAAATCCAGTCCATCACTCAGAGGATGAATACTTGCTATCACTCAGAATAAATACCACAGAAGTGGCATTGACTCTTCAATGCAGTGTTCAAATAGGTCCAGAAAAATCTTGGGGTTATAGAACAATCATGGGAATAAGGGTGCAGCTTCTCAAGGGTATACTTTGAAGGGCATCATTTATTTGGAGGCCTCTGGCCCACCTTTCTTTCTGGAAGCAAACATGTCAGTATTATTATCTTTGAGTTATATCTTACTAACACATGGTACAAAGAAGTGTACAGTTGGTTGGTAAGGCAAGATTTTCACATATGAACTAATCAAGAGAAGATCTGTAAATTCTATCTTCTAGTTGTCACTCGTATTCATACTCTTCTCTCTATGCCCATGGCCACTGCTATTGTTCGGGCTTTCAATACTTCTTATTCAAACAATTGTGCCAGTCATAACCTACTCATAGACTCTGCTTTCTCTAGTTCCTCTTACACCATGCCTTTGGAAAAGGGGGACCATACTATTCATAAAATGAGTCTGTCCTGGACAGACTGAGATGTACAATAACCCTATATCAGAGTGATTTTGCTCCACTGTTCATAATTCCTTAAAAGCTCCTGCCCACTGCAGGATCAAATCCTATTTCTGTAGTTAGACAGAGAAGGTCCTTCACCCTTCAGCATCATCTGGCTCCTATCTAACCAGTCTAGCTTTATATTATTCTTTTTCTCCACCCTTACTACTTTATATCCTAGTAATGCTATCACTATCTAGTGCTTAGGGCTTTGCATGTGCTCCCCCTTTTCCTTTCCTATCTAACCCATGAATTCTTATTTGTCATTTAAATAAAATCTCAAATTATCCACCTTTATGAAGTCTTCTCTGATCATTTCACTGAGACTTACATGCTGCTTCTTGAGGGCAGGAACTTTGTCCTTTCATCCCTGTAACTTTGGAGCCTAGAACAGTGGCTGCTACTAAACAAATATTTGTTGATTAAATGAATGAGAACAAGAAAATATGTATTTAAGTGCTCAATTATATGCTACAGATAATACTTCATGCTAATTTACACAACAGTCTATTCTCTGGGCTAGTATACAACATAATTTAGACCTAACAGCAGTAGATAGTATACCTTGAGAAAAATAATCAGTTAAACATTTCACTCATAGATTACTCATCAAGTTGTTGGTTTTTTTTTTAATGAAAGTTCACTTTTAAATTAAGTTAAATAAGACTTAGCTAATATATGGGTTGTTATAATACTTTTTCTTTTGTATTTCCACTATCAGTCAGTAGTACTGCCAATCCATCTACTCAGTAGCCTGAGTCAGAAATCTGCAAGTCATCATTGACTCTTACTTTCACTTACCACGTGCAGTTGTCCACCAAGGGCCTATATCTTGTTACCTCCTAGACATCTTTTGAATGTGTTCCTTCCTCATTACTACTGCTTTAGTTGGGCTCCCATCATCTTTTTCCTGGGTTATTCCAACAGCCTCCTAACTGGACTCCTAGTCTAGCTGCTGCCCTCTTTAGTCAAGGCTCTACATCTCTATCAGGATCCTCTAAGTGCAGACCTGATAATGTGATTCTCTGGTTCAGGATTACTTGATAGCTCCCTAACACCTACAGATGAAAGCCAAAACTCCTTGGCAATGCAAGGTTCCTAATCTGGCTCCTGCTTCATTCTCTTCTCATCATTTACCACTTCCCCACTAGAACTTTATGCTCTAAGCATAACAAACTAATGGTAGCTCATGATCAGCTCCTGCTTAAAAGTTCAGTTTCCTCTTCTACAATGCCAGTATCACCATATACCACCAATTCTTTATTAAAGTAACACTGAATAAGTCAGAGTTCCAGGACATATGCTTCAAGTCTTCTTTACATGCCATTCGCTGCCTGAAATGTCCTTCCCATATTTTCTCTGTGGCAAGTTCCTATTCATGCTTCCAAACTTAGCTTAGATGTTCCCTCTTCTAGGAAGCTTTCTCTGATCCCTTGAATAATTAACAACTTCACTTTTCTGTGCTACTACTGTATCTTCTCTCTCTCTCTCTCGCCCTTGTTCTCTCTCTCTCTGTACTTAATATATCAGATGTCTATATCTATCTATTTGGAACTTTGACTTGTAAGAATTAGAACTGAAGGGTTTCATAATCATCTGGCATCCATTCAATGTTGTATCTATGGCTAGAAATGTACATGATATACATGACGGGAATTCCACAGATCTTCCTGGTTCACTTAAGGTCTTGGTCACAATGTAACACTTGTGCTGAGTTACTCTCTGTACTAAACAGTCATCTGCATAGGTTCCTTTGTGTGTGTATGGTATTTGATATTGCCTTTTAGACTATGTCTTTAAGTACAGGAGCCATGTCTTATTCATCTCTGTATCTTCAGTGCCTCCTCACACAATGCCGTGTGTAGAATATATTGATATATTTGCTGAATTACAATAAAATACAATTAGTTATTTCCCTTTGTAAATGCTCCATGGTTTAAGGCAAGGGTTGGAGAATATATTTTACTTGAGCTATATCTATAGAATGCCACCAATTTAGCAATTTCTGAGTTGGTCTTTTATTTTTCAACTTGTCTAACAGATTTCTATATAACTGAGAGCCATCCTTATTCAAATTAGCTATTAATGCGCAAGGGCCTGGAC
This sequence comes from Homo sapiens, assembly GCF_000001405.40. Classification (NCBI taxonomy): domain Eukaryota; kingdom Metazoa; phylum Chordata; class Mammalia; order Primates; family Hominidae; genus Homo; species Homo sapiens. The sequence goes on along the minus strand of NC_000023.11, from coordinate 111,168,890 downwards.
TTTTTTATTTTAATGAAATGACGATTTTAAAGTCACTTGAAGCCATAATTTTATTAAGCAGTTTATAGTCTTCTAAAAAAGTTTAACTATTAAGTTGCTAAGCAACTTTTTTCCATATAGAAAAAGCTTCAGCCCAAGCCACTTTCTGAATTATGACCCATTCCAAATGGTGGGGTTCAGTTAATGTGGCTTTATGGTAATAAATTATTCAACCTTTATTTCCATGTTATGCAGGGGGAAAAAAAACTGGAAATAAATCCTTTCATGAAGATTACCAAAAGAAACCATTTTGATGAGATTCCACTTCTGAACTTAACTGCTATTCAAATAAAATGGTGTCTCCACACTCATCGCCCTTCACAGGAGAGTGTGTGCTGCCATCTACTGATGTTAGGCAAGTATACTAGAGGCCTTGTTTACCATTCTCAATCACAAAACAAGCTTTTAAAGTGATCTTTTCCATTAGTTATTATAATTTGCTTTTGTAAATTACGATAAAGAAAAAACACTGTGACACAATAGGGAGAAAGTTTTTTAAAATCAGCAAATCAAAATCAAAAGAAAAAAAAGCAATACCAGAACAATTTCCTACCAGAACTTCCTAAAGAAGAAATAAACTATTCATTTTAAAGTGCAGGTTTTAAGAATGCTAAATACTTGTATTTGAAAATAGCATTCATGATATGAGTTCAGTGACAGAAAAGCCCATCAATATATTTTCTGACATATTAAGCTAAGGTGAACTCCCACCATTAAAAGATTATCCTTTTAGCATAATGAAGATTTTGATTTCTGAGAAAAAGTAAAAAGATTCTCTAAATTGATATCAGTTCTATATGAGGGTGAATTAGGAAAAAGGGTTTTGAGTGGGGAATGCTGAGGGAGGTGAGAGGCAAGGAGTAGGTGATAGTGGGGCCCAGAGGAAGGAGGTTGAAGACAAATTTCCTGTATTACACAACTTTACTGACAGTAATGGCTTTTGAAATTTGTCACTAAAATGTGGTGGTTTCCTTTTTTATTATACTTTAAGTTATGGGGTACATGTGCAGAACGTGCAGTTTTGTTACACAGATATACAGGTGCCATGGTGGTTTGCTGCACCTATCAACCCGTCATCTACATTAGGTATTTCTCCTAATGCTATCCCTCCCCTAGCCCCCTACTCCCCGACAGGCCCCGGTGTGTGATATTCCCCTCCCTGTGTCCATGTGTTCTCATTGTTCAACTCCCACTTACGAGTGAGAACATGCAGTGTTTGGTTTTCTGTTCTTGTTTCTGTATTTTTCAACAGATCTAGACAGACCACAATGAACAAGCCAGACCCAGGCTATTTGTCTGTGTAAAACTGAAAGATGACCTGTTCATTTCACCCAATAATGACCTCTTGCTCTGGCCACCACAATCAGCATCTGCATGGAAGATGAATAGCTCTGTGGTCTGGGCTGCCCACCTCTTAGTAACTGGACCCCTGACACTGAAGGTAAGGATGGTTTAGTAGAGGCTGCCATCTACTCTTCACCATGCTTATGAGGTCCACTCTGGTATGGGATATTGGCCATCTTTCTGCCTGCCTGTTTCCCTTTTTCCTCTCTTTTGCCTCTCAGCACAGGCTGCTCTACTTTTTCCCCAAGCTCCAATGTGGCCTTTGAGTCCAAGATACTTGATGGCTTCTGTACAGTAATCATACACCTGGGATTATTCCTGGTTTCAATCATTCTGTCACACTGTAAGACCCCAAACCCCCATTTTTATGCTGAAAAATATGATCACTCTCACTCTGTAAAAATAGCATAATAACAATTTTATATTACTGTTTATTGTGCTAGATGTCTTATATACTTTAACTTATTTAGTCCTCACACAACCCCTATTATATGGGTACAATTATTATCTCCATCTTTCAGATGAAGAAAATTATGTTCAGAGATGTTAAGTGACTTGACTAAGGACATACAGCTAGTATAAGTCTATGACTCAGACCCAGTGATGACTTATTTCAAAGCTTGACCCATTGTATTATCTTATGAAGGCTTTATACCCATGTAATAACAATTACCACTTATTGAGCCCCTATGATGTGCCTGATACTGCTGCTGAGGTTTTTATATTATCATTATCCCCACTTTTTAGATGAGAAAATGGAGGCCCAGAAAATTTAAATAACTGGCCCTAGGTGACACAGCTAATAGCAATGGGTCTATGATTTAAATGTAGATCCTTCTGACTCCCTTAACCATAGGATGAGCTCCTTAAAATCCATCCTATAGACAGAGTCCTGAAATGTAGTAATGGGCCAGGCTTGGTGGCTCCTGCCTGTAATCCCAGCACATTGGGAAGTTGAGGCAGGAGGACTGCTTGAGCTCAGGAGTTCAAGACCAGCCTGGGCAACACAGCAAGTTCCCATCTGTACAAAAAATAAAAAATTTAGCTGGGCATGGTGGCGCACACCTAAAATTGTAGCTACTTGGGAGGCTGAGGTGGATCATTTGAGCCCACGAGGTCAAGGTTGCAGTGAGCCATGATTGTGCCAGTGTACTCCAGCCTGGGTAACAGAGCCAGACGTTATCTCTCACAAAAATGTAGTTATGATTCTTATCTCCATTTCACAGGTTAAAAATTGAGGCTCAGAGGAGTTAAGTGACTTGTCTGAAGTTTTCCTTAGACAAAGGCGTAATGGCAGAGAGAAGGCACAGAGAGGGTAATGGTGGAGCAGGAGCAGGAAAGTCTGCCTTTGTGGACTTTGGAGTATAGTTCACTGAATCTGCTTCATGAGAAGCACTGCTCCACTTCTCAGCAGGTTCACCCTGCCAAAATCTACAAATCCAATGTAAGGTTGGCAGTCACAAGTGGCCTGCTGGCTAGAGGGAAAATGACTCTCTCTATGCCCAAGCATGAAGTCCAGTAGAGAAAAAAAAAACCCCACTGAATTCTTAATTCAAATGTAATCAAAGTTAGCTTCCCCTTCTTCACCATGTTGCTCAGTGTAGAGCAGAATAAACAAAATAATAAGGACACAGCTCTAGCACCACTAGAGTTTACAAGCAAAACAAGATTTTGGTCCAAGAAAATAATGCTTGTTTCTCTGTCAGCTAACAAAACTATACAAGCATTTTTGTTGTAATACATCTATTGAGATTTGAAACAGATACCAAATAAGAGTCATTTTATTAAGGCAAGGCTGTTAGATTTTTAAAATCTGATATAATCACATAGGTCATGTCTACATATGCAAAATAAAGAAAAACGTGCCAATTGTCTGAATAATTGAACTTAAATTATCGAGGCAATTCTTTCATTTAGTTCTTCCTTTTTACAAAAATAGACAGTTCGGATATGCAGAAGCAAAGTAGGTAGGTAATGGAAAAAGTGTAAGCTTTGAAGGTAAACTGGTCTCAGTTCAAACTTTGGTTGTGCCACACATTGGTTTGGTGACTTGGTCAGTTAAGCCTTTTAAAGCTTACTTTCATTCACTGGTCTGTAAAATGAGGATATTAGAATCAGCTGCAAGGAATTACTGTGAAACTATGATAATGTATGTAAAGTGGCCCACCCAGAAGGTGCCCAATAAATGAGAATTATTACTGCTGTTATTACAGCAAATGGTTAGTATCAGTGCTAGTGGCATATTTAATCATGAATAGTAAAGTCAGCAAAAATCTAGCAATTGTAGTTCTGAGTTTTAACTGACAGCTGCAACTCCGACCTTTGCCTTTCCAAATGCATCTAACTCAAATGCCTCAATCTCAGTACTGTTGACATTTTGGACTGAATAATACTTTACTGTAAAGTGGATGGAGGGCAGCCGTCCTGTGCACTGTTGGGGTTTTAGAAGCATCCTTAGCCTCTACCCATTATATGCTACTAGCAGTCTCTGAATCAGGACAATAAAAATATTCTCCAGACATTGCTAAATGTCCTTTGGAGGGCAAAATCATCCTACCACCACCTCTGCAGAGCCTCCCTGTGGCCTATAGTGGGAATTACTGTCTTCCTTTTCTGAGGTCTTTTAAATAAAAATATGCATGAAACGAGATTATCTTATGCTCTAATTGTATCATACTATTAAATCGTATTTTCCAAAAAAGATTGAATTTCTTGATGACAGGAAAGTTTCATTCTATTGTGTCCTCCAAGGTTTCTTGCACAGAACAGACAAGTAGGAACTCAGTAAAGATGTATTTGTTTACTTATTTTTTTCATTCACTCACTCAACAAGCATTTGCTGTATGCCTTTATGTAATGGGTATGAACTAGGGGTTGGACATATAGGGAAAAAAGGGCACAGTCCCTGCTCTTGAGAATCTCACAGTCTAGTAAAGAAGTCAGACTAATATGGTTTGATATTTGCTCCAGTAAAAGTGGTAAGGAAGAGATGCCCTTAACATGGACTGGGAGGGACAAGCAACATCTTCTGAGGAGGCAACTTTTGAGCTGAGTATTGAAGGATAAGTAGGAGTTAGTCAAACTGGGGTTGGGGGGGGCACTTATTGCTGATATCTAGCAATTTGTTAGATGCTTTTATAGTATGAGTTTAATGAATATGCTTTACAAACCTTTGACTTTTCAGCAGATAATCCATTTTTTTTTATCTTCTTGACCCAGAAAAGTAACTAGAAGGTAAGTGTTTTATAAAACTGGGGCAACAAGTGTGTACACACGAGCATGTACACACTAATGACATTGTGGAAGGAAGCTACTAGCATTTGCTAGTTCTGTCTCTCCTGCCACATATAAATGCTTCTGAATTAAGGGAAAAAGCTATATTATTTGTTGTTCCAAGTTTTGATTGACTGTGTTGGGCTTTGAGGTTGACATATCTATCATCACTGATTAGTTGAGAGCCCTTGGGTTATGATCATAACATATTTTATCAGACTATTCTCTTTTGAAGATGTAATCTTAAAACTTGCTACTTAATTTGTCTTATCAATTTTCACCTCAATTGATTCCTTCAAGTAAAAATATTTAGTTCCTGTCAAATTAGGAGTGGAAGGGAGAAAGTGTTCTGGCATATGCAGTGAGTCTCAAATTTTTCATCTCATGATTTTGGGAAGTCTGGAGTTCATATAAGCAGATTAAAACTTCCAAAGGATCAATTCCCATTTTAAATGGCTTATGAGAAACACTCCCGTGTAGAAAGTAATCATGGCAAGAAGTACTCACTTAGCTTCTCTAAGATCTCCTCATCTGTCATCTTGGATTTTTTTCTTTGCCGATCTGTGTTCCTGTACAAAGTACTGGAATTGGCATTTTCAGCAGAGGGTGGTGTGACCTCTTTATTTGGTACTGCTGGTGAAGCAATGGATTCAACCACAGAACGAGTATAGATCTAAAAAAACCAAAAAGCTCTGCAATTAAAACAGCAGGCCAAGGAAAGAGTGTGGAGTCAATGTATTGTAATATCAATGAATTTTTAAAGACAAGTGGTATTTTCTTAAAAAAAAAAAGGACTTTGAGTAGCTGAAAGTACAACACTGTTGAAAGATCATGGGAGCTAGTCTTTGGATGTCCCTATACATGCCTTGCTAATTCTGGTCTGAGGATCTCTGTTTATGCAACTCTTCCTACCTGGTTTACATGGATTTCCTTCCTTACCTTAACTTCTCCAACATTTTTATTACTTAGCAGTTATTTATGTATTGTTTGGTATTATTCTCTAATTGTTTAATGTGCTAACCTTGTATCCTCAAACAGTATCCTCAAAACCTTGGTCATATTTTATACTTTAGCTCTTGGAACATAAAAGATGCTTAATAGGTACTAGCTGATTAACTATATTCTAACTCTATGACTATTCCAAAGGGCATCTTTTGAATCATTTGGAAATAGTCCTTTGTGACTTACTGATTTTGTATGCTCTGGTCTTGGTGCGATAACTGGTGGTGGCTCATTTTCATCTTCTTCTTCTTCTTCCTCTTCATCTTCTTCTTCAGACACAGGAGGGGCCAATGGAGGCTCAGATGCTGTTTTTGTACTCTTGTGACAAAAACAAAGTTTAAAGATCAGGTATTAACTCCTCATTGTTTTTCTTCAGAAATAAAACAAGGGAAATGAAATATTTAAGCATGTAGGGATAGGAGGAAACTACATCTTTCACAAATGATCAGAATCATCAACAATTTGGTGGCCAGGACTTGCTCACCTGAATACAATCTCTGAACTTATTCAGAGATAAATTCATGTCATGGCTTAAAAAACCATGAAGTGTAATTTTTTAAAAAACTTCTCACTGAGCTCAAAAACAGTGGACTATTATTCACTTAATATTTTAAAGTTCAATGTTTTTGAAATACATTAAAAATCAAACTAATTGCTCTTAGAGCCTTGAATCTATACTGGGCAGATTATCAATTTATTGATTGACAGTTTGTCAACTTGAAAAGAACTATTTTCTACCTAAGGATCAGAGCATGCATATACATATGGTATTAATATAGCTCTGTAAATACTCACTAAGAACAAACAAGCCAATAAATGTCTCTTCCCTGTCCAGCCTCCTGGAAAGAAGCACTCAGAGAGTAATAGACATGAAGATCTAAGAACTACTCATCCACATGAATAATTACTCAATATTAACCATGAGTTAAATGGAGATTTTCAATATTTTATAAACTGCAATAATACGACAGTATTGTGGTACAATAGCAACAATACCTAGGGACAGTTCTTGATCACTCATGTTAATACAGTGGTAAAATGGTTCCAAAGTTGGATTTTGAAAGAACTGTGGCCATGGTTCTCAAAGTGTGGTTCCCAGATCAGCATCATTAGCATCATTAAGGAACTTGTTAGAAATGCAAATTTTCAAGCTCCATTCAGACCTATGAATCAGAAACTCTGGAAGTGGAGCCCAGCGATCTGTATTATAACAAGCCTTCCAGGTGATCCTGATGCAAGCTCAAGTTTAAAAACCATCAACTATGGCTTAGGTCTGCACTGTTTAACATGGCAGTAACTAACCACATAAGGCTACAGAACACTTAAAATGTGGCTAGCCTGTGACTTCAAACTATACTACAAGGCTACAGTAACCAAAACAGCATGGTACTGGTACCAAAACAGAGATACAGACCAATGGAACAGAACAGAGCCCTCAGAAATAATGCCACATATCTACAACCATCTGATCTTTGACAAACTGACAAAAACAAGCAATGGGGAAAGGATTCCCTATTTAATAAATTTTGCTGGGAAAACTGGCTAGCCATATGTAGAAAGCTGAAACTGGATCCCTTCCTTACACCTTATACAAAAATTAATTCAAGATGGATTAAAGACTTACATGTTAGACCTAAAACCATAAAAACCCTGGAAGAAAACCTAGGCAATACCATTCAGGACATAGGCATGGGCAAGGACTTCATGTCTAAAACACCAAAAGCAATGACAACAAAAGCCAAAATTGACAAATGGGATCTAATTAAACTAAAGAGCTTCTGCACAGCAAAAGAAACCACCATCAGAATGAACAGGCAACCTACAGAATGGGAGAAAATTTTTGCAACCTACTCATCTGACAAAGGGCTAATATCCAGAATCTACAATGAACTCAAACAAATTTACAAGAAAAAAACAAACAACCCCATCAAAAAGTGGGCAAAGGATATGAATAGACACTTCTCAAAAGAAGATATTTATGCCGCCAAAAAACACATGAAAAAATGCTCATCATCACTGGCCATCAGAGAAATACAAATCAAAACCACAGTGAGATACCATCTCACAACAGTTAGAATGGCGATCATTAAAAAGTCAGGAAACAACAGGTGCTGGAGAGGATGTGGAGAAATAGGAACACTTTTACACAGTTGGGGGGATTGTAAACTAGTTCAACCATTGTGGAAGTCAGTGTGGTGATTCCTCAGGGATCTAGAACTAGAAATACCATTTGACCCAGCCATCCCATTACTGGGTATATACCCAAAGGATTATAAATCATGCTGCTATAAAGACACATGCACACGTATGTTTATTGTGGCACTATTCACAATAGCAAAGACTTGGAACCAACCCAAATGTCCAACAATGATAGACTGGATTAAGAAAATGTGGCACATATACACCATGGAATACTATGCGCCACAAAAAATGATGAGTTCATGTCCTTTGTAGGGACGTGGATGAAGCTGGAAACCATCATTCTCAGCAAACTATCACAAGGACAAAAAACCAAACACCACATGTTCTCACTCATAGGTGGGAATTGAACAATGAGAACACATGGACACAGGAAGGGGAACATCACACACCGGGGACTGTTGTGGGGTGGGGGGAGCGGGGAGGGATAGCATTAGGTGATATACCTAATGCTAAATGATGAGTTAATGGGTGCAGCACACCAACATGGCACATGTATACATATGTAACAAACCTGCACGTTGTGCACATGTACCCTAAAACTTCAAGTATAATAATAATAAAAAATAAAATAAAATAAAATAAAATAAAATGTGGCTAGCCTGAATTGAGATGTGTTTCAAGTGTAAATTACATTCCAGATATTGTATACTTAATATCAAAAAATTGTAAAATGTTAGATTAATACTTCTTATATTGATTATATGTTGAAATGCTGAAAATTTGAATATATTGGCTTAATAAATATATTATTAAAATTTATTTCACCTATTTTTTACATTTTAATATGTGGTTACTAGAAAATTTAAAGTTATGACTATAGTTTATATATTTGTTGGACAGTGCTATTATAGGTGTTTTGTTTTGTTTTGTTTTTGTGTATTTATTTTGTTTTTGTTTATGCCACTGGGTATACTGTCCTAACATAATCCGACAATGAATTTTCATTCTTTGAGGACAAAGCTCCTGAGGCAGTTATAGGCAGCCTATTAATAGACCATTACATCAAAGGACCTCAATTGTGATTAAAAATTCAATGTGGCTTTTCTACAATCATGTATAAACCTATGGTGAAGTAATAAGGTGTAATCACACATCTGATAGGAGCCAGAAAGACTTACCAATTGTGAGAAGAAAGCCAACCTAGAATTTATAAACAAGCATTTGAAAGAATATTTTATTGCCCTGATATAAATGCTAAGTGGTTTATAGATTGAAGTTTGTATGTTTACTGAATATTGGTTTTCTTATTTATGCACCTATATTTATTCTTAATTTAGCCATAACAACTGGGCTATTATATTGTATAGCTATGTGGATAGCAACATCTGTTAATGACATTAAGTTTCCAGATTTTTAAAAAATCACTTTCTTCTTGCAAAACACTAATTCTTCAGGGCATTTCAGGGGGCACAGGGAGAAATGGGCTTTGGGTTATCGAAATTTGCTTTGATATTATGTTCCAGAAAGTTTTGCCCTATCTTACACCAGCTGGGTTCAAGAATGTACCTAATCACTGTTTCTTTGTAGAAGGATGGAAGCTGAGTACTTTTTTATATGACAAATGGTGCTATTTTATCTATTAGGCAATACGAACCTTGCCCAGGGTTGATAAGTTTTACATGGGCCCGTGAAAGTGTTTGCCATCAGAAATAAATCATCAGCTCCAAAAAGCCACAAGAAAACTATAAAGTCAAAATTAATTAATGTTTAATTAAATGTCTGTTAAGTATAACAATATGCCAACTTAACTAGTCTCTTATGTTTAGCATTTAAAGAAATTTCATTATATTAAATATAAATTGTAGGTTTGATTTTCATATTTAGCAAAAATTCTTGAGTATTTACAATGATTTAACAAGAAATTATACCTAACCATACATTTTAAAAGTTACTTGTAAGTAAATAATTTCAAAATTAATATGTCAAAAATAATTTCAAAAATTTACAGCAAAAATATAAAGTGAAGTATGGGGGCCCTTTAATATGTTTAAAGCAATGCATGATGTGACCTCTACAAGTGAGAGTATATACAGTCTATTAGGCTCTAAAAACGGCCCTAGAGGCAAAAAGAATGATTCAAGGTCTAGTCTTCTTGGCCCAAACCTTAAACTGGTACAAAGATCAGTCTGCCTACTGGGGCAAGGAGCAGCCTTACACATTTCAAGTCTTAATACTTCACTAGATAAGATCCACCTGCAAGATTTCACTGACTGTTAACATTCATTACTATCTTCACTGCTAACTTCCAGTGGAAACCATTCCCCATCTCCAAGGATAGACTTAAGGGACTATTAGAAAACCTGAAGGTTTTTGTCCTCTGAAGGTTTGTGGGAAAAGAAAAAGACAGATATTTCTGTTTACTTTGGACCAAACACTATCCTGCCATATTGGTTGGTTGACTTGGAAGAATGTATGGCATTGAGTGGATAGTATGTTTTGAATTATGGTTGGGCCAGAGAGCATTAAATCCCCAGCAATCCACCAAGGATAGCAATCTTTGGTACTGAGAACTGAAATTAACAATTTCTGTCCCTGAGTTAAAAAATACTGGGATTAGGCGTACTTTACTATCACTGTGTAAATAGTACTGGGACTGGGCATATTTTATTTTCCCTGTGTTAGTCAATATCAAGACAGACATACTTTAATGTTCTTATATTAAACAATAGTGAGAATAAGCAAAAATAACATAGCTTCTTACTTTAGGAAATACTTGTTTCTAGAAGATACCGTGAACCAACTAGTTTGCTCATTGAGACTAACAGCTTGCTCACTAAAACTTGCTTCAAGCCCCTTCCTTTGCTATATTCACCAATACAAAGCTATGTTATCATAAACACTGCATAATCTTAACCCATTCCTCGCCTTGCAAGACCTGCTTTAAAATCAAACAGTCTAAGCCCTAAAACCCTATAAATATTCCCTCCTGACATCCCCTTCTTAAGACACAAAGACTTTATCAAAGTAATGCTTTTATGTCACTCTAAGTTTAATAAACATAGCTTTACTTAGAGGTTTTCCTGGTGATCATTTTTGGAGTCAATGGTGCAATGTTTCCATGCTCTTCATTCCAGGCTGAGAATTACTGTATCTAAAACTTCTAAACTTACAGAAATATAGATAGATGGATAACAAGTAAGGAATATTTTTGTCTTATCAAATTAGATATTTTTGACACTCTAATTTTGCTAGACATTGGGGCAGAGAATGTAGTTCTTTTTTTTCTTTTCTTTTTTTTTTTTTGAGATGGAGTTTCGCCATTGTTGCCCAGGCTGGAGTGCAATGGCACGATCTCTGTTCACCACAACCTCCACCTCCTGGGTTCAAGCGATTCTCCTGCCTCAGCCTCCCGAGTAGCTGGGATTACAGGCATGTGCCACCACGCCCAGCTAATTTTGTATTAGTAGAGATGGGGTTTCTCCACGTTGGTCAGGCTGGTCTCGAACTCCTGACCTCAGGTGATCCGCCCGCCTCAGCCTCCCAAAGTGCCGGGATTACAGATGTGAGCCACCGCGCCTGGTCGGGAATGAAGTTCTTAACCTGAGTTGGGTCCCGGACTCTTAGGGTTTGGTCTATCTCCCCGGAAAGGTACAGGTAGACACATGCTCTTATGTATAACTTCAACAGTTCATAGATCTGAAGCCCACCCATGAACTCCAAGTTCTGAACGTTGCTCTAGAGAATACACCAGCTAGAGTAGCTACCTTAGGAAATTTCCTTTTCTCTGAGCTTAATTTTTAAAGGTCAAAGAACTTAGAAGTAAGGAACTTAGAGGCTTTAGATAATATAAAATGCTGTTTGGGGGCCACTTTTGGTGATTGTTTAAAATGTAGATTTTAGGTTTCTACTCCAGATCTACTCTGGGAGTGGAGCCCTGGAATCTGCAATTTAACAGAATCCCCATGAAATTCTGATGCACACTGAAGTAAAAGAATTACTTAAACTATGTTTAAAAAAAATTAACCAGTACTGCAAATCACAAAAGAGCAATCTGTCAACTGCACATCCAGTTGCTCTAAGCATAGATAATGGCACGTTCAATATGACAAAACAATAATGACATATTATTGCTGTTACCTTCCAGTTGGAATACTAACTTAGGATTCTAAATATGTCATTTTATTTTCAACAGTACGATAAAAATATGAAATTTTAAAATTAGCCTCAAATTAAAGAGTAGAGACTTGAACAGTATTTGAAATTGAATACACTAATATCAAAGAAGCTACCACAAATAAGCAGTAAAGCAGGTGTTATATGACTATGAGATCTATCCCTGAGTTCAATATTAATTACAGAATCATGAGTTTAAAACACTTAGAGAATGCAACATTGCTTCTGTTTTAATTCTCACCCAGGCTACTAAAGGATGCAAAACTTGTAATCAATTCAGGCTATGTCTACAAGGGGTTGTCAGACCCATTAAATCAGATTTTGTAGACAGCCAGATCTACTGGGAGTTTTTATGATGCAAAAAGACATACACATTGCGAAGCATACTCTCCTCTAGAACTATAAGGAAAACACAAGGTGCAGTTATCCATTCCTAAGGAACTGAGTCCCACTGAAGTAATTCAAATAGAATGTCGGGGTCCAATTCAGTTCATTCAATCAATAGAAACCTAGCCTTCATCAAGCAGTCAATCCATTATTTTCACCTGAAAGTCCTGCCAGCCCTTCAAACTCAAACTGTCCAATAAGGAACTCAGCATCTTCCCACAGAAATTGGCTTCTCCTGAAAGACAGCATCATTATCTTTTTACCCACGACCTATCAGTTTAAGCCTGCGTTTATCTTTGACCTCACCCTTTCCTCCAACATCCAATTAATAATCTAAATACCTCTAGAAATTGAATGTAATCTCCCCATTCCTACTGTTACTACCTCATTTCTGGCTCAGATTACCTGGATGCTTGCAATATTCTCCCTACTAGTCTCCCTTCATCCAGTCTCACCATTTGTACTTAATTCATTCTGGACATTTGCCGTCAGATTACTCTTCCCAAGGTATAAGTGTTAATCACTTAACTCTCCTGCTCCAAAACACTTCAAAAGCTTCCCACTGAATACTGGAAAGCCAGATTCCTTGGAGTACCATTTAGGGGCCTGTATGATTTGGTTCCGCCTTAACCTTCAAGACTTATTTCCTGATTCCCTTTCTCGCATCTCAGTTTTCATTCAACCCCATATTCCTTGTTTCCTTGCTCTACTCACCAACACACCCTTTCTTATGCTTTTCTTTTTACTTAAAATGCCCTTCCCATCTTCACAGATCGAAATCTCATCTGACCTTTAAGATCTAGCTCAAATGCCAACTTTTATATGAAGCATTTTCTAACTTAACATTCAACAAATACATACCAAGTATCTATTTGGTACCAGACACTGAGCTTCAGCCCTTGGAGACAAGGGCCTGCTTCCCTTTCCCTCCCCAGCTAAAAGCAATCTACTTTCTCTGAAATCTCATAGCATGTCAACATATTTTATGATATGTAATACTATCCATATTGTTGGGTTTTTTTTTTTTTTTGAGACAGGGTTTTGCTCTGTCACCCAGGCTGGAGTCCAGTGACACAATCACGCCTCACTGCAGCCTCCACCTCCAGGGCTCAAGTGATCCTCCCACCTCAGCCTCCAAAGTAGTTGGGACTGCAGGTGTGCACCACCATGCCCAGCTAGTTTTTGCATTATTTGTAGAGACAGGGTTTCACCATGTTACCCAGTTTGCTCTTGAACTCCTAGGCTCAAGCGATCTGCCCACCTAGACCTCCCACAGTGCTGGGATTACAGGCATGAACCACTATACTCAGCCACTATCCATACTGTATTGTACTTCTTTATGTCCATGTTTACCTTCCCCTACCAGCCTGATATCCAAACTTCCTAGAGCTTATAAGGAGGCAGTTGGTAAATATATGTTAAATAGGTAAATATCTATTTGTTTTATCTCCAGACAGTGAGATCATCATTTTTTTTTCTAACTTAATGGAATATTTTAGCCATAACATAGACTTCATTTTAATTCTACAAGCAAAACCAATAGAACCAATCTCAAAAGAAACAGTTAATATCTTAGGAGAAAACAAAAACCAATACACAGGCTATCCTAGCAAGTTGGTGTTTCAAATAACTGACCAACCTAAAAAAATAATAACTATTTTTTTTTTGCCAGAATACCCAGTCAAGATTGCACAAGCATGATATTAATGAAGTCAAAGGAGGTAAAGTATGTGTTGATCATGGAAGGCTGTCATTTTTGTCCTTTCCATTTTCCTATTACCTCCCTTCACATGTTGTTTTCAGTGTGGCCCAGGAAGCTGTCATGGCAAAGAAGGAGGAAAAGGAAATGGCCAGTCAGATGAGAGGGCCATATTCTGTTCTGTTTTGGGGAATCTGAGCAAAGCGCAAGTACAAGCTTCATGTGTGAAGAGAGTGAGTTTTTCCTCTTGTTGTCATGTAAAAATAATAGTAGTTTACATTTAATAAATATATATTATGTGCTAAGTACTATACTAAGTACTTTATGTACATTATCACATTTAATATTCACACAAGACGTAGGAGGTAAGTACTATTTTTATTCCCTCTTAAAGCTGAGGAAAGAAGCTCAGAGAAGCTAAGCTAGTTTCCCAATGTCACATACTTAGTAAATGGGGAAATCAGATTAAATACCTACATCCAGAGCCTTCATTCTTTCTTTTTTCATTTTATTTTTAATTGTAGCAAAATATATATAACATAAAATTTACCATCTTAACCATTTTTAGGTATGTATTTCAGTACTGTTGAGGATATTGTTGTATAATCATCAAAGCCATTCATCTCCATAACTCTTTTCATCTTGTAAAACTGAAACTCTGTACCCATTAAACAACTGCCCACTCCCCCTGCTCCCAGCTCCTGGCAACTAGTATTCTACTTTCTGTCTCTATGAATTTGACTCCTCTAGGTACCTCACATACGTGGAATCATACAGTATATACCCTTTTGAGACTGGCTTATTTCACTTAGCATAATGTTCTCCTGGTTCATCCATGTTGTAACGTGTCAGAATTGTCTTCTTTTTAAGGCTTAATAATATTCCACTGTTTATACATACCATCTTTTGTTTACCCCTTCATCTGTTGATGGACACTTGGGTTGCTTCCACCATTTGCCTACTGTGAATATTGCTGCAATGAACGTGGGTGTATAAATATCTCTTGGAGACCCTGCATTCAATTATGGGTATATACCCAGAAGTGGAATAGCTAGATCATATGGTTAATACCATTTTTAATTTTTGAGAAACTGACATAATATTTCAGAACCTTTACTCTTTACAACTAAAGAAGATCTACTGGTGTCATACTGGCTACCCAGGGTGATGTCAAGCAGACATCTGTCCACTATAAAAGGCATTGGTCTGCTATAAAAGGAAGAAGAATCAGGTTGGCCATCCATGACTGTTTGAATAAATGGTTAGGAGACTTTCAGTAATGCAAATTATTTCACCCCTAAAAAAACAAATGAGGCAGGAAGTAATTTCTATCAGAATATCAAAATGAAAATCACAGAAAGGGAAGCCTTATCTGAGATCATTTTCTGTCTAATGTGTACAAATATTCTTTCAGATACTATAGCACTTTCAACAACTAGGTTACTTATTTTCTAGTCACTTCTCTGATAAAAATTATCTATGTGACTTTGGACAAAGGCACTTCCCTCCCTGTATCTCAGTTTGTTGGAACAAGTGACATACAAAACGTATACTGTTATAACCTTAGAGAAGTTATTTAATTTCTCCAAACCTCAGTTTTCTCACCTGTAAAATGGGGACAATGGTAAGACTTACTTAACTGGGCTGTAGGAAAGATTAAGTACCTATAAAAATAAAATTATCTTACAGTTTATATTATAAGTGTACACTGTAGGTGTTCAGAGAAATTTCTATTAACATGATTATTATTCTCAAAGTTCTACATGTAAGAGAAACAGAAACATTGTCCACATAAAAACCCTGTACAAGAATGTTCCTAGTAGCTTAATTTGTAATAGCTAGCAACTGAAAATTTTCTAGAGAGCCTTCAATGTTTGAATGGTTAAACAAACAGTGGTACAATCATACCATGGAATACTCAGAGATAAAAAGGAACACAAATTATTGATATACACAACAACTTGGATTAATCTTAAAATAAATAAACTGAGTTAAAAAAGCCAATCCTCAAAAGTCACACGCTGTATTATTTCATTTACATGAAATGTCCAGAAAGCCAAATCCATAAAGGCAGATTCCATATTAGTTCTTGCCTGTGACTAGGGTGGGGTGGGTGGAGTTAACTGTAAGTAGGTATGAAGGATTTTACTGGGGTGATGGACTTGTTCTAAAACTCAATTGTGGTGATGGTAGCATAGGTATATACATTTACCAAAACTCATTGAACTGTTTACCTGAAAATAGGTGAATTTTATATAAACTGAATTATACCTTAAAATTGTTTTTAAAAGACTTTATATCTAAAAACTGGATCTGTGCAGTTATATTCTCTTAAATCTTTGGAAACACCAATCATGTGAAACAGTTTTCAATTTTTCACTTACCGAAGGATGGGCTGCTATGTATCCATGTGCACTTTTATCTGCAAAGTGAGAATAGAGAGGTCATTTTTGTTTCATAAAGAATGTTTCATTCAGAGACCACACCAGAAAAATAAAAATTAAAAAACTGCATGATTTCAACTAGAAGGAAATGCTCCAATTTAGTATTAACTAGATATTATGACTAATGACATAGCTTTTCTTAAAATAGCTCACACCATTACATCCTCACCATATTCTCACCAGGTCATTTTGCAGATATTAATGAAGGCCTCCAGTGAATCTCATTTATATGGAAGAATGACAAGATTACCTACTCTTAACAGGTATGATTCTGTACATCTATAGTAGTCCCCCCTATCTGAAGTTTCACTTTTTGTGGTTTCAGCTACCTGTGGTCAACTGTGGTTCAAAAATATTACATCAAAAATTGCAGAAATAACCAATTCATGAGTTTCAAACTGCATGCCATTCTGAGTATGATAAAATCTCACGCGGTCCTGCTCCATTCCACCTGAAATGTGAATCATCCCTTTGTCCAGTGTACCTACTCTGTTTACACTACCAGCCTATTAGTCACTTAATAGCCAGTTTGGTTATCAGAACAACTGCGGAGCTATCACAGTGCTTGTAGTCATGTACCCCTTATTTTACTTCATAATGGCCCCAAAGAGCAAAAGTAGTGATGCTGGCATATTGTTATAATTGTTCTACTTTATTATTGGTTATTGTTGTTTATCTCTTACTGTGCCTAATTTATAACTTTATCACAGGTAAGTAGGTATAGAAAAAAAACATGATATACATAAGGTTCAGTACTATCCATGGTTCCAGGCATCCATTGGAGATCTTAGAATATATTCCACATGGATAAGTGGAGAACTACTCTAAATCTAGGATTTTTCCCACTTTCTTCTCTCCCTACCTCCTTTCCATTCCTTCTTTCCACCTTCCTGTGCTATCTTCATCTTCTCTTCCTATTCAGTTAGTCAGTCCCAATACCAGAGCATTCAGAAAACCTATGATGAGGTACACTCAGCTCAGTACAGTACAACTGTACAGTTGAGTTTTAATATAGTTGTCAGGATTTCATCTTTGTAAGTTGAGAGAAATTTGGCATATAAAACTAAGTGTTAAACAGCAATGGCTATTTGGAGTAAAGAACAAACTC
Source organism: Homo sapiens (assembly GCF_000001405.40). Lineage (NCBI taxonomy): Eukaryota > Metazoa > Chordata > Mammalia > Primates > Hominidae > Homo > Homo sapiens. The sequence continues at coordinate 111,151,279 of NC_000023.11, read as the reverse complement.
TGATACTCTAAAGTGTATTCTTGGTTACAGTGAAATGATTTCTTGAATACATTTTCAGTTCTGGTTGCCTATGGTTCTAACTTGGAGCACAGCTCTTGATTTTCTCACATGAAACATTTTTTGATATATCACCAGGATCTCTTAGATATTTTATTCTATGTGGAAGCTTAAATATAGTAAAAAGTTTCCCTTGATGGCTTTCTTTTTAGGTTTTCAACATTGGATAACAGCAGTTAAGCAATAGTCCAATTTAGCAGTTTGGGCTTTGATATTTGATATGGCCAAATCAGACACTCTTCCCTTTCCAAGGGTATCCTTGGATCATTCTCAAAGAAACTTAAAGCCTGCTTATACTAAATCCAGTGCGAAGAGGTAAGGGCTCTTTATAGCTGTAGTACTAATGATAATACTCCCTTCATTCTTTAGATGTTAATAAGTTAATAAATTATTGTAGAGAGAGAACTCAAATCATCTATCTCAAAATGTGAAAGTATTATTTGGTATATATATTTCAGTTGCAGATATGGTTTGCCTGTGTCCCCACCCAAATCTCAACTTGAATTATATCTCCCAGAATTCCCACGTGCTGTGGGAGGGACCCAGTGGGAGGTAATTGAATTATAGTGGCCGGTCTTTCCCATGCTATTCTCGTGATAGTGGATAAGTCTCACAAGATCTGATGGGTTTATCATGGGTTTTTGCTTTTGATTCTTTCTCATTTTCTGTTGCTGCTGCGATGTAAGAAATGCCTTTTGCCTCCCACCATGATTCTGAGGCCTCCCCAGCCATGTGGAACTATAAGTCCAATTAAACCTCTTTTTATTCCCAGTCTTAGGTATGTCATTATCAGTAGCATGAAAACGGACTAATACAGTAAATTGGTACCAGTAGAGTGGGGTGTTGCTAAAAAGATACCCAATAATGTGGAAGAGACTTTGTAACTGGGCAACAGGCAATTGGAACAGTTTGAAAGGACACAGAAGAAGATAGAAAAATGTGGGGAAGTTTGGAACTTCATAGAGGCTTGTTGAATGACTTTGTCCAAAATGCTGATAGCAATATGGACAATAAAATTCAGGCTGAGGTAGTCTCAGATGGAGGATGAGGAACTTTTGGGAACTGGAGCAAAGGTGACTCTTGTTATGTTTTAGCAAAGACACTAGCAGCATTTTGCCCCTGCCCTAAAGATGTGTAGAACTTTGAACTTGAGAGAGATGTTTTAGGGTATCTGGTAGAAGAAATTTCTATGCAGCAAAGCATTCAAGAAGTAACTTGAGTGCTGTTAAAGGCATTCAGTTTTATAAGGGAAACAGAGCATAAAAGTTTGGAAAATGTGCAGCCTGACTATGCGATAGAAAATAAAAACTCATTTTCTTGGGAGAAATTCAAGCTGGCTGCAGAAATTTGCATAAGTGGCAAGGAGCCTAATATTAATCCCCAAGACCATGGGGGAAATGTCTCCAGGCCATGTCAGAGAACTTCACAGCAGCCCCTCCCATCACAGGCCCATAGGCCCAGGAGGAAAAACTGGTTTTTTGGGCCAGCTCCAGGGTCCCCGTGCTGTGTGCAGCTTAGGGGCTTGGTGCCCTGTGTCCCAGCTAATCCAGCTTTATCTGAAAGGGGCCAACATACAGCTTGGGCTGTGACTTCAGAGGGTGGAATCCCCAAGCCTTGGCAGCTTCCACGTGGTGTTGAGCCTGCATGTGCACGGAAGTCAAGAATTGAGGTTTGGGAACATACACCTAGATTTCAGAAGATGTATGGAAATGCCTGGATGCTCAGGCAAAAGCTTGCTGCAGGGGTGGGGCCCTCATGGAGAACCTCTGCTAGGGCAGTGCAGAAGGGAAATGTGGGCTCAGAGCCCACACACAGAGTCCCTACTAGGGCACTGCCTAGTGGAGCTGTGAGAAGAGGGCCACCGTCCTCCAGATCCCAGAATGGTAGATCCACTTACAGCTTGCACTTTGCACATGGAAAAGCCGCAGACACTCAACAGCAGCCTGTGAAAGCAGCCGGGAGGGAGGCTGGACCCTGCAAAGTCACAGGGTAGAGCTGCCCAAGACCATGGGAACCCACCTCTTACATCAGCGTGACCTAGATGTGAGACCTGGAGTCAAAGGAGATCATTTTGGAGCTTTAAGATTTGACTGCCCTGCTGGATTTTGGACTTGCATGGGCCCTGTAATCCCTTTGTTTTGGCCAATTTCTCCCATTTGGAATGGCTGTATTCAACAAATGCCTGTACCTCTATTGTATCTAGGAAGTAACTAGCTTACTTTTGATTTTACAGGCTCGTAGGCAAAAGGGACTTGCTTTGTCTAAGATGAGACTTTGGACTGTGGACTTTTGAGTTACTGCTGAAATGAGTTAAGACTTTGGGGGACTGTTGGGAAGGCATGATTGGTTCTGAAATGTGAGGGCATGAGATTTGGAGGGGCCGGGGCAGAATGACATGGTTTGGCTGTGTCCCCACCCAAATATCAACTTGAATTGTATATCCCATAATTCCAACATGTTGTGGGAGGGACCCGGGGGTGGGTAATTGAATCATGGGGGCTGGTCTTTCCCATGCTATTCTCATGATAATGAACAAGTCTCATGAGATCTGATGGTTTTATCGGGGTTCTCCACTTTTTTCCTTCACATATTATCTTGCTGCTGTCATGTAAGAAGTGCTTTTCACTTCCCACCATGATTCTGAGGTCTCACCAGCCATGTGGAACCGTAAGTCCAATTAAACCTCTTTTTCTTCCCAGTCTTGGACATGTCTTTACCAGCAGCATGAAAATGGACTAATACAGTTGCTTATAGTGCAAATTTGAACATCAAAGCTCCAAGAAAAGACTAAATCTACACACTAGCAAATAAGGTCAAGATTTGGCAGTAACATGGATATTTCAGTTTCTAAAAATAGTCACACATAGTTTTCTCTTTTCAGTCTGATTTGGGGGTCTTAGCAAAATAACCTGACACCAAAAAAACAGTGTGCTGTGTCATCATGGTGTAAATCAATGAATCTAAGGGACAAAGTAAATTTCCAGAGAGCATGGTTTCATACATACAACTCTTACTTCATGAACATATAACAAAGCCCAGTAAGTGACTGAGTGTCTTTATGACAGTAAAGAGACAACAATTGTGACTACCAGTTCAAGCTCACAACTACTCCTTCACTAAATAATTACCTTATTTTGATTCTAAACATACTTGAGTTATATAACTTAACATCAACCTCAAATTCCAACTCATTTTTTGGTTTCCTTATGTTGATGTCATTTGAAGAAGGTACTAGAATCGATTTCAAATGTCCCACAGACATTTTGTTCTCAACATGACACTCTGAAATTGAAATTACTTTTTCACCTTTGATACCACAGACTTCCTCTTACCTCCTGATGTAAAGCTCATGTATTTCTGGTTGTTGACTGTTTCTTTGGAATCATAGAATTTGAGAACATCTAGAACAGCTTGTGGGTTCTTCTTCTGTTCCAATTTTGTTATGTTGGAAGTTTGGAGTAATCGTGCCCATTGCTCTGGAATTCCCTGTGGACAACCAAAGGGAAAGAATGGTAGCTCAGAACATTCTGCAGCAGCATTTTTATGTTCCAGTAAAGTTCTTCACCAAGAAGCCCATGCTACCTGTAGGATTACACTTGGGAAACTGAAGTTACATTCTAGATTTAAAGTTAGTAACTTAATAATGCAATCATTCTCTTCTCTAATTAAAACACATAGGTAAAACTAGGATCCAACTTAAAAAGGGTGGGTGGGAGTATGACTGTGATAGAAAAAAAAAAGCGCATGAAAATCACCTCCATATTGACTCTGCTCATCCATGAAATGATGTTTACGGCTTAGCTTATTTTTTTTCTGGCGACTCAGGGCAGACATAGCAAGACTTCTCTAAATTTGTGCACAGCATAGTAAAGTGCAGATCAATGGATTTTATGACTGGAATAACAAGCTGTTTCTGGTCATGTTGTAATCAGAATATATTTTAGAATAAAAGGAAAGGATCACCCTTGGTCAGGTTATACTTTGTGATTACAAAATGTAATTTTTTGGGTCTAGCGCTTTACTATAAAGGCAGGTTGGTAGGAGACAAAAATAGAATTGTGGAGGGGCAAGAACCACTGAGATGCTAAACAGTAACATTAATGCTGCTTTGGGCATTTCCCCTGCAGCTTTCTCCAGGGCATGCCCTCCTTCTCCTCTCCTCTCTCTCTCCCTTCCTCCTTACTTCATTTATAGGCCACATAGAACCTGGGGACTATGAAAACCACGACAAAGCCTTGTGATAATTTATAATAATCTGAAGCATTTAGAGCAGAGAGGAGGGAATATTTGGAAATCTAACCAAGGAGAATTGCAAAAATTAGAGGTTAGCTTTGCATTGAGCATTCAACATTCTTTCCTACATGTCCAGCCTACAGAAGTCCCAATTTCATAATTATCCAACCTCCAAGAGCAACTTGGAGAGAGAAACAGACACACTATTCCTGAAGTGCATCCAGACACAATTTATGTGGCTTTATCCTATGAAGTCTCGGCAAAACAATGTGTGACGTGGGCCTCCAGAGTTTGGGAATGACAACAAAAAAAGTGAGATAAGCCAAGCAACAACTCTACTGCACACACATGAACCTGCTGCTGCAGTGCTATGACATCTCAAAGAAGCACTTTGATGCAAGCTTCTTTTGGGCCTGTGACGCACCTCTGGGAGCTTCCCTGGGCACATCTGTGAGCCATAGAGATCTGGCTGTAATGGACGTAAATAAAGAAAGAAAAGAAAGTTAAAACAGAATGTGGGACAACTTAGAAGGTGGGAGGAGATGAAACCAATGGGTCTGAATGGGGGGAGTCCCTTCTAAAGTGGGGCAGTTATGAAAATAGGGAGGTTTTAACTAAATCAGGGACAGGACAGGCTACAGGACAACAGATTTAAGAGAACAGAGAGAACGACGATGCTTCAAAGTTTGGATGTATAATTCCACTTTTGGCAAGATGCTTCCTCCATAAATATGTATTAATAAGAATTACCATTAAATGATTGGAGAAATTATTAAAAGGCAGAAACATGAATTTGGAGGCAAGAAGGATGGCATCATGAAAAGCTTTGACAATAATTTGTAAGTTGTTTTTATAACTGGGTGATCACAGGTAGCCAATGGCCATGTGATAAACTTACAAATTTCAGTTCCCAATTCTGGTTAACCAATTTTAGTTTCAAAAGTGTGTATGTGGCTAAAATTCAAAGGATGGCTGTATGGAAACATTGAATTTTATTCTCATTGATGTGATTCTTTTGCACTTTGTAGCTAAAGTCATGGCTGGCTTAGAGAAAACTAGATAAAGAACATTCCCACATAGCCAGACTCTATATGTTAAGTTTCTTAGATATTTAGACCAGGGAAAGGGGAACAATTCCATTTCAAACCATATATATATAATTTCCATTTTAGTGCTGCAGTTCTAAAATCCCACTTCCCACAAAATAAGACAAGATATAAGGTAACAGCTTTGCCTAAATAAAGATATCTCAAATGCTACAGAAACATGCTTGACCCAACTGGCTTGATTTTGTATATATGTCCTTGATTCCTGGTATTTAGGGTTACTCCAAGCACAGTGAAACGACACTTTTACATGCATTTTTCACGCAGCTAGATGCTAAAGCCTTAAGCCAAAAATTTGAACTCAGGAGCCCATGCATGATCCCAGTTATGATTCTAAGTGCAATTAATAGCATTTGTTAATACCGTAATGGCCAAAGGAGTTATTAAGTGTTACAAATTGAGGTATGCATTGCACATAACCACTAGAGCAGACATTACTGGCATAATCATTACCATAATCATTAGAATATTGGCAGTTATTATACATTCCCATGGCACTTCTAAACTTTTGTGATAAATAGTTTTATGATCACTAGACAGCAGGAAAAAATGCTGCCAATAGCAGAAAATCCTCCAGACAACTATACTTACCACATGACTACACTGCTGACATAATTTTGACTACACTGCTGACATTTCTTTTTTCTAAGTTGAGACAAATCCAATTATCACTAAAACCCGACATTCAAATTTGAATGTATGCCACAAAGGCACATAGTCATAAAGCCATCTCATTATGCCACGTTGAGGAACTAATCCCAAAAGTTAGACAGCTAATGAAGACCTAGGAGTTTGAGCATCAGAAGCAGGAGCACATATCAATGTCTGACTGTGTATAGGATACCAACTAGAAGTAAATTAAGCTGGGGGTTGTCCAGTGTAGCCCAGGAGAATGGCAGCACGATATAACAGGCCAAGCATTTATCTTATCATAAGAAATGATAATTTATATCACTCATACCATTTTTCCCTCTGATTGACTTGAAGCGACCGTCACAGGTCTAGAGGTCTGGAAAGGGGAGTTCTGAAGTATTTGGGACAAAAATGGCAATATAAAGGATGAGGACTTATAATCATTGAATACCAAAAATCTCACCTCCCAACCTACTTTTAGCTTCAGGGTCCAAGTGTATGACCAGGTATACAAGGTCATATGGGCCAATTAGCCAAAGAGTAATCACCAAGCAACACAGCAAATCAGTGTCCAAATATTCAAAATAACAAGCCCTTGTAAGACAACTGGATTAGATAGTTCAGCAAATTGCACAAAATTCAACCTCAACAACCACGATAATCAAACTTAATATGATCCCCTCCCAACACACAATAAATTAGTGGTGCTATGACAATTAGGACCCAATTCTAAATCCTACCAATAAAAAGACTTTCTTAAAAGCTTTTTATAATTTGGCATGTTTACATTTAATAAACATAATAATATAGTAAATGTAAATCACAGGTTAAAAAAGTACCAAAAAGGGCAGAATTTGGCATCTTTAAGAATAATGTATGAACAAGTAGTTACAAAAGATCATCAGGATGACAATAAAGTACTTCCATTTTCCAAATTTAGCCTATGTCTTTCTATATATTCAATGGATTCGTAACAATGGAATACTTCCGAACAGCTATCTTATTTCAAATTGGGGATATTTTTAGTAGGGAGAGGAGTATTTGTTTCATATGGTTTGGTTGTATCCAACTGTTTTTCATCATTGGAAAGATAGTCCATCACTTTGGGTTCTTTGGGTTCTAATTGACAGCAAATTGAAAATGACTGGTGCTGCAGTCAGCAAGATGGTGGTGATTTACTTTCTTTCATTTCCATTCAGAATCCAGAATGATAAATGAAAGAGCTAGAGATATACTGTATCATAAGATGACAAGTAAGTTTGAAAAGTGGAAAGAATAAAATATTGGAGAGCAACTAGAATATCACATGAGATAACTGGATGAGAAAATTTTCACATCAGAAAACAAAAAGGAAGAAAAAAGAAAAGAAAAATAGTGAATGACAACAATAAAACACAATAGTAGTTTAAATGAGGAAAAGCACAGAGAACATTAAAATGTCAAAGCTGGAAAAATTAATAAAAAAGGGAAGAGTTATTAGGCAAAATTTTTATAAAGTTTAAGGGATCTTCTTGTTTCAAGTGTCAGCAAAAATAGTTACAATCTTTTTGTAATTTTTTAAAAATAGAACGTTTTTCAGGTTATACAAATTACGTTTTTTTCTGGTGGTGATGATGGTGGTGGTAGTCATAATAGCAAGGTTGGAGTATCTAAGTGTGGCTAAGAGAATATTCTGCAAATATAGTAAAGAATGGGTTCACACTCAAAGCCATTTGAGTAATGTCTCTGACTTTAATGATGAAATTGGTTAAATCTTACCTATCTCCACTTTATGTGTCAATATTTCTTAACGTTCTCCTCTGCTTGCTACTGAGAACGCAGAAATAATCAGCTTACACCACTTTATGAGGCCAAGGTGTTTACTGTTTCCATTTCCATTCTCCTATCACTTACTTCCAGAATTGAAGAAATAAGATAATTTGACTGTCAATTCAGCAACATTGTTTGCTTCTCCACATAGATTAATTTGTTCCTTCTTTTTTTCCGCTTAATCATATAACACAGTCTATTCACTACTATGTTATGAAACAAAAAACTCAACTACTTAATATGTAAATTTCTCTCTGGTTTAACAGCCCAAGAATTGATGGTGATGGCTCTATCAAAGATTTTTTTTGAAATGCCCTCAAAATTACTCCTTATTTCAGAATGTACATTTTGATGGAGTTCACTAATAGTATGGGAAAAGGTAGTTGACCTTCCTGGGGACATATTTCTAGCAATAGCCACATCTTTTCTCTCCTTGAGCTAAAATAAAATAAAATAAAAAAGATACCAGTTCTTTTTTTTTAAAAAAGAAAAGTATAAAATTCCATAGATCTGAGATCTTGTGCTATTTGAGCACTACAAATATTCAGCAAAAGGCTTGATCTATAGCTATGGTCTGTCCAGCGAATTCTTATTGGTATGTACTATGGATTGCATGACATCTCTAGAGAGAGATATCTAGAGAGAGAGGAGAGAGATGCCCAAAACAACTAGAACATACATGATATATCCATCAATATTTCTTCTTGAAATATAAGGTTTGTTTTTTGAAAATCTACAAAATATACCTACTAAAAATTGTAAAACTTATCTATGTTCTAGAAATCAAAGGGAAAAACAGGTCAGTTCCATAGAGATTCTTGGTTAGCGTAGTTAGCTGATCTGGGTATTCTAGGTTTTAATGTAAAGCCTGAATTATTCAGATGAATTATTTTCACTGGCCAAGGTGAGTAGATGATTCTCTGATTCCATTCACTTGATAAAGAAAAAGCTCAGGCAGTATCTGTCTGCCAGGAGTACATCTTCTGTGCCATGGTTAGTTAATATTTTCAACCAAGTTGAGACTATACAGTGATCAAACTTTTTTAAAAGATGGACAAAATAATTTGGTCAATGCTGTTGCCATCCTCTATTTCCATCTATGATTGCCTAGGCAATGTCCATCTTATTTGGAACCATCAAAAATATTAAGTCTGACATTTTGGGACATGGCAATTCTTGCTTGAAAACTATTTTCACAAAGGAATTCTTTCGTGGCTTACAAAACAAAACAAGGAGCTTACTTACAGTGAATTCCCCGGTGACTGCATCAAACCCCACATGAATCGTATGCTCAAAGTCTGAAGGAAGAGAGATCTCTGGGCGCTCTTTCTCCTTCTTCTTATTGGCTAAAGGCAAAATGTTAACATGTATTTATTTGGGGTATAGTTTTGGCATCCACAAGTTGTACAATTAGGTTCATCAAAACAATTACAAAGTTGAAAGACAATTGATTCCAACACAATTTTAACAACACTTAACTCCAGAAATTCCAATTATTTGCAGAAGTAGCTAAGAGGGTGATGACAAATGTCATATCCAAATAATTCAAAATTTCCAAAACTCATTTGAAACAAATCTCTCATTCAAACTGATTTATGCCTTTTACCAGTGTAACCAGGAGATATCTAGGGATATTGTGTTTAACTGGCTTTGTTGAATCAAATATCACTTACTAAGGAAGAAATTCATCATATACAAGTCAAGCTAAGGCATACTATTAGAAAGAATAGAAAAGCACTTCAGCTTTCAATAAAGATATTGTGAATTGTTTCTATGTTAACGATAGCTAATAATCAAGTGGTTGGTACTTATTTAATTTAACATGTTTCTATTATTAACCATATCTTAATAGACTCTTCTATTAACAAGAATACCACTGCAAATCAATTATGTTACAAACCTTTTTTATTATTAAAAATATTTCAATCATTTCCTACCCAGCACTTTGCTAGTAAAAAGCTACAAATTGCTGCTTTTTTTACTGAATTAATTTTATTTAGTTTTCAGAAAACTTAAAGCCATTCTTTGGTTTAGTTTTTCTAGTTTGTAGTTATTTGTCCATGTTTCCATTATATTTTGTCATATCAGCCATTCAAAAATCATTGTCTTTTTCAAGTAGCAGATTTTTCATAGTTACATAATTATAAATAAATGTATCAGTAGCTCATAATTTAAAAGCCTATAAAGATATAATCACTGAATAAACTAAGTTGAGAACTATAGTCTATCTGGAAATAGTTCCCAGGAGGAAGTCACTGTGGAAACACTCTAAAATGGCATCTAGTCGCTTCCATAACACACTTATTAGCAGATCTGAGCATGTATCTCTGGTGAGGCTGCATTTCACACTGAAAAAAATAGTACTCACCCTCCTAATACAGGGCAAGTCAGCATGAACCAGGTTTACCCAGTTAAGACCAATCAACTTCAGAATTGCCAGGGCGGTCAATTTAGAACATTCTGGTTCAAATAGATGTTGCCTTGGCCTGAATTACAGACAACATTCAACCGTATATGGATTATTGGTTTTGTGGGTTACCCATGATAAATTTTAAATTCAAAACTTTTCATGTTCAAAGGCTATTCTTATGGCTTCTTGTCTCATTCCACTCTCTCTCACTGTTCCTTATCTCCAGCCACAGGACAGAGATATGGGGCAGAAATAAGAAAACTGAAGTAGTGAGAGGAACTATACAGGATCAGGAAAGAAAGGTTGGGAGCAGGGGAACAAGAGTCACCCAAGGCCTTTGTCTGGCCATGGAGCACATTTAGGATTCATTTTGAAAAAATACATATATGCCATATAACTTACCCTCATTACAGATTCCATTTTTACAGTGAGCCTACTTTATTCATGAATATTATCCTAACAGTGAAGTTTAGAGTTTTCTGTTGGTACTTCTACTTCCCCTGAATGTTTGTGAACTATAGCTAACATTTATACTTGTTCAACTACCATTTTTTACTTGTTCAGAAAGGCACTCTGGTGTCATCACTCTATTGAAGGTGTCCTAGCCACTCCTGTAATCATTTTCTTACTTTTTCTCTTTCATGATGTCCCACCCATGCTGGCCATGGCTAGCTACTTCTCTTTCTACTTCCTTGACAATGTGGCCTGGCATTCCTCCTTTCTCAGTGACCTTTCTTTCTTTGATTGTCATTGCTTTTGCCTTTGCTAGTACAGTTTTTGGCCTTCTACATTTCTTTCTCTATTGGATTGCCTCCACTCCCAAATACTAACTCATGTTAGGTAATTCCCTAATCTGTGGTTGGCAGGGGTGGATCCACATGTTGGGGGACCAAATACTTCATGTAATTTGAGAGGAAGGTTCCCTTTAAGTAAAAGACATTATAAAATTACAAATACAAATGTACCGGGGCCCCTCCAGGGCCCTGGAAGGGTTCCAGGCAAGTGAGTAACTCTGAAGGAGCAGTTTCATTCACTTCACAGTAATTAGCTCTTGGTAAGCTTTTTGGGGTCAATCTTCTGAAAAATCTGAAGAAAGCTATGGAACTTCTGCCCATAAAAATGTACTATATACATATACTTTCACAGGTTCATAATTCTCCTGGACTCTGAGTTAAGAGCCCCTACCTTAATCTGTACCTCCAAATCTTATATCAATTTGAATTCATGGCCCCTCTTGTCAGCAAATAAACTCTCCCAACTTTTCTATTAGTATTGGCAAAATATTTGTAGCAAATTGACTCAACACTCCACTTGGGCTGAGTTACATGCAGAATTGGATTAATGGTGTTTTCCTAGAAGGCCACCAGACTGCCAATGCCTTATCAGCCTAACTATGCAATTTTCTTCACTCAGGGCTAAGCATAACAAAGGCAGGAAGCCCAAGTTTGCTCCTCTTCTGGTGTTCTCTATCACAGTGAAATGATACCACTAACCACGCAGATTAGAGAAGAAGCAAGGCCTTAGGCTCCTCCTCCTTTAGGCGGCTCTAAGCAATGAAAAAAAATTATGATCCTCCTCTCCAATATGCAATTCAAATAAAAACAATACTAAGGCATAAACAATTAAGGAAGTGCAAAATTTCTGATGTTCCTATGGTGATTGAGTCTTTTTTTTAAGCTATATATTCAAAATTAAACTGTTTCCACATTTTGGGTACTTCAGATTTACTAGATGCCATATACAAATGCTTGTTCTGGCTCCTGAGTAATCCAGCACTGGCCCAGCTGCCCAAACCAAGAATCTGGGAGTCATCTTTCACTCCTTTATTTCTATGCTAATTCATCATCAAGTTTTGTATATTCTATCTCCTAAACTGGTCTTGAATCCATCCTCTTCTCTTCATCCCCACAAATAACTAACTTAGTCCAAGGCTTCATCACTTCTCACTTAGCATCACTGCCTCCAATTTTATCCACTTCCATTCATTTCTCTACTCTGTGGCTAGATCACATTCTTGCATTTGTGTGTGTGTGTGTGTGTGTTGTTGTTTGTTTGTTTGTTTGTTTGGTGGAGTCTCGCTCTGTCACCCAGGCTGGAGTACAGTGGCGTGATCTCTGCTTACTACAAACTCCGCCTCCCGGGTTCAAGCGATTCTCCTGCCTCAGCCTCCTGAATAACATTCTTGACTTTAAGATGCTTAAATGCTGTCCCCTATTACCCATAAGTTAAAAGTTCATGTTTCTTAGCATGATATCCAAGGGCCTGCATGATATGTTCCTAAGTTTACCACTCCAACCTCTCTATTCTTGCCATGTGCCCCACTACTTATACACATTCAATGCTCCCTAAACTGCCAGGCTTTCTCATACCTCCAAGCTTTTATACATGCTATACCTATGCCTGGAAAGTCTTACTTCTTACCCTCTCCCCCAAATTTATGGGGATCACTCCTATTAGTCCTTACTCTTAAAGACTCACTCTTGGGCTTTTTCACTTTTGGCAAGTCTTTTCCTATCTCCCCTCTGCAGACAAAGTTAAATGCCTGTCCTTTCATGCTCCCATAGAACTACTCAGTGTCTACTTTGAGCTTGGTACCATCAGCATAGGATTGGTATTTTTTACATATCTACCTCTCTATCTAAAATTTGAGATACTTGACAGTAAAGAGTGTAATTTATTTATTCTCACATTCCCCAGCAACTAGCTTGTACCTGCAGACTTAATAGCTATCACGAATGGGACACTCACCACGTGCCAAGTATCTGGGGCTATCTCATTTAATCTCCGCAACAGTCATATGAGGCAGGTCTTGTTCTTGTTTTATAGATAAGTGGGACTCATTGGGGTTAAATCATATACCCAGGGTTACACAGCTGGCAAATATCAGAGCCAGGATTTGAATCTACGTCCCCACTTTGTCTCCAGAACCAAAGTTTTCAACAGTTAAACTATTTATTACTCAGTGGCATTAAAAAAAAAAAAAAGATTTGAGCTCTAGCTTTCAGTAAGTGTTTAGCAATAAACTAGACCCTAGATGAAAACCAGTTTTTCTTTTGTTTTGTTTTTTAGATACACTAAAATGTCTGTATCACCCTGCAAAATTCTGTGAGCATTTGTCATTTATCTTAAAGCTCAACCTGGTCAGCTATCTGGGTTGATATTTGCAGAGAGCAGAAGTCCAAAAAAGTATCACTTTCTAAGTGTACCTCCCATATTCTATTGGAACTCAGAACAAGGCTACAAATTGCTGCCTGGACCACAAACTGCAAACAGCATTTGGCCTTGAGATCTATTGGGAGTTCTGGTTGTAATTCCTGGGGCTAGCTAATCTCTCCAGAATCTCTCATCCTGACATCTTTCTCTATTCTACTACTTCATAAAGAATGAGAAGTCCCTCTAGTCATCTATCACCTTTTATATGCCCACCCCAATGTTCTGCAGTTCTTTTACCTGCAAGAGTTTGTCCTATCAGAAACATTTTTTTTCTACATTTTCTACCTCTTCCTTCACCTCTTGCCTTAGGTTTTCATACTTCACTGTACATCATTTTCATCTGAGAACTTAAAAAAAAAGAGAGATGCCATCTCCAGAGATTCAGATTCAGTTAGTCTGGGGTAGCCTTAGGCATCTTTATTTTTTAAAACTCCTCAGGTATTTATATTACTTAGCTGGGACTGAGAACAATGACTTTAGACTCTACTATCCAGTGAGGGTACCGCTTCCTTAGATAAGACTGGTGGAGGCTGCTCACCCTTTCTCATCCCAAGCCTGTAGTCCTGAGAGAATGGAGAAGGCAGACTTTCTCTTTTTTTACTCCAAATGATTTGAGATCAGTACTTCTACACTTGCCTACAAAATCCTCTCTTTTGAGATTATCACCACCTAGTTCTCCTGGCCAAGTGCGTTGTTCTCCATTGAGTACTTTGGCTCCCAGTCTTCCTTCCTACATTCTGTGCTGCCACCACTGTGTGAAACAGGGTATTAATGGACACCTCCTTCATACCCTTTCCTTATGGATCCTTGATCTCTCTCAACTCTAATGAATTTTACCTCCCTTCCACTTCTGCAATCATTCCCACAGCCATCTTTTAAACCATTGGTTCTCAAGCAGGGCTGCACATCAGAATAACCTGTAGAGTTCCATAAAATACCAATATCTAGAGCCCACCAATAACCTACTATATCAGGATTTCTGGGGATGAAACCTGGGCAAATGAATTTTTAAAACTCCAGAGATAATGCACAGCCAGAGTGAAGAACCATAGTTGCCCCAGATCTTTTTATTATCCAGAATAACCCTTTCTCTGCAATATTCAACCTTGTTATCTCATTCTCTGAGCTCAGCTTCCCATCTGGCTAACCTGCTAATTGTTTCAAGTGCTTACTCCTATTTTACTTGTTCTTTGATCTCAACAAGACCTCCATTTCTAGAAGGTAATGGGGAATATTGAAACAAGGCAATAATAGCAGATTTGAGTTTCAAAATATCATTCTAGTCACTGCCATTTTTAGCCAATTTCTCAGCTTCCTTCTGGCTGAGACTCTATCGTCCAGCATGTAAATTGCTCTTATGCTTCTGTCCTGGAAAATTTCACTCTTTGACTTCTTGTTATAATTGTCCTATGAAACCCTACCCTAATAGAATCCAACCATGAAAGCTCTCCACTTCTATGTCAAGGCTGCCAAGAGTTGCTGGAGGGAAATCACACAGCCATGCAGATTGGTTGGTGCTTATGATAGCTGGGTCATTAATGGTGCTTGACAATAGTTTCGTCACCCCTTGCCAACTTCCTTTTCCAATCACCACACCCAATATTCCAGAAATTCAGAACTCCACTCTAACTTCAGCTCTACCCCCTCCTCCCTTACTTTCAGCATATGACCTTCCTTCTACTTCACTGAGATAAATGGAGGGACTCCTTTTTTTTCAGTTATTCCTTTGATTTCACTTTCTCTCCCGCCCCTATGAATTTATCTCCAGCAGTAGCATCTTCTTCTCTTCTCCTGTCTCACTCCTGCCACCTTCTACCTAAAGTGAATCCACCAATTATGCTCTATTTCTTCTTGTATCCTCAATCTCTCCCTCTCTACTGGCACTTCTCTTTTGGCTTAAAAAACATGCTGAGATCACTATTGTCCTTAAAAATTAAAATGCTTCTGCTTCTTCACATACTTCTCTAGCTGTTATAGTCTTAGCTTTTCTTTCTTTAGGTTAAACTTCTTGAAAAGGTAATCTAGATTTCCTTAGCTCTCACTCCTCAAACCAGTGTAATGACTCCCCTGAAGTCACAAATTAGCCTCCTCCTTGACCAATGGCTACTTTTCTGTCCTTACAAGTGTGGACCTCTCAGTCAAAACTGACATTTGAGACCACGAACTTCTTGAAGCTAACATTTCCCCCACCTTCTTTCATACAACTCTTTCTTAGAGTCTATTTCTGCATTTCTCAGTTTTCTTTCTCAGCCTCATTTGCAGAAGGCTCTTCATCCCTTCTCATCAACACACTTCTCCCTTGGGTCATCTCATCCACATGCATGATTTCAATCCCCACTGACACTAGTGATTCTCCATATATACCTCCGGCCATGACATCTCTGTTGCACCCCAACCCCATGTAGTTAACTGGCTATTGAACACCTCTATTTAGGTGCCTCACAGACCCCCACACTAAATATTTTCAAAATCAAGCCTAATTATTTCATTAATTATCTAACTAATTAAGTGCTTTTCTCTATCAAAAACAGGAAATAACAACTCTTCTTTTGTTTCCTAACTCAACCTTCTCCAGCTCTTCCTCTCACCATCTGATTAGTTGCCTAGTTCTATGAATTCTCCTCCCTAAATAGTCCCTCTGCATTGTCCTCTTTTATTGCTATTAGTGGCCCTTAAGCCAGGCCACTCTCATTTCTCACCTGTATGACTCCAACAACCTGACTGGTCTCTTTCCCCCTCTTCCCGATTCCTCCTGTGGCTAGAGTGATATTTTGAAACACAAATCTGATATCATTGCCCTGCTTCAATATTCCCCCATTGCCTTCAGAATCAAATTTAAAGCCCTTAGCATGGCATAGATAAGCCCTCCAGGATCTGGTCCCCACTTACATCCACAGCTTCTTCTCTACCCCTCTCCCACTCTCAGAGCACCAGTTTTTCTGAACTACTTGTAGTTGTATTCATAGAAGCTCAACTAAGAGCGTGTCATGCCTGCTGCCTTCAAAATGATGGTCTTTCTACCTGGCATGCCACTCACTCCTTAATGGCTAGTTCTATGCCTCCTTTAAGACTCACCTCAGTTCAATAATCCTCTCCTCCAGGAAGCCTTCCCTAACCACCCCTTCCTTCAGTCTTGAATAATTGCCTCTCCTCAGTTCTCACTCCTACATATTACACTTATCACACTAAACTCTAATCATTGAATAACTTATCTGTGTCCCTGACTAGAGCTTCAGTTCTTTAAGGCCAGGGACTGGGACTTTTTCACCTTTGTACCCCAGCACCTATCTAGCACAGCATCTGACTCAATGTTTAATGAAAAAGCAAATGAACAAAAAATGAATGGATGAATGAATGACCTTCATTATATGAAATAAGGCCCAGTATATGGGGACAGGTCATGCCTATTTGCTGTTATGTGTTCATAGAAGAGGAGAAGATGATCGATGTCTGCCAAGAAGGCCTAAGGGTGAGGAGTATATTTTACAGTTGTTTTTGTAGTTGAAGTTGTTTTTGGTGGCATTGTTGCTGTTTTTCCCCCAACAGTGGGGATGACTCTATTCATTCAGGCACACCTCTTGCCAGGTACCACTTTGGGGCCAAAGGCATATATGGTAACATAGCTGGGCATGGTTCAAGGTTGAGCAAAGCAACCAATTCTCCCCCAAGATGAAATCCCTGGATGGTGCTATGGCTGCCTTCTGAAAGCAATTTAGAAAGCTCTCACCTGAGTCTTCCTTGTTGTAGGAGTTCCATTTGTTATCTTCCCCTAAAATTCCTGGAAGTTTTGTTGGGCCTATTCACTGGATGTCATATGGTCATTTTCAGATTTATTTTTTAGAACTCTTTCTAGCTTCTTGAAAACAGAGCATGCAGGAAAAGAAAAAGGATGGCAGAAGACAGACATAGGGAAATGCTTTCCTACATAAATTTAGCCTAAAAGCACAAAACAATAATCATCTTTTTAAAAGCAATGAAAAGCATGCAAAATATTATGGTACATGTCATAATTTTAAAAGCAACATTTGAAGCCTTGTTAATACAGAAAGCTAAAAGCAAAATATCATATAAAGCATTTTTACTGCAGAAATAATTTTTCTAAAGAAAAATAAACACATAGTTTGACTAGTTCTATGAGGCAAGCATTTTACAACCTTGGCTCTAAAACACAACTTCCTCCTGCTACTGTCCCAGCTTCCTTTCCTTTGAATCAGTGAGTCAGTTAGCAACTATATTGAATTGTGGATCACTGTAGTGACAGGTTATTCTGGGTGATTCATTAGAAACTTCAGTAATATTCTGAACTTGAAATCTAACTGGGGAAATAACCTTAATAAACAAGAAATAGCAACAGAAACTACCAAAGAAAATTAGGTGCTAAGTTGGGCAGAATATAGGATAGTAGCATGTCAAAAGAAAAGATCACAGAAATCTGTGGTGGACAGTCAGGGCTTACTGGAGGAGGTATGTTTTGAGAAATGGGCCTTAAAGACTGGATACCTAGATGCAAGGGTAAGTCATCTCAACGAGGAAGAACAGTAGAGGTAAAAGGTTGGAAGTAGGGATGCATATTGCATGTTGATGAGGAAATGAGAAGACACAATAAATAAGTAGGGTGTAGCCTTGGAAATCAGGAAGGGAAGAAAGATGAAATCGGAGGTAGTAATACAAAATATGCTGAGAAAGGTTTTTGAATAGTTGAATGACACAACAAAAAAAGGTGTGAGAAGACAAGCTAGATAGCTGTGTGCTGCTAAAGGTACACATGCCATGGTGGGGGCAGGCTTCCAGATGGTTGCTGTTTCACTCAGGTGGAAAAGAAGAATGAATGGTGGGAGTGGAATGGGGAGGACCTCCCCACCACTGTATCTGTTTTCTCTAAGATCACTTACTGGACATTTCCCACAAACTCGGCGTGTGTGTGTGTGTATGATTTCTGCAACTATGTTGAAAATTACCTGAGGATAGGGAACCTTGTCTCATATGTAGTATCCCTCACAATAATCAGCACAGAGCTAGGCACATAAAAAGTAGGCACAACTCTTTTCTGAGTGGTATATAAGCAGTTAAAAACATGCTCCAGATTCTGTTATATCTAACTTTTAAACTGAGATAGCTAATAAATTAAATCTGTGCTCAAAGTCAGAATGCAGCCCAGATTTGTGCATTGGCTGGATACCCATATGTCTCTATCCTGTGGTCTTCCATTAAGTCCTTTGAGATAAAGGAAGCCTAATAAAACATTCCGTTAGGAGGCTTGTAGTGTAGTTGCTGGGGTCGAGGCCCTCCTGGGAGGTGCACTTATCTCATAATCCCTAGCTTGACACCAGAAGCCCTTGTCCTTCTTTCCACCCTTTGTCCCCCTCACCCTGCCCAGGTGCAATCTGTATTCATTCAGTGTTATATATTCCTAAAGCCAAGCAACTTTTGTAGTCACAGGGACCACTTCTGGCAGAAACAGTGGAGATGGCTAGGTTAGAGATCTGTCATATTTAAAGGCCTATTTTTCATCTCAATATTCCTGAGCCTTGATTTGGGAAATCCATGTTGAAAGGATATATAAGTCTTATTAAAGGGCCATCCACCTCCTATGGGTGACATTCTTCATTTCCCTAACAAATGATCCTTAGTGACTTCGTTACTCTTTAGCTGGATGATAGATGCTTTCGGTGGTCCATTGATTTATCTGTTACTAAAAGGCTGTCAGTTAGTGCCCCAAACAAGTCATTTACAAAATGTTGCCTTTGGCCTGTAAGAAATGAAATGCCTTACTGTCTACTTAGCTACCAGGAAAGTGAATTAAGTACTGTGGTTTTTCCTTTTTTTATTAAAAAAAAATGCCATTTTGCTTCATCCTCTGATTTGTGGGTCACAGAGCACACTGTGCCATAACCCTCCTTAGGGAAGCCTTCTGAAGCCTTCCTTATACTTAGGTAACAGTAAGTGTCTCAGAATAGTTCTTCCTATGACAACAGCAGCCCTGCAGGTTTCAAAGAGGCAGGCACTCATTTGTGAGAGCAATAGTTCCAGAGGGACTGATTTCTGCAAAGCATGTTCTAATCCCTGAGACATCTGCTCTGTAAACAAACATCCTGTTTGGGGGCATATTACAAGAGGGAACCCACAGGAATTTCTTAACTCCTGGATTTACAAGAAGTACATTTCCCTGTACACAGGGAGAGATCAGTTCTTTTGTTTACACCTAAAATTTTTTTTGGTATAAAGACTATCATTGTGTGGGCCTACAAATTTATTTTTTTTTTTGCATTGGAAATATGTGAAAGTATATGTGGTGACTACAATAGAAAGATAGGCATAAAAATAGATTTTATTGTTGGCAGTAAGTATTTAAAGCAACTGACAGTACACGCTGAATAAGAATTTTAAAAGAAATTCCACATAACATACATATTTCTGGCATAAACTTAGCATCTTGGGCGAATACATATTGATTCTGAGCAGAAAAGGAAGGTGTTCATTAAATGAGTAAGACGGCCCAAATATCTTTTACATTCTGGATCATGAATGAATCTAAGGGGAGGGATGATAGGTGCACCACTCCTGTGTTCTATTTTAATATTCCATATTTTTCTTTTTTACAAAAGCTAGTTACTTCCTATTAGCAAATTAGGCCCTCAGGAGGAAAAACTTGTCAGGATAAAGGTATGACTACTGTTGTAACCACTGAGGCACCTGGGTTCTACTTGCTTCTGTAAAAATTCCATTTTTGCATATTCCATTGGCTGAAACCTGTTTACAAAACAAGCTACTCTCATTTTATGTAAGCAGTATAGTCTTCAACTACCACTGGACTAGGAGTTGGGGGATCCAAATTCTAGGTCTGCCTTGCTTTGTTATTAAGTAGTGGAGCAAATTTGTGGAAGTCATTTAACCTCTCTGAACTTCTGCCTTCCTCTGTAAAATGGGAATAATCCCTGCCTTACCTCCATCATAGGAAGTTTGAAGAAGGTAACTGATATGAGAGGTTTTGAACATTGTAATACACCTATAACGGCTTTCCAAAATACATCATCTTATGGCAATATACTAAGTAACAGGGTGACTATGTTTAGACCTAGCACTTTCATCTTATGAGTGATATCCTTAGAAGTATAACTACTGAGAAAAGAGGATTAAACTGGGCCATCTTAAACATTCACTGCTCTTATTATAATATCTTTTATTATATTAGCAAATCTCAAAAGCATATAGTTGGGAAGGCCCATGGTGGAAGGTCCATTCTCCTGCCTTCATGTAGAACTTGCTAAAGCCATGAGATATCTAATGAAGATTCTAGAAAATGTCACTCTTAGTAACCTATAGCATCCAATTAGCCTATCTGGAATTTATGTCTAGTTCCATTCTCTCTGGTGGAATATTAAGCCCAGTTTCTCCTGCTAGGTCTTCAGTGGCTATGGAAAACAACATATGTCCTCCACAAATTAGCAGGCTTTAATGTACAGATAAAACTCAATGTGGTACCTGATTCTGCAAGAGTGACCACAAGCCCAATTCACAGGTCAGATGTTCCGTGAGGATGATGGGATGGGGGAAGTAAAATGATAGTCACATGTGAGCCCTTCAAGTCACCCCCACTCACACATGCAAACAGCTAGCACCTTCAGTGGTATCATCTTCAAAAACATTCAGCAACAGTGATTATTCTGGGAAATCATTAGGAAGTTACCTCTTACTCATCTCCCTCTAGGCAACACATACTGGTTCCACTTTCATTTGCATTCAATTGACATATGCAACAACTTTGATGGGAAACATTTGAAAACAAAAAGCAAAGATGAGGCAATGTCCTAACTAGACACTTCTGATCATGTGGATAATTATATAGGGTAAAAGTCTGAGGAGAAAAAGGAGGCCTCATTTGCCTTAATGGGGAAAGCAACTTCATATCCCTTAGCCTTTGTCAATTTTCCTCTTCTTGCAACACTCCATTTTTTAAAGCATATCAAACTGCGTGTTTGATACAGCACTCTTCTGTCTTCCCCTCTTATTCCATCCATCCTCTGTATCTTCTCCACCTCCTAATCTCCCTTTCAGTCATTACTTCCTCTCAGTTTATTTCTCCCTGTGGCTTCTTTACCTTAGTGTAAACATCTCCCAACCCTACATTCCATACTTCTCTTGCATTTGACTGTCTGTTGGTTTTACGGGGCTACCATATTTGTGCCCAGTTTCCCCATTCATTGGCCTTAAAGTGGAAGCACAGACCCTGGTAGATAGGGAGAGTGTGTCCTTATTCCACCTTCTTCCCATTTCAACACGGGTTTCCTAGGAGTAAAGGAGTAGTACAAGAGACTCTTCTATTGGGGCATAGCACTGACCCTAGAGGACAAGCAAGATGCCATGTCCTTCAGGTTTCCAAAAGGGCAGGGCAGTGATTTCCAAAGAACACTCTTTGCTAAGCTGGATGGGCTACATTTGCAGAACCAAGAATGTAAGCACCATTCAGGATGTAGCAGTCTCTGATACCTGGCTTTCTGATAACAGAACCCTGAATTAATTGACACTCTTACACATTATTGGTGCAGTGATAATAACTTTGAGCTACTGCAAGATCCAAAGGGTCTCCAGTATCACCAAAGAAAGACTGCATACTGTTATCACACTAAGTATATTTTATTGTGCATTAATTAGATGAAAGTTAGTAATATGCATTGACCAAAACATTTGATTGACAAGACCATAAAGGATAACTGAGAGTTTTCTTTAATATAATTGTTGTACAGCAAGGATTCCTGCTGTATAGAGTATATAGAAGATGACATACTCTAGGAATTAGAACAATATATATTCAATACAATAACAAAACTATATAGTACTTTAAGAACTCTTTCACATATATGAACACTCTTACTTAGAACTTCAGCTGTTTAAAGTAAGCAATATGCAAGCCTATAAAGTACACACCAAAAAAATCTAACCTACAAAACACCCAAAGCAAATGTTAGCATATCTCTATTATCAAGAATATCTTCTCACCATCGTTTCTTTCAAAAATATGTGAAAAAGTTCTTTCTTTCCTTATGAGTGGCAATTTTTAAAAGTCCCCTCTTCTGAAATTCAGATATGTTTCAAATCACACTATCATCTTCTTAAAGAAAAATGAAAACCACTCCTGGCTTTTAGATGCTGGGAACATAGTTTACCACATATTCCCTTTGTCCTATTGCAAGGTAGTGTGATATAGTAGAGTAAGCATAGGGTTTGGAGTTAGAGAGACTTGGGAGGCCTCTGGCTTCTGTCATTTGCTATGTGATTCTAGGTTGGTTGTCTACTTAAATGCTTTGAGCTTAAATTGCCTCATCTGTAAAAAGGGAATAATATAGAGTGGCTGTTAAGTGTTAAATCAATACATGTAAAGTGCCTGGCACATAGCTTGGCACCCAGTAACTAGTTAGTAAATGGTAGGAAACTTCCTATTTGTCTTGATTTGATTTATATACAATGATTCCTTCCTATGCCTCCATGAAAAAGGATCATCACATCATTCCCAGGCTCACCAACTCCCAAATCTCTCTAGATTCCCCACAAATAAAATGCACATGAACTGTGCCCTCTAAAGACACAGTCCATTACACAGCACTGCATATCCTCTGAAACACACCTAATGCTCAAGTGCAGCAGAAGACACAAGACATATAAGCATGCTTCAGTAGACACAGACGTCACACAGAACACGTCACCTCTAAATGCAGCCTCGCAGCCTCACCTGCTTCTTTCCAATATGTTCTTCCAAGCTTCAAGTCCTTAACATTGATTATTCTTGGAGGCACTATGCAATTTTCAGAGTCCTGGCTGCATTCATTTGCCTCATTGTTTTTTCCTTATTGGTTTATTTATTCATGTATTTATTAATGTATTTATTTATTAGTGTGTTTATTCCCCACCATGTTCCAAGATGGATGTCAGGTGGCTTACAAGAATACACAAAATACAACATGATAGCATAAATTCAAAGTAGATAAGAAAGTAAAAGGAAAAAACAAAAACAATAAAGATAGGAACACGAAATGGAGCCTGGCAGAAAGCTAATACAAAGTGCATACATACCGTAGAGTCCCATTACAAGTGCTATGCATTGACCACACATTTGACTCCAAGCTTTCTAGTAGCCAACAAAAGAGAAACCTGATCAGTCCCAGACTTCACAGGGTCCATAAAATAAAATCAACCCATATGGTTAGGATGTCTCTTTCCTGGTCTAAATCCTGAAAACTTTTCTACAGTAAAGTATCATAAAATGGTGGCAAACTGTCCCTCCTGAATTGCTCTAACACCAAAATTCAGCTTCTGGAACAGTCACTAACAAAATAAATCCTCAATCTTGAAATTACATCTACTGTTTCTTTTTTTTTTTCTTCTACCTGTCTCTTGAAGTTCCACTTAGTCAATGAAATGTAGCTATTAAAAGGACTTCTTCAAAAACAAACAAACAAACAACAAAAAATCCTCTGCTTTCACCAAAGCAAATATTTTCAGTTAGGTAATGAAAAAGACATTGTGAAATTACAATGGCCAAATTTGGAAAGACCCTCAAATATCCAACAAAAGAAAATGGTTAACTAAACCATGATGTCATCCTATGATGAAATATTATACACCATTGAAAATGATATTTACAAATACTTTGCATAAATGTAGGAAAATATTCATGATAAAAATGCTAAAAGCAACAAAGCTGTATGCATTATGACTTTTTCTATGTAAAAATTATATATGTGCACATATAGCCATAGAAAAAGACTGGAAATAAATCCACCAAAATATTAACATTGCTTCTGGGATTTGTGATTATGGGTGGTTTTTATTTTTTTCTATATGCTTATCTTTATTTTCCAAGTTTTTGACATTGATGAACAATTTATGATGAGACAAAGAGGTACTAAGAAGAAAAATACCAACTTAGTTACCTCCGGCTTATAAAATTATAGGCACATTTAATTTTCTTTTTAAAATTTTCTATAATTGACATAAAAATGGGAGGAAGTTACTTTAAAAAGTAAAAGAATTCAAAAACCTAGTTTTCTCAGTTGTTCATTGATAAGGTCCAAAATGCTACAAATATAATGATATTATGGTTATTCAGCACTTCCTAGTTTTACTTTTAATAGCCATTGGGTACTTATAATTATATTCAATTATCACTAATATTGTGATATTTGTGCCAGGTATTACTATCCTCACTTAACAGGTGATGAAACTGAGGCTCAGAGAAATCAAGTGACTGGCCCAATGTCACAATAATCAGTGGCAGAACTGAACATGAACCCAGGTCTCAAGAACCCAAGTCCAGTGCTCCTTCCATTAGTTCAAGACTGACTGTGGTTAAGCAGTTACCAAGAGATAGGAACACAGAAATAGTAATCCCTCTTTCCCCATGAGAGTCAGTTCCTGAACAACCCCCAAGGTAAGAAAGTTCAGCTGAGGAGATCATGATATCGGGAAGGAAAAAAATGGGCAAAAATGAGGTCTCAAGTAAACTGTTGAAAACCCTCATAAATATTTTTATGCAGGTAAACAATAACAACAGCACATTACATAAAAAGAATAATGAGTTTACATAGTTTAAATCAGTAAAAATGATAGGCTTTATACAGTTTCCATTTAGATCCTGAGATGATTTCCAGAGGTGATGAAGATGTATCTATCACTCATTATGGTAGTGGCAAATGGGGGTGACAGAGAAGCAATGAACAGAAGTGGACTATTCATTAGTTCAAATTATGGATGTCTATACTCTTAGAGTCAGTGAAGTCGAATCCTGAAGTTATAACAACTTGCTTGAGGCTTTATTTCTATCAAGCAAGTGAATTTAAGTGGCCCTTCTAAAGATGCTTTCATCTTCTCAAGTCCTTTTTGAAGACACCTTAGCAGTTCTGTATGGAGTTCAATTTAATCATTCAATCTTTGTCTGAAGGTAGCTTATTAGCTGTCCAGTAAGAGTATTTAAATGGTACTACTTGATAATTTAGACTTTTCTGAGGTTTCTTTCTTCCCAATATAGTCTTTTAGAAAGTCTCATAGGACCTTTTATTAGAGTCTAATTAAATCAAACTTTGTCAGAAGGTAGTTTTATCAGCTGTCCAGCAACAGTATTAAATGGCACATGATTTAAGTTCTATTGAAGATTGTTTCTGTCCAATATGATTATGTTTGATGGCATCATAGCACCTCTTTATAGAACTCTAAGTCACTCAAATTTTGAACAGGTAATATCTGACACATGTAAAGATGCCAATTTTAATTACCTTCTTAGGGAGGTTTTAATCTTGTTCTAAAAATTTTGCTCCTGTTTCTTATTGCTGTATTTGTTTCCAGTCCCACAGCCTCCTAATTGTCTTCATCATCACTTATGATAATAACCTCTGGAGACAAGAAAGCTTCCTGAGGATCAGCCTCTAGCAGCATTAACTTGAATTGGTGTCAACAGTTTCAGATTCAACTTCCGCCAATGATTGCTCTTGTGCCAAATTTTCATCCTCATCCATAGGTTTTTCTTGTCTTTGGGAGGGATAGAGGAAAGATATTTCACCACCTCTAGCCAAGTCTTCTCACAGGTCACATTAATGACAGGCTCTGTTAAACTATCTAATGCCTCTTTGGGAAGTTATCTCCTGAAAACCCATTAAAAATCAAAAGCCAAACTTTTATTAAGGATATGCCATTAATAACGATGTAGGAGTCTCATGCACTAGGATTTTCAGACAGTGGAAACTTTGCGAGATTGTGAACAAAGTTATACATTAGTTTATAATAAGCCTTCCTGAATGGCCAGATCAAACACTGACTGAAAGGCTCAAGAATCTCAGACATGTGGCTAGTTATAAAGACAACCTTACCATGAGGATGCATATTGGCAAATGTACCTGAAGCACCAAATAGACTGAAGAATCAGCAGGACTTTGAATTCAAGGTATTTTTTTTTCTTTTAAGTAGTCTTGAACATCCACAAGAAAGTACTGTTCAAACCATCCCTTAAGGAGAGGAAGATTCATCTGGGCTTTTCTGTTTGCTTGCTAGTACACTGGAAACTTGGCTCATTTATTTCCCCTGAGAGGGTTTGGGCACAATTTTCTGTAGAGCAGCAAGGGTTTCATTATGAGGTCACCTGAAGTATTGGCAAAAAATGGAAATGTCAGCTTCTCTGATTTTGTTGACCTCAGCATCAGTGGGCGCTTGCTCTTCAGAAGTATTCAAAGGGTTTCAAAGCTTGACACTCTCGATAGCACTAAAGATTTGTGCAGGCATGTAATCCCCTTCTTCAGCCACTTCCTGAATTTGTGGTGAATACAACATGAGAGCTGCAGGAACTGTTTGTTCTTTGGCATAACTGTCAAATAAGACCTGGTCTCCACATTATGGTACACCCTAAATTCCTCAAACCATCCCTTACTCCCAACAAATTTTTTTCTGGATTCATTTCAGTGTCTAAAGACATGTCTCTGAAAATTCCTCTTGCATAGTCACAAATCTCTTGCATGGAATGTGGTTCATTATTCTTCAGTTTATCTTCAATCCAGAGATTTAACTTCATTTCCATCTTTTCCATCCTTGGGTCATGAAGAACAAAGCATCTTTTAAGTTATGCAGGTGTACAAGTGGCAGTACTGGCCATACTAATAGTTTCAGCTTTCTTTGTGGTATGAATTGTAGATTGATTAACACTATATAAGTGACCTACAAAGCTATTTATTTTACCTTGAAGAAGTAGATTGAGAATGTCCTGTTTCTCTTCTAAAGACATCACCCTTCTTGCCCTTCTGACAAGTTTCTATGGTGTCAGTGCCCTTGTACTTGCTTCATATCTGTAGAAGCCATGTTTCAGCTTTATGCTAATTAATGTAACCTGAAAGTTACTTACTAGAGATTTCATATCCCTGCACGTCACAAAGCATTAGCATATGACATTTAAGCACCAAATGGTATTACAAACACCAGAAGGATAAATTATAATATATTGGTGTGCTACTCAGTACACATGGGGCTGTCTAGGGGAAAACAGGTTGAAGAATGATAATGGAAACAAATGACTCAGAAATGCCTTCCCACTTACAATATAGTCAGAGAGACAATATTGTGGCAACGTGGACTGATTCTCATATACTGAATTCAAAATTTTCAGTTATCAAAAAGGTATACAGAAGTAAACCTACCTATACCCAAATTTCCAAAAAGAACAACTTATAGTTAGGGAGGGATTATTGTAAATTCTACTCTACATTATCAGAAAGAAAGTCACTGTTGATATATTCAAGACAGTACTGTTGCTATGATTACCCTTGGCTTAACACTATGAATTTAATTTTATGTGAAAAGCAAACATAGTGTAAATGTATTTTCTGTCAGCCCACAGTAAATCAATCAAACATTATTCTCTGACAAAATGCAACCTCTGAAGACGTAGATGTAAAGGGCCGGCAGGCCCTGAACAGTCAATCCTCAAGAAACAACTACCTAAGAAAGAAAGTGAAAATGAAAGAATAAACTAGCCCATTTTCAATGCCCGGCCACTGATACTTTACTTTTATCCCCTCCTCCTGGGAAGATAGAGCGAAGCCTGGCTTTCTTATTCTTCTCTTCAGGGGCCATGGGAAGTGGTTTGGAGCTGTGGTTGAGTGCTGAAGAATCCCGGTTGTTACTATTCATCCTCAGTGGAGGAGCCGGGGGTTTCTCTTCATTATCCAGACCGTCAGACATTTTCAGTTACAACTAATTTCACAGCTCCTAAAGAAAAGGAGGGAAAAAAAAGGAGTTGAGGGAGAAGAGGTCTAAAAACCTAATAAATATGTGGATTCTAACATCTTAGAAACAAAAGCATTGCTCTCATGTTTTCTCAGGTTTTGTGTGAGGATCGTTTTTAGGGGTTTCTCTTCTGGAGGGAAGGAAGTTACCTCCCAAAAACCCTGATGCAATTTTCAAAAAAGGAAAGTGAAGGCAGTAATTAATGGCTTTTCAAATATTATAAAAATATGTAAGTCCCTTTGCTTTTCCCACATTGAAACTCTATTTTCTCCTCCCCACTAACAGTGTTTTAGTGAACAATTTACAATCTTATTTTAAAATTCTATCCTGATGATTGTAGTGGTCAGGTGATCAGCCTCCTCAGAGTTTGGAATTGACACAGGTTTGGCTGTTGATTTTTAATGGCCCATAACAATGACTTGTTAGCTGCTTTAACATCGAGATGTCCTTGGTGTTTATTTCTTACATGTGTGTACCTCAGTCACAAAATGCACTCTCCTGTTTTTATGATAATTAACCGAGAAACCATCCCATAGATCTGGCAGTTTCAACAGAGTTGGAGTGTGCTGTTAGGGTAAACAATGTTCCATATTCTCCCAAGCAGGCAGAAGATAAAGGTGGGCAAATGTTGGAGGGCCAGTTCCCGAGGAGACACCATAACCTTACTCCCTGCCACATTTTACGTCTTGGAAGAAGGAAAAAGGGAGGTGACAGAGGTAGCTAGCTGTAAGATCCAGTCTGGGTTTTAGGAGCTTATTTGCTCTGAATTTCATTATTCTTTTTTTTTTTTTTTTTTTTTTTTTCAGATGGAGTCTCACCCTGTGGCCCAGGCTGGAGTGCAGTGGCGCAATCTCGGCTCACTGCAAGCTCCACCTCCCAGGTTCATGCCATTCTCCTGCCTCAGCCTCCCTAGTAGCTGGGACTACAGGCACCCACCACCACGCCCAGCTAATTTTTTTTGTATTTTTAGTAGAGACGGGGTTTCACTGTGTTAGCCAGAATGGTCTTGATCTCCTGACCTCATGATCCACCTGCCTCGGCCTCCCAAAGTGCTGGGATTACAGGCATGAGCCACTGCGCCTGGCCAAGTTCATTATTCTTTAGTATCTTGTGTCTACATCTGAGTATATTTGGTTTTCATTCCCCTGGGAGGATAAAGTAAACTGGAAAAGCATGAACTCCCCAAGGGAATGTTTCTGTCTCCAGGTATTTTCCTACTCTAATTCAAGTCCTTCCATAAGGTCCTGACCCCAGCACAAGTCAGGTACTAATAGTACCTTCCAAATGAATCCCCAGTTTGAATTCAAGGAAAATCAAATCCCTTTAAAACTATATCTCTGTAAACTTATCAAGTATTACCTGGTACTAATTTAGGAACATTACAACTCTCCAAACATGACTTAGCATTATCACTTTGTTTCCACAACATTTACTATGAACAAACCTAAGAACAATAAAAACAAAAACAGGGGTCTACTCATTAACTGTTGTGCTGAAAAATTATCTATCAATGCTTTCCGGCCCTTTAGTGGTTATAGTATGTTTATTACTCTCAGTAATGCACTCTAAGTTACATCATGTTAGGTAGAGAATTTTAAAAATTTTATTTTGTTCTAAATTCTCTCAAACATATACAGTCTGTAATTACTCAAGAATAGGTTACTATCAATTAATAGCTTCTCCATCTGCACAGGTGATTGACAACTAACAATTGGTTTGATTTTGATTTGAACGGGAGATCGCTTTTGTTTTGCTAAGTGTCATGTCTTGCATTATCTTAATGAATTAAGACCAATTCTATATTTTTTCAGTAATAATGATAGTGAAAATACTAAGTAATAAATGGTTTGTCACTATCACCAACAATTTCATAAACCTTACATTTTCCTATTTAGGTCAAACTACAGAACAAGGTACAATGAAAAAGTAATTGTGATGTCAAGGATAAAGTATATTCAGAGATACTATCGGTACTAGAGTAAATATTTGAACTGGAATATGAGACCAGTGCTAATGTGTCTGCATTATCTTTTGCATTTTGACTTTTGGTCCTTCTAAATTCACAGTTTCTCTAGAATTAAAGTGAATTTAAGACTGACTTCACCAGTGGCATTATTCTGTACTGGACAGGTTCATGGTTTTAATTTAGTCACAGAGAAAATTTGCCACCAGAGACAAGTCACTAGTTTTCTCTTTTACTTTTCTGGGTTCAAAAACTATGTGCAAATATGAAGTGATTATTACATAAATATGTATACAGATATACAAAATCTAGCTTGGTAAAAATAATGAAATTTGAAAGTTATTGCAGAGAAACTGAACATTTTAAAATAGAAATACCTAGAAGACAAATTTCTAAAAAGAGTGTCTCACAGGAAGAGAGAGCCACCATTTTCTGGATGATATATATTTTCTGATGACATATTTAACTTGAGATGACAGAAGTCAGGAAAACACGCCACACGACCTCTTTAAAATGATATACAAAGCTGATCTTGCGTGATAAGACAAGTAAGAGTCTGAGCCAGCCAGGGTTTCAGCTCAAATGAATTTAAAATGCTATGCTCCTTTGTTCTTGATAAATAGGTGTGGCTAACAACAGAGTGGCCTTTTTTGTTCCTAATTACTCCATCTGACCAGAGAGGCAGGTAGATGCCCTGCTTCCTTTCAGGCTGCCTGATTACCCTGACTTTATTTGACCAAGTATAATATGGGTTGGGAAGAAAGGAATACTTGGGATCTAAAACTCAAACTAAACTCTTCTATATTGCACTAAAAATCCCTGACCAAAAATTCAATAACACACATTTGCCATGGTCAGTATCACAGACATTCTGCAAAGGACTCAGCTTATGTGACATACATTCCTATTGCCCACCAAACTGGAAGTGTTTCAATGTCATTCAACTAATCAAGGCATCATAAGAGGAGCTGGAATACACCTTTTACAAAGACACAAGTGAAACTGAAGAACCTATGTCCAGGTCCACACTAGGAACTTAATAAAGCTTGAACCAAACCATTTTCCTAGACAGTTCAGATATGGTTTTGTTTTAATTATCTTGATATTACTTTGGTTCTTTACTACCCATTACAAGGCACAACCAATCATCCTCTGCTAATGATTCCAGATAATTCTGCTTTGCTGTTGAAAGAATAGTACAGGAGGTCCTTGGTATTTTAACTCACCTTCAAATCAAGTGCCTCTAAGCACACTTTTAGAAGACCAATGGAGAAAGGGTAGGGACCTGCAAGGAATCCTTGTGGTTAAAGTATTTGTTTCCCAAGTGGGAAGTATCTCCTACTATTCCACAAACATATTTAAAAAGGGATTTTATTATGTTATGTTTATAAACAATGCCAATCTACTTAGCCATGTGTTCCCCTGAGACAGCTTTCTATAAAGGATACTATTAATGGATTGCTGGTTCAATCTGCCTATGATGTCATTATTTCCAAGATCTTGAAAGAGACTATTTTATTTTGGGCGGCTGTAGGCTCTATTTCAAGAATTGTACATAAGCACCATTATTCTCTAGGAATCCGATAAAAAAAACTGTTTATCTTTAAAGTTCAACTGTTGTTGTTCATTTCTGTAACAGTACAGAAACTTGTGAGTAGCACATTAGATATAGCCACAGGCCATTCATTTTTCTTTTAGAGACTGGCCCTTAGCATTGTGGAGCTAATTTTAATGGATAACCAGCAATGGTTTATATCTGCTCACAGACTGATTTCATACTTGACTACTAGGTTTTTCAGAGATAATTTAAATGGCTTTTGTAGATGGTGTATATTTTTTTATTCAGCCCTTGGGACTTAATGTGGTTTAGCAATGCTCTGTAATTACACTTGCAATTCATCAGCAATAAGACATAAGCCTCTTGTTTCATGATAGGCAAAGAGCCTAAATACCCCTTTTCTTCAGAGTACTAGGAGAGATTACCTCTCTCTTTCCCTGTCTTTCTCTCTCCCTTTCTCCCCACTCCCCACACAAGTTTGAAGGCATGTACACACAGGGGCACACAAGAACACATACAGAGTGACCTTCATTAACTTGCCTTGACACAGAGCTTTATTAATCTATAGTTGCCATGCATCTTGGTAATAGTTTTTTCTCTAAAATGCTTTGCAGTAAAGCCCTATTTCTCTGATGGTATGATATCTGATAAAAATATTTATTTCAATTGCTCATGGCTTAATAGATGGTCCTGCAAACTGTAGAATAATAATGTCTGTATTATTCTGTCTGCTTTCAAAATAGACATAACTATTTATTTTCATATTTAGACATAACTATTTCATATTTAGACATAACTATTTATTTTTATATTTTTCCAATGAAAACTAAATTAACACTGCCATCCTTTTAAAAACAAAACCCCAGGTTAGCAATGTACAGTCATGATCTAACAAACCCAGAAGAAAATCTCCAAAACCACCAGCCACACAAGGCTATTATCACAAATCTGAGCACACACCAAGGCTGTTTAACGCCCTTTTCATAGCAAATGAGAGGATCAAACACAGGACTGAGCTGTTCACTAAGAGAAATTTCCAAGGTGAATTTCCTAATCTGAGATATATATACATATATATATATATCTGAATTGTACTTTTGGTGGTGGGCAACAAAATCCAAGAGTTACAACTGCTGGCTCTTTCTTGGGCTCTCTTTTAACCAAAGGCATACATTTTCGAGATGGCTAGCTGAGCTTTCAGGCATAGACTTGACTGGGAAACAAACCATGCTTTGCTAACTAGCCTATGCTGATACTAAATCCACTTTATCTTAGATGCGTTATTTACAAAAGAACCAACCACCTCACTTATGACTGATAATGTAAGAAGATGTAGTGAACATTTTTAACTGCCAAAAAAAGAAAAAATCATCTAGCCTTCCACAAAGGAGACAATGTCTTAGGATTTGAAAGAAATATTATACGTTGCCTTGCATTTCTACAGCAACTAGCATCTGAAGATTTCTAGTGACTTTTCAGACATTAATGCCCATAATATACTAAGATGCCAAAGCGGGCATTTTACAGGGAGAAGAATGAACCAGATCTGGGTCTCCTAGCAGCTCTGAACCCACACTACCATTCCCAAACTAGGTGGAAAAGGGGCAGCCCAACCACTAACTATAGCCAGCTAGATGGGCCCAAATTACCATTTGTATCATCTTGTCTCAAATTGCACAGTCATTATCCAAGTCACTCCCCTCATTAGATCATAAGTTCCATGAGGGTAAGAGCCCCTCAGTCGTAATTATACACTTTCATACTACTAGTACAGTCTCTTGTTACCAACAGGCATTAAATACATGTGTAAAGTAACAAAATGGAACTCTATACATCCTATGTATTTGTTACAGCTTGGAGTAAGTTTTTCATAATGTTACATAAGCCTATAGACCTAATTGTAGCAGGTCAGAGACAAGAAAGCATATTTGGAAATATCAGCACTAGTCTAACTGCCAAGTAGTTAGGCATCATTTCAAAGCCAGCTACCATCTGATTACCAACACCTCATTTTAAAAACATATGACTTTGTAATGTCCAAAGGGCTTCCACGTCTTGCTCTTCTTTGAGCCTGACATCAACATTGCGAAGAAGAAAGTATCATCTCCATTTCTTACATGAGGAATTTACAAGCTTTGAGTTTAAGTACTTGCCCAAGGTCACAAATGAAAAAACTGAGAATAGTATCCAATCCCTCAGCTCCTAAACTCATCAGTTCCCTTTCCAGTACACCAATACAACGCATATCCAAGTAAACCCACAAACACACTCTTCATATATACATTTTTATCCTCTTAAAATATTCATACGACAGGTCTACCCTATTCATTTCAACCCACTTCATGCTGGTACTTACTTATTTCAAATGGCTTTTCCCATTTAAAGACACAAGGCTAGGTGATTTACTGACAACACTCCAACAAGTTTCGTTGGCCAGTTGTACCAATTCTTAGATGGCCTCGTTTTGGAGCTCGCCTCTTCTGGAGCACTCACCAAGGGAACTCTGCTATCAGAGACAGGGGTGTGCTGTTTCAGAGAGCCTCACTAGGGAGATACCATTACAGTGTGTAATGGAGGGAAGCCAATTCTAAGATCATTTGATCAGAAGGAGCTGAGCTACTTGTTAGGCAGGAGATCTGCAAAAGCAGCCAGACAAGAAAGAGAGGCACTAGCTCTTTTTACAGCCACCTAGTTTCAATCTTAGATCATGTAAGAGATAGCTCACTGCTGACATACATACAAGCACACTCACACAGCATACATTCATGTTCTCTCTCATACAAACAAGCAAATGAGGTCAGTTCTGCTGTAGTATTGTTGTCTGCTAACATTTTTATGAGTGACTTCCATTGTTTTCAGCAGGAACTTGACATTAATTGAGTCCAAGAAGCCAGCATATTATAGTTGCAAATTTCAACGTCAGGTTGCAAATAGGAAGTCAATAGGTATAATCCAGCATCCAGACTCCATATACTGCATATAAGGAAAAAATCATTCTTTTTCTTAAGTATAGTTATTTTTCAAATGACTTCTTAAGCCTCTAAACATATGCAGCACCATACTTTATTATTCATTGTGTGTGCTTCATGAGCTAATGCCCAGAAAATGCTAATGATTATCTTACATGTACTTATATTTGCAAACCGATGCATTATTACAGGTTTCAGCTTTTTGTTTCCAATATTGATGCTTCTAAAAAGAGAAAATAAGATCCATAAAGAATAGAGGTAGAAATATTTTAAGCATAAAAAACAAAAGTAATTACCCTAAGAGATGCCTCAGAGAAATTGGTGGAAAAAAGAAAAGAGAAGCAAAACTTAGTAAGAAAACATTTCCTAGTTCTCAGAGCACATAACATCCTTGGAAGCATTCAGATGGAACAAATTAGATAGATTAACATCCCAAGCAAGCAGGACATGGCAAACCAATGTCTTGAGTCTCTGGGGGTCTCGATTGTCTCTGTTACTATGCATGGATAATAATTATACTCTTTATTGATCCACCCCAGTGAAATATCAACAAATGTCCTCAAATTTAAGCTTGGAAATTCAATTCCTGAATTTCCTAGAGATTTTTGCATACCACAGAGGTGCCTGAATGTTGCTTTTCAAACTGTGCATCATGGCTCATCATCCTAGGTCCTTGCTCTATTCCCAATTTCTCTGTACCCAAATCAGCTTTCTACAGGGAAGGTGTCCATTTCACATCTGAAGAGAAGAGCTACCTGGGGCAATGGAGATTTGGTGTTATTTCTAAACTAGGAACTTAGATCAATTTAGCAAATCTCACAGTTCACCAAAAAAGTGACTTCTTGCCAGAAATGGAAGTTAAAGAATTTGAACTGGTGTAAAATGCAGCAACACTTCCTCAAGTTTTTGCCCCTTGACCTATGTTTACATGCCCATACTTTTTTTAATTTCATTATTATTATACTGAGCATGCATTTAAACATCTCATTTGGGAGCTATGGTTAAGGAAGAGGAAATAACATCTATTAAAAACAGGCTTTCTTAAATACTGAAGGAAGAATGAAACATGACAAAACCTACTTTCTACCCATCCCACTTCACAATGGTGGGGGATAAACATTTAGCTGACAAGGGCCTTACTTGTAGGAATTCCCCATATTCAAGCCCACCAGACAAATGTTTTGCATTAAAGAAAACTGGCATGGGTATTTTAAAAAAGATTATAATACACCCAAAGCAGTCTCTTTAGAAATTAAAAGCCTGATCTGAAGGACGAACTCATGATTGAGTATGTTGGTTTTCCCATGGCCTTTCCATGCCCAGCTTATACAAGTTCATAATTTGCAAGTGGCTCAATGCTTATTATTTTACTACCTGGTTGCAGCTGCTGCTGTCCACTTATAGAATATATGGTTCATCTTTAGTTCATGCTAGAGTAGATGTCTACCACAGCACAAGATCAGCTTTACTTCCCTAGTGCTCATATACATACAAAGCAAAGACTGCTGTGTGCCTAAGTCTTTCTGTGGGCCTGGGAAGCCCCCAAGCTGAGATCACAGGGCCCAGCCCTTACCACACAAGAAGGAAGTTAGGGTATTTTGGGAGGAAAACTGCAGATAAAACAGAAGCAGGGCTTGGTGGAAGGAGCTGTAATCAGCAGGCCTGAGGGTAAATCAGTCAGTAGTTCTTGACTCATTCCTGCGGAGACTGCAGTGTAGCCTAGAGCACATTCTGACAAAGGCACTGGGCAGAGAGAAAGGGGAGGAAACTCGGGTGTTCATAATAAATGTATATAACTCTGTATCAAATGATGCTCATCTTAGAGTGTTCTTTTTTCTTCAAGATTGAGCCTGACAAATCCTCTACGTCATAGTACTCCCAATTATGCCAGTCAATCACCAGTTGGTTTTGTGGCCTTTAGCAGATCACCTAGGCATGCCCTATACTCTTCTGCACAGCTTAATAATGAAGGTCTATAGGTCACACAGCTGCATAAAGAGAGGAAAAGATCTTATGTCAGCCCAACATTCCTTTTTACAGGAAAATATACCAACTAATGCTTTATCCTTGTTCATTTCTGGTTGACTTTCATTTCAAAAAATCCTGAGCCCAAAACAGAGAGGTACTACTCTTTGAGGTGACAGATAGTAACTGAGAATATATTATTGAGGCCCCTTAAGTAACCCATCTGTGCATGAATTCATTTACTTGAACCACAAATATTTACCAGTGCCTATGTGCTAGGCATCATACTAAGTGATGGGTGTAAGCAGATAAATAAGTGTCTAGCTCTGAGTGAGGTTATAGGCTCCAGCAGTGGGTTTCATTCCTGGCCACACATTATATGTAAAATGTATGTCATACAGTGTGGCAATTCCTCAAGGATCTAGAACTAGAAATACCATTTGACCCAGCCATCCCATTACTGGGTATATACCCAAAGGATTATAAATCATGCTGTTATAAAGACACATGAACACGTATGTTTATTGCAGCACTATTCATAATAGCAAAGACTTGGAACCAACCCAAATGTCCATCAATGATAGACTGGATTAAGAAAAATGTGGCACATATACACCATGGAATACTATGCAGCCATAAAAAAGGATGAGTTCATGTCCTCTGTAGGGACACAGATGAAGCTGGAAACCATCATTCTGAGCAATCTATTGCAAGGACAGAAAACCAAACACCGCATGTTCTCACTCATAGGTTGGAACTGAGCAATGAGAACACTTGGACACAGGGTGGGGAACATCACACACTGGAGCCTGTCGTGGGGTGGGGGAAGTGGGGAGGGGAGAGGGATAGCATTAGGAGATATACCTAATGTAAATGACGAGTTAATGGGTGCAGCACACCAACATGGCACATGTATACATATGTGACAAACCTGCATGTTGTGCACATGTACCCTAGAACTTAAAGTATAATTTAAAAAAAGTATGTCATATACAGACAAAAATAGAACTACAAAACAAGTAAGGATATGTGCATTGCAAAATGAGAGTAAAAATTTAAAAAGAGGAGCTACAGCACTTCAGAAAAGGGCAAGACTCTCTTCATCTTATTGCTATATAAGAAATCATACTACCACACACAAGGAATGTGTTTGATATTGTTCCAGGGAACATAGCTGCCTGGCCTTACATCCTCCCACCACCAACATTCATATATACTAGGTATTATGTCAGGTACAGGAAGCATACAAAGAGAGAAGAATAAAGACACATCTCTATCTTCAAAGAGCTTCTAGTCTAGTGAGGAAGGCAGACATGCATATATACAATAAGAATACAGTGTGATACAATCTAGGTAGGCACAAGATGCTTTGGAGGGACAGAGCAGGAAGGATAGCTAATATTCCCAGCGGGTTCAGAGGATATAGCGCTTGAGCAGGGTATGGAAGGATGAGCAGGAATTCAATAGGATTTGAAAGGTAGGAAGCACTAGGTTGGCATAAGGTATTATTATTCAACAGTATATTTCAACCAATGAATACTTCAAGCATGCTAGATTAGATTTATTAGCCTTGGGCCTGTTTCTGCTGGACTGAATGATATTGGTGCTGTATAAGTAAAAGAATAGATCTCAAAACTCTGGAAGAAAATAATATGTGTAAGACCTAAAAGCATTTTTAGAACTGTATCCATATATAAGCAGGACAGATCTCTTTGGGGAAATTTATTAGGCACATAACACTCGGAAAAAGAAACTTACCTTCGATGTTACATTTAAGAACTAAGTTGCATGTTGTTAGGCAGACTTAATTTGGGGGGTTGATTTTTATTTAGTAGATTTTTTATAAACCCAAAAGAATTGTTTCTAACAGAAGGAATGAATGACTAACTCTAGCTCTACTTCTGGATTTTTCTGTGATCCTGAAGAAATCATTAAACCTTCTTAAATTTATTCATTTATTCATCATTTATATGGTGTCTATTATGTGCTAAGGTAGGCATTGGATGCTTTGAAAGGACAGTGGAAGAAGGGTAGCTAATGGTGCCTGGAGGGTTCAGAGGATATAGCACTTGAACAGGGTATTAAAGGAAAGTAGGAGTTCACCAGGTTCTAGGGTGAGAGATGAACAAAGTTGACCCCGCCCTTGAAGAGACTTAAAATATAATGGATGTCAGCCATGACATCTCAGTGCAAAGATGAGAAAAGGTTGCTATAGAAGGACAGAGACAGAGACTCCCTGGAGCCTGACGAAGCAGGCTTCACAGGGGAAGTACAGTCGAGTTGAATTAGGAAGAACAATTAACCACACCATTTTTCAGGTCAAGCAGCAACGTGTATTAAGGAGATTAGGGACAAAAAAGAGGAATGGAAAAAAATAAGATCCATAGAGACGAATTAAGAAGGGTTTAATATGCGTTTCTACAAGGTTTGGACTCCTCTTGTGTATATGAAGAGGTTTCAAGTGGTGAGATAGCATGATTAACTTTGAATTTCAGAACTATTACTCAGGTGACAATGTAGCAGATGTCTAAGGTTGAAGACTTGGGAAAGGTTTTTCCTATGGAGTCAGATGTTCCAGGTAGGAACATGGAAATCATTTTGAAAAGTGACAACACTAAGATAATCAGTCAAGAGACAGAAAGCACATGCAGCATGGGAATAGGAAGACAGGAGAAGAGAGATGTCAAGAGAGGTCTCTACAGTGGACATTGGCCAAAGATGGTAGAGATGCCAGCCTTGATAGGATTAACTGTTCTCAGGACCCCAAATGGAAATCAGGGTAGAGATATATTTCTATGCCAAGAGGCCCAGAGGAGTATGGGAGGCCTAATGGCCTAATGGTTTTTGCAAGCTTTAGTTTACATTTGGGATTCCAAATAGAACCGTGCCTCAGTTTCCATGTTTGTGAAATGAAAATAACCGAATAGCTTAGAATGGAGATGAAAAATAACTAATGAAGTTAGTGTGCTGATAACAAATATGAATGTGTTGGAAGTCCCTTGTATTAGCAACCATTAGACCACCTGTAATAATTGCACTCTAAAGAGAATAAGAACAAATTATTATAATATTTTTGGCCAATAGAACGGCACTTATAATAAGTTTTATAGAAAATTCATCTAAATTTTTATCCAGACTTTACCAACAAACATAATAATACTATCAAGACTACAACAGGCAAAGATAAGAGGATAAAACCAGTGACACAATAGAAATATCAGTAAAAACTTAACTAGAAATATCTAGTGGGAAGCAAGACACATATCTAAGCATCTTGTCTTTGAAAAGTATAATCTACATGGCAAGTAATAAAATAATTGAAGGAAACATCAATTCACATGTGGTGGAAAAACTGTATCTCTAGCTATATCTATTCCTCATAACAGAGATAGCAATATTAAGACAGATACAATTGTAGCAGTGGTTCTAACACATTCATTTGGCATTATGAAACTGTTCAATGGAGAGCTGGACATGTGGGATGAAGATATTTGTTTGGAGGCCATCAGCATGGGAATATGCACAATTGCTCAGGAAGAATACACAATGAGAAGGAGGACTAGACCAGATCTCTGTGGAACACCAACATTTAGAGGTTGGAAGAGGAAGAGTGACTAATGATCCCTGAGAAAGATGGTCAAAGAGGCGGGAGAACTGATATGTTGTCATAGAAACCAAGAGAAGAGTGCTTCAAGGTGAATGTTTGGCTATGAGAAAAATGTTACAAAAAGGCCAAAAGTGCTCCTATCTTTTTGTCCTCCCATCCTCTCCCTAACGTTTACTAAGCTTGATGTCTTATAATTCTCATGTCAGGACAGAAATGGCCAAGTGGCACCACAGGTCTGTTGAAGTGTCTCCGTATGTTTTAAGAATTCCCAGACTCTGAACATTTGGTGTTACTGGAGCAACATGAGCAGAACCACACAGTATTTATGCCTCAAGAAAGATTTTCCTCTTGGTGGTGAATGGTACTACTGTGGCCCTATGTCACTCAGCTATGTTTGGAAAGGTACTGCTTTCCAAACATTTATGATGTCACATTTGTTTCACTCTTGCAACATTCTGGGCATTGCACAAGATACAAAGAGAAACACCTATGGTTCGATTTGTAGATAAACTGTAGCTCACATTTAGATATTTTTGTCACAAGAAGGATTATGCTCAGTTCAAATTGTTCTTATTTGCTAACTGTAGCCCCCAAAGGCTTTACCAAGTGAAGGTGCAAATATTCAATCATCTGAACTGGTGCTTTCTAAGCCTAGTACTGCCACTCACAAGCTGCGTGACATTAGGTACATCTCTTCACCCCTCTGAAGCTATTTCTTCATCTAGAAAGGGTGATCACGTCACCAGTAGATTGTGAGGATCACATATCCACATTTGGGAACTGCTTTGAAGTAATTCAAGACATTCTACCAATAGATGTTTACAGTTTATTTTCACAGATTTCACAAGCCATAAACAAAATCGCTATCATTCACTGAAATCTTATCATGGCCCACGCACTCTGCTAAAAGTTACTTAGGTACAAGTTCACATAACTTGCATAACCCCTGAGGTGTTATTACAGTATTTTCATTCCACATATGAAGAAGCACATTCATTAAGTCACTTGACCAAGGTCACAGAACTAGTAAATGTAATAGTAAGATTATACCATCCCATGTCTATGTGACATCAATGCCCGTGCACTTATTTCTGTTTCCTAAGTCACGGAAAGTTTCATATTAAATTCTGCAGTTACTCACAGCTTTTACATGAACATGAATGTTCTTAGGGCTTTGTCGTAAGTAAACTGTGCTTCCACTGTGGCGTTTGGGACGAAAGCCTGAAAATGAGCAGATCTTCCACCCACAAAACAGACATTTCAACAATCAGAATCAAGGACAGAAGAATGCCTATGGTAAGAGAACCAATTGCTGGTTCCACCTACATTAGGAATCTCTTCTACTCACCACCCCCACAAGTTTGGGTACTGGCAAATAAAGGTGGCATCACTGATGGCTTTACTGATTTCAAGGGTGGAAGTAGGACTAGAGGGGATAGCTAAATGAACAGGACACATTTCTGCAAGATAAACATGTCCTAAAGAGACACAGTAGTTGAGGAAACTCCATGGACTAATCCTATTTTTCACTCATCGTCTTGAGTGGGAATGAATACTGACACCTAGCTTGTGGCTAGGCAGAAATAAAGACTTAAAGGAAAACAGGCAACAAGTCCTGTGAAAATCAATCTTTGGCTGCAAAGAACCATACTGTTTCTCTGTTATGTCAAGGATCTGTCCCTTTGAAGGTGCCTACCTCAAAGGGCTATGGTAAAGATAATAAGCTCTATACTGTGTCAAACATTTACTATAAGCCAGACATTTTGCTAAACACTTTCATATATTATCTCATTTCATCCTCTTAACAACTCCATGAGGTAGATGACATTAGTGTCATTCCCATTTTACACATAAGGACACTGAGGCTTAAGGGGGATAAGTAATTTCTCTTCACTTGATCTTAGCCAAAAGGCCTAAGAAGCAATGGGGATAATT
Source organism: Homo sapiens (assembly GCF_000001405.40). Taxonomy (NCBI): domain Eukaryota; kingdom Metazoa; phylum Chordata; class Mammalia; order Primates; family Hominidae; genus Homo; species Homo sapiens. The sequence continues at coordinate 111,109,061 of NC_000023.11, read as the reverse complement.
TCTCAAACAAGGTTACACAGCTAGGAAGTGGCCAAACTGGGATTCAAATGGTGGTCTGGCTGATACCAGAGTTGGTGCTCCTAACACCTCTATTGAAATGGAAGAATGGGTTATTAAACATTTTTAAAAGTATAAAATATCATATAAATGCATGATGGGTTTGGGAATGGGTTTTCTCAGTGCTTCTCACTGAATTCAAGCACACTCAGGCAGGTGCATTTTTCTCTTCCTAATATTCAGCCAGTCCTGCAAATTATATAAATTGCCTTTGGTGAATCTTGAAGTAATGGCCAAAAATTTCCAAATGTAAAATTGCCCAGCTGTTTCTCTTAAGCCAGCAGTCCTCAACCTTTTTTGGCATCAGGTACCAGTTTTGTGGAAGACAATTTTTCCATGGACATGGGGCAATGGGGTGGTTTTGGAATGAAACTGTTCCATCTCAGATCATCAGGCATCAGATTCTCATAAGGAGCACACAACCTAGATCCCTTGCCTGTGCAGTTCACAATAGGGCTCACGCTCCCATAAGAATCTAATGTTGCTGCTGATCTGACAGGAAGTGGAGCTCAGGAAGTAATGCTTGTCATCCACCACTCACCTCCTGCTGTGCTGCCCAGTTCCTAACAGACTGTGGACCAGCACTGGTCTGCAGTCCAGAGTTTGGGAACCCCTGTCTTAAGCTGTCTCTTGGAGGAGGTGGTGGTTAGATCTTAATAAGTACAATAATCTCACTAAGGTCTGCAGATCACTCTTATTACTCCACTTTAGGCCCAGTAACAGAGTACTCTGTTATACAATCTTCTGGGAATATGGCACAGCCCTGTGCTAAGCAAGCTATCTACAAGGAAGTTTACTTTGGAAAGTGACTTCTCTAAATTCTGACTGCTGTCCCCAACTACTTATGAACCGTCAAGACCTTTGGAGCCTACAGACCACTGGATTTCATGATAAAGATCCCTCCATGCCCAAGCTTCCAGACTGTTGCCTCATACTACTGTTTCATGGCAACTTGATCTTTCCCACACAAATGAAAGTACCTTAGAGTGCAATAGGTGTGTCTTTCACCCATTTGAATCTCTGGGCCTAGCTCTATGTGGGGCCTACAGACAATCCTCAATCTGAGCTGGTAATGCCACTGCAAATCTGGGATTGAGGAAGAGAAGAAGAGAGACACTGGGTCTGTATTGATAAGATGTTCCTGCTCAGGTATCCCCTTTAGTTTCTTAACTGAGTCTCACAAGTAGCTTTTCTGGACCTAGCATTGCACTAGGCATCAAGAAACCAAAATGAGTAAGATAATATAGTTCTTGCTATCAAAGAAGTTCTCAATCTAATGGCAGGGAGTTGGGTTATATTCCAGAGAATAAGCTCTTCCCTAAGGCATGCTAGAACCCATACCAAATGGCAGCTTGGGTATATTCTGAACTCATTTTTTGCTCCAGGGTGACTCCAGCAGGAGAAGCCATGTACTAGAGACACCCTTGCAAGATGCTCTTGTGTTTTCAAATCTCTGTTGGCACATGACTCTTGCACCAGGCTCCTGATCCATTAGTTCACTCCTGGGTTTGTGCTTCTTTTTATCCACTTGCAGGGAAATCTACAGTCTTTCTGAAGTGCAAGAAACTTCCTTCAGCTTGTCTTTATCCACGCCTACTGAAAAATCTCCTCTTGTAACTTGTTAGTAACAGCTGTTGAAATTTCAGTGGGGTCTACTATCGCACATGAACACTTACAGTACAAATTTACCTTATCATCCAGCTAGTTCATTAACCTTCTCTTTCCTTTCCTTGAGTGCCATGTTCCAGGGTTAACAGGGTATTAAGTATACCTGGCTAGATTAGAGGTGCCTGGTGGAAGCAGGCCTGCCCTTTCCATGTGTGTAATCAGCAGGCAATTCCAGATCATAAATATAAAACCAGAGACATGCACTTTTGCATAAGAAACCATTAACAGCACATAAAGAAACACATCCTTCATCTTCCTTTCACTATAGGAAAGAAATGAGGTAGCAAGTTAAGCCATAAACTTCCAGAAAATAAACACACCATCTAAACTCCAACCTGTGTTGGACAGGACTGGCTAAGGCTGTATTGGAGATGATTTCTGAAAAAAGAAAAAGTATGTGGAAAGGATAAGGAAAACTTGATCTGTGGGTTTGAGCCTTTTCTTTTTTAATCCTAGACATAAATTCTACTCCTTTCTGCTCTGAAAGGATCTATTTCTCATTGACCTCCTGGATGAGACCAACATTTTTCCTCTGGCAACTGGTTGCCAATATAACCTTTCAGCAGGGGTGAGGAGAGCACTAGTGGCAAACAAAGAAAAAAGAGACAACTGTGAATATAAACTATTTCTTGCAATTAGATGTATCCGTGTGTGTGTGTCAGTGAGAAAGTATATAAATGCAGGGCTATTGGGATGGGAGGGGGATGTGTAAGAGTTTGGGAAAGTATGTATGAGTGAGAGTGTGGGTCACTAGCAGTATGTGTGAATCAATGTGAATAGATGTGGGTCAATGTGATTATCTCAGTGGTAGTTAAGTGTCAACGTGTTCATGTGAGAGTCTGAGTAAGAGTACATGGTGGATTACGGGAGAGTGTTTGACTTCCTGAACAGGTGTGTCAGTGTAAGTGTATCAATGTAAGTGAGAATGTGGCATGGCGATTGTGAGTGTGAGTCTATGTTGTCATATGTGGTATCAGTAATTGCCTGTGTGAAGCACAGTCAACTATTGCAATGTGAATTGTGTATGTCAGTGTGGTATGTGCTAGCATGAATGCAAGTCAGTGACTGTGCATGTCATTATATGTGCACTGGTGCAAACGTGTGTAGCGAAGTGAGTAAGGGTGTGTCAGTATGAAAGTAGAAGAGTGGGAATGTATAAGAATGTGAGTGTGTGGTAAGTGTGATTGGGCCAGTGTGAAAATGTGTGATGTACGAGTGGGGGATGGTGTGTGAGGGGGTACACATGTGCATGTACACGAATGTGGAGGAGTGCTTGTCTGTGGGAATAAGGGCGTGTATAATTTTGAGTGTACAGTCGTGAATGTGAAAGTGAGTGAATATGTGAGTGTTAAGTACATGTGCAGTATGTATGTTTATGTGAATTTGTATGAGTACTGAATGTGAATAAGCCTATATATGTGTCAGTCAATGTGACTATACCTGTGTGTGTAAGTGATTGTGCTTGAGTTTGAGAGGGTAGAGTGACGGTTTTCAGTGAAAATGGCTGAGTTTATAAAAATATGTGTGTATGGTTGTATTTCAGTGTATGTGCCTGCAAGTTTGGTATAGAGTGTGATGATGTCTCAGTGTGAAGAAAGTGAGTGTGTGAGTGTGAATGTGTGGCAAAATGTGTGTTTCTATGTATGAATGTGATTATGTGTGAATGTATCAGGAGTAGGGAGGTTGTTTTAGCTCTGTGTATGTGAATGCAAAAGTGTGTAATTCTAAGTGTAAAAGTGCAAGTGGGTGAGATGGTGCTTATGATGTGAGAAAATATAAACGTGGATATATGAGCATGTATGCACGTTTGTGTCCCTGTGATAAGTTTGTGACTGTGAGGAAGAAACAGTGATGACATCAATGCAAGTACACTGGAGTGTATGAAATTGAGTGTATGAATGGCTGTGAGTATAAGAAACAGTTGGAGTGTGTGCAGGGGGAATGTCAATGTATTATTTGTGTATAGAGTATGTATGACTATACAGGAATTTGGGCAGGCAAAGGTGATTGTATCCTCTGTGTGAATGTAAGTGTGAAAGTGTATGATTGTGTGTGTGTGTGAGAATATGATATTAATAGCACAAAGGTGTGAGTGTCTGTGAACATGAGGGTGGGGTGTATGGTAAGTGTGTTGTGTGCATCAATATGAAAATGTGAATACGTGAATGTGAATTTGTGGCAGTGTGAATGTACCTAAATGTAGCATGTATGTAAATATGATTGTGTGTGAGGGTGAGGGCATAAGAGTGATCATCATTTTGAATGACTCCAGTATGAAAAGTGAGTGAGCCCAGGGGATGATGTGACTGTGTGAATGTACAAGAGTACAAGAATGTGCTTGTGAGAGTATGTATGTGTATGTGCATGAACTAAAGATACCAAAATAACTTTGGATGCTGGGAAACTCTCTCCAGGAAGTCTCTTTCTTCCCAAAGCCACAGCATGTCTTCTGTTACAGGCAAGTTACTTAGCTTCTCTCAGCCTCTATCTCCTCCTTGGTAAAACAGTAATGATGATAATACCTAACTTCAGCTAGTATCACTTGTATAATCAGAAACAGCAATAACTATTAGAAAAAAAAATACCTACCTTGCAAGATTATCATAGGAGAAAATGGTATCATGCCAGTAAAGAGCCTAGCACAGAGCTGGCAACAGTAGACAATAAATACAAGTTATTATTGCATCTGTCACAGAACACCAAAGAGCGATTCAGGGGCTTCTCATTTTAGTCAGTCCTAGTTACCTTCTGTCCGTCAAGGCCTAAAGAGGATCCCCTACCAGAACATCGCTAGAAAGTTGAATGCATCAGTATCAACAAGGCTGTAATTTCATACCTTCAATTCCATGGCTGAAACTCTGGAGCTTCCCTTTCATAAGAAGGCATCACAGAAACACCTGCTGCTGAGCTGCAGTTTTACCTTGTCTGTAGGCGCATTGTATGCTCAGTGTGAAAGGGAACTACATTGCTTATTCCTTGCTTGTTTTTTGTTTAGTTTTTCTGTTTTTTTTTTTTAATTTTGTTGGTTGTTTTTTGATTTGGGTAATAGGAGAGATGCCTAAGCAACTGATAGACAGAAGACCAGACAGAGGGACAGCAAGCTACAAGCAGGTAGCTGGACTGCAGGGAATAGCAACAGAGGCCAGATGGAGAAGCTGACAGAAGAAGTTATAATGCCTGCCTGAAAGGCAGACAAAAAAACAAATAGATGATCGGAGAGACAGGCCATGAAACCTGAAAGAAATGCAGAGGAAGAGAGAGAGGCCCAACTTGCAAAGCTGCTGGGGAACTTTTGAGCCCTTTTAAGGGAGACTAGAGATCTGTAAGATCTAGTCCCTGCCCTTGAAGAGCTTACAATCTAGTTTTCCTGGTAAGATGAATACTCCAGAAACCATGCAAGACTTATTTAAGGCAGTAGGGCAGCAAGTGCTACCCTGCACGCTACAGACTCAAGTGCTGTTGGAGACCTGGTGGAGGAAGTGCATCTTGGTTGGGTGGGAAAGCAGAGGGAAGGTTTGGGAAGGTTTAAGCTAAGTCTGACAGGCCCAGAAGCAGGGATGGAAGGGGTGGGGGTACACTTCAAACAGGAAGGTAAAATTAAGGTTATGGGGCAGTAGAAATCATAGGAACTGAATGGCAAATTTGCAGCATGTGGCTGAAAAGCCACCCAGGCACCAGGAAAGGAGGAGAAAAGAAAATGACAGCTTGATGGGAAGCATGTCTGTGTTATACTGAAGCTCTTAGATGGTGCTTGACATCTGCAACGGACTTGGCAACGATTGTTATGTTGTTTCTCCTCCTCACCCCAAAATGTAGGTCAAGGCTGTCATTCCCATATTAGAGATGGGAGGGAGGCAAGAGACTAAAGGCAGCTGTACTGGGCAAAATTCCCCAGAACATAGGGGTCATGCCCTGAGGCCTAGCTCACGAGGTCTAGGCAGAGTCTTTGATATTGGGAGATCTGGTGGAAAAGCAGCATTTGCCTGGATTTGGAGATCCCTAACTCCCTGCCCTGGACTCCATTACTCACCTCACACCGCCACCGCTGCAGGACTTCAGCACAGGTGGGCACTGCCCATGAGAAGGGTCCGGGCTGGCTTCAGCTCCTACAGACTCAGTGCTGGGCACACCAGCTGCCACAAGATGCAAGGACTCAGCTGCTCTTTCTTGGGGGAAACCTGCTGAGAGAAGCATTGTAGGGGAGAGGGAACCTCTTTCCCCACCTGCTACTGCTCCCTCATCCAACTCCCACCAAACATCTCTCTCTCTCTCTCTCTCTCACACACACACACATACTCTCTCTCTCATACACACACACACACACACTCTCTCTCTCTCTTTCTCAATCTCTCTGGTGAATTTCAGAATATCTCTTAAGAAAGCTAGAAAATCAGAGGGCTAAGAAGTGTAAAAAGGCATTGTTACATAGGATTCCAGAAAGGGCACGGAAGTGGGAGTCAGGAGTTGGGAGTTACAAGCTGAGAATTGCTGTTAGTCACCTCATCATTCTGGGCCTGCTTAGTATCAAGTGAAAAGGCCTGCCTTAGTTGACTTGGGTAAGTGTTGGAAGAACTAAATCAAATAGGACAGATGTGAAATATTTACATAGTCTGCATAATTATGGAGCAATGTGTATAATCACAGGAGGTGGTAGAGTCCAGTGGACAAAAGGAAACTGAGAGACAATGGCCAATGAAGGTTGGCTCTGTGAATATGTGAGCTTCCTGATGTTGTGGCACTGCATTCAGTTCAGTTCAGTTCATCCCTCAACTCTAAGTCTCCACCTCCATTTCCATTCCCCTTTTCACTAACCTCTTTCACTGGAGAAGTGGAAAAAAAGTCTGTCTGCCAGGCAACAGCATTCTGAGGTCTCCTAATTTGCTACCATCTCACAGGTGCTGAAGGCCCCAGCCTCTGACCCTAATTGGAGCTTCCCTCTACCTTCTCCTGTCTCCACCAGGTAAGTCTTCCACAGTACTCCCCAGGTTTCTTAGGATGAATACATACTGTTTACTGTTGTTGCTTGGTGATAATTTACCCTATTTTTCCCACAGAGGTTTCCATGTCTAACCATGAAGGAGACTGAGTCTCTTTGACCCCTCCCTTTCTGCCTTTTCCCACAATCATTTGAGCCTCTCAAGGGAGAGGCTGATCTTCTCTTTGTAGAACCCCAAGCTCTGCAATCCTTCCTACTCTGCTTTCCTTTCCCCTTCCCACAGTGGTGTTTGTCCTCAAAGAAAAGCAGAAACTACATGCTAATTCTCAAGGAGGCATGATTCAGGCTAGCACCTATTTATTACAGACCAGAATGAACAGGGTCCTAATCCAAAGAGATGGCTAGATGGATATCTAAACACGGAGATTGCAAAATTGAAGCCTTAGGGAGCCAAGAAAAGCCCCATGATCTCCAATTCCCCCTTCTGGAATTAAAACTCCAAGCCATACTCTGGGTCTGCCTCTTGCTCTTGGGCAAGACTCCAGAGCATGTCTGTCCCCCAGCATCCCTGGCATTCCATGTGTGCTTCCCACATGCACACTCCAGGCAGCCTTTCCAAATCCCACCCACTGCACCATTGAATGGTGTACTCGCCCCCTCCCTCCCTACGTGAGCTCACCCTGCAAGAGGGTGGGGTGAGGGGGAGAGGGGTGCAAGCTGCCAAAGCTCCAGAGAGGGGTGGGGCTCAAGGAGGACACAGGAAGAATGGCCTCAAGAAGCCCCCTGCCCATCTCTGGGGATGAGGGCAGACAGCAGAGGCAGCATCCACCCACTGGGGTGGGAAACAATACTAGAGGATGTAAGAGAAGGAGAACACACCCCCAACCTGTACTACCAAGAACCTCCATGTTTTAGAGCAAGATCAAGAGCTTTCCTGAAGCTTACCTCCCCCTCCCCCCAGCCTCAATTGTAGCACCACTTTTTAACTCCATGGCAACCTGCCTTTATTTCACCACTTGCTTGAGTCAGTGCAGAATCAACTGACAGGACACAGTATTCCACCTGGTAGCCACACTCCTCTCACCTGCCTGGGGGTGTGTTGTGTTGAGAGTAGGGCAAGGGGAGATATCCTGTGTGTGAGCACATGTGCATACTGGGTCATGTATATCTGCACAGTTCCCTGTACCATGTTGTATGTCTGTGTATGTGTGCTGTGTCATATCTACCATGACATGCATGTATTGAGTCTGCATCATATCGTGTGTGTGTACAGTGTCCTGTTAATATCATGTTGTATACGTGATCATGTCAATAAGCTACTGTGTGAGTGCTATGTGTCTGTACTGTGTTGCATGTGAATTGCATCTCTTCCATCCTTTGTGTATGTGCAATGTGTCTAATTCGTATTGTGTCATATCTTTATGCCATGTTGTGTGTCTGTATAGTGTTGTGGGCATTGTGTGCCTACATCATGTTGTATGCCTATACCGCCTTGTTGTACACCTATGGCTCAGCCTCCTGTTGGAGACTGAGGTAGAAATCAGTGCACACATCTTGTACATACCCAATACCCATCACTAACCCAACTCCACCCCCAGCCACCTTGCTGCATTCCAACTTCCTGACAGAATCTCTGTCTGGGGACTAGGGCTGCCACCTTGGCGGTGGGGGTAGGTGGAAGCTATGGACAACTACTCTGTCTACCACAGAGCCTTCCCATGCCAAGTATCTTGCTCAGCACCGAAGCTGTCTAGGAAAGGAGGTTTGGAACCTTTTTCAGGCCCAAAGGAAACAACGCTGGAGAGGAAGTTGTGGGGAGCTGACTCCCTCTGTGAACCCCCAGCCCCATCCATATATGCAAGGAGAAGGACTTGCAGGAAACGGTGGCTGGCTGAGTTTCTCTGTCAGGCTGGTTGGAAGGACTGGGAGCCTTCTCCACAAGGAGTAACCGCTGCACAAGGGCACTGGTGACCAGGCTGGGACCGGGGATGCATGGGGAGCTCTTAAAATTGTCCCCATTAAGGTCACTAGAGGGCACTGTTGTGCTGATTGTTAAGGATAGTGTTTCTTTTAGGGTGCTGAATTCCAAAAAGTGCCTGGGGCTCACAGTGAGATATGGGAGGAGGGCACGAAGGAGAAGGATATACGCCCTAAGCCAGGCCCTTCCTTCACCTTCATCCCAAGACTTTCTGTTTTGAGATTGAGTTAGGGAGTAAGGGCCACTAGTGAATATACGCCACCCACCCATCCACTCAGGTCTGTGAGACCCAGCCACACAGAACCTTTCAGGGGCTTGGTTATAGGGTCCCTAGCAGATTATTAACTTGGACTTCTCTTTTCCCTCCTGTTCCCCATTCACATGAAGTAAAAGTAAAGCCACACTGTTGAAAGAGATGAAATATATGTGGTTGTGGGGTTGTTTTGTATTGTTTTCCCTAAAACTGGAGGGCATACAAAAAAAGAAGGGGTAATTTTTCTGACAGGGGAAGAAGAGGGCTATACTTTAGTGGACCTGTCTTCATTACCAAGAATAAATGGACCACCTTATAGAACAACTAGTGCCAAGTTCATCGTTTGAAAGACAAGGAAACTGAGGCCTAGAGAGGGGCAAACACACTGTCTGGGACCCCCAAACACAACAGGGGTCCCAGACTGTCACTGTCTGGGACAGTGTGTTTGGGGGTCCCAGACCAGGCCCTAGCCCTCCATAACACTTGACTTCTGACTCCCAGGGTTCATTCCACCCCAGTTCCTGGTCCTTTGGCCCCTAAAAAACTTCACTCTCCAAATTCAGCCCCCTCCAACCTCAAAGAAAAACTCTGGCCTCCCTCTCCACCATGTGGGTTCCAAGGCCATCCTATTCCATCTCAGCAATCAGGCCTCTCTGTGACTACACCTTTCTAATGATTTCCTCTTCCCACCAGTAAATTGTTACTCTCTTTCCAGTTTTCAAGGTCCATCTCCCCATTATGTTTCCCAGACTTAGACCCAGCTGTAGCTGCACCGTTTTGCTCCTCATTGCATCCCCTGGGTTTAGCACAGATTGCTCCAACCTGCAGATAACTGACCAAATGTGGAAATCAGACACAGATCTATTGCACTGATTAACATTTCCAATTAAACCCCCGGTTAGGCTGTGTGTATTAGTGACTCAAATAATCACCGCGTAGGTAAATGCAAATGCCTTCCAAAGCCACAGAGCGCGGTAGGAAGCGACGCATATCTGGGAGGAAATGGAAATAGACTGCCACACCCGGAGGTTCATTTGGTTCTCCGGTAACCCTAAATGAGATTTTAAATGTGTGGCTATTATTTGATCCGAGGCTGAAGCATCACACCTGAAATGGAGGACTCGGGTCCTGCGCGTCGCTGCAGGCCCTTTTCCGCCCCCTGCTGGAGAAGCTGTGTAGTGCCGACTTGGCAGACGAGTCCATTCCAGGCCCTGCAGAGGGAAACGCCTAGCCCCCGGCAGGTGGGGGTGGGGGTGGGGGACGCGTAGCGGAGGCTTAAGTACGCCCCAGATGCCTAGAACGCTGCACTTACCTTCCGAAGTAAAGGTTTTACACAGTTCCCTGCGCACACAGGGTCCCCAGGGATCCTGAGAAGGAGGGCTTTTTTTCTTTTTTTTTTTTGAGCAGGGGTCCCAGACCAGGCCCCAGCCCACCCATGTAAAAGCAGTCAACCTACCTGTCTAGGCCAGATTGATAGCGCCTCCACTTCCCTTTGAGGCACCGTCCTTCCCCACTGCCCTCTCCTTACCCAGGAGGAAAGAGCCAGTTGTTGAGGCTGCTGCTCATTGAGTTTCTTGTTCTCTTGGTTAAAGCTACTGGTTCCTGAAGGTGGGTTACGTGGGTGGGGATGCTGTTGATTTTAAATATCTAGAATCATCCTTCTAATTCTTGGCTGAGCTACAGCTGCCTCAACCTCCAGAGTTGCCTATCTCACCAGAGAATTCAGGGCTTTTGGGTTGTTGGTAAGGCCACGACTTTTCTTCTCTCTCTCTCTAGTTTGCTCCTGCCTTCCTGCCTACTACATCTGATCTGTACACCTGATTTTTTTTTTTTTTTTTGCCTTGGCCACCTTCTTTAACCTTAATTTAGTAGCTTAGTCTCTGAACACATAATAGCAAACTCTCGGATGTCAGCACCTTCCCATCCCTGCAGTTCTTTTTATTTCTCGTTTCCCTCACCTGGTATGTCCACCACTCACCCTCTCCCAAGACCTCAGCAAACTTGTTTGCCCTATATACCATTTCCACCTCTGACCAGGAAATTCTGCAACCTGTGGGAATGGTTAGCTGGTGAGAATGTCCCTAGGGTCCTGTGTCCCCTAGCTTATAACCCTATTGCATGTGAACCTCCTTTTCCTGTCAGATCTCTCCTACAAGGCCCAGCTGCCTGTCCGGAGACTTGCAGGGTCAGCTCCTTGACATCCTAAGGTCTCTCTGACCTCAGGATTCTCAGCTGTCAGCTCTTGCCCAGGCTACCTCCTAGTCTCTTCCCATTTTGCTTCTTGCATGGGCTGGGGGATATGACACTTGTATCCAGAAACAGAGGCTTACAAATGGCTCTCTCTCCAAGCCTCTGCCTGTTAGTCATTCATTACCATATCAAGTCTTTTTGCCCAAAGTTGCCCCTGATTGGAGGCCTCAAGTACCAAATCACAGATCTTGCCCAATTATAATTTTGCAAATGGCCCAGTGAAAACCGCACTGACCTTTACACCTTGCTCATCCCAGAACAGGGCCACGGTGTTGTCACCAACAGGAATGGACCTCCTTCTGTTCCAATACCTCAGACAGCCATACACTTGGCCTGGATTTGAGTCTGCAAAACCATGAGGGGAGCAAGACTAACATGGCTAAAGGCTTCCCTGCTGAAAGCCGTTTTTTAAAAATAGCACTGCAACCGCCCCCATCATGCTTCCCAAAGCCAAGCCACTCACCCTTCTCTCCTTCGCTTCTACAGACCAACAGCCCAGAACCCTCAAGTCTAGAATCTGGAACTGGATTCTGAAAGGTGGGACCAAAAAAAAAAAAAAAAACAAGTGGGGCCTCTATCTCTCTCCTTGCCTGCATCCCCCTCTTCCCACCATCCCCCACCCCACCCCACCCCTTAACCACCACCTAGGGAAGGAAAACTTGCCAGAGTAAGAATCTAAAATGTTCAGTTCACCCAAAAGTGCGGCAGTAATCTTGCCAGAGCCAGTTCACAAACTGAGGGCAATGTCCCCCAGCGAGCTAAGGGGAACAGGAGAGAAGGAGAGGCAGTGGACCCAATGACACTGCTCCCCAGACAAAGAGAGGGCCAATCCAGGGACCCTGAGCTTTCTGGGGGCGTTATTGCATCATTCCAATCCCCACAGGAGAAGAAAAGGGTCCCCCTGTTATTACCATCCCCCCACCAAAAAAAGGGGAGGGGGATAAAGAAAAATAAAAGAAAGAGGGGAAGGCGCCCGTTTAAGAAAATCGTCACTTTTTCTCTTTCCTCGTGTGTGTGTGTGTGTGTGTGTGTGTGTGTGTGTGTGTGTGTAAGGGGCGGGGGGGTTCTACCCCGGACTTGGCCAGACCGTGGCCACACCCCCTCCCCTTTTCTAGGGAACTGCTGTCACAGCTACTGGGGCTGGGTAGGGGGGCGGGCGGGGGGGTGAAAGGGAAGACTTACAGGCTGACGTAGCTTTCAAGGCGGGTTTTGCCTCAAGCGGCCCAGGCCCCAGTAAACGAGTCTAGGGTTTGACCAAGCGAAGGAGCCCCGGCCCTCTGGGAACGGCCCTGACACACCCACTTGTCCGCGAACTGGGATCATGCAAACTGCTCGCTTGGTCTCAGGGCTCCGGGGAGCCACGTAGGAGACTCGAGGCTGGGGCACAAACAGGACAGGAGGGGGGTCCGGAAAGGCAGAACATCTGCCCAGCAGCCTTAAAGCATCATCCAACAGCCACCCCCTCCCCCGCGGTAGCCCGGGTGCAGTTAGTCGCGGGATTTACCTGCCACGGATCCAGCCACCCCGTCAAGACCTTTCCTCTACCTCCGAGCGCTCCAGCTGGCGGGGCTGGGGAGCCGCAGCCCCGCGGCCGCAGCCGCAGCCCCGGGCCCAGCCCGCTCCCCCTGGCTCTTCTCCCGCCCCCGCACACTGGCTCGAGGCGGGGAAAAGCTGCAGCCCCCAGTGCGAGATCCCAGACGGTTAGCTGGCACAGCTGCCCGCCCGCGGTAGAGCCCCTGCTCGGCAACCGCTCCCTAGCCCTTCTCTGCTATTACGTCACCCGAGCTCTGCACCTTACCTAGGCCAATCAGATGGTGAGCATAAAACTAAAATCGCCCTGAGTGGGCTACTGGGGACCAATCTTTTGTTTCCAGGCAGGAAGCGCCTGGGAGGGGGAAAAAACTGAAGGGGAGGGAACATGGAGAGGGAAAGGGAAAGGAGATGGAAACTTCTACACTGTCAGGGTTGTCTAGACAGAGGTGGGGCCATCAAAAAAGAGGGGCACCTGACAGGATGGAGAGGAGGGGAGAGTTCATGTATCTTCCTTAATTGCTCCCCTCAGGAGAATTGAGATTTCAGATGAATTTTCAGGGGACGAAATCTGTACAGCTACACGGGCACACTTTATTCGGGGGAAAAAACGGTTTCGATTTGGGACACCACCTGTCAGCCAGGCAGGTTAAACTGACGGAATCTCTAAAATACACAGAAAACTAAGAGAGACAGATGTGGCAGTGGAATTCAAAGAGATGGCAGTCTAGATCGGGAAACTACTTTTCTGCATATGAAGCACACACATTCCAAAAAGCAAGGAATTATACAAAAAATAAAAATAACTCTACTTCAAATGGAGCTTAAATGCGATTCTCTCTGTCCATCCTTTCCCTTAAACCTTCAAAGCTTTCTCTTGTCTTTAGGATACGGTTCAAATTTTTGCAGATGGCCAAAGCTTTATAAAATCTAACTCCAAAAATAATCTCTTGCTACTCCAAAATCCATACTCCCCATGATTTGGCTAGATTATGTAAATTATGGTGAATCCCAGCAAGGCGACAGTAAGCTGCCATAAAAAGTCAAATAATACAAAACAATAAGGACATTCAAATTATAATGATGTAAAATATGCCTACAGAAAACGATCAGAAGAGGACATAAAATTGTAACCGTTGGGTTAAACTAGTAGTATTATGAGTAACTTTTTCTTTCTACTTTCAAATTTATTTTCATAAAGATAAATATATCCTCACATACTTAAATGGCCAAAATAGATCATGACCCTTCCCAGTGAACTTTTATTCAATTTTCTCCACACTGTGTAACATCCAGCAATAATTTCTCCATAATGCCAACAAAATAGGTTTCAAGAACAAGAGTGAACTAATATATCTGCCCAGGTCCTTTTAGTAAAAGTCGTACAAAAGAGCTACAGATGACCACACGCGGTGGCTCACACCTGTAATCCCAGCACTTTGGGAAGCCCAGGCGGGCGGATCACCTGAGGTCAGGAGTTCAAGACCAGTCTGACCAATATGATGAAACCCCGTCTCTACTAAAAATACAAAAATTAACTGGGCATGGTGGCATGCGCCTGTAATCCCAGCTACTTGGGAGGCTGAGACAGGAGAATCACTTGAACCCAGGAGGTGGAGGTTGCAGTGAGCCGAGATTGCGCCACTGCACTCCAGTCTGGGCAACAAGAGCAAAACTCCGTCTCCAAAAAAAAAAAAAAAAAAAAAAAAAGAGCTACAGATTCGCCAGACAAAACATCTCAGGCAGTTGAAGAATGGGATGCCTCTTTTGGACTGATTCATTTTAAATTGTGATGATACAGGGAATTGAGAAAAACAACAACAATGATCCACTCTATGCCAAAACAAGAAAGAGGGAGGCAAAGACTAAGTAAACGATGTAATCCAGACCATTTTTAAGGGTCAGTTTGCATTTTATTTTCCTAAATTCAAAATATATATATTAATGCATATATGAGTATTACATTAACATTGTAGAAAGTGGTAGAGCTGGGATTTGTATCGAAATGAGTCCAAAGTCCATGCTTTTTCTAATATGATACAGTTTACTACTGCTAAGAATTAAATGTGGTATTACTGGTTTTGTTAAAATACATACTTGCTTTAAAAGAAACAGACTATATAAGATTGGCATTTTTAAAAAATCAGGCATTTTTAAAAATAGCTTTTTTGGTGTCGTGGTTGTCTTTAATGCAAAAATATACAACACTCTTTCTCAAATCCTTCATTAATAAGTTGGAATCAGGATGGTTCTGACTCCAGTGATTTTACAGATATCTTTTTAACTAACTTTGGAGTTAAAAAAAAAAAGCAACCACATCCCACTGGTTTTTTTCTACACCATGGTAAAAATAATCTAAAAAAATCACAAATCAAAATGAATGTAATTTATTCAATGTTAACATCTCTGATTTGTAAAATGCATTTATTTGGGTTAAACAAGAACCTTTTTTAAGAAATAGAAAAATATAACTGGATTTTCCTGGCTAATGATTTAACTTGGGTCTTCTAGGCTATTGATTTAACTTGTAATGAGAAGGTATTTGATTTCACTCTAATCCTCCCATATACCTCAGCTATAACTCAGAGCTATTTATGCAGTCACCACACATGGTTATTTAAACATTTCATGGGTGTATTTCCTTTCTCCCTAGTGATTGTAGAAAGTAGCATGTGGACAAAATCCTATTAGGTGACTGACAAAGCATAGTGATGTCATAGAAAGAGGACTGGACTTAAGACCCAAGCCTAGGGTCTTCCTATGAAAGGGTGATAACCTATGTTATTCTTGATACGAGAAAGCAGTCTTTACTGTCAACATGGTTTGTTCTCCAAGAATATAGGGCAACTGCATGGGAGATCTCAGGAAGGGATTCCAATCTGAAATATCTTAAAGATTTCATCTGTGTAATTTTTCCCCTCAACTCACCATTTTTACCACCCAACTCACTGTTCTCTTGCTTGGGAGCTCTTTGATTTAAGGGTATTACAACACTACCATCATAACCACTTGGCATGTGTATCCTACTTCTCAGGTTACAAACCACTTTTGTATCTCCCCATCTGATCCTCACAACAACCACAACAGTTTACTATGGCAATTATTATGATCTGCATTTCATAGATGAGAGAATGGAGACTCAGGGGTTTGAAGTTACCTGTCCAGTGCTTCACAGAGATGGTCCTGGAAACCAGGTCTCCAATTCTCAGTTCTATGTTTGTTCTGCCACCCTATATGGCCACTTGAGTTGTATATCTTCTCTGGGTCTTTACCAACCCAACTAGCCCCTTGATTCACATGAGAAGTGAGAAGCGCTGGGATGGGGCTTTTAATAACAGAAGTAAACTGAAATGAATATCTTCAAACTGTTTCAGTCAAATCCTGGATAAAAGGAACATTGCTCACTCTCATATACAATTGACGGGAGTGTAAATGGCACAACCTTTTGGGAGCACAAGTGGGTAGTACTTAGGAAATGTTAAAATGCATGTGCCACTTGACCCAGCAATTCCAACTCAAGGAATCTGATTATGAATATATTCATAAAAACATGTCAAGAAATGTTGAAATATGTTATGCTGAATATTATATAAGAATGAAAAATATTACATGAAAGGTAGCCTAAATGTCCCTCAGTAAGGGAACTGTTGTTTTTTTAGCCACTTTGTCAAATATGATTGCCATGTAAAAAGTTGTACATATTTAATGTATACAACTCTATGAGTTTGGGAATAAGTATACACCTGTGAAACTATCACCACCATCCAAGGCATGGACATATCTATCACCTCCCAAAGTTTTCTCCTGCCCAAGTAAGTGAATCATTAAATAAATTATGGTAGATACATATTTTGGACTACTATGCATCAGCTTAAAAAACCAAGTATATAGACCCCTCTGTACTGAAATAGTAATACTCCTTGACCCATTCTTGAGTGAAAAAATGCAGAACAGCACGTGTATTATGATTTTATTTTTGTTTAAAAAATTGGGTGTATGTGTGTGTTTTAACTGCTAAAGGGGACACTCTGGGAATAAAAGAGGGTAGGAAAGACATGTGGGTATGTGTATATGATGGGGGACATTAACCCTTTTCTTTATATACTACTGTCTTGTTTGTATGTTTTTACAATAAGCATATGCTATATTTTACTTGTAAGAAACATCATTAAAAGGGGAAATAGGAAATACAGTCTTATTTTGGTTAAGACAAAAGCAAGCAAACTACCCCTGCTATCCTGAAAGAGGTCTGAATGCCAGGTCAATGATTCAGGTGTAGCAATCAAGGCTATGGTGTGCCAGACTGAGCTGAGCCATACCTGGGCAGGCACTGAATGCAAGGCAGTAATGAATAACCCACTGGGCAAAAGCAACCCAGATTTCCTTGCTCCCTTCCCACCCCTGCCTCAAGTCCCACAGCCAGAAGTTGTTCCCAGTAGTGGACTCTGGGTCTGTTTGGATCTCAGTCTTCACATCTTTTGCTACAGCAGCTGCACTAAAAAAAAAGTGTCCCCACTCTTTGAATACAAAAGAACCTGGGGTTTGGCAGCTGGTGCACAGCATTGGCTAGGAGCACAGTGCCTACTCCTCCTTCACTCAGGGCCGCTCACTACAACCCGTTGCCATTACTGCAGTCTGGTGCAATGGAGCCCCTTCCTTCCTGCCTCCCCATGCCCATCATAGGGGTCTCAAGCTCTTCTGTGGCAGGCAGCATTGTGGGTTACCTGCTGGGCAAAGAGCAAGGAGCATCAGAGATGCCAAGAGGTCTTGTCCTAGGTCTCTGAAAAATCAGAGGTGAGGGAAAGAGGAAAGCCCATGGCTGGGAAGTTACCATTCTCTTGGGTCTTCGAGTTCTTTCCTGGAAATCAGGAAACCCAGGTTCTATTCCAGCCTCTGGAGAGGAAATCCTGAACAAGACTCAAATTTCGCTGGGCACTAGTTTTCTCCTTTGTCGAACTCGCCTTGCCTCTCTCCTTGGATTGTTGTATGGATACAAACAGCTAATGGAACAAAAGCAGATTTAACAGATTTCTGAGCTATACATCTCCTTAATAGACTTGATGAGTCGCATTTACATATGCTCCCTAAATGGTGGCAGCTTGGGAATGAAGGATTTCTCCTGACCTTCTTTCACTACAATTATCCCCCATTAGAGACCTGCCCTGTAGAACCTACGAGCTTTCTGAAGCCCCCAGCTTTTGCCCTGTTCCCTTCCACCAGGGAGTTAGTGAAGGAAAAGCAGAAGACAATTAAATCCAGGTGGCTCTGGGTGAATTAATATGAGAATTAGAAAGTTCCTCTCCTCTGACTTGGTTTTAATTAGCCCTGCTTCCACCATGGTCCTACATATCAAACCACATTGTTTAATTGAGCTGATGCTCTGTTTGATTTTTCTCCCAAGTGGATCATATTATATATTCCTTCCTTACATGATCTCAATCACTGCACTACTGGAACCTAAGTCCAACCTGCAGAGTGAATTGAATTTGGAAAGTTGGTTTCATTGCTCTCCCCATTTTACTAAGAAGGAAAAAGAGAAGGAGAAAGTAGAAAACAAAATCTAGGGGATAAAGAATGAAGGAAGTAAAGAGAAAACCAAATCTTATTTATTTTTATTTTTTTTGGACCGGCTGGACTATGATGTCATGTTTTTCCAGCTCACCTGTGATTGGCTGCTCAGTTCAGCATCTGCTGAGAGCTAAAGGCTGATTATTTGCCGGAGATACAGACCTTTCAGGGAAGCTTTGAATCATTGCTGGTTGTCGTGACAACCTGGGCAGTGTCTGCTCCTGATAACCACATAATGAGGTTGTCAGGAACAGAAGTGCCCCCATCCCCACACCCAACCATCTGAAATGGTGAGCAATAGAACATTTCTCTCAGGAGGCGAAGAGAAAATAAATCACCAAAAGGCAAATGGTGGAGATCCTCTCAGACAATTTATGTCAGGCAAATCCTGGAAACAATCTTGAAGAGTTCCATATCTACCCTCTCCAGGTCCCTCTTGAACTCATGTATCCACTATAATCCAGAGACATGAGGAACAGGTGGTGAAGGAGTGAGGAACCTCTGCAACCCTCCAGTAAAGCTAAATAGAGGGAGGTGTGAGTGGAATGCCAAATTGACTAAGGCAAAGCACATTACCTCTCTTCAAGGGGCTTCATTATGGGCATGGTCCGGGGAAAAGAGGGCTATGTGTCAAAGATGGTAGGGCATGGCCAAACCCAGTCCCCAAAGCCCTACATGAAGAGAGATTGAGGGAGATTGGTTGTGGGCTTTTCTGCTTGCGACTTTCATTTCCCTGGAGGTAAACACCTCACTCTATATTCTCGTGGGGCTCCAGATGTTCTTGAGAGGGAATATCAGTGGCGTCTTTGTGGTACATTAGAAATTCCTAGGACAGACTTATTCAGTTCCTACTAAGTGCAAAACACACATCTAGGTGCTACGGACGCTACATAGGTGAGTCAAACTTGGGGCATCTCCTCAAGAAACTTGGAATCTAGTTGGGAAGAGAAAATATACACCCAGGAAACTATGACACAAGACAGATGTAGTAAGTACTACAAAAGAAGTCTAAATTCTTTAATTTCACAGAGAGGAGAATCACATCCAGATTGTCACACTCCAGCTGTAACTCATCTTTCCAGGGTTTTTTCCCACCACTCCTTCCTTATACCCCGAGGGTCAGCCGTATCAAACTTCCTCTGTTTCCTTGATGTGCCTTGACTTTCATATCTCTGTGCCTTTCCTCCTGATCTTCCCTCTGCCTACCACAACTTTCTCCCTCCTTTCCCTACCCAATGATATTGAACACATATTTCCAGACTCTACTCAAATGGCATCTTGTTGATGAACAAACTGGTCTTATATTTCTAATCCCAAAGGGATCTGTACCTGGTGGATATGGATGTTGACTAATCCACTGATATCACTACAGTACCCAATATTCAAATCTAGAAGCATAAAAGAGAACACTGGTACAACCAATTTTGGGTTATTCATGGAAAAGCCTAAAGTCAGACTAATTTAGAAAAGTCTTATTTAGATAATCAACACAAACCTGTTCTCCCATTAAACATCTTTTATAGCTTTCTTATTTTGAAGTAGTTTAAGACTTACACAAAGTTACAAAAATAGTACAGAGAGTTCCCATTATCTTTCACCGAGTTCCCCCAATATTTTGATATATTATATTGATTTTATTTTGCACAGCCGCAGTACATTGACAAATCCCTGGAAACTGACATTAGTATATGACTACTAACTCAAATACTGACTTTATTCAGACTTGCCTGGTTTTTACATACATTTTTCCATTAACTATTTTACCAACTTGGCTGAAGAGGAGCAACATTATTAATAGTTAATCTGAATGTCAATATTTTTCTCGGGCTCATCCCTTTCTGAAAAGGACCAAAACCTGAAAAAGTCAAAACTTCCCCAGAACTGAAAGAGTGAAAGTCAGTTTGAGCTAAGAAAAAGCAGCCCTGCCATTAATCAGGCTGGGAGAATGGACAGATAAAGCCAGCTGCAAAGTTAATAGAAAACACTTTCTCCCAAGGTCACACGGCAGTTGTAAAAGGCCATAACTACACCGCCTACTTTGAGTGACTACTCCTTTCTTACCAGTGATGCCTTAAACCTGCTTTGCTACTTGTATTTATTACTGGAGATACTCAGTTCTTAAACCACACAATAAATTTGAGTTTGTGGGACTATAGTCTTGTCTCTGACAGTCTTTGGCTAATTAAGCTTTACCATAACAAATGGTAACCAAGCCAGGGTTACCTAGAAAACCCCTTGAATGATCAGAAGTTAGCCATATTTCCTAGAATCTACCTAGAGGCTCACAGTGTGACTAAAATGGGTATGATATACATAACAGATGTCTAATAAACTCTCACCACATTGATGTGGGATTGTTCTATATCAAATTTAGTGTAATGGTACTGGATACAAGGACAAAAGCCAGGAGGGACATTATTACATAGACGTCCAGCATGCAGTCTCTGTAATTAAACCGCTGGCCTTCAAATCCCAGGTTCACTATTTTATAGTTTGATAACCTTGGACAACGTATTTAGTCCCTCTGAACCTCAGTTTCCTCATCTGTGAAATGAGGGATCCAACAGCACCTTCTTCTTAGGGTAATTGGGAAGGTTAAATATAAATTAAATGCATGTAAAGTGGGAAAGCATTAGGGTAGTGGTTCTCGATTTGGCTGCACAAGGAACCACCTGGTGATTTTTATAAAATGCTAGTGCTTGGCCCCTACCCCTAGACATTCTAACTTAATTGGATAGCATGAATCTGGACACTAGGATTTTTAAAAAATCTCCTCAGGTTCTAATCTCAGATTCCGATGTGCAGCAAAATTTGGGAACCACTGTATTAGGGATTTCATTACTTAAGGACTATTTTTCTTCCACAGGCTTGTGGTTATTCTCTCCTGATCTCCCTCAGTGTCTGATGTCTCTGAGTGTCTGAAGAAGGCCAGGAAGTGGAATGGGGTGGGGTGGGGGGAATTTCTCAAGGAGAAGGCATTAAATTTGATCTTCTTGGAGGCTTTACCCAGGTTTTTTTGTTTGTTTGCTTTTTGTCTTCTGTTTTTTTTTTTTTTGTTTTTTTTTTTTTGCAGTCCCTGTCCTGATTACCAGATGGTTCGTTCTGGTAATGAACATCCCCTTTTTCTTCCACGTCCACAGCAAAATGATGAAGATATTGAATATTTGGGTAAAACTGAAGCTGTATTAATCTTCTCTTCTGTTTTCCCCTCCCAAACAGAACTCAGTCACACTTCAAATTAAGTGGTCTCAAGTGTGAATTTACAAACAAAGTTAATATGTGCACACAGGATTGGCTGACCATGGAAGATGTGTTTGATAGATGCAGATCTCAGTGTGCTGTTGTTTCATATAATTAAGCACCTGTTGCACTTCATAATCAATCCTTTTTTTTTTTTTGTAATAATGCAAGAACTTCTTACAGTCAATGTTCTCTCATGTTCACTTGATACGACCACTTGTAGGGGAAGGACATTTGAAACAGCTTGCCCCTCCTACCCTTTTTAATCATCCAAGAGAATACATTCCCTACTCAATAAATAAATATCAATTAACTGATGAATTTTAAAGGTCAGCAGAATAGAAGTTTACAATATGTTCATAATTATTTTAAAAAGTGGTTCACCACCTCTCTCCCACAGCAAACCCTGCCACACACACACACACACACACACACACACACACACACTTACTTGTTCATTCCAGCTGCTAATATGGAAAATTTAACGAATTCTGACATGTGAGGCTAAAGTTTACTGCCAAAAAGGAAAGGGGGCAAGTTGCTAGGCAAATTAATACTATAAACATAGAAAAGTGACAGCCTGCTAGGAGAGTACGCTAACACACGTTTTTAAAGCGCCACTCTAAGTGCACTTTGCATTCAAATTACCAATATGCTAATTATAGTCCTTATCTGTTTGTTTGAGGCCTTGAGAGTCTAGGCAGCTCAGAGCACAGACCCCAGCCAGCAGTTTGACTGCAGGTTTTTAGAAATAATAACATGGCATTTCTTTAAACATATTTTCAAATTCAAGCTTCTTACAAATCAAGATTGGCCTTTCCCTCATTCAGGGAATTAGTGAGGCTTAACTGTGTTCGCTATGGTGCCATCCCCCACAAACCCCTGCTAACAAAAGCTCTGACTTCTACTTGAGCACAGTCTGTTGGGGCAGATTTTCATGGTAATTTGCGGGCTCTGTTTTGAAAGACATGGGGCGTCTTTGTAAATGGGATTGGTAGATGGCAGGGGGTGGGAAGGGTGTACTTTCTCACTAATCGTGAGATTGTCTTTGACCCTTTTTAATTTTCACCACCATGTAAGGCCAGAAAGAACTCTTAACTCAGGTTTTTTGCAATTTACATCCCCTAATTCTGTTCTTAAGAGAGAGGTAAAGAGACAGAACACCATTCTCCCTACACTCCGGTTGAAATTATCAGACATCTATCACAACTATATTGGGGGTGGGGACTGAGGATTTATCATTCTTCCCCCAACCCTAGGCTTTATTTGGATTTGCTTGGTAGGGGAGGGTGATGGTGAGTGTATCCTGTTTTATTTATATGACACAATCTTCAAATTCCTTACTTTCTCTTACAGATTTGTGGTAAAATCTAAACTATCTAGAATCCCACAAACAGCGCCTCAAAGAATAATATTTTTTGTTATATTGCACTTTGAAAAAAGTGCCCACCCCCCACCGCCCCCCTGCCCAGTGCACACATGTGCACATGCACACACACACACACACACACACACACACAAGCTGACATCACAGTCTTCTCTCTACGGTTTAAGCTAATGATCCATGGACATAACAGGCTTATTCTTAAAAATATTATGAAATTAGTTTTATTGTGTTCTTTCCTTTCCTGTGTTCCAGTCTTCCTTTTAAGGACTTCTCCCAGATACCCCAAAGCCCAATGAGCTACAGTCACTGCCCGTTTCCTTCCTGTATCTAGAAAGGAGACAATCTGATTGACTTCTTTGCTGTACGGTCTTATCGATTTCATTTATTGCTCCTTTTAGGTTCTGTGTATTTTAGGAGAACCTTTCTGGAGTGGGCAACAATGCTTCAATCAAAGGAATGAGTTGCAGAGGTGAAAATGTAGACACCACTGCAGGCGTCTGGGGAGTAGATGAAAGAGGGATATTTTGGAGAAGAAAAATTGCAAATCACACTGCTAAAGAGTCCTTCCCCCAACAAGGTTGGTTCTGATACCCACGACCTCCAGGGTTCTCAGTCATTCACACCATCTTTTCAGTAATCCACACCATGTTTTCAAAGGCAGACTTCTGCATTCATACTTTAAAGCAAGACTCAACTCCAAGAAGCTTCAAACAAAAATAAGGCTTTTGAGTTAAACAGAAATTTAAAATGCCTAACAGAGCTGCTGATCCTCTGGTTAATTGCAATCTGACCATATTAGGAGTCAAGGCTAGTCCCTGCCTCAGAGCATCTTTCTTTGCTGCCATACATTTTTATGCTTTTTGATTTAAAAGGCTGGAGGTGACAGTGGGGTTGGGGAGCAATCTCATGGCTAGTTTAGCCAAGCCCCTGGGATATCCTAGATTTAAAGCAGACTGGCTAAATTGAAAAAAACATTTTTTTCTGGCTTGGGAATTTTGATTGGCTATGACGTATTACTTTAAAAAAAAACTGTCGTGTTTAAACAATCAAATTATCTTGTTTTTAAAATTACATCTAAAACCAACTCAGTACTTTAAGATAAGTTCCATGCTTTCTGCCACCTTTGGAAAGCCTGCTTGTACTAAAAAAGTTAAAATACATTTTCATCTAAGGAGATTCTCTCCCCAGACCATTTTGGGTGAACTGAGAGCCCAAAGCTGTTTCTATATCGGCCCAGAGACATGGACTAGGCCATTTACTCAGTAGGTCATTTGTAAAGCTCCTATAAAAAGGGGTAGTCGTTTTTCAGATAATTTACTGCACCAAATCACACACAAAAAAGGAAGGCACTAAAATGAAACATAAAGCCCCACACATTCCCCTGAGTTGGCGAAGGGATAGTTTCAAAGTTTCTGAATTAGAAAGAAAAATGTATCATAGAAAGGCTTGGAGGCTGGATGACTCAGCTGTCAGACAATGTAGTTAAAAACTTCCCTGGTTGTGAAGCATCGACAAACTTGACATCAGAACTTATCAGTTACTCTGCTTAACTAGAAAAAAAATGGGTGTCATCCATCCACATCGCAGCAAGGGAGGCAGGCCCCAAAGTAGCAGTCTAGAAGTCAACAATATCAAATGCATAGCTTGAGCTGAGGGTGGAATATGAAAATCAATAAGGACAGAAGACACAGAAGATAAGCAACCCATGTTTAAACCCTCCTCACAGTTAGGGCTAAACATTTATAGCCTGTGCTTATTTTGTTTCATTTAACAGTTACTTCTTTCCTTATAAAGCACAGAGAAAAGAAAATCCATTAAATCCAGTAAATCAATAATCTGTTGAATATATAACACATTCACAAAAGAGTGATGTGCCTCTGACCTAGTTTCCCTACAATTCACGTCAAATAGACCTGGCCCTTGCCCTCCAGATGCCTACAAAGATAGCTAATACAGGAAGCAATAGAAATGTGTGTGCAAGAAAAATAGGACAAACATTGTATGGCCCCCTGTGGATATTCCATGAACACATTTGAATGGACCAGCCAGTCAGTTCTCCAGCACACTATAGGGTTGTTGAATTTTATACCGCAAGAAATGCAAAGTAATTTTTAATGTATGATTAATCAGGATGAGTACATCTGCAATCAAAAAGATAAAAATAATTTTGAAACTGCTTTTATCCATAGCATGGTTGAAAGAGTTGACTGTCCATAAACTAAATAAATAAGATCAGTGCTTGCTGGCAAGGCCACGATCACCACTCTCTGTTCAATGCCTAGCACTCTGCCAAGCACCAAAAGGCATGCAGTATTTGTGAACCAAGTGAAAGTCATGCTGTAGAAAGAAAAGAGTTGGTTCATGCAATGGGGAAAGCGTAGAGCAATTGTAGGTACTGCATGAGTGGAGAATCTCTCCCTTGCTTACTGTGAAGAGCATAGAGCTGCACCTTCCAGAATGAAACATTCAGAGACAATGTCTTATTTGTAGCAGTAGATCAAAGAGGCCAAGAAATGGCTGAGATGAAAATAGAGGAAGAAGGAAGGACACAAACAAGAATATAATTCATCAGTTCGAATGTTTAGAGCATATTTCAGGTGGCAAAGGAAAGGAGGAAATGTTCCACTTAAAGAAGAGGTTAAGGAACAGAGAGGGTTCATATGAATAAATCTGGGAACAGAGAAAGGGAACAAAATCTAGCCTTGTCATAAGTGAGAGAGGATATGGAATGAATAATGATTTGAGCCTCCTCAAGTGGAGCCTTTTTAAAGTCAAGTTGCAGACAAATGAATAAACTAATTTAGGAGAGCAGCAAGTCATGAAGGCCTTATTAAAAATAGCCATGAACCAGAATGAGGTAAGGGATTACTTAGGAAATGTGAGCCAACTGAAACCAGTAGCCATGGCATACCAAATCTTATGAAGAAAAAGACTTTCTGTGCTGTATTTTGATTTATGGGAAAGGAAAGTAAAAAGCCATGACAAGAAAACCAAACAGGAAAACCACATTCATTTGGATCTAGCCAACTCAGTTTTGTAATAATCCCAGACCTAGGGTGGAATAAACTTACCTTTTGCGTTTCAAACAAAAAACTGTTAGCTAAGCAAATTATTAGTGTTCATATCAGATGGGATTAAATCACCTTGGGAGAAAATAATTTCTTTTAAATATTTCTTTGGCACTAATTTGCATATAATAATCCATATCCTAATCATCAACATGTCTCATGCAATGAACAACCTTTTATTTTCGAACATCTATTGTGTGTCAAGAAGCATGCTAGACATAGAAGATACAAAGCTAGAACTATATCCGTGCTCCTTGACTTTAAGAAACTCATGGTTAGGTATCAAGGAAGGAGGAGAAAAATATACAGGAGAATATCATCAGTTTAAAAAACATTGCTAAATGTCTATCATCTGTCAGGAAAAATTCTAGATAGTTGACATATATCACTTGCATTTCCCCATGCTTAGCCAGGGCATGGGTGCAAATGAATTCACCTTAATAGTAATAATCCAAGTAAAACTGGTTTCCTTTTTCCTGTTTTCCCAACCAATGACTATTGCCCCTTTCTTCTTCCAAAGTAACATCACAAAGATCAAATGGAGCAACTAAGCCCAATGAGAACTTGCCAGAATAAGCCCTTGTTTGTCCACACTTACCCCACCCCCAAGGTCTTCTTTATAATGAGAAACTTTCCAAGACCCACTTGGTGTCTACATGAAGCTTAGCTATCTAATACCCAGAACTCAACAGAAGACATTTTTGAACCTTTATAAAGTGTTAGGCCTCAAGTTTCCTCAGGCCATACCTCACCTTGATTACAAATGAAATGGCATGCACTTTCATAACTCAAATTTCACTGACTTGTATCCCCACCTATGTAATAGAGAGCCTCAGTCCCCCTTAAGCTCTACCCAGTTATTTCTAATAGTTGTCAGGAACAGTCCTTTCATATTGTTCTTCCACTCTCACTCTCTTCGTGAATGTCAACTGCCAACAAATTCGATCAACAAACGTTTCTTAGTCACAAGCAGTTGCTCAGTTACTGGGGATCCAGAGGGGACCACGACAGCCAAAAGCCTTCCTCTTATTAAGGAACTTTCATTTTTTTTAATTTTATTTTCTTCGTAATTTTTCATTGTGATGGTCTTATTTTTATGACTTATTTTTTGTCTTTAAAATGTATTATCAATTTTAAAATGTAAAATCAATTAAATGCAATGAACAACCTTTTATTTTTGAACACCTATTGTGTGTCAAGAAGCATGCTAGACATAGAAGATACAAAGCTAGAACTATATCCATGCTCCTTGCCTTTAAGAAACTCACAGTCAGGTATCAAGGAAGGAGGAGAAAAATATACAGGAGAATATCATCCATTTAAAAACATTGCTAAATGTCTATCATCTGTCAGGAAAAATTCTAGATGACATATATAACATATAACATATATATTTAATTGATAAATAATTGCATATATTCTGTACAACATGATGTTTTGAAACATGTATACATTGTAGAGTGGCTAAACTGACCTAATTAAAATATGCATTACCTCATATGCTTATCTTTTTTTTATAGTAAGAACAGTTAAAAATCTACTGTCTTAGCAATTTTCTTTCAAATTCAGTCACATTTTTCAGGCTCCATTTCTAATTCTAGTTCTCTTGCTATTGAGACCCTGTGACAGGGTCTCAATCTGTCACCCAGGCTGGAATGCAGTGTTTCATTCACAGCTCACTGAAATCTCAACCTCCTGTGTTCAAGCGATCCTCCCACTTCTGCCTGTAGCTGGGAGTACAGGCATGTGCCACCACGCCTGGTGAATTTTTGTATTTTTTTGTAGAGATGGGGTTTTGCCATGTTGCCCAGGCTAGTCTCTAACTCTTGAGCTCAAGAGTTTGAATGCTGAAGCGATCCACCTCACTTGGCTTCCCAAAGTGCTGGAATTACAGGCATGAGCCACCGTACCTGGCCAGCAATTTTTAAGAATACAATATGTTCTTATTAACTACAGTCACCATGTTGTTCAGTAGATCTCTTGAATTTATTTCTCCTATCTAACTGAAACTTTATACCCTTTGACCAACATCTCCCCAGTCCTTGCCCCCCGGTTCTGGTAACCACTATTCTACTTTCTGCTTCTGAGTTAAGCAACTTTTTAAAATTCCACATATAAGTGAGATCATGTAGCATTTGTCTTTCTGTCCCTGGCATCTTTCCTTTAATATAATGTCCTCCAGGTTCATCCATGTTGTCACAAATGACAGGAATACCTTCCTTTTTAAGGCTGAATAGTATTCCATAGTGTATATATACTACATTTTCTTTATCCAGTCATCCATTGATGGACACGTAGGCTAATTTCATATCTTGACTACCGTGAATAATGCTGCACATAATGGGAATTCAGCTATATCCTCAACATATTTATTCATTTCCTTTAAATATATACCCAGTACTGGGATGGTTGGATCATATAGTGGTTCTATTTCTAACTTTTTGTGGACCCTCCATACTGTTTCTCATAATGGTTGTACTAATTTACATTCCTACCAACAGTGTACAGGTATACTTTGGAGATATTGACGGTTTGGTTCCAGACCACTTCAATTAAAGCAAATATTGCAATGAAGTGATTCATACAAATGTTTTGGATTCTCAGTGCATATGAAAGTTACATTTGCATAATACTACAGTCTACTAAGTATGCAATAGTATTATGTCTAAAGAACAATATACATAGCTTAATTTAAAAGTACTTTGTTGTTAAAAACAATGTTATCGATCATCTGAGCTTTCAGTGACTCATAATCTTTTTGCTGATGGAGGGTCCTACCTGCATGTTGATGGCTGCTGACTGATCAGGGTGGTGGTTGCTGTAGATTGGGGGGCTGTGGAAATTTCTTAAAATAAGGCAACAGAGAAGTTTGCCACATCAATGGGCTCTTCCTTTCGTGAAAGATTTCTCTGTAGCATGAGATGCTGTTTGATAACATTTTATCCACAGCAGAACTCTTTCAAAATTGAAGTCAATGATCTCCAACCCTGCTGATGCTTTATCAACTAAGTTCATGTAATATCCCAAATCCTTTGTTATTTTAACAATCTTCACAACATCTTCACCAGGAGTACTTTCCATCTTGAGAAACCACTTTCTTTGCTCATCCATAAGAAGCAATTCCTCATCTGTTTAATTTTTATCATGAGATTGAAGCAATTCAGTCACATTTTCAGGCTCCATTTCTAATTCTAGTTCTTTTGCTATTCTACCACATCTGCACTGACTTTCTCTGCTGAAGTCTTAAACCTAATCAAAGTCATCTAAGAGGGTTGGAATCAACTTCTTCCAAACTCCTGTTAATACTGATATTTAAATATCCTCCCATGAATAACAAATGTTCTTAACGGCATCTAGAATGGTGAATATTTTCCAGAAGGTTTTCAATTTACTTTGTCCAGACTGATCAGAAGAATTGCTATCCATGGCAGTTATAACCTTATAAAATGTATTTC
The DNA here is from genome assembly GCF_000001405.40 of Homo sapiens. Lineage (NCBI taxonomy): Eukaryota > Metazoa > Chordata > Mammalia > Primates > Hominidae > Homo > Homo sapiens. Next base: position 111,079,671 of record NC_000023.11, on the reverse strand, counting down.
TTAAACAGTAAGACTTGAAAGTCAAAATTTCCCATTGATCCATGGGCTGCAGAAGAGATGTTGTGTTAGCAGGCATGAAAACAACATTAATCTCCTTGTACATCTCCATCAGAACATTTGAGTGACCAGGTGTATTGTCAGCAAACAGTAATATGTTGAAAGGAATCATTTTCTGAGCAGTGTATCTAAACAGTGGGCTTAAAATATCCAGTAAATCATGCTGTAAAGAGATGTGCTGTCATCCAGGCTTTGTTCTTTCATTTATGGAGCATAATCAGAGTAGATTTAGCATAATTCTTAAGGGCCCTAGGATTTTCAGAATGGTAAATGAACATTAGCTTCAACTTAGTCACTGGTTGCGTTAGCCTCTAACAAGAGTCAGCCTGTCCTTTGAATCTTTGAAGCCAGACATTTACTTCTCTAGCTATGAAAGTCCTTAGATGGCATCTTCTCCCAATAGAGGGCTGTTTTGTTATATTGAAAATTCATTGTTTAGTGTAGCCATCTTCATCAATGATCTTAGCTAGCTCTTTTGGGTAACTTGCTGCAGCTTCTCCTTCAGTACTTGCTGTTTCACCTTGCAGTTTCATGTTATGGAGATGGCGTTTTTCCTTAAATCTCGTGAACTAATCACTGCTAGCTTCAAACTTTTCTTTGGCACTTTACTAACCTCTCTCAGCCTTCATACAATTGAAGAAAGTTAGGCCTTGCTCTGGATTAGGCTTTTGCTAAAGGGAATGTTGTAGCTGGTTTGACATTTTACCTAGACCACTCAAACTTTGCCCATATTAGCAATAAGTCTGTTTTGTTTTCTCATCATTCATGTGTTCACTGGAGTAGCACTTTTAGTTTCCCTCAGGAACTTTTACTTTGCATTCATAACTTGGATAACTGGTACAAGAGGCCTAGCTTAGGTCTATCTTGGCTTTCAATATGCCTTTCTCACTAAGCTTAATCATTTCTAGTTTTTTATTTAAAGGGAGAGACATGCGGCTCTTCCTTTCACTTGAATGCTTAGAGACTGTTTTGGGGTTATTAATTGGCCTAATTTCAATATTGTTGTGTCTCAGAAAATAGGCAGGGCTTAGGAGAGGGAGAAGGAGAGAGATGGGAGGACAGCTGGTTGGTGGAGCAGTCAGAACATACACAACATTTCTTGATTATGTTTGCCATCTTATATGGGCATAGTTCATGGTGCCTCAAAACAATTACAATAGTAGTATCACTGATCATAGATCAATATAATAGATATAAGAATAATGAAAAAGTTTGAAATATTGTGAGAATTACCAATGTGTGACACAGAGATGTGAAGTGAGAAGATGCTGTTGGAAAATGATGCTGAATGACTTGATGTATGCAGTGTTGCCACAAACCTTCAATTTGTAAAAAAAAAAAAACAAAACAAAACAAAAAAAAAACTATGATAGCTGCAAAGCACAATTAAACAAAGTACAATAAAAGAAGGTGTGCCTTACATAGGCTCCCCTTTCTCCACATCCTCACCAAAACTTATCTTCCATATTTTTGATAATAGTCATTCTAACAAGTATGAGGTGATATCTCATTGTGGTTTTAATTTGTATTTCCCTGTTGATTAGTGATGTTGAGCTTTTTTCATATACTTGTTGGCTATTTGCATGTCTTGTTTTGAGAAATGTCAATTCAATTCAGGTCCTTTTTCCATTTTTTAATTGGGTTATTTGTTTTCTTGCTATTGAGTTGTTTGAGTTTCTTATACATTTTGGATATTAATCCCTCATCAGATGCATGGTTTTCAAATATTTTATCCCGTTCCATAGGGTGTCTCGTCACTGTGTTGTTTCCCTTGCTATGCAGAAATTTTTAGCTTGATGTAATCCCATTTGTCTAATTTCGCTTTAGTTGTCTGTGCTTTTGGGGTCATAGGTCAAATATCATTGCCCAGATCAATGTCACAGAGGTTTTTCCCTATATTCTCTTCTAGTAGTTTTACAGTTTCAAGTATTATATTTAAGTCTTCAACCCATTTTGACTTAGTCTTTGTGTATATTATGAGTGAAGCTTCTAATTTTATTCTTCTGCCTGTGGATATCAAGTTATGCCCGCACCATTTATTAAGGAGACTGTTCTTTCCCCATTGTGTGGTCTTGGCATCTTTGTCAAAAATCAATTTACCTTAAATGTGTGGGTCTATTGCTTGGCTGTTCATTCTGTTCCATTGGTCTATATATCTATTCTTATGCCAGTACCATGCTGTTTTGATTAATAGAGTTTTGTGATATATTTTGAAGACAGGCATTGTATTGCCTACAGCTTTGTTCTTTTCACTCAAGATTTCTTTGGTCCTTTAGGCTCTTTTGTGTCTCCACACAAATATTAGGATTGTTTTTCTATTTTTGTGAAAAAATATCATTGGAATTTTGATAGGGATTTTATTGAATCTGTGGATTGCTTTGGGTAGTATGGACATTTTAACAATATTAGTTTTTCCAATCCATGTATATGGAACATCTTGCCATTTATTTGTATCTTCTCCAATTTCTTTCATCAATATTTTATAGTTTTCAGTGTAGCGATCTCTCACCTCCTTGGTCTTTATTCCTAAATAGTATATCTTATTTGTTATTTAATGCTATTATAAAAGAGACTGTTTTCTTGATTTTTTGGGGGGGGATAGTTCATTATTAGTGTATAGTAGCAGTACTACATTTTGCAACCTTACTGAATTTATAATTTCCAAGAGTTTTTTTTGGTGGAGTTTCTGGGATTTTCTATATATAAGATTATGTCATTTGCAAACAGAAACCATTTAAACTTCTTCCTTTCTGAATGGGATGCCTTTTATTTCTTTCTCTTGCCTAATCACTCTGGCTAGGAATTCCAGTACTAGGTTGAGCAGAAGTGGCAAGAGTGGACATCCTTGTCTTGTTCTTGATTGTAAACAAAGAGCTTTCAACTTTTCACTGCTAAGTATGATGTTAGCTATGGGTTTGTCATACATGACCTTCATTGTGTTGAATACATTCCTTCTGTGTTAGTTCACTTGTGTTACTATCAAGAAATACCTGAGACTGGGTAATTTATAAAGAAAAGAGGGTTATTTTGGCTCACAGTTCTATAGGCTGTGCAGGAAATATGGTACTGGCATCTGCTCTTGGTGAGGCTTCAGGAAGCTTACAATCATGGCAGAAGGCAAAGGGGAAGCAGACACATCATATCACAAGAGCTGGAAACAAGAGAGCAAGCGGGGAGGACACAGCCTGTTTTAAACAACCAGATCTTACGTGTATGAATTGCACAATAATTCACTTTTCTCTTAGAGTATGGTGCTAAGCCATTCATGAGAGATCATCCCCTCTGATTCAGTCACCTCCCAACAGGTCTCACCTCCAACATTGGAATCACATTTCAACTTGAGATTTGGAGGGGACGAATATCCAAACCATATAATTCTGCCCCTGGCCCCTCAAATCTCACATCCTTCTCACATTTCAAAATACAATCATGCCTTTGCAATAGTCCCCCCAAGACTTAACTCATACCAGCATTAATTCAAAAGTCCCAACTCCAAAGTCCAAAGTCTCATCTGGAGACCTATGAGCCTGTGAGATAAAAAAAACAACTTATTCACTCCCAAGGTACAATGGCGGTATAGGCATTGACCAGACATTTTCATTACAAAATGGAGAAATTGGCTAGAAGGAAAGGGCAATAGGCCCCATGCAAGTCTAAACCCAGAAGGGTAGTCACTAAATCTTAAAGCTCCAAAATATTCTCCCTTGACTCCATGTCCACCAGCCAGGGCACACTGGTATGAGGGATGGGCTCCCAAGGTTTTGGGCAGTTTCATTTCTGTGGCTTTGCTAGATGCAGACTATGTAGCTGCTCTGATGGGTTGGAGTCCAGTGCTTGTGGCTCTTCTAGGCTGAGGATGCGAGTTGCTGCTGGCTCAACTATTCTTGTGTATGGAGGGCAGCAACCCCCTTCCTACAGCTCCACCAGGCAGTACCTGGTTGGGGCTCTGAGTGTGGGCTGCAACCTCACATTTCCTCTTGGTGCTGCCATAGTAGAGGCTCTCTGTCAGGGAATCTGCTACTGCAGCAGGCTGTTGCCTGGTTGTTCAGGTTTTCCCATACATCCTCTGAAATCTAGGTGGAAGTCACCAAGCCTCCTTCACTCTTGCATTCTGTGTACCTGCAGACTGAACATCACATGGAAGCTGCCAAGGCTTACAGCTTGTGCCCTCTGAAGCAGTGGTCCGAGCTGTATCTAGGGCCCTTTGAACCACAGCTGGAGCTGGAGCAGTAGGGATGCAAGAAGCAGCCTCCTGAGGTGTCACGGGGCATTGGCACTCTGGGCCTGGCCCATGAAGCCATTCTTTACTCTTAAGCCTCTGGGCCTGTGATGGGAGGAGCTGTCCCAAAGACTTCTGAAATGCCTTCAAGGCCTTTTCCCCATTATCTTGGACACTGGCACTTGGCTCCCTTTTAGTTGTGATAATCTAAATTGCTCCACAGCCTGTTTGAATTCCACTCCTGAAAATACCTTTTCCTTCTTTGTGACATGGCTAGGCTTCAAGTTTTTCATTTTTTTTCTCTGCTTCCCTTTTAAATATGAGTTCCAACTTTAAGTCATTTCGTTGCTCCTGTATCTGATTGTAGGATGTTATAAGCTGCCTGGCCATCTCTTAAACACTTTGCTGCTTAGAAATTCCTTCCACCAGATACCCAAAGTCATCACTCTTGGGTTCAAACACACACAGACCCCTAGGGCATGAACACAATCCAGCCTAATTCTTTGCTAGGGCATAATACGAATGATCTTTACTCCAGCTCCCAATAAATTCCTCATTTACATCTGAGACCTCATCAGCCTGGACTTCACTACCCACATCTCCATCAGCATTTTGGTCACAACCATTTAATGAGTCTCTAAGAAGTTCCAAAATTTCCCTAATCTTTCTGTCTTCTTCTGCAACATTCAAATTTTTCAACCTTTATCTGTTACCCAGTTCCAAAGCTGCTTCCACATTTTCAGGTATCTTTACAGCAACTCCTTGGTATCAAATTTCTGTATTAGGCTATTTTTGCATTGCTATAAAGGAATACCTGGGGCCGGGTAATTTGTAAAGAATGGTTTATTAGTTCACGGTTCTGCAGCCTGTAAAGCATGGCACCAACATCTGCTCAGCTTCTGGGTGAGGGCCTGAGGAAGCTTATAATCGTGGCAGAAGATGAATGGGGAACATGCATGACACATGGCAAGAGTGAGAACAAGAGAGCAAGGGGAGAGATCTCAGACTCTTTCAAACAACCAGATCTCACATGAACTAACTGAGCAAGAACTCGTTTATCACCAAAGGGTTGGTGCTAAGCCATTCATGAGGGATCATCCCCCATGATCCAATAACCTCCCAACAGGCCCCCACCTCTAACACTGGGAATCATATTTCAACATGAGGTTTGGAGGGGACAAATATCCAAATCATAGTGCCTTCTAAACCTAATGTATTTAGAGTTTTTATAATGAAAGAATGTTGAATTTTGTCAAATGCTTTTTCTGTATCTATTGAAATGATCATATGGTTTTTGTCCTTTATTCTTTTAATTGGTGCATCACATTTATTAATTTGTGTATGTAAAACTATTCTAGCACCCCAGAGATAAATCCTTTTTGATCATAAAGAATGTTATTTTTAATGTGCTGTTGAATTTATCTTGCTAGTATTTTGTTGAAGATTTTTACATCTATGTTCATCAGGGGTATTGACCTGCAGTTAATTTTTTATTGTTGTTATGTCTTTGTCAGTTTTTGGTATCAAGGTAATTCTGGCCTCATAAAATGAGTTTGGAAGTATTCCCTCTTCTTAGATTTCTTGAAAGAGTTTCAGAAGAATTGGTATTAGTTCTCTAAATATTGGTGGAATTTAGCAGTGAAGGCATCAGACCATGAGCGTTTCCTTGATGTGGGACTATTTATTTCTTATTCAATGTCTTTACTCACCATTTGTCTGTTCATATTTTCTATTTCTTCATGATTTAACATTTGTAGATTATATGTATCTAGTAATGTATCCATTTTTCTAGGTTATCTAATTTATTGGCATATAACTTCATAGTAGATTCTTATGATCATTTGTTTTTATTTAGTCATCAGTTGCAATGTGTTCTTTCATTTCTGATTTTCAGTCTTCTCTCCTTTGTTCTTAGTCTAGCTAAACATTTGCCAATTTTGTATACCTTTTCAAAAACCACTCCTACTTTTATTGATCTTTTCTACTGACTTTCTATTCTCCATTTCATTTGTATCTGTACTGATTTTTATTATTTCTTTCCTTCTACCAACTTTGGGCCTAGTTTGTTCTTTTTTCTAGTTCCCTGAGGTGTAATGTTAGGTTATTTATTTAAGATCTTCTTTTTTGATGTAGGCATTTTCTACTATCAGCTTCCCTCTTAATAGGGAACGTTGCTGCATTCCATAAGTTTTGGTATGTTATGTGTCCATTTTCACTAGACAGAGCTTGTGTTTCTAATGAAAGATAGTGGTAGCCCCTCCAACCCAGTCCAGCTACTGATGGTACTAGTACCTGTGGCTGTGGGAACATGGAGGCCCCCGCTAGACTGTGGGGGAGTATGGATTCTGAAGTGCTCCCAGCTACACATCCCTGAGGGGCTTAAATGGTGCTGCCCTCTTTTCTGGCAGCTTTGTCTGAAACCAACAATGGGTCTACATAGAAGGGTAGGAATGCCCCTTTCAGTTCTGTGCTATAATTTTGTCACCTGGACACTGAAACAATATTGCTTCTAACCTGTATCTGAGTGAGGCTCCTGTGAGAAAAACATCTTCAGCTTCTTACTGCAGCAACATCTCCCCAACAACCCACTCCCACCACCCTAGCTCAGACTTTCAAACTTGGTTACTGTCCTTGGAGAACAAACACCATCATATCTTATCAGATTGCTCCTCCATCCCTACAAATTCAGTTTCTGACACAGCCCTCCTCTGCATAAAGCCTTTTGCCTTCTGCAGATTATCTCAAGAAAATAAACATATGGGGGTCTTCACATACCCAGATGTGTCAGAATATCAATTCACTCTCATCAGGACCCCTGCTACACATAATGCATTTCATGTAATCCCTAGAACAATCTCATGTGATCAGATACAAGTTTCAGTCCACCATTAATAATTACAAACTCTAGAAAGCTCTGAAGACCAAACAGTTTTTCATAAGTTTGTTGCTAAAACTTGCCTGGTGACAAAACTTGTTGTGAATTGACATGAGGCACTCTCAGTGTAACTATTCATATGCTTTGTTGCAGAAATATTGATGTGATTGATTACCGGGTTCTGTCCCACTGAAGGTGTTATGCAACATGCAGTATTTTTAAAATAAAAAGCCCACAAAACTTGAATTATAAAACTTATTTGGCACCAAGGATTTTGGATAAGTGGTTGGGAAATGATTTTTATAGCAATTTCGTAGATATGAAAACTGATATTCAGACACATTAGGAGACTTGGCCAAGGACATAGAGCTAGCAAGTAGTGGAGATTGCAAGTAGAATCAAGGTCTTTCTTAATCTTAACCCCTTGAAATTTCCAGTACAGTGTACAAGTTTGGCTGGGTAATTATGTATGTGAAAGGGTGAGCAGATGGTTGCTGACATCAAAGGATAATTAAGACCAAGTAACCAGAGAACATCTAGAAATCTTGCCTTGAAAATTATGTGTATCTGTTTGTTAGCTACCTTGGTGATATCATTTGTCACAGTTCTACACTCAAATGAAATTATTTTCTGGGAGTGTGTTTTAGTCTTGTATTTAGAAAACTGAGAAACTTAATGGGAAAATTCAGAGAAAGTATCAATTTCTAAAGGATTCTATGATGTTTACCACTCTACTCTCTGGCTGGAACATGTGGACTTGAATTAGAAAATTTGAACAGTACTATTTGTTCAAGATAAACCACCTGTGTGACCAAATAAGCCATGTTCAAGAAATGTGACAGCTTCATTTAATATTTCCAGTGCTTTAATTAACTATACTCATAAGAGTTGCTATTTTTGAGACTCTACTAGAGATGAGAAACTGCTATATAGTTTACACCATTTTGTTTAAGAATCTTATAGCAACTCTGAAATATAGAGAGATGATGACGAGGAGGAGGAGAACAATAATAATAGTGTATTAAATCCTTACATGTGGTAGTCATTATGTGAGCTAAATTCCATATGTACATTATCTCTATTCTCTCAACAAACCCATGAGACATACATTACTAATATTCCATTAAAGATAAGGAAATTTAGGCACAGAATGCTTAAAGTGATGTTTCCTAGGTAACACAGCTACTTATGTGGTCACTGTTTCATAGTGGAGAAAAGGTTTGAATCCAGTTCTTTCTGTTTCCAAAGACCAAATATGGCCTTACTGAACTAGTCTTGTCAAGGGTGTAGGTGAAAATTCCCAAAACAGTTTTAGCATCCAGCTGAATGGTGTAAGCAAGGAATAGACTGTCCCATTAGATGGGACAACTTACACAAATTCTAGAGTCCAATACCTGATAATTACATGTGCACTGTGAAATATCACTGGAAACAATATTTTAATACATCAAAGGGTTGGAAAAATGACAGGTTGCATGTGAAAGAACCACATGCAGCTCCAGAGGCTCAGGAAAGTATTGCTTCATTAAAGGATACAATTCTCTATCGGCAAACAGGAATGTGTCATATCTGCCCTCAATTATGGGAGTCAGGTATGAAAATTCTCCCTACCAGGGGCACAGCATGTAACAACCTGGTTGGGCTCTTTGGAGAGCATCATGAGCTCAAAGCAGTGAATAAGACAGACTATCAAAAGGTGGGCTAAGTATGAACAGTGGCAGAGTCAAATGCAATGTTTTCAGGTGAACCTGAGACTACAGAATGGCATTGTTTTTGTGGAACTCAGTTGCCTCACCTATAAAATGGAGATTAAAGAAATATCGTTCTCAGCTGAAAGAAGGGAACTACATCAGGTAGCCTCAAAGTCCCTTCCAGTTCTAAGAGATCTATTAATATGATTCATTTGAAAGAGCTATTCATGAAGTATAATGATGACTACAAGTACACAAAGGCCTTACCCTTCGTTTCAGATACTTTTGCAGTCAAAGAAGCCTTCTCGCCCTGCCCCACTTCATCTTGAGTTGCAAAAATTTCCCTGCTGCAAAGGAATTGCAAAGATTTTTCTACAGCAAATGTGGCTCAGCCTTAGAAAGGTATCATGTCTCTTTTTGAGGAATGCTGTGGCCTAGACAAATGACCAGAACTTTTTGAATCACAGAGTACAAGTAACCTCACTGGAAGCATACACAGTTGAAGACTAACCTGCATTGTCCATATAAATGATCAAATTCAGCTGTTGTCCATATAAATGATCAAATTCAGCTGTTGTCCATATAAATGATCAAATTCAGCTATATAAAGATAGGGGCTTCATAACAGCTGTGGGTTGGTGCAACTACCCTACCCTGGAATCACAGCTGAAGGTCTGTTTTTTGTTGTTGTTGTTTGTTTGTTTGTTTGTTTGTTTTGTCTCAGGATTACCTTGTACCCATATAATGGAAAATCATTTTTTAGTGGCTTGAATGGGTAGAAAATTGACCATAAAACAGAAAAAAACTAATAGATAATGCAATGCATAGGGCTATCTGGCAGAAAGGTTAGCAGAACACAATGTTAGGTACCACTTTATTCTGCACTGTCATTAGTGATACAGAAGAGAAAATGAAAAAGGCAGTCAGTCTCAGTCTGCAAAAGACCCCAATTAAGGGTCGTCAAGGAAGTAAGAACATTAAAAACAATGGAAGTGTCACAGAAAGGAAACACTGTTCTGGAGTCCACTTGGGGGAGGGGACAACCCTATTCATTTGGAAAACAAATTAAACCCCACTATTCTCAGGATGTATGTGTGAGGTGTCAGTAAAGGTATTGCCAGTAGCAGTGGGAGGAGATAGAGACCATGAAAGCAGTCTAAAGGAGGCCCCTGTTCTGAGATATGAGATACGAGATACAGACTTGTGTCACAAGGCAATGATACTGTGTTCCTACAGATGAGGCACCAAGGGAGATGAAGCATTCATCTAGACTGCTAAGCAAGACAAATACATATTTTGTATTGTTTGTATCTTGCTAAGAATATCTAAATATATAGTAATATAGAAGGTAATATATACATCATCCTCTTTGTTAGAAACAGTAGGTTTGAAGAGCAAGAAGGCAGTGGAGTTAACTGGAAGAAAAACTAACTAGAACTCTTAGCCTCCATGGACAGATGGATTGTTTTTTCTCCAGGACAGGACTTTGAATATTCTACTTCCTCAGTGCCACACAACCTATGGGATATGCCCATAACCAACTACCCAGAAACCGAAGTGTAGCTACAAACCAGTAGGATTAGATAAGTCAACATGATGTGTCCTGACTGACAAAGAGGGCTCATAAGACAAACACCTTCTTTCCAAACGTGAAGAGGGGTCTGTAAGAAAGGGACTACATGTCTCTAAGTGGACCAACTGACTCCTGAGAACTGACATTAAGTCTCATTTCTCACATCCTTAAATGCTCACTCTCAGGTGGTGCTGAATATAAAAAAGCCAACATCACACTGCCTCTAGATTGGGAAATAGAGGCACACACTGCGACAGACTATTACCATTTGTATCGATTGAGAATACGGGCTCAGAAATCAGCTATGCAGGACTGAAATGTAATTAGAAATCAGCAGTAAAGTGATAACCAACTACCCCACTCCCATTACACAAGCTCAACGCAATATATATCTATAAATTAAAAACATAAACACACTTTTAAATAACTCTTGAATTGAAGATGAACTTAAATTGATATTGCAAATGCTTTAGCAATCAAAGATGATGAGTGAAGTATATATCCAAGTCTGTTAGATGCAGGTAAAGCAATATTCAGAGAAAAACATGGCCTTAAATTCACATATTAGAAATTATAAACAAATGAAAAGTCAACGAACTAAGCTATCAAGTCCAGGTGTTAGTTTTACAAAACAGCACAGTAAGATAGACCCATGGGTCGGGCACAGTGGCTCACGCCTGCAATCCCAGCACTTTGGGAGGCCGAGGTGGGCAGATTGTTTGAACCCAGGAGTTCAAGACCAGCCTAAGCAACATGGCAAAAACCAGTCTCTATCAAAAAATATACAAAAATTAGCCAGCGTGGTGGCACACACCTGTGATCTCAGCTACTCAGGTGGCTGAGGTGGGAGGATTGCTTGAGCCCAGGAGACAGAGGTTGCAGTGAGCCATGACTGCACCACTGCACTCCAGCCTGGGCAACAGAGCCAGACTCTGTCTTGAAAGCTAAAATAAAAATAAAACAAGCCTATGGGAATTGGAAGGGAGAGATTAAGATAAAAACAGAAAACTGTTAAATAGAAAACAAATAAATTATAGATGATCCATAAAACGAGACTGTTTTTAAGAGTCAAACCTTCATTAAATACTAATATGAAAAAATGAAGAAGGTGAAAAAATATCACCAGGAAGCCAAATATGAACACAAATATAGGTACCAAGGTAATATTAAAAATAAAATAATACTACATAGAATTTTAAACTAATATGTTTCAATGAGAAAATTTTTAGAAAAATAAAATTACTAAAATTTACCCAATAAAAAGTAGAAAATCATAGAAAAATAATAGAACAAATTGAAAGGCTAAACATTTTATGGGTAATTCCAAACCTTCAAATCACAGACAACTTTAATTTTATAGAAATAGTTCCAGAGGGTACAACAAGATGGACGGCTCCTCCAAATCAGACAGACAGGACAAGAAAGAAAAAGAAAATTATAGACTAATCTTATTTATTAATATAAATATAAAAATTCTAGAAAAAATAGAATCTAGCAGCTTATTAAAATGATGCACTATAATCAAGTAGAGTTTATTCAGGAATGTACGCATAGTTTAACATTAGCAAATTTATTAAAGTAATTAAATACAATTATAGACTAAGAGACAAATCACATAATCATCTCAACAGATGTTGAAAACACATTTGACAAAATTTTATGTCCATCCATGTTAAAAATCCATAGCCAATAAAGATTAGAAGAGAACTTCCTCAACAAATCTTGTGAAAATTCTGAGGAGGTAATTTTGATTATGAGTACAAGCTTTGGAGTCAGACTGCCTTAGTTAGGATCTTGGTTCCATCCAAGCTGTGTGACCTTGGAAAATTGCTTACTCTTTCTGAGCTTCACTTTTCTCATCCACAAAAAATGAGAAAAATAATAGTACACTCCTCATAGTATTGTTGCAAGGATTAAACGATATAAAATATATAAAGGCACTTACTCGGGCAATATAAAGTACTCAATAAATATGAATTGCTATTGGTAGTTCTTATTGACAAAATATTAAAATGAGAAACAAGATAAAGATGGCCACTATTACCACTTACTATTCAACATGGTGATGTCCTAACCAATGCAATAAGGTATAAAATAAATTTAAAAATAAGAGAATAAGGATTCGAAAGCAAGAGACAAAATTTTTGTTATTCACAAACAATATGGCTATATAAAAATCTGAGGTAGTCAACGGATAAAATATTAGAACAAATATGAAAAGTCCAGGAGGGTGGTTAAATGAAATATCAGACTACAAAAATCAATACCTTTCCTACACATCATCAACAACTTATTAGGGTACATGATAGGAAAATAAATATCATTTGCAATAGCAATAGAAACTTAAAAATATTACGTATGAGACTCTGAGCAAGTTATTTAACCTCTCTCAGCTTCAATTTTCTCATATGTTGTATAGACAAGTTAATAGTACATATCTCACAGAGTTGTTAAGAGAATTGAATGACACAATACGGACTATATGCTTATTAAATGGCAGCATTATTGCAGTACAACTATTGTTATTGTTTTGTTTTAAAATTATCTATTTCTCAATTTAGACAGCCATGCAATAACAGTGGGGCACTTTATCACCCCACTGACAGCATTAGACAGATTATTGAGGCAGAAAGCTAACAAAGAAATTCTGGACTTAAATTCAACGCTTGACATATTGGACCTAATAGACATTTACAGAATTCTCCACCTGCCAACCACAAAATATACATTTTTCTCATCTGCACATGGAACATACTCCAAGATGGACCACATGCTTGGCCATAGCAAGTGTCAATAAATTTTTAAAAAATCAAAATCATACCAACCATGCTTGCAGACCACAGTGGAATCAAAATAAAAATCAATGCCAAAATCTCTCAAAACCACACAACTATGTGAAAATTAAATTATGTGAAAATTAAACAGCTTGCTTCTGAATGATTTTTGAGTAAACAATGAAATTAAGGCAGAAATCAAAAGATTGTTTGAAATAAATGAAAACAGACACAAAACATACCAAAATCTCTGGGATGCAGTAAAAGCAGTGTTAATAGGAAAGTTGATAGTGCTAACCAACTACCTAAAAAAGTTAGAAAGATCTCAAATTACTGATCTGACATCACACCTAGAGGAACTAGAAAAACAAGAACAAACTAACCTCAAAGCTACCAGAAGAAAAGAAATAAATAAAATCAGAGCAGAGCTGAATGAAATTGTGACACAAAAATCCATACAAGGAATAAACGAAACCAAAAGTTGGTTCTTCAAAAGAATAAACAACGTCAATACACTGCTAGTTAGATTAAGAAAGAAAAAGACTTAAATGAGTATGATCAGAAATGACAAAGATGACATTACAACTGATCCCGCAGAAATACAAAAGATCCTCAGAGATTACTATGGACACCTATATGCACACAAACTAGAAAATCTAGACTAAATGGATAAATTCCTGGCAATGCACAATCTTCCAAGATTGAGTCAGGAAAAAAATTGGAACCCTGAAAAGATTAATATTAAGTTCAGAAACATAATTAGCAATTCAAAACCTACCAATCAAAAAGAGCCCCTTACCAAATAAGTTCTCAGCCACATTCCACCAGATAGCCAAAGAAGAGCTGATACTAATTCTACTGAAACTATTTCAAACAAATTGAAGAGGAGGGGCTCCTCCCTAATTCATTCTACAAAGCAAACATCACCCTGATATCCAAACCCAGCAAAGACAGAACAACAAAAAAGAAAACTACAGGCCAATATCCCTGATAAACATAGACACAAAAATCTTCAACAAAATACTAGCAAACCGAATCCAGCAGCACATCAAAAAGATAATTCACCACATTTAAATAGGCTTAATTCCTGGCATGCAAGGTTGGTTTGACATAAATCAATAAATGTGATTCACCACATAAACAGAATGAAAAACAAAAAAAAAAACGTGATCATCTTAATAGACACAGAAAAAGCATTAGGTAAAATCCAACATCCCTTCATGATAAAAACCCACAACAAACTAGGCATTAAAGGAACATACCTCAAAATAATAAGAGCCATCTAGACAAACCCATAGCCAATGTCATACTGAATGGACAAATGCTGGAAGCATTCCCCTTGAGAACTGAAAGAAAACAAGGATGCTCACTCTCACCACTCCTATTCAACATAGTACTGGAAATCCTAGCCAGAGCAATTAGGCAAGAGAAAGAAATAAAAGGCATCCAAATAGAAAAATAAGAAGTTGAACTATCTATCTTCATGGACAATGCTATACCTTCATGAATCTATACCTAGACAACCTTAAAGACTCCACCAAAAGTCTTTAAAGGGAACACTTATACATTGCTGGTGGGAGTGTAAATTAGTTCAGCCACTGCAGAAAGCAGTCTGAAGATTTCTCAAAGAACTTAAAACAGAACTACCATTCAACCCAGCACTCCCATTACTGGGTATATATCCAAAAGAAAATAACTGTTTTGCCAAAAAGACACATGCACTTGTATGTTCATCACAGCACAATTCACAATAGCAAAGACTTGGAATCAACCAAGGTGCCCATCAATGGTGGATTGGATAAAGAAAATGTGATACATATACACCATAGAATACCATGTAGCCATATAAAAGAATGAAATCATGTCCTTTGCAGCAACATGGATGCAGCTGGAGACCATTATTTAATTGAATTAATTCAGGAATAGAAAACCAAATACCACAGGTTTTACTTATAAGTGGGAGCTGAACATTAGGTATTCATGGATATAAAGATGGCAGCAATAGACACTAGGGACTACTAGAGGGGGAGGGAGGGAGGGAGGGGCACAAGGGTTGGACAACTATTTGGTACTATGCTCACTACCTGGGTGATGAGATCAAATGTACCCAAAACCTCAACATCACAGAATATACCCAGATAACAAACCTGCACATGTACCCCCAGAATCTAAAATAAAAGTTAAAATTCTTAAAAATAATAAAAAATAAGTAAATAAATAAAATGATCTCCTTTTCTTCCTCAACGAGTCCTGTGGAAAGATATATGATTCGCAGTATCATCCTCTTTCTTCAAATAAGAAATTATTCGTCTAAAGTAGGAGCATGTCAGAGCCCAAATTATACATAACACCTAGTTTCTCCTTTAAGCAATCAAGGCATTCTGATGTTCATATTAGTAAACAGAGTAGCATAGCTCAGGGTACACAAAGGGGTCTGTAGTCTAGATCAGTCTTGATTGTTCTGTTCCTCTTGCTAATAAAATCCCTGGGAAACCAGGATAATTTTGTAGTTATTCAGGGGTTGAATCAAGTTAGTCTTGGAGTCCAGCTTTCTTGAGCAGTAGAGGTATCCATTGATTATTTTTCTTCAGCGGCCTCAATATTGAGGAATATAGAGCTTCTTTCCATGTTTAAGGAGTCATTGATTTTTTTTTTTTTTTTTCGAGACAGTCTCTGTCACCCAGGCTGGAGTGCAGTGGCGCAATCTCGGCTTACTGTAACCTTCTCCTATAGGGTTCAAGCAATTATCCTGCCTCAGCCTAGCAAGTAGCTTACAGGTGACCCCCACTGCACCCAGCTAATTTTTGTATTTTTAGTAGAGACAGGGTTTCACCATGTTGGCCAGGCTGGTCTCGAAGGAGTCATTGCTTTTGCAATGAATGCCCAGTTTCATGTGTCTGCCCTTCCCTATAAAAAGAGATGGTTGAATCCAAAGCATGGGGCTACTGAAGGTATCTGTGGGGAATCTTTGTTCTCTTTAGTTAGATTTAGATAACTTAGTATCTGCTTGCATGTCACTGGAGATAGATAGATATGGAATAAGATGGGGCTCTTCTTCCCTGTCACTCTCTGAGCATTCTCACAATCTCATTCATTTGCATTTTAACAAATAATATTTTGTGAACTCTTAAATTGCTAGACTCTTTGCTAAGCATTTTATACAAATCTTCTTCAATCATTGCAATGAATTTTGGGGTAGATAGTATTTTTGTCCTCTCTCCCACTGAGGCACAGAGAGTTTAGGTGATTTGGCCCAACTCACACAGCAAGTGAGGGAAGGGGCTAGTATAAGAAATCCAGGTCTATAAATATTCAGTTCTTCCATTTGACTACAACTGGACTAAGGAACACTTTGTTTCATTCTGCTTTCCACCTATTTCCCAGAAGTGTGGGAGACAGAGATTCTTTTGAGGAAAGCACCTCTTAGGCATTTGGCTTCAGCCACTGGTTATTCCAGGCTAGGGTAGGAAGTAAGAGTTTTTTTTTAGGTAGCAGTAGTTGAAGATGTCATGTGGCACTGCTGACAGTATAGCATGGAAAGGGGAAAGCTATTCAACTCTAGGTAGTGGCTTCCATAAAAACAAGATGACAATCTCCAAGGGAATGCTCTTTGTCTTCTGAGGCAGAAAAAAAAAAAAAAAGTAATTTCCTTACCCATGGGTTCTACAGTTTAATGGAGAGTTGGAAAGTGGAACAAATCACAGTTCTTTATCCTCTTCTGTTCCTAATTGGCTTCATAACCTAAGGCAGGTAGGCAGGCAGGCAGGTGGGCAGGCAACAGTCTGTAGTAGGAATATGATCTGCTGAGCCTGGACGCCCTCCAGGCCAGCCCTTTCTTCCTCTCTTCTTGCAAGCAAGATGCTACTTCCTGGTAAGCCTGAGGTTGTATGGTATACCCAGAGACCTCTCTCTGGGAAATTCTTCACTTCTAGATTCTACAGATGTCTGGCTTCAATTGGCAGATTCCATCTTCTCAGAGTTCAGTCCAACTGAGGCCAGTGCTCTTCAGCCCAGGGGCCCATGCTGCCTATGAATTATTTTCTAATAAATGTGGTATTTGGTCTCAAGTTTGTACGTACCACACACAGTATACCATACATTCACGTTTAACAAATCTTCTAGTAAATTAGGACCAACTTATCTTCATAAACTTATCTACTAGAAACCTACAGCAAACCTACTTTAATCATGAAAATTTAGAAACATTCTCATTAAAATGAAATAGAAGAAAGGGGTGATCATTAACAATTACTATTCCAGTGGTACTAGATATCCTAGCCAATGCAATGAGAGAGAAAAAATAGGTTTAAAAATGAAGTGACAAATTATTTAGAGCTTAGTGCATTGTTAAAAGTGACTGGGAGCTCAGTGTGGTGACTCCTCGTAGCTGTAATCCCAACAATTTGAGAGGCCAAGGCAGGAGGACCAGTTGAGCCCAGAAGTTCAAGTTCAGCTGGGACAACATAGCGAGACCCTGTCTCTACAAAAAAAATTTAAAAAATTAACTGGGTGTTATGGTGGGTGCCTGTAGTCCCAGCTACTCGGGAGGCTGAGGCAGGTGGATCCCTTGAGCTCAAGAGGTCAAGGCTGCAGTGAGCCGTGATTGTGCCACAGTATTCTAGCCTGGGCAACAAAGCAAGACCCTGTCTCTAAAAAAAAAACAAGTGACTGAGTATAAGGTTCACAAAGCAAAATTAATAGTTTACCTATACACCAATAATAACCAATTGGAAAATGTAATAGAAAAGCAAATATCATTTATAACAGCAAAAAAGCTCTGAAATAAATAGGAATAAATCTGACCAAAAATGGTTAAAGTTTTTACGGAGAAAACTACAAAAATGTACTGAACAACATGAAAAAGGGCCTGTTTATGGATGGAAGACTCATTATGTTAAGGATATAAATTCTCACAAAAGTAATCTTATAAGATGAATGCAATGACAATCTACATAATAAAAAAGATATTTCCTAAGGTTTGACAAGCGAACTCTAAAATTCAAAAGAAAAGTGAATGTACAAGAATAGCCAAGACAATTTTAAAAATATATGAGATACTTCCCCTTACAGATATCAAAGCATATTATACATTGTGTAATTAAAATGTATTCACATGACTAGACAAAAATAAATCAATAGGGCATAATAAAAAGTACTGATTCATGTATATATGGGAATTTAGTATATAATAAAAGTGACATCTCAAGTCAATGAAAAGCCCGACTATTCAATACATTTTATCTGGACAATAGATAAAATTGATTTAAATAAGTTAAAAAATACATTTAAATAAATAACATTCTTGCCTAAAATATACCATTTGCAAAAATAAATTTCAGGTGAATTGAAGAAGTAAATGAAAAATGTGGATAAGATTTTTATCTAGAATATAATAATAAACACCTTCAAATCAATAAGACAAAGATGATCAACACAATAGCAAGATAGGCAAAGAATAAAAGCCAACAGTTCACGGAATAAGAAACCCAAATGGCCAATAAGTCTAAAAATCTATTCAATTTTACCACTAATTAACCATGAGCTCTCACCTTCATCTATCAATTTTCAAAATGTAATTTTTTTTAAAAAAATCAAGTATTGGCAATAAAAATGTTAAATTTGACTCTGCTCAAGACATTATATGTAACTTTCAGGTTATAGTAAATACAAAGCAAAGAACATGTTAAATGACAGCTTGATGAAACAATCAGACAAATCCAGAATGCAAGACGGTCTACAAGGCAACCTGATGTCTTTAAAAGTCAATGTCCTGGGGTGGAAAATGTGGGAGTATTGTTGTGGCATAAGATTCTAAAGAGACATAACAAAATGCAATGAATTACACAGAAGATCAAGTTGACATAAGAAGAAATTATAAATCTGAACACACTTATATAAAAATATCGAATTAACAATTAAAAAAAAGCCCAGGACAAGAAGTCTTCACTGGTGAATTCTACAAAACATTTAAAGAGTTAACACTACTCATTCACAAACTCCTCCAAAACCAGAAGAGGAGGGAACGCTTCCTAACCCAGTCCGTGAGGCCAGTATCTCTCTGATACCAAAACCAGACAGACATCACAAGAAAAGAAAATGATAGACCAGTATTCTTTATAAATAGAGATGTAGAAATCCTCAACAAAATAGTAGCAAATTAAATCCTGCAGCTTATAAAAAGGAATATACACCATGACCAAGTGGCATTAATTTCAGGAATACAAGATTGATTCAACATACGAAAATCAATTAATGTAATACATCACATTAGTTGAATAAAGGGGAAAACCCCACATTATCTCAATAGATACAGAAAAAGCATTTGAAAAAGACCAACATTCCTCCATGATAAAAAAAATTCAACAAACAAGAGAGGGAAGGAAAGTTCCTCAATCTGATGAAGCACACCGATGAAAAACTCACAGCTAACATCATACTTAATAATGGAAGACTGAAAGTTTCTCCTTAAGATCAGAAACAAAACATGAATGTCTACTCTCACCACTCTTATTAAACATTGTACTGAGGATTCTGGCCATAGCAATTAGGCCAGAAAAACAAATAAAGGGTATCCAGATTGGAAAGAAAGAAGTAAAACTATTTCTATTGACGAATAACATAATCTTGTATATAGAAAATCTTGAGGAATTCACTAAAAAACTGTTAGACAAATAAGTTCAGCAAGGTTGCAGGATATAAGATTAGCAGAAAAACAATTATATTTCTATGAATTAGCAATAAACAATCAGAAAATGAAATTAATAAATCATTTTCTTTTATAATGGTATCAAAAATTATAAAATACATGGGAATAACTTTAAGCAAAGGAGTGCAAGAGTTGTACACAAAAAAAACAATAAAACGTTGTTGGAAGAAATTAAAGAAAACCTAAATAAGTGAAAAGACATCCTATGTTCATGGATTGGAAGGTTTAACATTAACATGGCAACACTCTTCAAATTGACCTATAGATGCGATGCAATCCCCATCAAAACTCTAATGCTCTTTTTTAACTAGGTGCAGTGGCTCATGCCTGTAATCCCAGCACTTTGGGAGGTCAAAGCAGGAGGATCACTTGAGGCCAGGAGTTCAAGACCAGCCAGGACAACATTGTGAGACTCTGTCTCTACAAAAAAATTACAAAAAAATAATAATAATTAGCCAGGCATGGTGTTACACACCTGTAGTTCTAGATACTTGGGAGGCTGAAGTGGAAGGTCACTTGAACCCAGGAGTTAAAGGCTGCAGTGAACAACTGCACTCCAGCCTCGGTGACAAAGTGATACCCTGTATCAAAAACATAACAAACAAGCAAACAAAAGCCTCCAATGGCCTTTTTTTTCAAAAAAAAAAAAAAAAAAGGAAAAGTTGATCCTAAAATTCATATGGAAATACCAGGGCCTCGTGATAGGCAAAACAATCTTGAAAAAGATCTAAAATGAAGACTCATAATTCCCAGTTTCAGAACTTACTACAAAGTGACAGTAACCAAGTGGCATAAGGATAGATAGCTATGTCAGTCAATGGAACAGAATTGAGAGTCCAAGACCATTCAAAGGAGAAAAGCAGTTTCTTCAACAAATGGTACTGAGACAACTGGATATCCACATGCAAAAGAATAAATTTTGACCACTGTCTTATATACAAAACTTTACTTGAAATGGTCAAAGACCTAAATGTAATAGCTAAAACAATGAAACTCAGAAGAAAATATAGGGGTCAATATTTTGTGTTTGGACTAGGCATCATTTTCTTAAATATGATGCCAAAAGTGAAAGCAACCAAAGAAAAAAACTCAATAAGTTGAATTACTTTTTTTGGGTGTGTGTCAAAGGGCACTATCAAGAAATGAAAAGACAACCCACAGAATGGAAGAAAATATTTGTAAATCGTAAATCTCCTGAAGCACTTTTATCTAGAATATATAAGGAACACTTACAACTCCATAAGAAAGATAACACAATTAAAAATGGCAAATATCTGAATGAACATTTCTTCAATGAAGATATACAAATGGTGAAAAACTACAAAAAGATATTCAACATTATTAATCATCAGGGAAATTGAAATCAAAGCCACAATAAGATACCGTCTCATGCCCACTAACATGGCTCTAACACACACAAAAAAATAGACAATAACAAGTGTTGATGAGTATTTGGAGAAATTGTAACCCTCATACGTTTCTGGTTGTAATGTAAATGGGGCAACCATTGCAGAAACAGTTCAACTGTTCTTCAAAATGTTAAACATAGAGTCACTATATGACTGAACAATTTCACTCCTAGGTATATACCCAAGTGAAATGAAAACACACGCCCACACAAAAACTTGTATAGGAATATTCATAGGAGCATTACTCATAAAAACCAAAAATTAGAAACAACCCAAATGTCCATCAAATGTTGCATGAATCACCAAAATGTGGTATATCCATACAATGGAATATTATTTGGCTATTTAAAAAGGAAGTACTGATACATGCTACAATGTGGATGAATCTTGAGAACAGTATGGCTAAGCAAAAGAAGCCAGATATGAAAGGGCACATACTATATGATTCCATTTTTATGAATTGTCCAGAATAGGCAAATCTATAAAGGCAGAAAGTAAATTAGTGGTTGCTGGTGACCAGGAGTAGGGGAGAGCGGGGAGTGACTGCTAATGGGTGCAAGCTTCCTTTTCAGGGCAATGAAAATGTTCTGGAATTAGTGATGATGGTTGCACAATCTAGTGAATATATTAAAAACCACTGAATTGTTCTATTTTAAATGGTGAACTCTTTAGTATGTTAATAATATCTCCATTAAAAAATGCAATTAGTTAAACTTGACTGGATCCTGGCTGTCAAAATAAAACATTAAAAAAGACAATTGATGACACCTGAGGAAATTTGAATGTTAACTGGATATTAAATGATATAAGGATTAGGAAATTATTGTTAATTTTTGTAGGTATGATAAGATATTGTGTGAAAATAACTGGCATTTATGTAAGAGAATGTCCTTATTTTTAGAGGCTTGCTAAAGTATTTAAGGGTCACGAATCATGATATTTACAACTTACATTGAAATGGTTCATCAAAAAAGATAGGTAGATAAAACAGACATGGAACCTTAATTATTGAATCTAGGTGGTGATCATATGGATATGCATTGTAAATTATATTTTTTTATTTTTTGACTTTTGAATCATGGCCATTCTTGAAGGAGTAAGGTGGTACCTCATCATGGTTTTAGTTTGCATTTCCCTGATGATTAGTGATGTTGAGCATTTTTTGATGTTTGTTGGCCATTTGTACATCTCCTTTTGAGAAATGTCTGTTCATGTCCTTTGCCCACTTTTTGATGGGATTGTTTGTTTTTTTCTTGCAGATTCGTTTGAGTTCCTTGTAGATTCTGGATATTAGTCCTTTGTCAGATGTGTAATTTTATGTTTGAAATTTTTCAAAATAAAAACTTGAAAAAATGCATGCAAAGGATTGAGGAAACATGCATGTTTACACACTTTATTGGAATGTAAATACAGAAAGCCACTTGAGAGTACAATTTGCAGTATCTATTAAAGTAAAAAAAGGGGGGACATTCACTATGACCCAGAAATTTCCATTCTTAGTATCTACTCTAGAAAAACTCCAGTTCAATTACACAAGGAAGCAGAAACTAAGGCTTTCACGGAATCACTATGTGTAATAGCAAAACATTGGAAACAACTTAAATGTCCATTAAGAAAGGAATAATTACATAGAGTGATTACATATGCCACATTATGTAGCAATTTATGTAAATGAACTAGGTCTATATGTATATGACAAGATCTTCAAGACAATGCCTAGTGAAAAATCAAGTTGCAAAATGATATGTACTGCATAGCATATATTTAAAAAACCATACACAAATAGTACTCTGTGTAGGTTCCTATATATGTACATAAACATGAATTAAAAGGTCTTAAGGAATGTGATAAAAGGAGAGAATTGGGCAGAAATGGGTTCAAGGAACATGAGGGACAATGAATTATAGTTTGTGTAGTATCTAATGCAAAAGCTTGACAACAAACATACACATGAGGGATTTTTTAAGCAAATATTTATCCTAATGTGGCAGACCAAAACTTGGAATAGCAGGAGGTATGGAAGAGTTTATCTACTTGACTTTTTTACCCAGAGTCTCCTCTGGTCCCTCCCAATCTGGCTGAACCTGAGCCTTTCACTTGGGGACTGGTCTCAGATCATAACAGCTGGCTTGGGGGCTTGCTTACTAGAAAAGAGGTTTTTGTTCCACAACCATTCTGGTTCCAGGAACATAAACTCCATGCACTGATTCTCATACAGTAGGCCCAGTCTTTCAACAGCAGACTTGCCTGGGGGGCTGGAACTATCTTAGAAGTTTCCTAGATTTTCCCCTCCCTGTGACTAGGGAGATCAAAATTATTATAACAACTAAATAATATGGCAGTGAATTGGGTGAGAGAGAAAGGGAATAACAGGGTCAAGGAATGGGAGAAAATGGGAAAGAAGAAAGGGGCAGAAAGAGGGAAGAGGAGGGAAAGGGAGGAGATGAATGTGAGGCATGGGACCATATGCCTGGTCTGTTCATAGGCTGTTTCATGAAATGGAGGCTGCTTCTGTGGACTAGAGTCATCTTAGCAGCTCCTTCAAGATTCTGTTCTGCTCAGAATTTGCCTCAAGTTTTGCAGACTGATGTTTGCTCCCTGGCCTAGTTAGGGTTTGTTTCAGGCCATGAGGAGTGGCTGTGTATATGATTGCCTGGTCAGCGTTGATGGTTGATGTAGATCCTGTTCTGGTTAGAGATTAGCTCAGGCTGTGTGAAAAGTAGGTGTGGTTCTGCTCCAGTCAGTGTCCTGAGTGGTTTCACAGGCTTGACACAGCTAGAGAATTGTTCCTGGGGAAGAAGGGATTTTGGACTTGACTATTTAGAAAGTCCATTGAATTGTTGGAAATTGTATTACAGATCTTGGTTTCAAGTTTTGCCAAATGCTCTGTGAAGAGTTGATGTGGGACCCACATTAGGAGCCAACACACTATGTTCCATGTGGACTCTTACGGGGTCATAGGTTGGTTGTCTCAGTTTGCAAGGACTGGTATTGCCTATGTGGACCTAGTCTTGTCAGTCATTTCCTTGTTTTGAAGCAATGTGCAATGGCCAGATCATGGGTTGCCAAGGTATAGGGGAAGTAGGGAATGGCAGGTCAAGTCAATAAATGAAGAGGAGGCAGAGTTAAAACCTTCCTCATGGTGTGCAGGATTGGTAAGTATCTGGAGGACTTCCTCATGAAGAGCTCAGCTGAGGTGCTGCCTATTCAGAGATTGCCTCAAGGCAAAGAGTCCATGTAAATATAGGGAATGGTAGTGTGGTCTAGTGGTTGGTGTACAATGTGCACCAAGTGTTCAGAAATCCTCTCTGGTTTGGAAGAGATTTGCCAAGTGACATATGCATGTAAGTAGTGAGCCCCAGAAAGCTGTATAATGCTTGGTGCAGCAGTTATAGGACCTTTCCTATATTTGATATTCAAAATATTTAACAGCAGATTCTGCATGGACACTGACCAATCAGTATAAACATTGAAACAGGATGCTGGAGCAAGTATTATGCCTTCAGTTGTTAGATTATAAGGGGGCCCGGAGATCCTTAGGGAGAGTCTAGTGCAGCTGAGGTGATGGTGGAGGCAGGGGGTTTGCAGAGGAAGGGATCAGGGCAATGGCTCTTCGTCAATAGATATGGAAGTATTTCAATATTTTAACACCTGATGTGACCTTACTGGTATATTCTGAATAGATATTGTTCCTTGTGGTAGGATTACTATTCCAGGAATAGCATGAGGAATTTTGGATGGTAGCAGATGGCTGGCTCACAGTGTATGGAGAAACAAAGAGGGCAGGGCCAAAATAGGGCCTTTGGAAGCCCTAATTAATGAAAACATTTTTGTGTCTACCTTCCTCTCTGTAATTCACATGGAAACAATTATAAGCCATACAACAGATGACAAAAAAATCCAACACAGCTCTGATTTTTCTTATCTACTTCAGCTTTTTAAATATCAAATTTCTAACTCTTTTAAAAATCATTTGATTGGTGCCCCCACAGTGTTATTCTCTAAGCACATACTTATCTGGCCTTCTGGATAATGCAGCACTGACTAGGGGCACTGGAAAGTGGCTTCACTGGGCATATGGTGAGATGTGGATCCTCCTCTGGAGATGGTTGCCTTTCTGTGAGCAAAACAGCCGTATAAGCTGCAGTGAAGGTGAGAGCTGGTGAGGCCAGCCTCACAGCAGACCCAGCAATTAAAGTCTCTGGGCTGATTGTCTTGTGGGAAGTGGTGGCTGGTGGTGGGGATGGACACAACATGCAGAGGGGCAGGATGGTAGGGCCTGCTTCGTTGTATTGGAGAGTCCACTGAGAGCTCTAATCTGCACAAGGGTTGCCTCACTGAGTAAAGAGTGGCTGGGTAGGCCACAAAGGCCAGTATCCAGATTGTGTAATTGCAAGGTAGACTCTAGTGGAAAGCAGACTTGTCTCAGTGTGTATCACAGCTAATGTGTGATCTTAACAAGAAAGCTCTTACTACATGCACAATTAGGATATAGCTTCTCTTGTGAGCAAAGGCTGTTTATTGGTATTAGGAGCATGGATAAGTGCCTGGAGGGTTGCCTTGGAGTATGGTGGTGTGAACCTGGTCTGAGGAGGTGCTGTCTGGGCTCATGCTATTCAGTGGATAAGGGCCCTGAGGGATGTGTCAAGGAAAGAGGAAAGAGCTCCGGGCTGGATGGGAGCTGTCCAGTGTGGTATGGCATAATCATGAGGGTCATAGTTGGGCAGACAGCTACCCCACTGTATGTAGACAGGTCCGAAGGTCTCCATCTTGGCAAGATCCTGCCTAATGGTATGGAGTATGTAGAAAGTGCCTGCGCCTAGAATGAATCTTTGAGCAAATTACAGCCAATTATAGTACATAGGGAGTCAGTACTCTAGAATCGTTGCCTATTGTTGACTACTCACTGGCCTACACCTTTCTATCATTAAATATCTGTTCAGATAAAGAAAGAGAAGTCTCTGGACAGTATTGAATATGTTCCTGGGATGTTAAGCTTAAATAGTCTTGTGTCCTGGAAGACATCAAGCCTTTCCCCATTTGCACTGACACTGGTAGCAAGCTGACAAAAAGCATTGTGCACCTCAAGCTTCAGAACCTTCTGTGGCCCCCACTTTCACCCCCTCCTAAGCCAGTAATGGAAACTCATTCCTCAACCTGGCACAGCTCACTCTATCAAGTGTACTTGGAGTATACACCTATCTATAACCTCAGTTCCCTCCTGGAAGAAAAAATACAAGAAGGCCTGGCTTCAGAAACCCTTTACCTCAGTTACACAGGAGGTATATTCCTGAATATGTCACAGATCTCAGAATAAACATGTGAATCTAATAAAATTGTGCTTATGAGATACTTGTGCTGTGCGTCTATCAAAAGTTTCCACAGTAAAATCTACTGCTGTCTGTTCATAGTTTAATAACATATATAATATGGCTTATTATTTAATAACGGTATATGATACACCAATATATGCTGTTTTTTCATGCTTTTCTGACATGGTTAAAGGGGTATGGCAGCTACTAAACCCATTGTTCCATGAAAGAAGACAAAACACTTACAATATTTTTCACTTCCATTGCTATTGCATCAACTTAAGTCTTTATACAATTGTGGTTTAAGCAAAAAGAGTCAAAGGAAGGAAAAGACCTATTACAGTGTATTGGTTAACAGATGTGGTTCTGAGGTTAGAGAACCTTGCTTCAAATCCTTTCTCTATCACTCAGTAGCTGTATGAATCAGGAAAACTCATTCACTACTCTGAACCTCTGCTTTATCATTTATAAACTGGAAGTAACAGTAATTGTACCCACCCCCACCATGGGAATTGTTGTGGCAATTAAATGAAGTTGTGAGATGATGTGCATAAGGTGCTTAAGACAGTGTCTGGCACATAGTAAGCACTCAATAAATGTTGGCTGTCATTATTATTAACACCACGAGGTAGAGGGACTAAAGGATGAAATTTTGACTATTTGTATTATCTATGACAAAAACTCAGTTATTTTTAAGCACACAGCTACGTAAAACATTTTCTTGAGACTCTGGTCAACATTCCAAGGTTTGTCCTAAAAGACTCACTCTCCTGTTATTGACTTATAGGTTGTTCCTCACCTCTGATGCTTGCCTGCTTCTTCAATGCTTGCTGGTTCTAACTTAATGTTAATTTTCCCTCCCTCAGCAGTTTCTGGAGATGGTGGGAGAAGCTGAGAGAGGGACTGGGAGTACATGGCTATAGTTTCTGAATTAGGCAGCATGAGGAGCTAGGCTCAGGCAGGGCCAAGGATGGATAGTAGCTGCTGTTCCCAAAGTCCTCCTCACAGGCCAACTGGAAGCCTTATTTACAGCCATGGGCCTACTTATCTTCCAGGCTTCCCGGTTTCCTACTTTACAATGACCTTGGAGATTATAAGAGTTAGTGGATTCACCATCTGCCTGTTTTTGGAAGATCAACCATTCCCTTGAACTGGAGAGCTCCATTTTAGGGCCAATTTGAGATTTGGTACTTAAC
Organism: Homo sapiens; assembly: GCF_000001405.40. Taxonomy (NCBI): domain Eukaryota; kingdom Metazoa; phylum Chordata; class Mammalia; order Primates; family Hominidae; genus Homo; species Homo sapiens. The sequence goes on along the minus strand of NC_000023.11, from coordinate 111,051,859 downwards.
AAAGGTATCTTCCTGTCTAGTATTCATAAGACTCTAGTGACAGGCTGAGAAGTATCTAATCATTTCACTTATGTGTGAATCATCACCTTCCATTGCCCTCTTTACTTATTTTCATTTTTCCAGGCAGTTCTGATTGCTTACACACACACACACACACACACAGACACACACACGGTAACACACGTTGTTCATAAGGCCCACTGTACTAAGGAGAGATCAGCAAGCAAATGGAAATCTCAGTTATCAGAGGTTCAGATTGTATCAGCAACCCAGTGATGGGGCAAGAAAAATGGGAGCTTATGGAGATTATTAGCTCAGGAGAAAAAACATCTCGAAATGTTCAATATGGAAGACCAGGTCTAGAGGAAAGCGAAAATAAAGCAAATGGGCACAAGAGCAATTCTAAAAAGCAATCTCTGTGGGGTTTTGGCTTATTGCCTGGACTGTTACACAAATTAAATTCTTCCAGTGAAAGCCAGGGAAAGGCTTCCGCTAGACAAGCTGAGTTAATCAATAAAATCTCAAAGACTCGAGATTTCTATTCAGAAAAAAATTCATATTCATATTCAACAAATATTTATTGTAGAGGTACTATGGCCAGGCATTTTTCTAGACCCTGGGGATACAGAGGTGAAGAAGACAAACAAAGTTACTGCTCCAATAGAGCTTACTTTTTTCCCCCAACAGGAGTTGATTCCTTTTCCAGAACCCAAATTCAGACTGTTCTGTCTTGTTCAGAATATAACAGCCCACTGTGACCACCCAAACCCACTCCTCTCTCTTCTGCTCAAGCCCAAGGCCCAAGGCACAGGACTAAGTTCTAGGTTCCATTTCCTATAGCTATGAACCACTGCAGAGCCTTGGACCACTTGCCACTTTGTCCTTTGAGTCTCTATTTCACAGCCTCCTCCTCTCCTGCCTGCCCTGTCCCACCAACAGGTTTGCTTTGTAGGGACTAGATATAGACACAGACACACGACAAATAAGCCCTGCAATCAAAACCAAACACTCATTGTCTTGCCCTCATTAGGGACCTATTATATGCTCTTTGCACAAGCATTGAAACTGGCTGGTGCCAATCTGCCAACAGCAGCAGAACAATCAGTCTCTGATAGGCTTTTGGCTCCCACCAAGGGTTCAAGATGAAGCAAAGAAAGAGGGTAGAATAACAATCTGAGATTGCTGCCAACAGCTGCTCGTGAGGTGAAGGGCTGGGCCTAGAAGTCTGAGGGTCTCAACCCAGTTCTACTACTAACTCAGATGAGCTCCTTCATCTTGGCAAGGCACAGGTTGGCAGTGAGTAAAAATTATAAGGGCAGTTCTTCAACTGACAGCATTAGGGAGCAAGTCTGATTTACAAAAAAAGCTTTACATATCGGGGTGAACTTTTTTTAAGTTGTTGCTGCTGACAGCATCGCTTCTGGTATTTAAGGGATCAGACTGTGTATTTGCATTGGAAAAAGCAAAATAGAAGTGATAACTTTCTTTATAGCTAGGCTTTTTCCCCCAAAAGACCACAAAATCTTTTAGAGGCATTCTCCATTGCTTATCTTGATATCTGTCCCTGTTAGTAGTGAGAGGCATAAATATGGGGGCTGATGGCAAAAAGGATCACGGTGCTTCCTCACAGCCCATACCAGGAACCCCCTACCTGGGAAAAAACATCCACAGAGTTATTCAAGAGAGGGAGTGAACTGTGGGGAAGTGCCTGGGGAAAATGGAAATTATTATAATCCACATTTCTAGTTATACTTCCTGGGAGCTAAGAAATGTGATAGACAGATCCCTTGAAATAAAGATTTCCTATCCCCTTCAGTTGATTTTTATTCCTCAAGGAATCCCACTCCTATTGCTTTGAACTCTCATGGCTATGCTGATTATGTACCTAATCTCTATCTTCTCCTCAGTCCTTCCTGTAGAATTCTAAACTCACACTGAGGCAGTCTCCCAGACGCCTCAGAGGATGAGTAAAAATCAGCATGTTCTATACCAAACCTGTCATTCTTCCCTCCCACCTACCAGCAGTTTTTCTCTCAAATTTCCTATTTTGTTCTAATGGCAAGAAACTATGGAATCATCATTCTTCTTTCTACTCCTATACACCAAGTTCCACTGACTTATTCTTTCATTTCTTTTTTTGGTTAATGAATGGATAATTATTTATTGCTTAATTGATTTGTGGTCCTAGTTTTGATACTCTGTACTAGAAATAGTGACTTAGGATAAATTTTCTGTATTAAATGCCTTTAAATGCAATTTGGGTGGGATTAGTCTAATACTGATTTTTCCTCCTTCATCTCACTTACTACTACCACCAATTTAATTAAAACCTTTATTGATTGTTGTTTGTATCACTGCAGTAACCACTCTGCTGCTAATTAATTTATGCCACATTCACTCAATATATATTTATTGTGTGTCTACTACATACCAGGCACTGTTCCAGGCATGGGAGATACAAGGGTGAATAGGACAGAAAAGGTTCCTGCTCTAATGGTGCTTACATCCTAGTTGTGTGTGGGGATTGGGTAATAAACACATAAATAAGATGATTTGACATAAATAAATACTATAACAATAATAAAACAGGCTGATGTATTAGGAAGTGATGGCAAGGAAGGGAGGCTACTTTACATGGTGAAGAAAACTCTTTCTGAGGTGAAGTGACATCTATGCTGAGACCTAAAGGGCAAGAAGAAGCCTGTCACATGTAAAGATCTAGGGGAAGAACATTCCAAGAAGAGAAAAGAGCAGTGCAGAGGCCTTAATTGGCTTGTTAACAGAACAGAAAGACAGTAAGACTAAAACATAGTGAGCAAGAGGGAGTGTGGCACAAGATGAGGCTGAAGAGACATGCAGTGGCCAAATCCCGCAGGGCCCTTGTAAACCATCGGAAGGAGTTTGAATTTTAATTGCAACAGGAAGCTATTGGATGGTTTCAAGCAGATGAGTGACATGATCTGATTTATGTTTTTAAAACCTCACTTTGAAGGTTTTGTGAAGAATTCACTGTAGGCCCCATAATTAGTAGTAAAAATATAGAAGAGCAAGAGTAGAAGTGTGCAAACCAGTTAAGAGACAATTGTAGTGGTCTAGGCAAAAGATGGTGGTGGCTTGGGCCAGGTGGGAGCAGTGGAGATAGACAACATGGATGGATTTTTATACGTTTTTGAGGGGGAGCCAATAGAACTTGTTAATAGATAGATGAAGAGGATGTGTTGGGTGGGAGAAAATAGGATCAAGAATGAGGCTTAGGTTATGGTCTTGGACAAATGGTACCATTTACTTATAAGGGGAAGCCTGCAGTAGAAATAATTTGGTGCAGATGTGGTAAGTGCACAGATCAAGAGGGTGTTTTTGGCCATGATAAAATTTGAGATGCTATTAGACCCCTAAGTGGAGATGTTAGGTAGATAGGAGAATATATAAGTTTGAAGCTCAGTGGAGAGGTGAGAGCTGAAGATATGAATATGAGCATCATCAACAGGCAGACTTTTTTTAAAGTATGGAACTGGATAAAATCACTTTAAATAAGAGTACTGATAAAGAGAAGTTGAGGATCTAGAACTGAGCCGTCGGGTGTGCCAACAATTAGAGATGACATAGAGAAGAAATAGTCAACAAAGGAGACTGAGAAGGAATGGCTAGAGAGAGATGAGGAAAGCTGGAAGAGTACTGAGTTTGGAAAATCAAGAGAAAAGAGTATTGCAGAAAAAGGACTGTTGGATGTGACTCCATGGAGGTCACTAGTGACCTTCACAAAAATATGAGGATATTGACAATGATATACCTGGGGGTAGATGCTTGTCTAAAGCAAGTTGAGAAGAGATTGATAAGCGAGGAAGTGGAAACAAGGAGTATAGACTTTTTTTTCTAGACAGTGTGCTATCAGGGCTGTAGAGAAATAGAAAGAGAGTATGCAGCCAAAAAAGATTTTCATTTGTTTGTTTTTTGAAAGCAGCAGGCTGCCACTGCATATCTCTGGAGAAAGATTGATGATGCAGAAGAGAAAGAGATAGCATTGCAGGAGAAAAGTCCTTCAGGCGGCCAGAGGAGATGGCACTTCCTGCTGTCAGAGTGACTTCCAAAAGGGAAGTTTGAATGATGCAATTCCCCTGCTCTAAAATTCCCCATGGCCTCCTAAATAAGCCCAACTCCGTAGCCTGGTATTTAAGCCCAGTTCCAGCCAAACTTTCCAGCTTTGTCATCCTTCAGGAAGACTCCTGTGTGTATTCTATGCGGAAGCCGACACAAGCTACTTACTGGTCCCTTCATATCCTGAGTGAGTTCTCATCTGCAGGGCTTTGCTGGTGCCCTTTGCCCTCAGTTCTACCTGTTGAAAGACTACTCATGCTTCAGTGCTTTCCATGATGCCCCCAGTAAGAAATGGTTCCTTTCTTCTCTATCTCCTACAGCACTTTGCAATTCTTAAGGCTTGTTTAAAAAAAAAAAACCTAAAACCATTGGCATTTATATAGTCTTCCCAGCTTATAAAGGATATATGTATGTTCTCATTTACTCTGATAACACGGTTCTGTCTTACAACATGTTGAGCTTGACTATATGTCTTATCTCCCCTACTAAATGATCAACTCTCTAAGGTTGGGGACTATGTCTTAGTCTTCTTTTTATCTCACACATCCTCACGCATTAGTCCTCTTTGTCTCTCAATAAATGTTGTAGAGGGATGCTATAACTCTGCAGCTTCCTCTATATACAGATATATCTCACTTAATGCAGGAAACATGTTTCTGAAAAGTTAAGAAGCATTCTGAATTTATGTAAATGAATCCTTTATGGCATTTACCTCAGAGGCCATCCAGTTTTACAGAGGCCTTTCTCTCATCCACTGGGAGTACTGAGCTCCCACCTCCTTATATAGCCAAGTGCTATGGCCTATGTGTGTTCTACGGCAGGGTTATGTGCCCTGGCATGCAGAGAGCTATGTACAATATAACGGGACTTGCAGCATTAGCCAAGTTCTGTTGCATTAAGGGTTACAACACTGAGAGAGTGCATGTGGGAAAGATAGGGGCCTAAAATATTCATAGTTATCTATTATTTGTAATAATAAACAGTTCTTATGCAGCATTTATCATGTGCTAGTACTATTCTGAATGTTTTGCACATACTATCTTATTTTTCCTTACAAAAACCCCATGAACAGGTACTATTCATATCCTCACATTACAGATGTTGAAACTAAGGCATATAGAGGTTAAGTGACTTGTCCGAGGTTACATAGGTAGCAAGTTGCTGGGCTGAGATTTGCAATCCTACACCCCATCTGTAGTCTGGTTCTTAACTACTATTCTATATTGCCTCACATGACATTATGCAATATTTTATTTTATACTTTTCTAAGCATTCTATATCACTTGTATCCTCACAACAAGTATATATGGTAAGCTGAGCAAAGACTATGTGGCCATTTTACAGGGGGGTAAACTGAAACTCAGTAAAGGAAAATGACTTGTTTTAAGTCATACTCTTGTTTGACCATAGGCTCCTTAATCTTTGTGGAGTAAGCCCTCCCTTACACAATACCATTCCATCTATTGTAAACAAACAAACAAACAACAACAACAACACAAATTCAGCCTCTCATCCTTTAGGGTTGAGCCTTTTCTACCCTTCCTTTCGCTGACAGCAAATGAGTAGAGTTAACATGTGTAAAGCACCCAGCACAGTGCCCAGCAAATAGTAAGCACTCAGAAAATGACCTTACTTGCCTTTCCCAGCCTCAGCCCCCATACAAGTTTCTCTGCCCAGCAGCAGACGAGGCTCTCCTCTCGCTCCCAGTTAAGGAGGATAGCCAGGTGGCTCTTGTTAACAATAAGAGATGAGATTACAGAGTGAAACTTAGATCAGTAAATGAGAAGGCTAGGTTACCTGGAATTAGTGGGGAAATGGCAGAAACAATAGCTCAGAAGCAGGGTCAAATAGAGGTGATCAGTGTCAAACATTTTCTGTCCAATGGAGCCCCAGACCAACATCAGCAATGCAGCTGAGGGTTATTGACTGACCCACAGCTTAGCCTCGCCATGGTCCATGGAAACGGCAGGTGTGGTGGAGTGAAATCAGCCATGGAAGCAGTTTCCTAGAATTCTGAGACCATAACTTCCTAGAAGAAGATAATAATGTTGCTCAGGACAACAGAGCCTCTATTGCTGGAGGTATATGACTAGGCATGACTGTTGGCAAGACATGCATCCTTTACTTAACAGAATAGATCCAACTTCTATTTCATAAATCCAACTTTTTAATTGCCTTCCTTTATAAACTTTCCTATTAGCTTCCTTCTCCTTATCCTGGGGAAAAAAACATCAGAACATCAGACAGTGAGTGCAATCACATCACATACAGGGAGATAGCAAGCTTAGTGAAATCTCTTATTTAAATGAAAAAGAAACCCATAACCATATGCTAAATTATCCACAATCCCTCTCAAATATCAATAGAAATGCTGTGCTCAAAATGCCAGAAAATATAACTGTTGAAAATAAAAATATGACATAATTCTGGCAACCTGGCAATATCTGCCCATAACATAGTGGAAAGTGTTAGTAGCATGGTTCTGCCTTTCACTTGTGTCAAACCACCTTAGCACGTTCAAATTGACATCCAAGTTAATTTTGTATACATTTTGGGCACCTTTCCAATTGCTTGCCCTTATTGGCATCTTTCCAGACAGACACCTGTACCTGATTATACCTGTAGCATCTGTCAAGGATACTTGGGAAGAATAGCTAACAGTACCTAAGCTCTAAGATGGAAGTCAATTTCATTTGGGGAGGAGAAAAGGTCTGGAGAGGTCTGTAACTGGGATGTCTGTCCATTGGGCTTCTCTTGCAGAGGCTGTGTATACCACTGTAAGCTTTCATGTCATAGGTCATATAGCCTGAAACTTTCATCTCCCAGCCATTTCTGAGTTTCTTATGCCAACCCCTTCCCTAAAAGGCTCTGGTTCACAATTTCAATGATCCAGCTTAGATGGGCAATTCCAAAATGTCAGGTTTTCTTGGAGTTTTTATTCCACTAACCTGCTTAAACACATTCCAAGATCAACTTCTGGTAGTCACAGATGACAGGACAGATGGAAAAATTAACACTCATGCGTAAAAGCACTTCCAGAATGCTGGTATGTAGCTTCTCTAAAGCTGCACCTGAGGGACTGCTACTAGAAGATGGGAGACAATGGCAGACGGCAGAGGAGACCTCGTTGATCATTCATGGTAATTAGGCCACCACCATAGCCAAGAAGGCACCTGTGTTTGCTGTTGATCAGGCCCCACTGCCACATCCCTCTCCCTGTTTCTAAAGCAACATCCCAGGAGTGACCAGGGTACTTGGGAATAAAGGAAAGGAGAAGACCAGGAATCTTGACACCACTGCTTTGCAAAAGTTGCCAACTCTTTTTCTAGGGGTCTCCTACAAAGACCAAATGAACAAAGCAAGGTTTCCCCTTGGGAGAAGACAGACTATAAAATGATGACAGAAGATGGAAGGAAAAGTAGGAGCAACCAAAGGCCATCCTCCCAGCATTTGGCATAAGTAGGGGAAATAATACTTCTTCATCATTTGAGAATGTGATGGTAACATGTGGGGCCTGATTTCTCTTTCAAGATCTGTCACTAATTCACTGTCTGGCTCTGGGCAAGTAACTTCATGGAATTTTCCCATCTACAAAATATGTATAGTTTTAGCCTCCCAGTCTACCTGCCTACTTCAAAGCATGATGAGAGAATTGCATGTGACATACTTTGGGTTTCTTATAATGGTTGAAGCCACCGGAAATCAGAAAATCTGTTTTTTAAAAATCTTCTTAAAATCAATAAAGAACTACTAACAAGGTATTTAAGTATTGTTAGGCAAAAATGAAGTGATAGTGAGAACCTAAAGAGATGAGTAAGCATGGATGTAGCTGCTTTCACTCTAAGGGCATTTTTCCATGCCAGAAAATTTCAACTTTAATATTGAAAACCTTGTGGGTCAAGAGGGACAGAAATCATAGTCCAGATCCAATAGAAGGTGAGAAGTCTGCTAGGAAATGCTCCCCACAGAAAACTAGGGCTCCAAATGATTATACCTGCAGAATAAGGGTAAACCACATATGAACCTTGGGGAGCAGCAGATTGCATTTATACTGTCTAGGAAAACTTAATTAGTAAACTTAAATTTACTCCAGACTAGCAATGCCTCAGGATTCTCACTAAAGCAAATACAAATTCTCTCTCTGAAGAAAGATAACTTTATTCTGGGCTTCAAATCACTACTACAAATAGTTTTTCAAATACAACAACTAGCACATGAAGATAACCAGACACACAAGGAAATAAGAGACCATGACCAGGAGTCTAAAGAAAGAGCAAACAGCAGAAACAGACCCTCAAAGACTTCAGATGTTGGACATACCAGAGACAGACTATAAAATGATGCTTACTGTGTTTGAAGAAACGGAGTGAGACTGTCCTACAGTTTTATATTATCCATGAGCAGGGTAAAAGTATGATTTTAAGACTATGACATCCTCTGCTTACAGCTTTTAATTTTTTTTTTTTTTTTTGAGACAGGGTCTCATTCTATCACCCAGGCTGGAATGTAGTGGCACAATCATAACTCACTGCAGCCTCAAACTCCTGGGCTCTAGCAATCCTCCTGCCTCAGCTGCCTGAATGGCTTGGACTACAGGTGTGTGCCATCACACCTGGCTAATCTTTTACATTTTTTTTTGTAGAGACAGGGTGTTGCTATGTTGCCCAGGCTAGTCTCGAACTCCTGGGCTCAAGTGATTCTCCCTCCTCAGCCTCACAAAAGTGCTGGGATTACAGGCGTGAGCCACCACCCCTGGCCTTCAGCTTTTAACTCTTGAATGTTTACTAATCTCTACTGTCTGGCTGTCCCGTGAGTGAAGTATGGAGTGGTCATGTGGCTGCTCACCTCAGCCCCCAAAGAAATCATGACTGATTCAAAAGAAATCAGAACATGAGGGGAAAGGGACATAAAACAGATGCAGCCTTGCCTTTATAGTTTAATTTGCTAAGACCTGGGAAGTGAGAAGATGAAAGTGTAGATGTAGGCACAGGCAGAGGCATGGGCAGAGCCTGGGCAAAGGCAAGGGCAGGGCAAAATAAAAGACAGACATCACAAATTTGTTTTTTGGACACTTGGCCATTCAATGAATTCACTTTTGGATCATTGGATTTTGGTCAGTTAGTCTAGAGCCATTTGATATGTGGTTGCCGCATGTGGATTTCCCCTGTCTCTTGTGCCAGGAACTTGGAACACGGCACAAGAAAAGTAGGATGGCGAGCAGGGCTGGCCTTGTGGGTGTGCAACATAGCCTGTGCCGTGGTACAGGGCCCCAACTCTGAAGAGCCCTATCCTTGGTTTAATGCTCTACTCTCACTGTCTTGAAATTAACTATTTCAGCAAGAGGCCTCACATTTCTGTTTTTCACTGGGCTCTAAAAATGACACAGCCTGTCCTGAGGGCTGCAGTGGTGAGTGGGTGGGCAGCAGGAGATGGTGTGGATAAGACCAATGGTCACTCACTGAGTTTTGCCAACCTAATGGCTCATGAAGGCTCCAAGGCTAAGGCTAAATGAATGTCCAGGGACACCATATGCAGCCCATGAGTGGAAGTGGCAATGGAGGTACAGGGTATCAATCAAGAACTATTCGAGGGTACCACACATCTCTCCAGCACTTACTATATACCAGGCACCGGGTTAAACCCTGTGCATATAATGTCTAATTAATTTCTTATTATGAGCAGGGCACTGTGGAAAAACAGAAAAACACTTTAAAAGTCCCCTTTTGGGGAGAAGCTTACTGTCTAGACAGAGACATCTATTTGTTGAATAGAGACACATATATATGCAGTAATAAAGAAATATATATGCAGTAATAAAGACACACATATATAAAAAAGTATATATATGCAGTAATAAAACAACATACAAGGCAGTGTGTGTTTAAGTGTCAAATGCATGACAGATCTGAGTAGTAATACAATCTCAATTCAGAGAATGGAATTCCACTGAGTTGGGGTGGTCCAATAAAGTTTATTGAAGAAACTGAGGCTTAAGACAGGTCTTGAAGGAAAGGCAAGTCCTGGATACATGGGCGATGGTATCAGGAAGTCCAAGCAAGGAGAATGGTATGGAAGAGAGGTGGGAAGTAGAAACACCTGCAGTGTAACAGGGAGTGGAGGTAGGATGAGGTTGAACCATCTTGCTGAAGTAGAAGGCACAGGGGGTACAGTGAGGGAGGCAGCTACAGCTTCTGAAAAAAGGAGTCTGTGGAAGGCCACAAATGCCATGATTTGCACTTGATCTATAGATACTGGGGAAAAGAAGCAAAGCTTTTGGGCAGAGGGGTGGCACAGTGAAGGAGTGTTTGGGGAAGCTAAACCTGGTGGCAAAGACAGGTGGTACTGAGTGAGGCAATCTCTGCCCCAGGAGAGTTCAGACTGTCTCTATATGGCCAAATTGTGCCCCAAACACTCCCCCAGGACTGTCCCTAAGGACTACCAAGAGGGCAAAGTGAGAGCAATTTTGCATCCCAAGCCCTCTCTTCTCCTCATCCCTTCCCAGCAAGGGCTTGTCTGGACCCCAGCTTTTGCCTCAGTGCCTACGCAAACACTAATAAGTGCCAAAGTGTTGCCATAGAAACCATTGCTTCATTTCTCTCAGAGAATGCTCTGCAACCGCAAGGCTTCCTGCTTTGGGAAGCTTTTAGCAAATATTTGAAGAAAGTGGCAAATGCGTCAGCCAGGAGTGTATGTGTTGAATTGGCTGCTGTGATGGGGGCTGGAAGAAAGGAGCTATATCGTGATACAGGGTCCACTGAGGAACTGACTCAGCTCTGGGAGGCCACTGGAAAACAATTACCTTTTAAAGCCACAGTGCCTTTAGTTAATAGGCTGGGTTCCTAACAATGCTTTACCCCATTTCACTACCACTGGATTATACCCTAGGGCCTGATAGTTTCAATCTCGACTACCCCCACCCAGGAAACCGCCAGTGTTACTCTGAACTTCCCTCTGGTACAGCTTGTAATAATGGGCTAAAGACTGGTAGAATCAAGTGGAACACAAGAGGGCTGAGAGTTGCAGAGGAAAACCCATAATGATAATAACTAGAAATAAATCTTAGTTTGTTCTGTGAAGGGCACTATACTAAACACTTTATGGGGGTTTCCTTATTTAATTCTGACAATATCCTGCACGGTTGGTCCTATGAGCCTCAAGAGGCCAAGTGATTTACCTAGACACTCACAGGGATAGGTGGTCAAGCTGGGAGTGTGAACCATGATTTGTCATACATTCTTAACCACTCTGTCATACTGCTTTTCTTTTTCCTTTTTTAAATAGTGGTTTTATTAGGAAATATAGTATGCATTGAAAAGTATATAAAATGTATCTATATTTTCTTAAAGTTATATTTGTCTGTTTCCAGTAATTGATGCATTATGATGATAATGATTAAAATAGTTAATATTTACTGGGCACTTAGTTTTTGCCAAGAGTGCTAAGTGCTTTACCTACATTCTGTATAATGTAATTGTCACAACAACCCAATGAATCAGGGGCTTTTATTAGTATCTGTAATTTAGAGAAGGGGAAATCGAAGCTTGGTGAGTTTAAGTAACTCATTCGGTGGAACTTGGCTAAGCCAGGACATGAACCCAAGTCTCTCCGATTCCAAGGCCATACTTGCAGTTGCTGAGTGGCAGTCTCTCTGGAACCAGGTTGAGTCTTCTTCTTCAGGGAAACCTCCACCTTCTACTTCTCTGATGGTGTCTTGGAGACATTTTTTTTTCTTTCTTTCTTTTTGATTCTTCTTTTTTTTTTTTTTTTTTTGCTCCATCTACTTTTCCCAGAGTGGTTAAAATACTCCAGGGCCTCAGCCATTCTCTAACATGCAGGAAATCCCCTGGCTTTTCAGGGTTGGCAGACTTGCCTCAGCCAAGACCCTAGGAATTATGTGCCTCACAGGACCCCTTCTGAGCTTGGGCCTCTGCTTGAGGGAAATTCCTTCACCTATGTGCTCACACCTTGCCTTGCCTTCCCGGTTTGGATTTCAGCCTAGGGCGGGGCTGGGAATACTGAAACTCCTCCAATCATTCAGGAGGCTGCATCTGTGTGGGCTACAATCTAGTCTGATTCTCCAAGTAAAAAATCATTTCTGCCCTAGTTCTTTCACTGCCCTTTGTCTACATGGTCTATTAAAGCATTAGCCTGGTCTGCTGAGCTTAGAGTAACTCCAGCACTCTTTCTATCAGTCCATCACTGAGAAACCTCACCTGGAGGCAGACTTCTTCTGGTCTTTAGTGAGAGTGACAGGTGGTGGAGGGTGGATGAATGGATGCTATTCTCTGCCCAAATAAGAGGCTAAAGTCAAATGGCAGATGCAAGTACAGCTAGGTCAGATATAAAACTGACTAGCTGATGGCATTCTTTTTATGACATGATAATTCCTCTCATTTAATAGCATCAGGGACCTCACAAATGAGGAGACTGTAAGTCAGCAAGTGACATCCAGCACACGAATGAAACAGTTTCACCAAAAGCCTCTTGTCAATCAAATTTGGCTAAGATCTGACAAAAAGGCAGAAAGTAAAACTGGCTTTCAAAGTAATAGCTGCTTTGTGAGCAAGGGAAGGGTGGCAGGTTTAAGCTGCCCTTCATACCTGTGAATTGTATTGATCAATTTTAAAATGTCATCCAAGAAAACATAAGTGTAAATGAGGGTGACAGCAGCAGAGGAGGAAAAATATCTACTGAAAAGTTATGGCTTAAGTTGGGTCTAAGTCTGCCATGGTGACCTTGGAAAGCAAGTCATAGAACTTTTGATCAGGAAGTGATGATCAAGTTTATCTTGTCCAATCCTCTCTTGGTACTTGAATATATTTAATACCTCCAGCCTCTGATGATGTCCTGAGAGTGAAAGGAAACTCACTACCCATCAAAGAACTCCCTCCAATTCTTAATTAGCTCTTATTTTTATCTATTTTGTTATTTAAAACTCTTATATTGTGCTTTACATATGTCAGATACTGATCTAAGCAAATTATAAACATTAAAGATTTAATCTTCATAACAATCCTATGATGTAGATACTATTATTATCCTCATGTCACAGGTAAGAAAACTAAGTGTCAGAGAGGCTAAAATACTTGCCTAAGGTCAACACAGCTAGTAAATGACAGAGTCAGGATTCTGACCTGGGCAATGTGGCTTCTGACACTATGCATTTAACCACTACACTGTGAAAAGCTCTTTTACTGGGTAAAACCTGTCTACCTCCTTATAAACTGCACCCACCTTAGTACCTACTCTTCCTGGAGTCCCATACACCTCATTATACTTAACCTCAGAAGGGATTTTATCATGCTTGACTGCAAGGTAGATTCAAGGGCTGAAGCCATTGCTTCTGTAAGAAGGGTGGGGATGGTATCCCAGCCCAGGTGAGCAGAGGATGGCAGGACACTTACTGTCAAAGTACCAGGTCCACAAAAGAAAAGGAACTTCTCCAAAGTCACAGGGTGATAATAGAATTTGAACGTGAATCTATTTGTTGGGACTTCACATTCAATGCCCTTTATGCTATAGTCCCTGATACTAACCTGATCCTTGCTTCCTGCCCCCAACATATAATACATTGTTGTTGATAATAATTGTAGCTACCATTAAATGAGTGCTTATTTATTCCATGCCTGATGCTTTGCATACATTATTTCACTTAACCCTCAGAATCACCCCTACCCTGTGAGTTTGGGGCTACTATCATCTTCATTTCACATATATAAAGGTTGAAGCATAGGGAGGTCAAATAATTTGTCAACATCCAAACAGCCAGTAAATTGCAGAATTGGATTTGAACTCTCATCTTTTTGTCACTAAAGCCTGGGATTGTAATCACTATGTTGCAAGCCTCTCCATAATATTCACAAGAAACCTGGGGAACCTTATGAGCCCCTTCATGAAAGGGAAATTATTAGTGTTAAAGGTCTATGAATACCTATAGATACCCTGTTCCTGATATAATCAGGTTTTTTAAATATTGAAAATGAAGAGTTCAAGAGAAAAAAGAAGATAGTTTGCCTCATAACTGAGGTGATGAGACATGAAGCTATAACTGATAATACATGGTTCTTGGGGAGAGATTCATGCATGCTTTAATTTTACAACAAACTTTTCATCAGCATGTACTATGTAACAGGCACTATACTAGGAATACAGTTGGGCTTCACTGTCTGCTACTTGATGGGCTCGATTTAGTTTCTTGCCAGGGTTACGCTGAGTCTCTATAATTAAATGGAAGAGAATATTCATGCTATTTCTGCCCAGAACTGAAACACTTGCTTTTCTTTGAGTGGTAAAGCCACAATACCAAGGAGAGACCACTTTTTGAATGAACAAGGAATGTGAGAAGGCTAAAAAAGCCATTCACACCAACCCAAACAAATCCCAAAAGGAAATCCTCTCAATTTCAAACTATTTGTAGGGAGTCAGTAAGCTTTAAAAAATAGTCACCACAACATGAGAGAGGGTTGATGGCCTTCATATATAAAGAGCTTATAAATTTGTTAAGAAAAATACTAAGACTTGGCTGGGTGCAGTGGCTCATGACTGTAATCCCAGCACTTTGAGAGGCTGAGGTGAGCAGATCACTTGAGGTCAGCAGTTTGAGATCAGCTTGGCCAACATGGTGAAACTCTGTCCCTATTAAAAATACAAAAGCTAGCCGGGCATGGTGGTGCAAGCCTGTAATCCCGACTGCTCGGGAGGCTGGGACGGGAGAATCACTTGAACCTCGGAGGCAGAGGTTGCAATGAGGAGAGATCATGCCACTGCACTCCTGCCTGGGTGACAGAGCGAGACTCTGGCTCAAAAACAAACAAACAAACAAAACCTAAGACTCTAATGGTTAAATGGGCAAAAGATTCAAACAATATCTAAAGGAGGAATTGTAAATTGCTAATGAGTATGTAAAAACCATTCAACTTTTACCTAGTGATAAAACACATAAAAATGACTCAACAGTCAGATATAAATTCTACCCATCAAATAAGAGGTTTTTTAATCGGGGGACTAAATGATGGCAAGGAGTCTCAAATGGGCACTCTCATGCGTGGTTACTATAAATTGGACAAGATTTCTGTAAAGAAATTGGTAATAAGCTAATATGGTTTGGCTCTGTGTGCCCACCCAAATCTCACCTTGATATAATAATCTCCACATGTCAAGAGCAGGACCAGGTGGAGATAATTAAATCATGGGGGGCAGTTTCCCCTATGCTGTTCTCGTGAGAGTGAGTTCTCACAAGATCTGATGGTTTTATAAGGGGGTTCCCCCTTCGTCCAACTCTTATTCTCTCTCCTGCTGCACTGTGAAGAGGTGCCTTCCACCATGATTGTAAGTTTCTTGAGGCCTTCCCAGCCACGTGGAACTGTGAGTCAATTAAACGTCTTTTTTAAAATAAATTACCCAGTCTCAGATATTTCTTCATAGCAGCACGAGAATGGACTAATACAAAGCATAAAAGGCCTACAACACATTTAGACCATTTCTCACATAATGGTGTGCTTTGGGCTTGTGTGAGGAAACAGCTGTTGTTGGGGCCACAAGCCTATCTACCTACTTAATAGACTCAGCTGCTATTTTGGACAGTTGAGCTTAGCCTCATGTAATTCCTAGTGTCTCAATTGGACTGTGGTCTGTGTTCAACAAGCCCCCTGCAGTACATTTTCAGGAAATGGCTGCCTAGAGACTGATGAACTGATGGATTTAGCAATACACTGGGAGCCCAAGGTCCACATTTTACATTGTAGGGAAAACAAGAATGGGCTTTGGCATCAGTCTCTTCCATTGACTGGCCGTTTAGCTTGTTTAGCTTTGTGAAAGTTATTTACCTCTCTGTTTCAGTCTCCTGACCTGTAAATTGGGGCTAGTGTTATCCATCTCTCAAGATGATCTTAGACTTTGGAGTAAGACTTTGCCAATTCTAAACAAGCTAATCTTGAGAAGCCTACTTAAACTTTCTCTCCAAACTTCAATTTTCTCATCTATTTAATACTTCCCTCAAGGGCTGAAGCAAAGATGGAATGACATACGGTATGTACGGAACTTAACATGGTGCCAACACAGAGTTAAGAATAATAAATGAGAGGGACTAAAACATAATATCATGTAGTTGCACAGCACTTAAAGTTCTATTTTTAAAGAATTTTCTTTCTATTCTCTTTCTCTCTCTAGGAAAACCTGGAAACATCCAGCTAATAATGTTTCACAGCCGTGACCACAGCCTCTGCCTGCTGGCACACCACACCACTTCCACCCTGCTCTCATGCCAGGCACCATTCAGTCCCCAGCATGGCATCAGCTACCCACAGTAAAGAACAACAGGTGGTTTGGAAAAATCCAGCCAAATGCTTACAACTCCCTCTGGGCATTGTAATGGCTATTTAATGGTGAACAAACTGAGGCTTAGAGATTTGGGTAAGTCCCCGCAGAGTGCAGAATTGAAACAAGAGGCAGAATCCTTGACTTTTGTTGACCACAAGTACATATATTATCACAGCACTGTTTGTGTTTCAGGATGGTTTTCTGACATCTTAGTTGAGCCTCACAACAAAGCAATGAGGTTGGCAAGGCAGATATTACCGTTTCTTTTTTTCTTTCTTTCTTTCTTTCTTCCTTTCTTTCTTTCTTTCTTTCTTTTTTTTTTTTTTTTTTTTTTTTTTTTTGAGACAGGGTCTCACTCTGTCACCTAGGCTGGAGTACAGTGGTGCAATCTCGGCTCACTGCAGCCTTGACTTTCTGGATTCCAGCCATCCTTCCACCTCAGCCCCTGAAGTAGCTGGGACAACAGTTGGACACCATGATGCCTAGTTAATTTTTGTATTTTTGGTAGAGATGGGATTTCTCCATCTCTAGCTGCCTAGGCTGGTCTTGAACTCCTGAGCTCAAGCCTTCTACCCAATTTAGCCTTCCAAAGTGCTGGGATTACAGGCATGAGCCACTGCGCCCAGCCACCATTTCTATTAAAAGATGAGAAAGTAAGGCCCAGAGAAGAGTAGACTTGCCTAAGGTCATATAGTTATCAGCAGAGGTGGAATTGAACTTAGGTCTCTTATCTGTTAGTCTGAAGGTCATTCCCCTACACTACAAGTCCTAACACATCTGTCAAGGTCAGTTTCAAGGGGGTGCAGCACCTCAGACAGGATGCAGATGTTGTCATGGGGAAAAGACCAGATAACTGGTGACAGCAAGCCCATCCTTTGGCCCTTTGTAATATACTGGTTCGGACCTGGGGAATTACTGAAGGACTGAAACAGAAGCATCACTGTGTAATAAAGAGGTTGACTAAAAAACCAGCCAAAGAAGCTTATGTAAAAGCTGGATTTTATACACTGTCAGAAGGGGATGAGTGAAGAAGCAATGACAATGTGGTCATTGAAGCAGTGGGCCATAGTCTTGCTTATGGAAGGTGACCTCCATTTGCTCTCAGGATCATCTTTTCAAAAATCTCCTCTGGGATTTTTCCTTTTCAGTTTCTCTGTCTCTCTATCTCTCACTGTTTTTTTTTCCTCTCTCTTTCCCCGACCCCCAACCCCTCTGAGGGAGCTTCTCTCCCTTTGGGCATAGTTTAACCCTTCAAGTAGGTTACTGTGACTATCACCCAGAAAATAAGCCATCCTTCAGTTTCACTCTCTAGCTGCCTTCCTCATGGAAAACAAAATGCAGAAATAAAATAAAGAAGAAGAACTGTATGGTAGAATTGTGCACACACACTTGTGTGTTTGTGTGTATGGCAGGGAGAGGGGAGACAAGAGTTTGAAACTGAAATAAAGAGTACACAGTTTTGCTGGAGTGATGGCACAGGAATGACCTAAGGGATGAGACAGTGGGATTCTTTTTTTAAAAGTATATGAGATAATGCTCCTCTCACATAATTGCAAAATAATAATAATAAAAACAACATGGGCCCACCCAAGCCATCACACCAGGCTGTCTCCATCCTAGCAACCATAGCTGCTTCCCAGCCACTGCCCCAACCATAGTGCTGTTTTGCAATGTCTGACGGAGTGTGGGCTGGAGTAAGTGAGGGGTTTTAACAGACTCCTTAAAAGCAATTAGTCAAATAGGAATCACTTAAGCGCAGTTGGCTAATTTGGTGTTGGGGAATCATTTTAAAAAGCGTGGGTAGCAGACACCCCAGCCTTTCCTGTAACTATATAGCTGGCTAGCTTAGCCAAGGGAGCTGCATTCCCAAATGTTGAGAAAAGTCTTATCAAGGGGGTCCACCTGAGTTCTTCCTTTGCCAGCTCAGATGTCTACCAAAATTAAAAACAAATTAGGGCAAGTTCCATTTCATTGAGTCAGCAGCGACAGCAAGGTGAGTGCAGTCAATGTGGGATCTTTCAGATCTGTACAGTGCCTGTGAGGCAAAGGATACCTGACCTCGACATTTAGGCCTGTGCATTATGAATACCTGCGTGTGTGTTTGGATCTGTAGAGATGGAGGAGGAGGAGGGAGAGGAGGGGCACAGCACATTTGGAAATGCATGCTCCTCACAGACATGAGTGCTTGGACAAGTAACACCTCTCACAGAAGTAGGTGATGGGTGGCAAGATTTGGTTCGTCACAGCTGTTTGTGACACAGATGTGTAGAGGGCTATGGCCATAAAGAATGTGTGTGTGTGTGTTGCCCCTGTGTGTACAGAGAGAGGGAGGGTGTAAATGTGTGAGCTCTACCAGGCTCTCTTTCACTCTATAGATTTGGGATGTTTCAGGGCCAGCATATCTAAATCTGCTGATAATAAATCAAGTGAAACTGTGTATGTATATCACATCTCAAATCCTCTGTGTGAGTCATACACTGACATATATGCCCAAGTGTACCTTCCTGCGGGTTAGTAATGAGGGGAAAGAAGACAAGTACATAAGTATGGGAGACAAACTGACAATGAGCCTATGAAGAGCCCTTTAAGAAGAGGACAAGGAGGAAGATCTGGCTCATTAAGACCCTACCTCATTAGGGCCTGAGTTACCCGTGAGCTGACCCAAACTACCTCATTTCCTTGACAATCGAGCCAATCTTCCTCCCTTCTCCCTTCACTTCAGTAATCAGGAGAAAGGGAAACGGAGCAAAATTGCCCCCATCAGATGAAATTTACATGTCTTCCATGCCTCTTTCTTTTCTAATAAGGGTCTGCAAGTGCCTGCCTCGTCTGTGCTCAGCATTGGGCAGTTTTCGTTTTGTTTTTCATTATCTTTATTTGATCTAAACAAGTACATAGTTCACAGGTCATCCTGGGAAGAAGAATGGTTAAATGCAATATGGTGAGCTACCCAAATCGCAATTTCTGGCTGTCCCTGCAAATAACAGGAACAGTAGCTGCAAGTAGAGCAATACATGGATTATCTTACACCCAGAGGTCTGGTGCCCTAAAGAATAAGGCTTGGCTGAAAACCAGAGTTTGCACATACTGTTCCTTTTTTTAAAAAACTATAGTTACACAAATGCAACCAAGATGTAATGGTCTTCAAGAGCATTGATCTAAATGTTTGCAAGCTTGGGAAAGTTTCTGAATGAAAGCTGCCAACATGGTGGCCAAAAAGAAATGTGTTATTCCTTACTTTCTAGAACAAGCAATTATAGGAAATGCAGTGTAGAGCCTCTTAACCGTTTTTGTGCTATGGCCCCCTGATGAAGCCAGTAAATCCCTCTCAAAACAGTGTCTTTAAATGTATAAAATTAAATATATAAGATTACTAAGGAAATGAACAATATTGAAATACCTTTTAAAGATTTGTGATGTAGTCATTTATGTGCTTCATTAACAAGTTACAGTAGTGGGTCTCATAACTACTGTAATTTTGAAATAGTGATGCACACAAATGATATTTCAAGATATCAGCCACAGCCGTAATGTTACAGGAAAATATGATTTCTATTGGTGATAAAATCACAACTCTTGCTAATACTGTTGTTTGTTGCCTACATTGGTAATCGAGGGAAAAGCTAACTTTCAGTTAGATATTAGTAAAAATACAAATCCCAGTTCATAGACCCACAGAATTCCATCCATGGGTCCCTAAATGGTTAAGTTCTCTTGCACCTGAGAAGAAGAGAGGGCAAAAGTTGAAAATGAGGTTGCGATAGTAACCCCTAAATAAGACAATGTTCTGTCCGCTGCTGAAAAGTCAAAGTAGGCTGAGAAAGATGAAGACATTAATTGTATTGGAGGCAAAAAGAAACAACAAGTACACAATCAAACAAATAACAATAAAGGAAAAGCTGCTCCCACCTCTGATTTTGTTCACCAAATGTCTGGAAATCAGAACTGATTTAACCATAGACATTTAGTCACTACAGTCACTAAGCATGATGATGGGCCAGCATCAACCAGAAAGTGTTAAAATATATGTTGCTTCTGTTTTCTGCTCAAAGAATCCCTTCATTTGTTTCCTTTTCTCTACAGGAGGATGCCTAATCTTTTAGGGTTGGTTTCCAGGGATTCCCAGTACCTCTTTCCCATACAAAGCCTTCTCTGACCCTCTCTAGCTCATCACCCCTTGCTCTAGACTTGCCTAGCTCTCTCTACCTACTTCCAATCTAGTCCTCACTTACTGTATTCTAGTTCCTTGTTCCACATATCTATTTCACTAGACTGTGACCTCCCCAAACATAGGAGCTATGTGAGACAAATGTCTTGCAGTAGGTAATCAATTTATATGTTTTGCATATATATGCTAATGAGTGAAATGTCTTGTTTCCACTGAATCAGTCATTTCAAACAACTGGCTTTGACCACATCACTAGTTCATGCTGCAATTTGGTTGGGACAAGGGTAAAGGTGGGTTCTGTGGAGTTAGTTGTTCGCCAGTTGCCAAATTCTAAGACAGTTACTAGTACAGCTGACTACAAACCGACTTGTAATGTAGCTTAAACTTTCACAGTGAGAATTAACATCATTCAAATGT
The DNA here is from genome assembly GCF_000001405.40 of Homo sapiens. Lineage (NCBI taxonomy): Eukaryota > Metazoa > Chordata > Mammalia > Primates > Hominidae > Homo > Homo sapiens. The sequence continues at coordinate 111,030,861 of NC_000023.11, read as the reverse complement.
ATTAAAACTAAGCTAAATGCAGCATTTGTATCACTGTTAGGTACATTTAAAATGTAATTAAAGAAGTGGAAAATAACCAGGAAGTATTTCATGATGTCTTGAGGCAGGTCTACCTGAACTTCAAAAACAATCAGGAAACAAGCAGATGAAGCTCAGATTTTTTTCCTTTTTCTCAGTCTAGCAATAGTCTAGCCATCCTTCCATCTAGCTCCATCCATCCATCCAACATCCCTTCAACTATCCATTCATTCATCTATGATCCATACATTCAACATCCCTTCATCCATCCACCCACCCATCTATTTGGCCAACATAAATAGAGTAGTTTAATCTTTGGCTTTAATCTTCTTGGAATCTTAAAGCCAAATAAACTCCACAATTAATGTAGTCTCTCAAAGGGAGTGTCATGTGAAAATTCTGGTGGCAAATATGGAAATCGGATCTTTAACAATTGTTGAGTTGAACTAAGCAGCCCTTCTCTTAAGCTTTCTAGATCTTTTCAGTCCTGTCCTTCCTTCTCACTACACATTCCCAATAATTCTCATACATCAACTCTACCACTCTTCTACACAAAATTTCTCCTCAGTGAACACGGGCAAGAAAACTCGGAGATGAACCATGTTGCCTAGAAATATTTAAAAAAAAACCAAAAAGATATGTTATGAATGCATAAAATATATGTAGATACTCATATATTTTATCATTTACTCCCATAAAAATACACAAATCTATTATAAAAAGTTAAAATTTATCAAAACTTATGCACAAACAGACCATACATGGCACCATTCACAGTTGAGAGAAATGTAAGCAGATGTAATGATGCAGTATTAAATCATGACTGCATAAAATTAATTGTAGTACACACTGTACTGCTGTAATATTTTGTAGCCAACCTCCTGTTGTTCTTGTAGTGAGCTCAAGTATTATGAGTGTTCCTTAAAATGCCATGTGATGCTAATCATCTTCAAGTAAGCAGATCCTCTCTCCAGTTAATTGCAGATCACAGTAAAAAGTGATCCTTGTTGTTCTTACATGTTTTTCATCACATATAGTGCAATGCTGTAAACCTTGAATAACACCAGGAGATCCACACGAAGTGCCATTAGTCATGCTGGAAGTGCTCCCAAGAAGCAGAGAAAAGTCAAGACACTACAAGAAAAAGTTGATTGCTTGATATGTACTGTAGATTGAGGTCTGCAGCTGCAGTGGCCCACTATTTCAGACAGACGATTCATCTTTTAAACAGATGATGCAAGCTTACGGTATTGATAAATGCAGTATGGTATAGTAAAAGTATTTTCTCTTCCTCATGACTTTCTTGATAATATTGTATTTTTCCTGGCATACTTTATTGTACTTTATTGTGAGAATACAGTATATAATGCATATAACATACAAAATACACGTTGATTGACTGTTTATGTTCTCAGTACTGCTTCTGGTCAATGGCGGGCTATTAGTAGTTAAGTTTTGGGGGACTGAAAAGTTATATACTGATTTTTACTGTGTGGGGGCTTGGCAACCCTAACTCCCATATGGTTCCAGGGTCAACTGAAATTGCATCTTCGTCTGTTCTATTGTAGCATTTCATACCTACATTCCTTGCAATATGTATGATGTTGTAGAGTTTTATCATTGCCTATAGGCTTCTCTTTGTTGATTGTGATCTGCTCAAAGGTAGAGGCCGTTATTTCTTTATTTCTTTATTGTTTTATTTATTTTTGAGACAGGGTCTTGCTCTGTTACCAGGCTGGAGTGCAGTGGCATGACCACAGCCCACAGCAGCCTGCATCTCCTGGGCTCAAGCAATCCACTTGCTTCAGCCTCTCAAATAGCTGGGATTACAGGAGTGCACCACTGTGGCACAGCTAATTTTTTTTTTTTAAATTGTAGAGACAGGGTCTCCCTATTTTTTCCAGGCTGGTCTTGAACTTGTGGCCTGAAGCAATCGTCTGGCCTCAGCCTCCCAAAGTGCTTAAATTATAGGCATGAGCCACTGTGCCCAGCTGAGACTGTGTTTTAGAGGCAACACAGTGAACTTCCTGGTCTCAACAGAGAGCCTCACTTTCCTCATCTGTATATTGGGGATAATAACAGTAGCTTCCCCACAGGTGGTTGTGAAAATTAAATAATGTTTGTAAAGTACTTGGAACACAGCAAGTGCTTACTAAGTGTTTGCTCCTATTATTGCTTTTTATTTACCTTATCAACCCAACTTTTATTAACAGATGTATCTAGCTGACTTCCATATTGGTTTAGTTCTACCACAAAACAGGCTTCAATTTTTAATTGCTTTTTTTTTGTTAAATTATTATTTTTCCCTTATACTAAAATTTCAATTTGGATTTCTAACAAATTCTTTTTTCATTGTGGTAAAATATACATAAAATAAATTTACCATTTTAATCATTTTTGCTTGTACAAATCTGTGGCAATAAATACATTCACTTTTTTAAATTTAATTTCAATACGTTTTTGGGGAACAGGTGGTTTTTGTTTACCTGAATAAATTCTTTAGTGGTGATTTCCGATATTTTTGTGCACCCATCACCCGAGCAGTGTACACTCTACCCAGTGACTAGTCTTTTATCCCTCACCCCCTCCCACCCTTTCCCCCAAGTCCCCAAAGCCAAATGTATCTTATGCCTTTGTGTCCTCATAGCTTAGTTCCCACATATGAGTAAGAACATACGATGTTTGGTTTTCCACTCCTGAGTTACTTCACTTAGAATAATAGTCTCCAGTTCCATCCAGGTTGCTGTGAATGCCATTATTTCATTCCTTTTTATGGCTGAGTAGTATTCCATGGTGTGTGTATATATATATACACACATATATATGTATATATATATACACACACACACATATATATTATATACATATATATGTATATATACACATATCACATTTTCTTTATCCACTCATTGATTGATGGGCATTTCGGCTGCTTCCATATGTATGCAATTGCAAATTGTGCTGCTATAAACATGTGTATGAAAGTATCTTTTTCATATAGTGACTTCTTTTCCTCTGGATAGATACCTAGTAGTGGGATTGCTGGATCAAATGGTAGATGTACTTTTACTTCTTTAAGGAATCTTCACACTGTTTTCCACAGTGGTTGTACTAGTTCACATTCCCACCAACAGTGTAAAAGTGTTCTCTTTTCACTGCATCCACACCAGCATCTATTATTTCTTTATTTTTTATTATGGCCATTCTTGCAGGAGTGAGGTGGTATTGCATTGTGGTTTTGATTTATATTTCCCTGATAATTAGTGATGTTGAGCATTTTTCCATATGCTTGTTGGCCATTTGTGTATCTTCTTTTGAGAATCGTCTATTCGTGTCCTTAGCCCACTTTTTGATGGGATTGTTTGTTTTTTTCTCGCTGATTTGTTTGAGTTCTTTGTAGACTCTGGACATTAGTCCTTTGTCAGATGTATAGATTGTGAAGATTTTCTCCCACTCTGTGGGTTGTCTGTTAACTCTGCTGATTATTTATTTTGCTGTGCAGAAGCTTTTTAGTTGAGTTAAGTCCCATCTATTTATCTTTGTTTTTGTTGCATTTGCTTTTCGGTTCTTGGTCATGAAGTCTTTGCCTAAGCCAATGTCTAGAAGAGTTTTTTTTTTTTAAATGTAATCTTCTAGAATCTTCATGGTTTCAGGTCTTAGATTTAAGTCTTTGATCCATCTTTAGTTAATTTTTGTACAAGGCGTGAGATGAGAATCCAGTTTCATTCTTCTACATGTGGCTTGCCAATTATCCCAACACCATTTTTTGTACATAGAGTGTCCTTTCCTCACTTTATGGTTTTGTTTGCTTTGTCAAAGATAAGTTGGCTCTAAGTGTTTGGCTTTATTTCTGGGTTCTCTATTCTGTTTCATTCACCTATGTGCCTATTTTTATACCACTACGATACTGTTTTGATGACTATGGCTGTGTAGTATAGTTTGAAGTCAGGTAATGTGATGCCTCCAGATTTGTTCTGTTTTCTTAGTCTTGCTTTGGCTATGTGGGCTCTTTTTTGCTTCCATATTAATTTTAGGATATTTTTTCTAGTTCTGTGAAGAATGATGCTGGTAATTTGATGGGAATTGCACTGAATTTGTCCACTGCTTTTGGCAGTATGGTCATTTTCACAATACTGACTCTACCTATCCATGAGCATGAGAAGTGTTTCCATTTGTTTGTGTTGCCCATGATTTCTTTCAGCAGTGTTTTGTAGTTTTCTTTGTAGAGGTCTTTCACTTCCTTGGTTAGGTATATTCCTAAATATTTTATTTATTTATTTTTACAGCTATTGGGAAGGGGGTTGAGTTCTTTATTTGATCTCAGCTTGGTCACTGTTGGTGTATAGCAGAGATACTGATTTGTGTACATTAATTTTGTATCCTAAAACTTTGCCGAATTCATTTCCCAGTTCTAGGAGCTTTTTGGAAGAGTCTTCAGAGTTTTCTAGGTATACAATCATATCATCAGCAAATAGGGACAGCTTGACTTCCTCTTTACCAATTTGGATGCCCTTTATTTCTTTCTCTTGTCTGATTGCTCTGGCTAGGACTTCCAGTACTATGTTGAATAGAAGTGGTGAAAGTGGGCAGCCTTATCTTGTTCCAGTTATCAGGGGGAATGTTTCAGCTTTTCCCCATTCAGTATAATATTGGCTATGTGTTTGTTGTAGATGGCTTTTATTACCTTAAGGTATGTCCCTTCTATGCAAATTTGCTGAGGGTTTTAATCATAAAGGAATGCTGGATTTTGTCAAATGCTTTTTCTGCATCTATTGAGATGATCATGTGATTTTTTGTTTTACATTCTGTTTATGTGGTGTATCACATTTATTGAGTTAAATATATTAAACTATCTGTGCATCCCTCATATGAAACTCACTTGATCATGGTGGATTATCTTTTTGATATGCTGTTGGATTTGGTTTGCTAGTATTTTGTTGAGGACTTTTGCATCTATGTCCTACTTTCGGGATATTGGTCTGTAGTTTTCTTTTTTTTTTTTTTGTTATATCCTTTCCTGGTTTTGGTATTAAGGTATTAGTCTGGCTTTATAAAATGATTTAGGGAGGATTCCCTCTTTTTCTATCTTGTGGAATAGTATGAATAGGATTGGTACCAATTCTTCTTTGAATGTCTGATAGAATTCACCTGTGAATCCGTTGGGTCCTGGACATTTTTTGTTGTTGGCAATTTTTAAATTACCATTTGAATCTCGCTGCTTGTTATTGATCTGTTTGGAGATTCTGTATCTTCCTGGTTTAATCTAGGAGGGTTGTATATTTCCAGGAATTTATCCATTTCCTCTAGGTTTTCTAGTTTATGCACTTATAGGTGCTCATAGTAGCCTTGAATGATCTTTGGTATTTCTGTGGTGTTGGTTGTAATATCTCCCGTTTTGTTTCTAATTGTGTTTATTTGGATCTTCTCTCTTATTTTCTTGGTTAATCTTGCTAATGGTCTATCAATTTTATTTATCTTTTCAAATAACCAGCTTTTTGTTTCATTTATCTTTTGTATTTTTTTGTTTCAATTTCATTTAGTTCTGCTCTGATCTTCGTTATTTCTTTGCTTCTGCTGGGTTTAGGTTTGGGTTGTTCTTGTTTCTCTAGTTCTGTGAGGTGTGATCTTAGATTTGTGCTCTTTCAGACTTTTTGATGTAGGCATTTAATGCTACTAACTTTCTTCTTAGCACTGCTTTTTGCTGTATTCCAGAGGTTTTCATAGGTTGTGTCATTATTATTGTTCAGTTCAAATAATTATTTTAATTTCCATATGAATTTCATTGTTTACCCAAGGATCATTCAGGACTACATTATTTAATTTCCATGTATTTGCATGGTTTTGAGGGTTCCTTTTGGAGTTGATTTCCAACTTTATTCCACTATGGTTTAAGAGAGTACTTGATATAATTTCGATTTTCTTAAATTTACTGATACACGTTTTGTGGCCTATCATATGGTCTGTCTTGGAGAATGTTCCATGTGCTAATGAATAGAATGTATATTCTGAAGTTGTTGGGTAGAATGTTCTGTAAATATCTGTTAAGTCCATTTGTTGTAGGGTACAGTTTAGGTTCATTGTTTCTTTGTTGACTTTCTGTTTTGATGACCTATCTAGTGCCATCAGTGGAGTATTAAAGTCCCCCACAATTATTTTGTTGCTGTCTATCTAATTTTTAAGTCTAGTAGTTGTTTAATAAATTTGGGAGCTCCAGTTTTAGGTGCATATATATTTAGAATTGTGATTTTTTCTGTTGGACTAGTCCTTTTATTATTATATAATGTCCCTCCTTGCCTTTTTTAACTGCTTTGCTTTAAAGTTTGTTTTGTCTGATATAAGAATTGTGAAAATGGCCAAACTGCCCAAAGTAATTTATAGATTCAATGCTATCCCTATCAAGCCACCACTGACTTTCTTCACAGAATTGGAAAGAACTACTTTAAATTTCATATGGAACACAAAAAGAGCCCACATAGCCAAGACAATCCTAAGCAAAAAGAACAAAGCTGGAGGCATCACTCTACCTTACTTCAAACTATACTACAAGGCTACAGTAACCAAAACAGCATGGTCCTGTACCAACACAGAGATATAGACAAATGGAACAGAACAGAGGCCTCAGAAATAACACCACACATCTACAACCATCTGATCTTTGACAAACCTGACAAAAACAAGCAATGGGGAAATGATTTCCTATTTAATAAATGGTGCTGGGAAAACTGGCTAGCCATATGCAGAAAGCTGAAACTGGATCCCTTCCTTACATCATATACAAAAACTAACTCAAGATGGATTAAAGACTTAAATGTAAGACCTAACACCATAAAAACCCTAGAAGAAAACCTAGGCAATACCATTCAGGACATAGGCATGGGCAAAGACTTCATGAGTAAAACACAAAAAGCAACAGCAACAAAAGCCAAAATAGACAAGTGGGATCTAATTAAACTAAAGAGTTTCTGCACAGCAAAAGAAACTATAATCAGAGTGAACAGGCAACCTACAGATTGGGAGAAAATTTTTACAATCTATCCATCTGACAAAGGGCTAATATCCAGAATCTACAAAGAATTTAAACACATTTACAAGAAAAAAACAAACAACCCCATCAAAAAAATGGGTGAAGGATATGAACAGACCCTTCTCAAAAGAAGACATTTATGCAGCTAACAAACTTATGAAAAAATGCTCATCATCACTGGTCATTAGAGAAATGCAGATCAAAACCACAATGAGATACTATCTCATGCCTGTTAGAATGGCAATCATTAAAAAGTCAGGAAACAACAGGTGCTGGAGAGGATGTGGAGAAATAGGAACACTTTTACACTGTTGGTGGGAGTGTAAATTAGTTCAACCACTGTGGAAGACAGTATGGAGATTCCTCAAGGATCTAGAACTAGAAATAGCATTTGGCCCAGCAATCCCATTACTGGGTATATACCCAAAGGATTATAAATCATGCTGCTATAAAGACACATGCACATGTATGTTTATTGCAGCACTGTTCACAACAGCAAAGTCTTGGAACCAACTCAAATGCCCATCAATGAGAGACTGGATAAAGAAAATGTGGTACATATACACCATGGAATACTATGCAGCCATAAAAAAGGATGAGTTCATGTCCTTTGCAGGGACATGGATGAAACTGGAAACCAACATTCTCAGCAATGTAACACAAGATGAGAAAACCAAACACCGTGTGTTCTCACTCATAAGTGGGAGTTGAACAATGAGAACACATGGACACAGAGAGGGGAACATCACACACTGGGGCCTGTCAGTGAGTGGGGGCCTGGGGGAGGGATAGCATTAGGAGAAATACCTAATGTAAATGCTGAGTTGATGGGTGCAGTAAACCAACACAGCACATGTATACCTATGTAACAAACCTGCACATTGTGCACATGTACCCCAGAACTTAAAGTATATATATATATATAAAAAGAATAGCTACTCCTGCTCACTTCTGGTGTCCGTTTGCATGGAATATCTTTTTCTACCCCTTTACCTTAAGTTTATGTGAATCCTTATGTGTTAGGTGAGTCTCCTGAAGACAGCAGAAACTTGGTTGTTGAATTCATATCTATTCTGCCATTCTGTATCTTTCAAGTGGAGCATTCAGGTCATCTATTTTCAATGTTAGTATTGAGATGTGTGATATTATTCTATTCATTGTGTTATTTGTTGCCTGAACAACTTGTTTTTGTTTTTTTTCATGGTATTATTGTTACATAGGTCCTGTGAGATTTATGCTTTAAGGAGGTTCTATTTTGTTGTATTTTGAGGATTTGTTTAAAGATTTAGAGATCGTTTCAGCATTTCTTTTAGTGCTGGCTTAGTAGTGGCGAATTCTCTTAGCATTTGTTTGTCTGGAAAAGACTGTGTCTTTCCTTCATTTATGAAGCTTAGTTGCTCTGGATACAAAATTCTTGGCTGATAATTGTTTTGTTGAAGGAGGCTAAAAATATGTCGCCAAACCCTTCTAGCTTATAGGGTTTCTGCTGAGAAATCTGCTGTTAATCTGATAGGTTTTCCTTTGTAAGTTACCCGATGCTTTTGCCTCACAGCTCTGAAGATTCTTTTCTTTGTCTTGACTTTAGATAACCTGATGGCTATGTGCCTAGGTGGTGATCTTTTTGTGATGAATTTCCCAGGTGTTCTTTGAGCTTCTTGTATTTGGATGTCTAGATCTCTAGCAAGACTGGGGAAGTTTTCCTCAATTGTTCCCTCAAATATGTTTTCCAAACTTTTAGATTTCTCTTCTTCCTCGGGAGCACCAATTATTCTTAGCTTTGGATGTTTAACATAGTCTCAAACTTCTTGGAGGCTTTGTTCATTTTTAAAAATTCTTTTTTCTTTTTCTTTGATGGATTGGGTTAATTTGAAAGCTTTGTCTTCGAGATCTGAAGTTCTCTCTTCTGCTTGTTTGATTCTATTACTGAGACTTTCCAGTGCATTTTGCATTTCTCTAAGTGTGTCCTTGATTTCCTGCGGTTGTGATTTTTTTTATTCATGCTATCTACTTCACTGAAGAATTTTCCGTTCATATCCTATATCATGTTTCTGATTTCTTTAAGTTGGACTTTACCTTTCTCTAGTGCCTCCTTGATTAGCTTAGTAATTGACCTTCTGAATTCTTTTTCTGGCACTGCAGAGATTTCATCTTGGTTTGGATCCATTGCTGGTGAGCTGGTATGATCTTTGGGGGGTGTTAAAGAACCTTGTTTTGTCGTATTACCAGAATTGTTTTTCTGGTTCCTTCTCATGTCAGAAGGAATATCTAGGTTTCAATGGCTGCTGTTCAGATTGTTTTGTCTCATGGGTGCTCCCTTAATGTGTTATTTTCCCCTTCCTCTAGGAAAGAGGCTTCCTGAGAGCTAAGCTGTAGTGATTTGTTTTTGCTCTTCTGGGTCTAGCCACCCAGTGGAGCTATTGGGCTCCAGACTGGTACTGGGGAGTTTCTGCAAAGAGTCCTGTGATGTAATCTGTCTTCAGGTCTTGCAGTCCTGCATACCAGCAGCTGCTCTGGTGGAGGTAGCAGGGGAGTAAAATGGACTCTGTGAGGGTCTTTGGTTGTGTTTTTGTGTAGTGGGCTGGTTTTGTGTTGGTTGGCCCCCAGCCAGGAGGTAACCCTTTCAGGAGTGCATCAACTGTGGCCCTACAAGGAGGATGCAAAGACACCTGATTAAGTATTCAGGTTTCTCAGGAGGTAGGAAGGGCAATAGAGCTCCCAAGAGATTATGACATTTGTCTTCCCGGGGGCAGGTAGAGAAAGACCACTAGTTGGGGATAGGGATAAGCATGTCTGAGCTCCGCCTCTCCTTATGCAGTGTTTGCTGTGGCTGCTGTGGGGGATGGGGGTGTTGTTCCCAGTCCAGTGGAGTTATATACCCAGGGGGATTATGACTGCCTCTGATAAGTCACACAGGTCACCAGGGAAGTGGTGGAAAGCTGGCAGTCACAGGCCTCACCCCTTTCCCACAGAGCCCACAGTCCTAAAGGCCGGTCTCACTTCCACCATACCCCCACAACAGCACCAAGTCTATTTCTAGGCAGCCAATGATCAGGGCTGAGAACTTACCCCAGACCACAAGCCTCCCCACTGGCTGAGAAAGCAAACAGACACAGGTTTTTGACATCTCAGGGAACCTGCAGTGGTGATCCAGTTCCTTCAAAGGGTCTGTGGATTCTCTCGGCTTCCCTGGTATGTTCCTGTGGTAGTTCTTGGAGCAAAAGTTCATGATGAGAGTCTCTATACACTGCTCTGTCTGTCTGAGTGGGAGCTGCAAGCTAGTCCTGCCTCCTATCTGCCATCTTAATCCTCCCTCAGGCCTACATTCACATTGTTGTGCAATCATCATCACTCTCTCCAGAAATGTTTCATCTTCCCCAACTGAAACTGTATACCCAATAACCAACAATTCCCCATTCTCCCCTCCTCTCAGCTCCTGGAAACCACCATTCTACTTTCTGATTGTATGGATTTGAGTACTCTAAGTACTTTATACAAATGGAATCATACAATATTTGTCCTTTGGTGTCTGGCTTATTACACGTAGCATAATGTCTTCAAAGTTCATCCATTCCTGTAGAATATGTCAGAATTTCCATCCTTTCAAAGGATGAGTAACATATACATTTTCTTTATTCATCTGTTGGTGCACACTTGGGATGCTTCTAACTTTTAGCTATTGTGAATAATGCTGCAAGGAACATGGATGTGTAAATATCTACTGAAGTCCCTGCTTTCAATTTCTTTGGGTATATACCCAGAAGTAGAACTGCTAGATCATATGGTAATTCTATTTTTAATTTTTAAAGGAATTATCATACCATTTTCCATAGCAGCTGTACCATTTTACATTCCCACCAGCAATGCACATGAGTTCCTATTTCTCCACATCCTGGCTAACACTTGTTATTTTTTGTGTGTTTGTGTGTGTGTGTGGTTTGTAAAATGGCCATCCTACTGGTGTAAGGTGGTATCTCATTTGTTGTTTTGATTTGCCTTTCTCCAATGACTAGTGATGTCAAGCACCTTTTCATGTGTATATAGGTCATTTGTATATCTTCTTTGGAGAAATGTATATTCAAATCATTTGCCCCCCCCCCTTTTTCTTTTCTTTCTTTCTTTTTTTTTTTTTGGAGGCAGGGTCTCACTCTGTCACCCAAGCTGGATTGCAGTGGCACAACCACAGGTCACTGCAGCCTCAACCTCCTAGGCTCAATCAATTCTGCCACCTCAGTTTCCTGAGTAGCTGGGACTACAGGAGACATGCCAGGCTAATTTTTTTTTTTTTTTTTGTAAAGATGGTGTTTTGCCATGTTGCCCAGGCTGGTCTCAAACTACTGGGCTCAAGCCGTCTTCCTGCTTTGGCCTCACAAAGTGCTGGGATTACAGGCAAGAACCACTTTGCCTGGCCTTTGCATAATTTTATAATCGAATTTTGTGGTTGTTGTTGAGTTTACAATTCTGGATATCAATCCCTTACCAGATATAGGATTTGCAAATACTTTCTCTCATTCTGTAGGATGCCTTTTCACTCTGATATTGTCTTTTGATACATAAAGGTTTTTAATTTTAATGACATCCAACTTATCCATTTTTTTGTTGCCTATGCTTTTGATGTCATATACAATAAATCATTGCCAAATCCAATGTCACGAAGATTTTCCCCTATGTTTTCTTCTAAGAGTTTTATAGTTTTAGTTATTATGGTTAGGTGTTTTATCTGTTTTAAGTTAATTTATGTATATGGTGTAAGGTAAAGGCCCAACATCATTCCTTTGCATGTGGATATCCAGTTTTCCCAGCCACCATTTGTTGGAAAGATTGCTCTTTCCCTATTGAATGGACTTTGTGCCCTTGTCAAAAGGGTACAAAAAGGTACCATCTAATGAGGGTTTATTTCTGGGCTCTCTTCTACTCCATTGGTATATGTGTCTGTCATTATGACAGTGCCACAATATTTTGATTACTGTAAGCTTCGTAGTATGTTTTGAAATTAAGAAGTGTGAGTTCTCCAACTTTGCTCTGTTTCATGATTGTTTCACTCATCTGGGGTCCCTTGAGATTCCATATAAATTTTAGGATGGATTTTCCTATTTCTGCAACAAAAGTCACTGGGGTTTTGATAAGGATTGCACTGAATCTGTAGATCACTTTGGGTAGTGACATCATAAATATGTTAAGTCTTTCAATCTAAGAGCATGAGATGTATTTCCATATTTCCATTTATTTGTGTCTTTAATCTCTTTCAGCAATGTTTTATACTTTTCAGTACACATTTATTTGTCTCCTTGGTTAAGTTTATTCCTAAGTATTTTATTCTTTTTGACACTATTTTAAATGAAATCGTTTTCTTCATTTCCTTTTCAGATTGCTTGTTGTCGGTGTATAGAACTACAACTGATTATTGTATGTTGATTTTACAGCCTGACAATTTCCCAAATTGATTTATTAGTTCTAATAGTTTTTAAAATAAAATCTTCAGCATTTTCCATATAGAAGATCATATTGTCTGTAAAGAGAGATAATGTTACTTTTTCTTTTTCAATTTAGATTCTTTTTATTTATTTTTCTTGCCTAATTGCTGTCTGTCTAGGCATTCTAATACTATGTTCAATAGAGGTGCCAAAAAGCTGACATCCTTGTCTTGTTCTGATCATTGAGTAAAAGCTTTCAGTCTTTTACCATTAAGCATGATGTTAGCTGTAGGTTTTTCATATATGGCCTTATTATGTTGAGGTAGTTTTCTTCTATTTTTAGTTTATTGAGTTCTTTTTAAAAATCACAAAAAGGTGTTGAATTTTGTAAAATGCTCTTTCTGTGTAACTTGAGATGGTCATGTGGTTTTCCCCTTCATGCTGTTAATGTGGTGTATAATATTGATTGATTTTTTTAATGTTGACCCATCAATGCATTTGAGGAATAAATCCCACTTACTCAAGGCATATAACCCTTTTAATATGCTATTGAATTCTATTTGCTAGTATTTTGCTGAGGATATTTGCATCAATATTCATAAGGTATATTGGTCTGTAGTTCTCTTGCAGTGTCTCTTTCTAGCTTGATATCAGGGTAATGCTGGCTTCATAGAGTAAGTTAGGAAATATTCTCTTTTCTTTAATTTTTTAAGAGTTTGAAACAAATTGATGTTAATTACTCTTAAATGTTTTGTGGAAATTAGAGGTGAACCCATTGGATCTTGGCTTTTCTTCCTTTAAATTATTTTGATTACTGATTTCATCACCTTACTAGTTATAGGTGTATTGGCATTGTCTATTTCTTCATAATTCAATATTGGTAGGCTGTATGTTTCTACAAATTTGTCCATTTTATCTAGGTTACCACATTTGTTAACATGCCATTCTTCATTGTACTCCCTTATAATCTTTTTATTCCTTTAACATTTTTGGTAATGTCTGTGCTTTCATTTCTGATTTTAGTTACTTGAGGCTTCTCTTTTTTTTGCTTAGTCGATCTAGCTATAAACTCTGTCAATTTTGTTGATCTTTTCAAAGAGACATCTCTTGGATTCATTGCTGTTCTCTATTTTATTCTATTTTATTTATTTTATTTTCTATTCACTATTTTTATTTATCTCTGTTCCAATCTTTATTGGTCTCTTTCCTCTGCTAGCTTTGGGTTTAGCTTGTTATTTTTTAATTCCTTAAGGTGTGAAGTTAGGTTGTTGATTTAAGAACTTCTTTCTCAATGTAAACATTTATAGCCATGAATATCACTTTTAGCACTGCTTTCACCGTGTTCCATAAATTTTGATATGTTGTATTTTCATTTTCATTCATCTCAAGGTGTTTTCTAATTTCCCTTGTGATGTTTTCCAGCCCAAAGCAGGGACTACTATCTTTGTTGAGTTTTCACTATTTAGCACTGAGAGCCCCAAAGGCAACATTAATTTTAAAATAAAGTAACAGGTCAGAAAATCCTATTTATCTCCAAGAGTCCTAGGGCAGGTGCTTTAATCAACTCCTAATTATTCCTTTCTTCTTTTGCCTCCTCTCCTCTCCTCTCCTCTCTTCTCCTCTCTTCTTCTCCCCTCCCTCCCTCCCTCCCTCTCTCCCTTCCTTCCTTCCTTCTTTCCTTCCTTTCTTCTTTAGCACTGATGTAGTATATGTGAGATAAGTAATGCATGGACATCATCCAAAAAGAGTCTACTGAATAGTAATCACATTTGTGGTCCTCCTCTCTACCTGCATTAATGGTTACTCTTGGAAATAACGCAAACAGTGAATTATCTTCCTGGTCGCAAAACAAATTTGGATCTTGGCACTTGAGCACGTGTGCACATATATATGTACACACACACACACACACACATACTTTTAAGAAGGCAAGCTGACAAAAAGTTTCTCTTTTGAATTTCTCATATTTCCATTCAGTTATCCCAGCATTGCCTCTCCCTGTCTCAGACAGCTAGTGCACAAATAATGATACCAGCTAACATTTATGGGGACCTTTCCGTATGTCAGGCACAATGTCCCCACCTGCTGCCATAGAGTCTCCTCTTCCTGAGAAGGCCCCATGTTTTCTATTCACTCCTCCAACCTATGTCTCTCCTTTGGCCCAATCATAGATGCTATCCTCTAAGCTTCCAGTTAACTAAAAAAATAATTTTGCTAAGGCACTCATGGCTGATAATAGGTTAATGTGCATATGGAGATTCAATTAATTGGTTGGTACATATTCGTGAGCACCTACTATGTGCGTGGCACAGAGCATGACACAACAGACAACACAAGAGGAATCATGCACTGTACCTTTGGAAAGCTTTGAGTTTCAGTGAGAAGACAGGATATAGACACATTAAAATAACACTAAAGAGCAAAAATAGACAAATATGACTACATTGAACTTAAAAACTTCTGTGTGGCAAAGGAAACAATCAAGAGTGAAAGAGCAACCCATTGAATGAGAGAATATATTTGCAAACCACATATCTGTTAAGGGATTAATATCCAGAATATATAAAGAACTTCTACAAATCAACAGCAACAGCAACAACAACAACAACAAATAACCTGATTTAAAAATGGTGGAAGGATTTGAATGGGCATTTCTCCAAAGAGATATACAAATGACTAATAAGCACAAAGAAGATGCTCTACATCAATAATCATTAGGGAAATACACATCATAACCACAATGAGATATCACCTTACACCCAATAGGATGGCCATTATCAACAAGAAAACAGAGAATAACAAGGGTTTGCAAGGATGTGAGAAATTGGAACCCTTGTGCATTGCTGGTAGGGATGTAAAATGGTGCAGCCACTATGAGAAACTGGATGGAGATTCATCAAGCAAACAAAACAATAACTACAATATGATACAGCAATTTTACATCTGGGTATATATTCAAAAGAGTCAAAAACAGTATCTCAAAGAGATACTTGTACACCAATGTTTATAGCAGCATATTCACAATAGTCAAAAGGTGGAAGCAACCCAAGTGTCCATCAACAGATGGATGGATAACCAAAGTATGATATATCCATACAGTGGAATATTATTCAGTCATAGAAAAGGAAGAAATCCTGTCACATGCTACAACATGGATCAACCTGGAGGACATTATGATAAATGAAAGAAGCCAGTCACAAAAAAGAAGCCAGTCACTATACTAGTTAGTAGTATAACTCGCGAGTTATACTACTTACTATACTACTTACTATACTAGTTAGTAGTATAACTTGCTAGTTATACTACTTACCAGTTACACTTGCTAGTATAACTAGTAAGTTATACTATTTACTAGTGCTAAACCCTGGGCTAGGAGCTTGATATAACTTAATCCTTGCATAATCCCTGAGATGACTACTATTATTGTCCCAATTTTACAGAAGAGGGACTTCAGAGAGTGGTAACATCATAAGGCTTCTCTAGCCAGAAGGAGCACATAAAAACAGAGTTGATAGGAATTTATTTCCTGGGCTGCTTCTCTTTTGTTCTTTTGGAAGATAAAGTCATTACAGCTCCAGTAAGTGAGTCCCTGCGGAACAAGGAAGCCGGCAAATATTTCTTAAAGTAAGTAGAACTAGAGCTGGTTTTCAAAGGGTGAATGCAAGTCAGACAGGAACCAAGAACAGTAGTGGACATTTCAGGCTTGGGGGCTTAGCAGTGCAAAGGTAAAGAATGTCCCAGTTGTGTGGGGAAGACAGAGAGCAGAACGAACGGCTGAAGCAAAGGGTTCCTTTAAGGACAATTGGAAGTCTCATGGGAGAGGCAGTTTAGGGCCAGGTTAGTGCAGTCTTGAATGGCAAGCAAAGGCATTTTAAACTTATGAGCAGGCCAGTGGTCTTCACACTGTGTTCCCTGAGGACCAAGGGTTCTGCCAGGAGCAAGGGGCCCAGAGCTTCCCTACTTTCTCACCCCCAACTTCTCACTTCAACTACAGTGTGTCTACATATTTTTTAAGGCATGTCTACTTTTATCTGCTTTACATTTTGGGATCTTAACTACCTAATTTTTTTTACTTGAAAAAAAAGGTGCTGCTGATTTGAAACCAAAGAACAAACAGACAAATGAACAAATGGACTTTGAACACCACTGCAACAGGCAGTGGAAAGCCGACTATGGTTTTTGACTAGGGGAATAATATAATCAGAGCTTTGTTTTAGAAATATAATTTTGCCAGTAGCATATAGTGTAGACTGGAGGAAAAGATGCTAAGTAGGGAGATCTGCTGGGACTTTGCTGTTTAAGATAACAAAGCCAGTGGCAAGTGGGAGTGGTTAGCAAAGGGAAAGATGTTTGAAACATTTCAAAGGATATACATACAGCCTGGTTAATGGATCACGTAACTGACACAACATGAAGAGGCAGGAAGTAGTCAAGGAATCACATCTTCAAAGAGGACATTTCTGCTGATGAGGAAGATATTTAGGGACACAGAGACCATTCAAGTGTACCTCAAGTCATTCCATGTTGGGCGAACTGAACTTCTGACTCCTCAGAAGAGAAAGCTGTCCTCTGTATGTTATTCTGGAAGAGAAAACAAGCTGATGCATTCATCTTCAAGAGTGAGTCAGGCAAAATAAAGGGCTGTTTTTTAAGACTACTCAGAGACCAGTTGTGGGATATTCCTGCCTGATAAGAAGAAATTCTGTTGGGGGTCCTAAAGAAAAATGGTGAGATACAAGCTTAGATTGGAGAAATGTTCTTATACGCCTGTACTATCTGTGCAGAGCAATAACTATTTTAGATTGGGCTCCAACAAATTCAGAATAGGAGCTACAGGGCAGCAACCAGATTTAATTCAATAGTCTCTAGAGCACCTAGTGCATTACTGGTGCTCAATCAGTGTTATATTAGCCATGGAAAGAAGCATGGATCTACATGCCTGAAGTAAAACAGAAATTGAGTTAGGCCAAATAAGACTCAAGCAGAGACCTAATGAGAGATGGAATTAGGGTCTCATGTTCTACCCATCTTCCCCAAGTGAGACAAATGCTGGATGGGGAATCCCTAATTTAAGGCTTAGCTCTGCTGCTAATTATGTATGTGACTTTTGACAAGTCATTTACCTCTCCAGGCCTAATTATCTCTGTTGTCAAATGAGAAGAGTGATTCCTGTCATACTATGATGCTGTGAGGGTAGAATTGGATTGTGAAATGAAATTGCTTTAAAAAGCATAAAGTATCACACACAGCAAAGTATCTTGATACAGATATTTTATGCCTGGAAAGTGGCATGTGAGCAGAATTTTTATAAATCAAACCACATATGAACATCTTAACAGGGCCAGGCACAGTGGCTCACGCCTGTAATCCCAAGACTTTGGGAAGCTGAGGTGGGAGGCTTGCTTCGGCCCAACCTGGGAAACATAGCGAGACCACATCTTTTTAAAAAATTAAAAAATAAGCCGGGTGCTGTGACACATGGCTGTGATTTCAGCTACTCAGTAGGCTGAGGTAGGAAAAATTGCTTGAGCCAGGAAAGTGAAGGCTGCAGTGAGCCATTATTGTACCACCACACTCCCGCCTGGGTGACAGAGTGAAAGACCCTGTCTCAAAAAAATGCAAATAAAAAAATAACACCTTAAGAGTTTGTAAAACAAATGTGAAATAATTTTACAGTGAACCCCCATGTACCCACCATGTCCTTGATACTTAAAAGCACTATTCAGCAATACTTTTGCAAAAGTAATTCCTTTAGTAAAGCAGATTGATGTTCCTCATCTTCTGTTAACTTGTGCTCACCTTACTTTTCCAGCCTTTCCAATTCCCCTTTTATTGTCCTGCAAAGGAAACTTTATCTGAGGGAGAACCAAAACATGTCTGCTGCCAACAAAATTTGTTTTCTTTTTGTTTCTCAAGGTTGAGCCTAAGGTGATCGTGGCTAGAAAAGGCAGGAGAATAATTGGATTGTGTCAGTGAAAGAAGGCATCTGGAGAAATTAGTCCAGTTAGATAAATTACAACCCACCATTTCTGGGATCCCAATGAAGAGAAGATCATATCCTTGGATGCCCACTCTTTACAACCGTCCTTTACTATGGGTCATACGTTGATTATTGGGAAGGCAAATGAAATCTGCTTAACTGATCAACAATAAACTTTTTGATAATAGGATGAGGGAATCAGAATGCAATTTATGAATATCAGCCAAGCAATTTTTCCATAAGTAAATTAAAACCCTTTGACCCAGCAATCTTTCCCACCATATTTACCAACACTGGTAAATATGTTTACCATATTATAATTAGTTAAGGGTCTTCCTGTTCCACCACACTTCATCTCCCTGATATGCAAGTGGTTTAGCAGCAAAGCAGGCAGACAAAAAGTCTCTGAGAATGACTACAATGTTCTAAACAACCCAAGTGCTTATCGATAGATGTACAGTTTAATAAATCCTGGCATATTCATATTGTTCATATTATGAAGTATCATGTAGTGGTTTGAAAGAATGTACCAGATCTATAACTACTGATGTGCT
This sequence comes from Homo sapiens, assembly GCF_000001405.40. Lineage (NCBI taxonomy): Eukaryota > Metazoa > Chordata > Mammalia > Primates > Hominidae > Homo > Homo sapiens. The sequence goes on along the minus strand of NC_000023.11, from coordinate 111,011,874 downwards.
AGGAGGTCTGTGATGCACTGTTAAGTGCAAAAGCCAAGCTGTAGAGAAACATATATCTCACAATCCCATTCTAGTACAAACAGCAAAATCCCCTATGGATGTCTTACATGCCTGAATACAAAGAAGGTTGCATGTGCACAAAGAAGGTTGTGGGAGGATTTGAACCCAGGCTGTTAATACTGCTTACACTGCAGAAGCAGAAGAACGGAGGAGAACATTCCTGTGCATTGTTTCACTGAGGGCAATGAATACGTGGAAAATTTACAATTTCTGAAAACACTTAATAATTCTTTAAAAGAATGATATGTAGTATTTAAAAGACTGCTACCCTCCACTGCTTCCTAGCCTTTCTGGTCCACTGTCCTGCATGTCTACATTGAGGGATAATAAAAGTTATTTCTTGCTGAGAGACTTTTTGTCTGCCTGCTTTGCTGCTAAACCACTTGCATGCCAGGGAGATGAAGTGTGGTGGAACAGGAAGACCCTTAATTAGGCTTCATCTTCCTACACCTTCCCAACATTTCTGGGAAACACAAATAACCTACATGGGAAGTCAGACACAGCCTTGTGCATAAACTGCTTTTGTGTGAGTAAGAGGCAGCTGTGTTTCAAAATCATGCCTTCATTTCGAGGAATCAGGAAATTGGCAAGCCGTGTGGTCTAGGAGTCCCAACTGCCCAAACTGCCTTCCCCTTGCTGCAGCCTCTCTCTTCTTTGGCATCCTACCTAACCACCCCCAGCCCCAAGAATAACAATCTGAATCACAAAAGAGGCACCATCTTTTGAGCACCCACTATGAGGCAAGCACTGTGCAAAGCACTTTCAAATTTATCACCTCAAGTTAATCTGCATCTCAACCTCTGTGATAGGTAGGCTGTGATTTTTCAAAACTAGAACAGGCAGAAGACATCTTATAAGGCTTTCACTGGGTTTATTCAGCCCCGGATATATCAAAAGTGGAGGATTTTTCCAGTGCTGTTCCAAGTACATTTTAAAGACACAGATTAGGAGTTCAGAGAAGTTGGCTAGTGCGCTAGACCATTTTTGTATTGCTGTAAAGAAATGCCTAAGGCTTGGTCATTTATAAAGAAAAGAGGTTTAATTGTCTCACAGTTCCGCAGGCTGTACAAGCATGGCACCAACATCTGCTTGGATTCTGGTGAGGGCTTCAGGAAACTTACAATCATGGTAGAAGGTGAAGGGGGAACCAGCATATCACATGGTGAGAGAGGGAGCAAGAGAGTCAGGGGAAAGGTGCTGCACACTTTTAAACAACCAGATCTTATGTGAACTCAGAATGAGAACTCACTCATCACCAAGGGGATGGCACTTAGCCATTCATGAGGAATCTGCCCCAGTGATCCAATCACCTCCCATAAGACCCCACCTCCAACACTGAGAATTACATTTCTACATGAGATTTGAAGGGAATACAGATCCAAACCATATCAGCTAGCACTTAAGAGTTCACACAACCATGAAGAGTAGAAATGGGCGTGGCTTGTCAAGGATTTGATTTGGCTAGAAGAACTTGCAGCTTCCCGGGGTTATCACAGAGCTCCTAGGGAGCTCTAATTCCCCAGCATGAAACTGGGTGGTTCTCACATAATCCCAAGAAGCCATTATTCATGATGTCAGTTCCTGACATTGGCATAGCACTTTACATTTTGCAAAAACATTCCCTGCATGTTTTTATATTTTATACTCATAAATCTGAGCGAGGTAAGGCAGGACAATTTCCACAATTATATAGAGGAAGAAACAGTTTCAGATGGGTTAGGTGAACAGCCTAACGTCAAAAACTAGGAAGTTCATGAACCAAGACTAAAGTCTAGCAGTGGATGAAGGAAGCTACTGTCTGTGGTTGCAAATGAATATTTTTTTTTCTGTTAATTATCCATGGTGGGATTATGGGGCCACAATATTACTCAGCCGTGTAAAGCATGGGTTTTGTCACTTGCTCTTGGACAAATCAGCCATTGGCTCTGTGCCTTAGTTTCCTGATCTATTAAAAGTAGATATTAACAATGCCTGGCCCCTAGAGTCATTGTAAGGATTCATTTATGAGATAACTCATGAAACACATTTAGCGCAGTGCTTGGCATGCAGGAATAATTCAGTACATATGCAGTATTATTCTTATTGTTTAATATATTTAAGATGTGGCTCTTGCCGATAGGTACAAATATAAAGCAGATTCTGTGAGGTTGTGGAGCCTATGAAGGTTATTCTGCAATAGATGCTTTAATATGAAGCAAATTTACTCATAATAACGGGGAGGCCAAAGATAGAAGACATGATAACAAACAGGACTGTGATTCTCAGACGTCATAATTGATAATAAGCCTTTTCAGGTTGTCTGTTGACCCTGGGGCCACGAAGACTAAGGTCAATGGGCAGCTGACATTGTGCTGTGCCTGCTTTCAGGTGTGCCAAGCCTGTCCTGGCAAGAAGTGGCTTCACCAGTCCCATTCTGCACTCTTCCAGTGCCATCTTTTAGACCTGGAATCTTTCCAGTGGGTAAATATCCTCACTCTTCCTAAAAGTACATGTATATCAGAGACACATATCCCTTTGCCCCCAAAGAGCAGGAGAGTGGAGAGAGAGAGTACAATTGAAAAAATGAGGAAGGAGAAACAAAGTGGGGATGTGAAGAGGTATGGAATAGTGACAAGAAGGGTTACAGAAGGCAATGAGCCCTGCCTTCCTCTGGATACAGCCAGCTTAAAGGGGTAATCAATTCAGAAGAGCTGTGGTTCTGTAACACTGTGAATGTACCAAATGTCACTGAATTCTTCATGTTAAAATGATAAATTTTCTGTTATATGAATTTTACTTCAATATTAAAAAAAAACCCTCAGGGGCTCTCAGTACCATGGTTACAGAGAAAATTTTAGGCAGACACTGGCTCTGGCTTGGGGTTCAAAGAGCCTTTCATGGGCAATAAATGCCTATTTGTGTCTTTCCTGTAACCTGTCCTCTCAGTGCTGCCCACTCGTGTGTATCTATGCATGTGTGTGCATGATTTCTCAGAGTAGCTCCTGTGATCCTTGACTGTAAGACTTTTCTCAAATAATAACAGCAATTAAAACACTCAACCCTTATTAAGCTCTCACTATGTACCCAGCTTTAATCCTTGCAGCAATCCCCAGAGGTAGGAATTATTATCACACCCTTACTACATGTGAGAGAATGGAGACTCAGAGAAGATCCAGGAGTTGCTAGAAAGTCACCCAGCAAGTAAAGTGGACATGCTAAAACTTGAACCCAGGCAGTGATGCTTCTGATGGCTGTGCTTGCAGCATAGTGCTCTCTGCTTCATGCACTGAACACCTACTCACTGCCAGGTGTCATGGAGACACCAGAAATGGTATAAAGGATAGGGCCTCCGCCCTCAGGGAAATGACAGTGAAGATTGGAGAGGGTCTACTGGAGGAGGCTGCAAAGTGTGCTTGGCTGCTAAGTAAATCTCATAATACAAAGGTGCTCAGAGAAGAGCTGACATGATAACCACAACAATTATGATATTTCATGTTGGCTGAGCACATTTATATGTGCCTGACATGTGTTTAACATGTCTGACTTCACTTATTCCTTACAGCAATTCTGTGATTTATATACCAGCACCAGTGTCACTTAAGAGTAACGGAACTGAGGCTCAGAGAGGTAAAACAAAGCAACTCATCCAAGATTGCACAACTAGCAAGTAGGACTAGACTGGATTTGAACTACTCTTTGTCTACACATAGAAGAAACTTAATAAATGCCCATCAAGTCCATGACTATCTTCCATTTCTTGAGCACTTGCTGTACTCGCTATTTGATTTAATACTCACAACTCTATGAAGTCAGTACAATTATTGACCCTATTTTATAGATGAGGAACCCAAAGCTCAGAGATGTTAAGTAACTTGCCCGAGTTCACACACTTATTAAGTGGTAAAGCGAGGATACAAACTCAGGGCTGACCAACTCCAGGGCCTTTCTCATTTGTCTTCTAGAGCTTTTCTCTGGGGTTGCATGCTCAGTAAAGCTCAGTTGCCTTCTGTGCATTCACACTAGTTGGCCTCGATTTGGATGTAAACAAGGAAGATATAAATAACAGGATAGCCTCTAATTCAATGCATGGAAAGCACAATCACAACACACAGGCAGAGGGGAAAGGAGCTACCTTGAGGGGGAAATGGTAGAGCAAGGTTTGGGAAGTTCTGATGGAAGCAGGGTCCTCCAAGTGAGAGACATTTTGGTTCTCCACTTACAGTGGAAGCAACAAACTCAAAGCATGCCACAGCCAGCATGAAATGGGAATCCTCCTTGGAATTTTATTTCTAAGAAAGGGGTCCTCACCTGGAGGAGGCAGCTGGACCCACGCAGCCTGTACCCTGACACTTCATCAGAACTATGTTGCTCTCTATAAGAGCCTCAGCTTGGCTCCACTGCCACCCACTGGAAAGGGCTGCACTTCTCCTGGGACTTGTATCATAAACTTGCTTTTGAAGAGACCATTCATACCTTCTTCCATTTGCTGCAAGCCTTTGTTTATGCTTATTCTGCTAGGTGCTCTGTTCTGTTCTGTGGATCAGAGTGACTCCCACAGGGCAGGTTGGGCCCCACTGCAGACTTTCTGAATCCCTCACGGGGAGTTGCCATGGTCAAGGGGTCAAGATGATGGGGCTGCCAATCCATAGAACTCTGCAGGCCCACTCCACTTAGAGAATTTTTCTTGCAGTTCCAAAATACTTGTTTACTGACTGACAAATTTATGGTGGGGTAATTCAGTCCAAGAATTGCTACTCTGAGGGTGGCCCATGGAATAACCTCATTGGCATCACCAGGGAGTCTATTAGAAATGCAGAATCTCAGGGGGGCATGGTAACTCATGCCTGTAAACTCAACATTTTGTTTGGGAGGCCAAGGCGGGAAGATCACTTGAGCCTGGAAAGTTGACGCTTCGGTGAGCCATGATCACACCACTACACTCCAGCAGAGGCAACAGAGGGAAAACTTATCAAAAAAAAAAAAAAAGAAAGAAAGAAAGAAAGAAAGAAAGAAAGAAAGAAAGGGAAATGCAGATTCTCAGGTCCCACTACAGACTTTCCGAATCAGAAACTGAATTTTAACCAGATCTCCAGGAGATGTGTATGAGCATTAAAGTGGAAGAAACACTGATGTAGGATAATGTCTCAGAAAGGCTTTCAGTCTCACCTATCTATAGCAGGTCCCCATTCCCTCTATTTGACTGAACCCAATGGTTTCCAAATTTGGTTGGGCTTTATTTCATCAGGGGATCTGTTTTATTTTTTATTTTTTAAAAAGAATTTTGTATTTCAAAATAATTTTAAACCAACAGAAGAGTTCTAAGAATAGTACCAAAAAAACCCTGTATACCCCTCACCCAGATGAGCCAAATTGTTAGCATTTTGCCATATTTGCTTTATTCCTCCTTTACATTTCTAGGTGTTTTTCTCCCTAATCCATTTGAGTTTGTTGCAGACATCATGCCTTTCACCGCTAGATACTTTAGTGCATATTTCCTAAGAAGGAGGACATCCTCTTACGTAATCACAGCACCATGGTTACCAAGTTCAGTAATTTTAACACTGACACAATTATATTACCTAATATATAGTCCATATTCAAATGTGGCTAATTGTCTCAATGATGTCCTTTGTGGCAATTTTGTTTTCCATCTGGGGAGCTTTTAAAAAGTACCAATGCTGTGGCCCTAACTCCATAGCAATTAAGACATAATCTCTGAGGGAGGGGACTCTGCATATATATTTTTTAAAGTTTTCCAAGAGATTCTAATGTGCAGGGCTGAGAAATACTGTGCTATAGGCTTTTTCTGTGACCCCTGTCTATTGCTGGGATAGGAACTCTTGTCAGCAGGGTAAACCCTGGGTATAATTTGTCTAGACCTCCATGTCTCCTTTAGTCTGAGTTCTGACATAATTAACTGTCTATGAGATGTACTGGGCCTTTCCTCATTGCTTTTTGATGCCACCTCACTAATGTAAACAAAACATTCATTTTTTCATCCTATTTTTTCTTACAGCTGCTTAGCACAGTCCTTATGAAAAAATGAAGCCTTGAAAATGGTATATCCTCTCGACAAAGCTAAGCCTGACAAGTTGGCTGCATTACCTAGAATTAGAGAAGAGCAAGGGCAGATGGTGGGAAAAGAACACCGGGGATATAGCAAATCACTTACCATAAGGGCCAAATTTCTCTTCGGGCTTGCCACAAAGTTTCCCTAGCATTGGACATTGCTTTCTCACAACTAGACTCTTCTCAAATTATCTTGTCTTGGAAAGCAAGCTGCTGAGGTGAGCAGATGTAGCAAGCTGGGGCTGCACTGGACTAGAAGGAAATGTACAGATGGGTAGCGATTCAAACACCAGCCAGCTAATCCCAGGAGCCAGCAGGCTTTTGCATTTCCTGAATGAATTTGGGTCAATCTAGCTGGTCAGTCTACCGGCTTCAATGTATCTGTTCTGTTTCCATCCCTTAGCAGACAAAGGGAAAGCCTGGAGGGTCTGAGGGGGAGCTGACAAAGAATTCATGACATTCAGTCTGTTGGGTGCAGCACTGTTTCTCAAGCATTGAACCAGCATGCTTCCGCCACCCTCCGCACCCCCTCCCACCCAAACATCTGTGTCACTGCAGCCAAAGAAAGTGAGCTTTCTTTACAAAGGGTCTGTTAGAGGGAATTTAGTCCAGATTTGTATGTGTTTGTGAGTATCTTCTAGAAGAGAAGGGAAGGCAGAAAAGGTATCATTTGGCTTCAAAGTTGCTTTGTAAATGCTTGACAAATTGACTTGCTTTTAGTATATATTGATATTCTTTAATATTCGAGAGAACTAGCCAACTCAGATGGATTGCTTTAACAGATGCATCTTTGCAGTTAGTCAATAACAAAATATTTGTGAGCTGTTAGTATCTTTCCTCTTCTCAGAAACTCAATAATGTGCCAAATGAGATCATTCCCTCTGACCCACGAGTCGAGAACATTTTGAATTGTGTTCACTCTGATTAACAACTAAAGAATACTCTAGTTATCACCAAAGCCCAAATGGAGGGCACTTGTATTCCTAGACAACCATTAGGAAATTCCTTAATTGGAGCTCAGTGTGCACTGCTATTGCAATCTCTAATCATCTCTTTCACTGGAGGACTCCTTGTCTTATTACAGATTTTGGTGCCTGCCAGTAAAACAGAATGTGCTTAAATTGATCAAGTATGTGTGAATTGCACATATCCCAAATTTTCTTACAAAAAGGCCAACTTTAGGAAGTGTTTTCATAGGATATAATATTTCACATAGCTTCACTCGAGCTAACAAAGGATTGTCTTTCACAATAGAACAAATGACGAATATTCTCTCCAACCATTAATTTTTATTCTCCAATTATTTAATAGACACATGTGTACATTTCAGGCTGTTAACCCAAAGTCAGGTTTATATGTGACAGTATAGTTCAGACATACACTCACACAAATATCTCTCCTCTGAACCTGATTCTCGTCCTGTTCCTTTCAGGTAACTTGTCACTGCCTTAAGTAAGATCGAGTGGCTTCTTAACTCTCTCTATCCCTTGCCGCTGTTCCCATTCATCCTCCTACTACGCATATCCCCTGCCTTCAGAATAAAAGCCCCAAATTCTTAGTTTGGCACTCTAAGCTCTCTCCACAACCTAGTATCAAAGATTACCTCCACTACTCTCAGTTCTATTGCCAGTGCTCCAAACAAATTTCCTGTTATATATGAAGAAAGCTTGCCAAACTGTCCTGGAGCACTTGCTATATGCCAGACACTGTGTTAGCTAGTTCATAGCATTATCTCATTTACTCTTTCTCCCAACCCAATATGATATAGCACAGGTATGTTGTATTATTTTCATTTTACAGGTAGGAAAACAGAGGCCAAGAGATGTTCAATAATTTGCCCAAAGTCAAGTGGCCAGTAAGTTGCAGAGTCAGTATTTTAAGCTAAGCAGTCTCGTTGCAGAATGTGTCCTCTCAACCTAGCCTGCCTAAATAGTTTTGTGAAATTTGTTCTGGATTTTCATTCCTTCAAGTGTTTTTCATGATATTGTCTTCTTTGGAAATAACCCCTCCTACTCCACTGTGTCTGCTTGCTGAAATCTTGCCCAGCTCAAAGGACATCTCCTCCATGAAGTCATCCCTGATCTCCCACAGCTAAAATGTATTCCTCCTGGCTCTGTGTTCTTACAGCATTGGCTCTAACACTTATACTACTTTTTGTAATGGTAGTTACCTGTGTGTAAGTTCCCTTCTCCCTCCCACCTCCAAGCTGTCCTAAAAGAAACTGAGCTCACTCTCACTATGGCCCTGTAATGCTGAAGCTGAGAAAGTGCCAGTCAGGGATGCCATTACCAAGGAGTGGTAGAGGTGGATAATGGAGTAGATAATCTCTAAGCTCCCTCCCAATTTGGAAGTTCTATAATCCTGGGTGGCAGTTTCCCCGAGGTGCAGGGACTTCACCTTCCACAGCACCAAGCCGAGTAGCTGGCATGTCTCTAGCGAACTGCTGAGCTGGCAAAACTACATTATCTTTGATGCAGCTGAAGATCAACAAAAACTGGCTACACCCTCCCTCCCAGTCTCTGTGTATCTATCTGTGACTATCATGTGTGTTTGAAGGTGACACTGTGCTGCAGGTGTGGCTCGAGGGCTGCAGTCCTTTCCACATTCCTTCCCTATGAAGACTATCCTTTGTGCTGTGCAAGTTGATGCTCCACATGCATATTGATATCTGCAGCACTCAGTGCTTTGCTTGTCAGTCTAGACCAGTGGGTTTCAAACTTCAGCATACATTAGAATCATCAAGAGGGCTTGTTACAGCACACATTGTAGGGCCCCAGCCCCAGTTGGTCCAGGGAAAGACCCAAGAATTGGCATTTCTAACAGGTTCCCAGGTGATGTTGATGTTGCAGGTCCCTGGGCTACACTGAGAACCACTGCTCCAGACAGTAGCTTCACTCAAAAGGAGATGCCTTCTTTCTGACTGCTGCCCACTGAATGCGAGGGGCTAATGGGGGTGGGGTTGGAGGATGAGCACTGAACTGGGAGCCTGAAGACCAGAGTTCTACTGCAGCTGCTGGCTCTAGAGAACCGTGTGACCTTGGGCACGTGTCAGCAGTGCTCTGCCTCTCTAGTTTCCTCACAGACATAAGGATGGGGTGAAGTGGGTGACGGCTATTCTGGGTAGTTCTAGAATTCAGAGTTTGTCCATTGCTCTTCATCCTAGCTCAGTCTTTCAAGTTGGGATGCCAGATAGCCCCTTAGCACCTCTTCAGACATCCAAGTACATCAGTCTGAGCTCCAGCTGCCCCACATGCTTCGGGCCTTCTTAACAGTTATCCTTGTGTATGGAGCCCCAAAAGCAGAGCTGATGCCTTCCCTCTTGGAGACCTAAATCTGCCTTTTCAGAGCATGTGTGTCCTGCATCCCTTATTTTAAATGGTACTGTAGCACAGACGTAAGGACACAGAATTCTAGAGCCAATCTCCTGCATATAATTTTGGTTCTAACCACTTACTGTGCAACCTTGGGTAAGTTATTTAACATCTCTTAGCCTCACTTACCTCAATTTTAAAATGGGGATATCAACAGTACCTACTTCATGGTGTTATTGTGAGGGCTAAATGAAACAATACATGCAAGGCATTTATTATAGTGCCTGGCACATAGTAAGTGCTCAAAATGGTAGCTGTCCTTTCTAAAAAGAGGGTAATGGCATCCTTCATAACACTAAACAAGTAAGGAACTAGAAAACATTATAGCTATAGACCTTTTAATTTCTTTAAACCTCATCATAGTACATAATAATAATTATTATTATAGTAATACCTTATGCAGTATTTTACACTTTTCAGAATACTAAGCACTAAATCCTCTCATACAATCTTTTTTTTTTTTTAAGCACTCTTGTGTGGACTGGTCAAAGATGTTCCTAAAACAACATTGCTGTCACCAAGCCTCCCATGAATTAGGCTGGCTCCTCCCATGTGGATATCTGCTTCTGCATAGTTGGTGAAGAGGAAGCATCCTCAGTCAAAGCTACCAGCTGAGGAACCCTTAGGAAACCCCGCTGGTACCTGGCCTGTCTTTTGTAAGTATACATCAGGCCAGGGGGCTGCTTGCCAAGCAACATCATTGACTGCATACTGTTTAGTGCATGCATTACCAGGCCTCAAACATCCAAGTGATGCTACCTGAATAAGTCGAGAATTTTTGATAATAAACATAAGCCAAATCAAAAAAATGTTCTGGATTTTTCATCATTTCCACTCATTAGTCCAAGAAAAATCAGCCCACCCGTTTGTGCTACCAATTACACTTCTCATGATTTTACACAGCACAAAATCAGGAAGATGTCACAGGCTGTGTGATACCAGTGCCACACTCAGCATTAATTATAGTTCAGTGCTTGGAGAGGAATAAAACACAGGAGACTCAGAAACTTGTTATGGTGCTTAATAAGGATCTATTTACTCACCAGAAATTGGACAGTGATTCTAGACTTCAGCGATTTTACTTCCCTGCTCTTTCCTTCCCTTCATGTTTCTGTCATCTGTGACTTGGTTGGAAACAGAGGACAACAGCAGGCCTTCCATTTGATGTCCTTTGTTTGACTTCCCTAATCTTTCCTCTGTGGTCAGTCTCTTTCCGATACCTTTAAAACCACAGAATGCGGCAAACTGATTTTGCTCATTGGGCTTTAGCCACACTAGGCTTCCTGTGGTTCTTTAAACTGGGCAGGCATTCCATGCCCTCAGCACCTTTGCATTTCCCTCGTACTGGTGTGCTCTACCTTGTGGCTCTTGCACCCTCTTCTTTAAAGGCTTTGTTCAAATGTCATCTCAGTGAGGCCTTCCACGACCATCCTACTTGAATACAGCCCCTCTACTCCTCATTTCCCTTTCCTACTTTGTCTCCATAACATCCATTGCCTGCTAATATACTAAATAATATCCTGATTGTTTTACTTATTGTTTCTCTCTCTCCCTCCCTTCTTCTCTCTCTGGCTGTCAATTCCAGCACTTAAGCCCCAGGAGGGCAGGGCTAGTTTTAATTTTTTATTTTGAAATAATTTTAGACTTTACAGGAAAATTGCAAACATAGCACAGAGAGTTACCATATATACCCTTCACCCAGCTTCCTGTAATCTTAACACCTTAACATAATAATACTAAGATTATTGAAACCAGGAAATTAACATTGATACAATAAGATTAACTCATCTACAGACCTTATTCACATTTTCCCAGTTTCTCTACTAATGTCCTATTCCTGTTCTAGGATCCAATCCAGGATCTCATATTGTATTTAGTTGCCATGCCTCATTAGCCTCCTCTAATCTGTGATGCTTCCTCAACCTTTGTCTCTCATGACAATTTGACAAGTCCAGGCCAACTATTTTGTAGAGTTTCCCTCAATCAGGTGTTGTCTGCTTTTTTCTTACAGTTAGATTAAGGTAGTGCATTTTTTGGCAAGAATGCTATGGAAGTGATGTTGTGGAGGGTGGGATTTTTTAAAATTGTTTTGGTCACTGCTATATCCCCAGTTGACTAAAACAGGACCTGACACATGGTAGGCACTCAGTACTTGTGAAGACACAAAGGGACAAAACCAACAGGCATCCATATTCCTTTCTGGAAATGGAAAGATTATGTTCTGTGGGATATTAGGATTCCTGGGAATCTCTTTTGAAGAAGGGGAAGGTAATATGGTTGGGTATGGTAGGAGTTCTCTACCAAAAAGCAAAACAATAATAGGCAAAGGAACCCAAGTAGTATGTGCCCCAGTGAGAGGGAATATGGATATAATATTTGGATAATGTGATAGCAAGATTTTTAAAAAAACTTTTATATATTTATTTTTGAGACAGAGTCTCACTCTGTCACCCAAGTTGGAATGTAGTGGCGCGATCTTAGCTCACTGCAACCTTCGCCCCCTTGGTTCAAGCGATTCTCGTGCCTCCCAAGTAGCTGGGATTACAGGCGCCTGCCAACATGCCTGGCTAATTTTTGGATTTTTAGTGGAGACAGGGTTTCACCATGTTGGCCAGGCTGTTCTCAAACTCCTGACCTCAAGTGATCCACCTGCCTTGGCCTCCCAAAGTGCTGGGATTACAGACATGAGCCACTGCACCTGGCTTTTTTTTTTTTTTTTTACTTTTATAAAAAATAATACCACTACCACCACCACCACTCCCCCAATAAAACCCAATACCTTGCATGTATAAATTAAGTGGCTGAGTCTACAGGCCCTGAAGCCAGACTGCCTAGATTCACAATCTGGCTCTGGCTGAGCACTGAAGAACTCCGCAAAGCGAAAGAAGCATTCTTTCCTCAGTCCCAAGGGGTTTATTTATTCAAAACTTGCCGAGCACCTCCTATGTGCCAGCCTGGAGTGGGGCCATGCCATCTTTCTAGCAAAAACTGAGTCATAGGCACCATGCAAGAGCCCCACTGGGCCAACCCATCACCTTAAATTGTGGGGATTGTGCAATGCAGCAACTGAGATGAGCCGGGTGCCAAAGCTTCTGGTCACTGCATGGGCATGTGTTTCTTCTTCTTAAACTTTGGTTTAGCTGCTCCTTGGCCTGTGTTACATGAGGTTATTAACTACCCTCCAGCAAGTAAGAGCAGGCTGGGATGCCAGTGCAGCATGTGTCTCACCCATGTCCTGCATCACAGACAGATCAGGACCAGAGAATGGTGATGATGCAAAGGGGCATCTCTTTTGGCACACTCCTGGACTCTACAGTCTCACCTGGCTGCACCTGATTCTTACAGTCCAACAGCCTGTCTGCTCCCTGGAACAAGTGACTACAGAGATATAACATGCCCTCTTAGCAAAGGGAGTTGTGCCATGCCAACTCATTCACAAGCCGTCTGGGCCTGGGATAAGTTTGGTATGCCAGGAGTGTGGCAGGAATGACTAGAACTAAAGCCAAGGTGCTACTCAATTCACCTGCCACTCTATCCTGCTAGTATTTCTTGCTCAACTCATTGACATCTACTTTTGTTTATTTATTCATTTCTTCATTCATTTGATCATTCACCATTCAACAAAATTTATTGAGTGCCTGCTATGTGCTAGGGACCATAGAAGGTGCTGAATATGCACAAGACAAAGTCCTTGCCCTCAATAAGCTTACATTCTAATGCAGGAGGTGGATCTTTTCATTTGAATATTTTTTCTCCTACCTAAAAAAGTTAATAAACCCTCTTTTGACCCTAATTCCTCTTCTAGATACTGCTACTGCCCCATTGCTGTCCTCCTCATTTTACTAAAACCTTGAAGCATTTGTTTATACTTATAATCTCCAAATTGTCTCCTTCCCTTCTCTCTTGAACTCACTTTTATCACTGCTCTGATCAAGATCACCAGTGACCTTTATGTTACAAAATTCAACAGCCAATTCTCAGTTCTCATCTTACTTGAGCTATCTGCAGTGCTTGACATAAGTGACCACTCTCTCTTCCTTGAATCACCTTCTCTTGGCTTCCAGGAACCACATTCTATTGGTTTTCTTCTTTCTTCTCTGGCTGCTTCTTTCCAGTCTCCTTTGCTTGTTGCACTTCAACCCAACCTTTAGACATTGGAGTGGTTTAGGGATCAGTCCTTGGACTTCTCTTTTCTACCTGAACTTATTCTCTAAGTGATCATTCAGTCTTATGACTCCCAAAGTTCTGACCCGAGTCCAGACCTCTCCTATGAATTCAAGGTTTGTATATTCAATTCTCTATTTGACATCTCCAGCTTGGATGTCTAATGGGCATCTGTCTTGGTCCATTTGGGATACTATAATGAAATACCATAAACTGGATAGCACATGCACAATAGAAATGTATTTCTTACAGTTTCAGAGGCTAGAACGTCCAAGATCAAGGTGCTGGTGGTGTCTGGTGAGGGCCCGCTTTCTCATAGACGGCATCTTCTTGCTGTGTCCTCACGTAGTGGAAGGAGTGAATGGTCACTCTCAGGTCTCTTTTATAAGGGTACTAATCCCTTCCATTCGTAGAGGCTCCTCCGTGATGACCTAATCACCTCCCAAAGCTCTCACCTCCTAATACTATCACTTTGGGGGTTAGCATTTCAACATAGAAATTTTGGGGAGAACACAAATTTTCAGACCACAGCTGCACATCAAACTTAACAAGTTGAAAACTAATTCCTTGATATTTCCCCTAAAACCTACTTCTCCCACAGTTCTTCCCATCTCAGGTAAATAGCAACTCCATTATTATAGATGCCTAGGCTAAAAACCATGGCATCATCCTTGACTGGGTACTTTATCTCATGTCCTATTTATAGGTCTGTCAGCAAATCCTAAATACTCTATCTCTCAAAACACATACAGTTTGTGTCCATTTCTTATTGGTTCTCATATCATTGCCATTTCTATCATCCTTCTTCGAGCCCCCATCATGTCTCACATGGATTATTACAGTAGTCTCCAACTGGTTCTTCTGCTTCCACTCTTTTCCCTCTTCAGTGTATTCTCAACATACCATATATAGTAAGCCTACTAAAATCTAAGTCAGATGATATTACCCTCTGCTCTATGATACCCCTTCTTACTCAGTAAAAGCCAAAGCTCTTACAATAACCTTCAAAGTTCCAAACACCTGCCCCCCCAACCCCATTAAATTCCTGAATTTATCACCTACCACTCTTCCCCTTGTCTTCAAACCTCCAGCCATACCGGCCCCCTTGCTGTTCTTCAAACATACTAGGTATGATACAGTCTTAGGACCTTTGCACAGACTCTTCTTTGCCTTAAAAGTTCGTCATCCAAATAGCTGCAGATCTATATCTGTCACTTCTTTCAGGTCTTTACTCAAGATTTATCTATCGAGGTCACTCTGTCTAAAGTGTTTCTCTCCTCCAAAAAATTTATATCTCCATTATCTAGTTTACTTTTCTCCCTAGCACTCATCATTCTCTAACATACTATATGTCTTAATGTGCTTGGACTGCCATAACAAAATACTACAGACTGGGTGGCTTGAACAACAGACATTTATCCCTGACAGTTCTGGAGGCTGGAAGTCCAAGATCAAGGTGCCAGAAAGGTAAGTTTCATTCTGAGGCCTCTTTTCTTGGCTTGTAGACAGCCACCATCTCATTGTATGCTTATATGACTTCTTTGTGCATGTTGGGTGGTGGGGTGGTGGGGGAAAGAGAGAGATAGAGAGAGAGAGAGAGAGCAGGCTCTTTGGTGTCTCTTCTTATCAAGGCACTAATCCCATTAGATCAAAGCCCCACCCTCATGACCTCATCTAACCCTAACTGCATCCCAAAAGCCACATCTTCAGATACTATCATATTGGGTGTTAAGATGTCAACACAATAATTTGGTGGGGAAGACACAACCATTTAGTCTAGAACACTATAAAAATTTCACTATATATTTTATTGATCTTGTTTATTGTCTGCCTCCTCCACTAGAATTGAAGTTTGATAATGGTTGGGATTTGTGTTTAGTATGTCCACTAGTTTAATTTCCATGTTTTGAGTAGTGCCTGGCACATGTAGGGGCATAATAAATATTTACTAAATAAGTTGCTAAAATAAGCAAAATAATTATAGTTTGTGATAAGCACCAAGAATGAAATAAACAAGTTGACAGATAAAACAAAGGCTGTCCACCTTGGCTACACATTAAAACCACTTGAGGAGCATTTAGAAATACAGATAGCTGAGTTCCATTCTCAGAAATTCTGATTTACTTCATCTAGAAGAGGCCTGGCCATTGTTTTGTTTTTTAATGCTCTCTGAGTGATTCTCAATTTGAAGCAAGCCTGAGAACCAATGAGTTTGAGAATAACGTGGGGACAAGAACCTACTTGAGACAGGGTGCACAGGGAAGGCTTTTCATGTTCTTCTGAGAAAGTATAATTGAAATGGAAACCTGAAGGACGAAAAGAAACATGGGGAAGTTGGGGCAAGGCTGGCATTCAATTGTTGGTAGAGGGTCAAAACAAGATTAAAAGCACTGAAGCAGGGATGAGCTTGGTGTATCCTCAGAACAGTAGATCAGCGCAGGTGGTGCACAGGGGGCAAGGGGAAGAGTGTAACAGGATGAATGTGGAGAGATGCACAGGAGCCAGATTATTCAGGGTCTTCTAGGCCATGGGAAGGAAATATGAATTTATACTACATGCAATGGGAGCCATGGGAGGGTTTTGAGGAGGGAAATCATGTGATCTGATTTTTTATTTTCTAAAGATTGCTCTTGCTGCTGTGTAGAGGCATGAGCGAAAGCAGGAAAAAGCCTAGGAGACTGTTTTGGTAGTCTAAGAGGGACTCAACAGTGGTCTGGACTGGGCTAATGGCCTAATGTTGTTCCTTTCCATCTAGATAGCAAAGGCCTGAGAGTGGTACATGAATCCATTCTGCCCAGGTAAACTCATACACAAAGCCATTGGTTTCTGAAAATCTTTCCAAAGCTAAGATTCTATAGCTTGCTAATTCTGATCAGTGGCTCAGGGGTTGGAATATGTATGCCATGACTTGCCCTAGAAAGGGGGCCCAGTTGATCTGTTAATGAGACAGTGCTTTCTAACTAGAAAATCCAATCAGAAAGGGGCTTAGACAAAGTGATGGTGGCATTCGCTGACGGCACCTAAATTTTAAAGAGCCCTACTAACCCCAACACTGGTTTTTTTATGCTTTCTAGGGGAGAGGGGTAGGAGGAGGGAAGAGGACAAACACTGTGCTTTTGAAGGAACTTATTAATTAAAGGAGGAGATCAAGACGTAAACACAAATAGGAGTAACACAAGAGAGTAAGATAAGTATCCAAAGGAAGATATGAATACAATCAGTAATTGCCATAATTTATTTAATACCCATTTTAGGCTGAGCACTGTGTTGTGTGCTTTACATATGTTCTCATTTAATTTTCACAACAGTGGAGTAGGTAATATAATCACATATGGTAATTATGATAATAATAACAGCAAACGTTTGTTAAGCCAGGCACTGGGCTAGGTGTTTCAAAATATATAGGCATATCATCACTCCATAGATGAGGATAACTAGGCCCAGAAAGGATAAAAGACTTATCCAAAAATCACAGAGCTAGGTTCAACTGCCAAGCTCTGATATTCAAACATTGGTTCAACTCCCAAGCCCATGGTTTTAAAGCATTCTGGGAATTCAGAGCAGATGGCTCCTACCTTGTTCTGGGAGGTACACGTGTGAAAGGAGGAAGACCCTGTGGAGGAATAAAGGTGTGAACATGAAAAAGGAGGAGCTTATTCAGGGACCAGCAAGTGTCCTGCTTGGTCAGGGCTGAGGGTGTATAACAAGGAATTGTGGCCCAATGGCAAGGCAGTTCTCCTTCTCCTTTCTGCCCCTAACCACTTCACATGTGCCAAACAGGGGTTGCAGCCTCCTATCAAGACTGTCTGTCCCTCAAGGCTTGATCTTGGGGTGCCTTGATCCTCTAAAAGCCCCTGGCAGCTCAAAAAGCCTTAAACACACTCGAAAGTAGGGCAAGTATAGATTTTCAAACTCAAACCATGATGAGTAGTAATTTGGCCCCCTCATTAGTTCTTAGGCGGAAGCAGCCCTTTGGCATTTAGGACATTGACAACAATATCTGAGAAGGACAAGAGGATGGGAAATACAGAGAAGGCAACAACCAGCATCTAGCACAACATCTCATCGAGTCAGCAAAGACAATTCAACATGTAATACTGCTTGTAACGGCAAAAATTGCCAATGATCTAAATGCCCATCAATATGAGATTGATGAGATAAATTATGAAACATCCAAAGAAAAGAACACTATATCATTGTTTAAAAGAAGGAGCTAAAACTGTACTTTCTGAGAAGGACAGACGTTTCCAAAGGATTGTAAGTGAAAAGAGCAGGTCATGTAACAGTCTCTATATCATGATCCCAGTAAAACCATAGATCTGTGTTTATATATGCATAAAACTGTCAACCATAGTTATCTAGTACAGTGTCGGTGCACAGAATTACAGAGGAAATTTCCCTTTGTATTTTGTATACTTATGTATGCTGTTGACCTTTACAACAAGCCAATATCACCTTATAATTGGAAAAAACAATACTAGAATTTCCATTTTGCAAAACAAAAACATCCTATCTTAGATCACCTTCATCCATGCTATCTTTTGCATTGACAACATATCTTGGATTTAGCCATGCATTTGAATTTGTCTCAGAATTTTCTCATGAATGAACTAAAGCAAGATAGTAACATATTGATCAAGTTATAATACAGTCAAATGGATTGGCAATCCAGCAGAAGTTCTCCAGAGAAGGGCCACAAGACTTTTTCATTTTTATTAATAA
The DNA here is from genome assembly GCF_000001405.40 of Homo sapiens. Taxonomy (NCBI): domain Eukaryota; kingdom Metazoa; phylum Chordata; class Mammalia; order Primates; family Hominidae; genus Homo; species Homo sapiens. The sequence continues at coordinate 110,993,509 of NC_000023.11, read as the reverse complement.
CTTAGGTGATACAGAAAATGTACTTACTGTGTTTTAAGATGACTCAAACCTGGCAGGGATGTCGGAATATGTTGAAGAACAAAATTGAGATTCAAAATAAGCTCAGACGGGTTGGAATACTGGGCTAAAATTTAAATGGTGAAATATAAATGAGATAAAGAAAAAAAATCATCAATTCAAATTTTAAAAGTCCATTTTGTGAGGCCAAAATAGGGGAAGTGTGGCTTCACAGCAACTCACATCAAACAAATAAACAAACTAAAAAAGATCAAGGGGCTTGAATTGACCCACAAGCACAATTCGAGCCAACAGTTTAATGTACCTAAATTATTTAGTCGCTAAAAACAGAGCACAATTTTAGATTGCATAATCAAAGTACAGTTTCTAGATCCTAGAATATAATCATTGCACTGTAACCTCCTCTGTTCACTCCTGCCGTCTCCTGTTCAATTTTAGACATCACATTTTAAGAGAGTCACTAAGAAAGTGGAAAACCTCCAGAAGAGGGTTGCAAGATTGACAAAAGAAAACCATTCTATAATAGGAGTTACTCTTGAAGGTAGAAGAGACAATAGGGCCTGTAAAGGAGAAACGTTGGGGGATATATAAGATATCCACCTGCCTTCAAATCTCAAGTATTTTCCTGCGGAAGGTATGCACTTATTCTGGGTTGCTCAGGTGATAGAACCAGGACTACTGCCACCCGGTGGTGAAAAGGAGGCAGATTTTCAGTAAACCCATCAAAAGGCTTTCCGACCTTGAGAAGGTCCTGCAAGAAGAGGCTGAGCAAGCTGATAAGGCAGTGACGGTTTTAGTCGAGGCGGAATGAACAGATGCCCGGTGGCAGAATTGCACTGAGTCCCTTTCAGCTCTAAGAGATTACATCTTTTTCCCCTATTCTCCGTGCCATCAATTCCTCTCTGTGTCGCCCTCAGGATCAATAAGTCCACTCTCTGCAGTCTACAGAGTGGTAAGGAGAGTTCTGAGGGAATGGTGGAGTTGCTGCCTCTTGTTTATTATTGCCCAGGATCTATGGGGTCAAAACCCACTGCTTATAGGAGTGCCAAATAGCTCATATAAGTTGGGTCATGTCCTTCACTGAACAAGCTCCTCCGTGGCTTTCCATCTCACTCCCTGGAAATGGCAGTCAATGCCCTTAACAAACTTGTCTCTGTGACCTCTCTGACCTCCCATCCCAATACTCTTCCCTTCATTCACTCCATTGCTGCAACATGGGCTTCTTGGCAGTTTCATAAATGCCAGATATCCTCCTGATTCAAAGACCTTGCTCTTCCTGTTCTCTCTGCTCCCAATGCTCTTCCCTGAGATACCTACATGACCTACTCCCTCACCTCCTTTAGGGCTGGATTCAAAAGATTACCTTCTTGGTGAGGCCTACCCTGACCACCCTCTAAAATTATAGGCTCTGCAGGGTTCACTCTCCAACCCTCCCTCACCACTCCTGACCATTTTACAACTCCTTATCACCCCATCTGAAGATATTTTCCATAGTACTTAATATCACATAACACAATATTTTATATTTATTATTTTGTTTTCCATACTACCTCTATTGGGCTATAAATTCCTTAAATACAGGAATAATGCCTGTCCTGTGTGTTTTTTTTTCTTGTCATATCTCAGCTTCTGGAACACTGGCTAGCACACAGTAGTTACTTATTAAGTGTTTAACGAAATGCCTGCTGCATCCCAAATCCATGCCATCTCCTGCAGTCTTGATTTTCTCAACAAAAGAAATTTTAAATTTAAGAACCAAATCCAAAAATAATAACAAGATGTGTCTTAGTAGTAAGATTTGGCATGATTGCCTATTTTTCTCAATTTTCTCATGTTTTAGTTATGCTGTCATATTACCTTAATGGTCAACTGGCCATAATAACTGTAGCAGCTAACATCTATTGAATGCTTATCATGTACCAGGCATGGTGATAAGTACTTTACTTGGATTAACTCATTTAATCCTCACAATAGCCCTTTTCAGTTGGCACTACTGTCATTCCCATTTTAAAGACCAGGAAACCGAGAAACGAGGAAGTGATGTGACTCGACCAAGGCTACACAACTAATATTAGACAGATTCCAAAGCCCATGTTATTGTCCCCTAACTTCAGTATAAGATGAAAACTGGTGATGATGATGATAGCTAACATTTATTGAGTACTAATCATGTATCAGGTGCTATGCTAAATGTTTAACACACATCATGTAATTTAAAGCTGAGAAAAGCCCTATGAGGCAGAAATAATCATTATGATCATTTTATAGTATTAGGCCCTCCTGTGATGTAATTAACCAAACCTGTGCCCACACTTAACCTCTGCCTTGGTTTGTTTTCTTTTTCTTTTCTTTTTTTTTTTGAGACAGGGTCTGGCTCTGCCATCCAGGCTGGAGTGCAGTGGTGCAATCTCAGTGGCTCACTGTAACCTCTGCCTCCAGGGTTCAAGCGATCCTCCCAGATCAGCCTCCTGAGTACCTGGGACTACAGGCCTGCACCACCACACCCAGCTAATTTTTGTGTATTTTTTAGAGATGAGGTTTTGCTATGTTGCCAATGGCTGGTCTCGAACTCCTGGGCTCAAGCAATATGCCTCCCTGAGCCTCCCAAATTGCTGGGATTACAGGCATGAACCACCGTGCCTGGCCCCACCTTGACTTCATAGCAAGCATCCCTTGACTTTCTCTTTTGTGTTTTAGGCCAGTGAAAAAGCTGGATAAGCAATAATCTGAGAGCCACTACTTGAACCCTTCTGTCCATGTAGATTAGACCTCCAGCATACGTTGTGATTTCAGCCCTTATTTGTGCTGTTGCCCCTGACCAGTAAAAGAATATCCTTTTTTTTTTTTTAACTCCTGCCAGCCCTAGCCTGTGAATTTTTATTCCAAAGCTTAGTTTAAATGCAACTCCCTCCAGGAATCCTTCCATGGTCACCCCTTTCTACCACAATTTCTTTCTCTCATTCTACGGTCAATACATTTCCTTCAGCCCTGGTCTCTAGCTTTGCAGTGCTGGCTCTCTTCCCACTCAGCTATGTCCCTTCTTCTCAGGTAGACTATAAGCTCATGGAGGCAGATAGGCCTATGCTTCTTGGCATGCCCTGCATAAATGGTATGTTCACTGTCACATAGTAGGTGCTTAATCATTATTTTGCTGATTTAATGATACTATACCCTCATCGTTGTAAAATGTTTATCTGTTTCCAAGGTGCTCTTATACATATCATCTCACTTTAGCCTCACAGCAGCTCTGAGACACAAGAGAGACAGATCTTATTTTTCTCATTTTTACAGTTAAGGAAATTGAGTGCCGGAGAGGCTAAATAAGTTGTCTCAGGTCACATATCTGAGAATTGAGCCCAGCTGTCTGGACTTTGAGCCCCAGATTCTTTGCATTAGACCACACCGACTCTATGACTCTGCCGGAAGACACCGCTGTCTGGGAGCAATGATAATAACATTCCTATAAAGACTTTGTCTTGATTCTATCACTGGAGCAAAAGCAATAAAGAGCGCCAAGAGGCAATATCCTCAGTTGAGATTGGGAAGGCAGGTAAATTCATACACTCTGGTGAGAAGTGCCTGGGGATTATCAGATGGGTGGTGATGCGTCTGTTATATTCTTTAGGAGGAGGGGACTGAAGACTGAAAGCTGTCCTCTACACAGAGCAGATTAACTCAACCCTCAGCAGAAGGGAGGCAGCCAGCATGGTGACTATGACAGAGCAACTAGGAGGCAGGAAAGCTGGGTTCGAGATCCAGTTCTGCTACAAGCCAGCTGTGTGATAATGCAGAAGATACCTAATCTTTCTGAGTCTGTACTTCCTCATTAGAAGCTGCCAATTTACAAGGCTTCTCACAGCGCCAGTGTTCTACAGATCTATGACACAGATCACAATAGGGTGAACCTTGGACTCTATCTGGATCACAAACATATTTTCTTTGGTGCAAATAGTATTTAAATTTTCTATGAACTGGTAACCGACATTGAAAAATTACAAGATTTTACATGAATATTCAGATGTCCAAGCTCTCTAGAAAAATCAAAATATCTGGCAGCATTAAAAATTGGAAAACTTCACATAAAATTTGATTTTCAATCTTCCTAGAAAAAAAATATCTGGACACATGGGATTATTTTCATTATCTGTTTATTATTTAAAATATACTATGTTAAGTTGTATGATAAGTACCATCAGGAAAATACAAAGTCAGGTAGGAGATGAAGAGTTTTGAAATGGTAAGAGTAGTAGGTTCCTGCAAGGCCTAGAGTATCACAGAGGGTAGACACAGAAGGCCTCACTGGCAAAGTGACCACATTCCCACAGGACCATAATGAACTGGAACCCAGAAATAGCTGCTCCCTTTAGACAGAGCATGTGGATGAAAGGTTAGGGGTGCTAACATCTTCAACATATCAAGTCAGGACTGAAAAGATGATGCTGGTTGATGTGACCGGAAGGATAGTTTTAAGCTAATTATTTGATTTTACAGAGGCAACAAAAGAGTTTCAAATGGTAAAATCAATATCAAAGTCTGGGAGAAGGAAAGGAGGAGCAGTTGTTTGGACAAGAGCTTGGCACACTTATACAAAGCCTTCACTAACCAAGAGCAGCTAAACATCCCATAAACCCAGATGCATTTTCCGTCTAATGGGGTCAATGCCATTAGCCTGATACCTGCAGCCGCCTCCCTAACTTGCCCTTACATTTCAGGCCAGGGCCATTATATGATATTAGAACTGATTCTAATTAGAGAACCACCAACTCTGTTGATCCAAGAATAGCATGGGAGAGATGGGGAGAGAGGAGAAATGGATCCTACTCCATTCCCTTGTTGGTCATTTCTTGTCTTATCTGAGACTTGACAGATTAATTCTCTGGATGCCAGTTTCTCCAAATAAGAAATGAGTATTTCAAATAATTTTGTCCAATGTCAAGGTATCTACAGTGAGGGTAAGTATTGCCTCATGAAATGTTTGCATGTATATATATACACATACACACAAACGATGTATATACAACTATATTATAAATGATAAATATAACTGTCTTTATATTTAAAATTATATGTAATTATAAACATTTTATAACTCAATATTTACCCTTACTGTGTGCAGTGTACCCTGTTATTTCCCATTCCATTCCTGTATGTGTGTTTAATGCTGGTCACTATCCACTAAATTGATTTTCTGAGCAGTGGGTAACAATTGACAGCTTGAATAACAGTGCTCTACACCAATGGTTTCCAAATTGGACCCACATCAGAATACCGTGGAGTCCTTGTTAAACACATGTTCTTGTTCTCCATTCCAAACCTATGGAATCAGAATTTCTTTAGGGCAAGGCCCAGGAATCTGTATGTTTTAACAAGGACTAGCTGTGCACTGACATTAAGGAATCACAGTTATTCTCAGCACACAGATGCAAATAACATCAAAAAGAATTATTATCAAATGCATACTCCACACCAGTGCTTCAGCATAATAGCTTTCATTTATTATCTCACTTAAATTCCCACAACAACCCCACTTTAGAGATGAGGAAACTGAAGCTCAGAGGTTCGATAAGCTGCTGGAAGACATACCCGGGGAGATTAATGAAGGAGCAGGGCTGTGATTTGTGAGGGGTCTGTTTGAGCCCAGTGTTCAACCTGCATTGACTCTTCCAACAATTCTTCTTTCTGCAGCTCCAGAGGCCTTGAACCTATCCTGAAATATTCTATACCAAGTCAAATTCCAGATCAGATACCCAAATTCCAGGTCAACCACCAGAGACAAAGAGCAGACATAAAACAATGACAATAAAAATATTTTGTACTAATATCAGGTTTTTACTGTTTCCAAAGCATATGTGGGTCTATTTTCTCTACATTTGTACCTTTCAATCATTCTGTGAAGCATGAGGGTTAAATGAAAAAACAGAGACCCAAAGAGGGGAAGCAACTTACTCCAGGTCTCACGGCAAGTTCACAGCCAAGCTGCCACACTCTGACTCCCTCTGGCGGGGTCTAATACTGCAATTGGGCTGGCTTTCTCCAGGGCTCACAGCTCCAACACATTTTAGGTCTAGTTCCCTTTAAGGGAGAAGAGGAAGGGATGGGTTGCTTTCTGCCTCCTTCCCCATAGGATTTACCATCAAGTTCAGAAATGAACACACTCTCCATCCACACTGCCTGAGGGACAGGTTGCCCCGACTTCCACAAGGCTGTGCTGAGAACTGGCTGCATTTCTATTTTTGCCATGCAATTTGTAAGAAGCTTTGCACTATGCTTCAAAGAAAAATAATGGATTCCATGATGAAAAGAAAAAGCTCCATCCCTCCCACAGAGGTTAAATGCCACCAGCCACTAGTGAAGCAGCCTTGGGAAGTCTCTGCTGAGCAAAATGTTGAGAGCCCACAGAAAACCTAGGCAGTGGACTGGACCAATCTTTGCCAATGGCAGAAAGGGTCTGAAAGGATGAATGGCCCTCATTTATCCTTCTTGGCTGAGACCCTCCCTCTGTTGAGAACATCCCTCTGTTTCTGCCACAGACAGTGGTGTTTGTAGTGTGTATATGTTTATGTGACAAATTACTAGTTATTTACCAAACACTGTATTGATTCTAACATTTTTCACCCCTTTCCTTTTAGAATACAGAACTTTCCATCTCTCCCCTTAACAGCTCCTGAAGCAAACCTCCCACTCATGCAACACACGAATGGACACACACATACACACACACACACACACACACACGCGTACACTTGGTGAAAATGAAATCAAGACCCCTTTCTTTTGGCCTCAGTCTCCCTATCTAGAAAATGTGAATGAGTTGAACCAGATATTCTATTAGGTTCCTTCTCTGGTTCTAAGAATCTGATAAAATAAGTGGGGAAAGCATTTAATACAGCCCATGAATTTGTGATTCAGGCTCTGAGCATGAAGGGGTAAACTGGCCTCAAATTGTGTTTTCAATGGTTGTCTTTTGTTAAAGGGAATCATAAGGTGAGATGAAGAACAGTAATTTCTGTTATGCCCATGAGCATGATAACATCTTAACAATGAGGATTATGCTGTGTTTTCCCTCTCTTCTTTTATTTTTTCATTCTCTTTATGCACAGTCAGAGCTGCAAAGACTGCCTAGTCAGTTGTCTCTTCCCCCCATGTCAATTTCTCTTCCCATGTGAAGGTGGCAGATACAATCCAGCCCTGTAATAGCTAAGGTTTCAGCCCTGTAGAGCTTCAAGCTAATGCCATTCTCACCTCAGAGGTAGTGCTTCATGTGATGTCAGAAAGATTCCAAGAGGTGTTAAATTTGCTTTGTGGTTGCAACTCCCTTTTAGTTTGGTGAGGCTGGCTTAGGATTTGATGGTTTTATTGATTTCAGTATCAAGATAGTACAGGATATCTCAGCTTTTAAATTTATATTGTCAATCATCAAAGTAGCTGCTACCCTATGGGGACACTAACTAGACCTACACTCACTGCAGCTTACCAATGTAGTACATGGCTCTTTTCTACCTGCTCCTCAGGGCTGGATTCAAGATTATGAGATTGAAGAGAAGCCAGGGGGTAGAGGGATAATCCTAGGGTGGTTTGAAAAAGAAATCAGTGGAAATGAGACTGTTCTCATTCTCACACAACACAAAAGAAAGCTTTGAATCGAACTGCCTGTGTCTGCATCCAAGTCACTGAATCACCTGGGTTTCAGTTTGCTCATCATCAAATGTGGATAATTCTATACTAGGAAATACCTTATAAGGTTACTGTGGAGATTAAATGAGAAAAAAGCCTAGAGCAATGCCCAGCACATGCTAATATCTCAATACGTGCTGGTTATACTGATTATTATTCCTCCTGACCAAACTGGTCTTGCAACTTTCTGATGTTTAACAACCTTGCATTTTCTGGCCATCTCATTTCACCAGAGGATCTCAAAGCACACTAGAGATGAGGCTGAGCTGAGGTTCATCTTAGAGCCAATGAGTGGAATAGGGAGCAAAATTGCTCATTTTCCTGTTCACTTATTTATTCACTCAGCAAATACTTATTGACCACCTATTAAATGCCAGGAACTGTGCTAGGTGATGAAGACATAATGATGAAAAAGACAAAGTCCCTGCTTAACAGAGTTAACACTCTAGAAGCAGGGAGGTAGGAGGAAGGGGGAGGCAGATAAACAAGAAATACAATGATATGTGCTTGGTGAACTCAAGGGACAGAAAATCAGTGTGGGTGGGGTTTGGGGCAGTCATGAGAGGGAGGGTGATATGAGATGAGGTTGCAGAGGAAGGCAGGGGCCAGATCATTCAAGCTTTGTAGGCCATCTAAGGAGTTTTATCTTTATCCTAAAAACATTAAAATATAAATGGAAGGCTTTAAGCAAAGAATCAACATACTCAAGTGTTCGTTAAAGTTATTTTTTTATTTTTCTCAGCTCACTGCAGCCTCGATCTCCAGGGCTCAAGCAGTCCTCTCACCTCAGCCTCCTGAGTAGGTGGGACTACAGGTGTGCACCAACACGCCTGGCTAATTTTTGTATTTTTAGTAGAGATGGGGTTTCACCACATGGCCCAGGCTGGTCTCAAACTCCTGGGCTCAAGCGATTTGCCCGCCCTGACCTCCCAAAGTGCTGGAATTACAGTCTTGAACCCCTGTACCCAGCCTGTTTGTTAAAGTTCTTAGTGACTGTTATATAGAGTAGAGATTGGTTGGAGTTGAGATTTGGCGGGGGCGGGGGGGCGTAAGGCTGCCACTATCTGATACAGTGTCTGTGTGAATCACAAAAAAGACACCCCTTCCTCATTTTAAAAATGACAACAAAAATTATGTTAGTCTTTTCTTGTACAACCTAAACAAATTTAAGTCCTGCCCAAGAAAGTTTGCCAGAGTCATGGTGGGCAGCAGCCTGTGTTGTGAGCACCCACATTATTCCTCTCACTCATGCATTTCTTGTCACTGGAATAGATGCACCATCAACAACACTTTGCCCCCCACTGTTCTATCCCCTCTCCAGCTGAGGCAGCTGGAAGTGGGAGGGATGGGACTTCAGCCTGTGGGAACAATGGGTAGTAGAGAGAGAAGTAAACTCAGGGGACACCCAGGGCTTGGGTAGGATAGAGTCCACTTGTGTGTGCCACTGAGTATGTACATTTATGGATGTATATGTGTGTGTATGTGTGTGTGTGATTGTGCTTTCCTGAGTCTATGCAAGGCCATGTGCACTGGTACAGTTTTAAGTAGGAGCAGGCTCTCTTCCGCTGTTGTCAGACTTAGAGCCAAGAAGCCCAGAATGTCTGCACCCATCTGCACAATCTTATGTAAGTATGTATGTGTCTGTGATATAAATGGCACACCCATAGCTATGGTGCCCTTGTGTAGTATACAACCTGAACATCCATACATGGCAGGCCTGGCAGTAAGAGCGGAAGCAAGTAGATTATTTAGGGGGCTGTTGCAGTGGTTTGGGAAAGAGATGATGGTGGCTCACACTAGCTAATGGCTGAGGAGGTGGTGAAAAGTGATGAAATTCAGTAAATATTTTCAAGGTAAATGAACAGGATTTGCTGATGACTAGGATGTGATGTGTAAGGGAACAAGAAGAACTCAGGATAACCACCAGGAGTTTGACTTAAGCAACCAGGTGAGCGGTAGTGCCATTTACTGAGTGGGGTTGACTGGAAGAGGAATGTATTTGCAGAAAAAAATCACAAATTCTGCTTTGGGCAGCTTGTATCAACTCCAGCTGCCCACCTATGGTGGCAGATCATCAGTCTCTGTATCTTAAGCTTCTCCTCACTGAGGATCTTAAAGCACTTTATGCGTGGGGGGCTCTGGAAAATTGGTAATCCCTGATACGTATCTTCACCTCGGCAGTTTTCTTTCTGTACCTTCTTTGACTTGAGAGGAAATAATAATTTTACTTTGTTCCTACCAGTTTCTCAAGATTTCTCTCTCTCTCTTTCACACACACACACACACACGCAGACATACACACACATGCACACAAACACACACATCCTCTCTCTCTCTGTCTTTCTCTTACCATTTCCAAATGTCCTTTTCTAAGATTGCTTTTTGTCAAAACCCCAAAACCTTTCTTTTTGGGTAGTACACCTTTATTCAAGGACAGGGATTCTCCATCTTCCACTACCAGGCAGCCCAGAACGCCATCACTCTACCCAAACCCTCTCCTCAGTAGAGGAAAAAGGTACTTGTAGCATGAAACAGAGCCAAGTGAGCTGAGAAAACGAGCCAAGTGCTGAGAAATTAAAGAAGGTAATGCTGACTAGGGGAAAAAGTGAATTAATCAGGAAATCTTAAGGTCATTGTGATCTCTTTGATTGCATTAACATCTAATAGCAGAAGACTGCAGATTGATTACTGCTTCAGCAGGAGGGATCAAATGTAAGCTAGGAGTGTGGTGCCCAGAGCTACATCTTCTGTAGGGAAAGTCAGTGCCAGCAGGTGAAGCTAAATCTCCTCACTCCAGGCACATTGACTTGGAACCCACTGCCTTTTTAGACATGCATCAGGCAGCCTAGGCACCAAGAACCTTTCATAAATACAAATCATCCCCTTGTGCACAGTGCCCATCACTCACACTAGATCATGCCATCCCACTTCCTCCAGTGTTTCTCAGAATGGCCTAGGAAAGGCTTCGGAGGAATGAATCATCACTGATGATCTAGATGAGTCTTTGGGGTCTGCCCTTGCTCCATTAGCCACAGCTCCAACTTTCCCTTCCTAGAGCTCCTTGTGCTTTTCTCTTCATCTGCCCGTATTGACAGAAAAAGAAAAAGTTCACCCTTTTCAGTAACAGGTTGTGGACCTGCCCTCCATAAGCAAAAGATGCCATGCTATGGTCGCCTTGCCTCATTCCCACCAGCAAAACAAAACAAAACAAAACACACAGTGATCTGAATTGTCAGGGTTCTTTTCGGGAGAAGGCTGCCTAATGCAGAAAATCACATGAAAGGAAACAACAGTAACAATCATAACCCCAATTTCTTCAGCGCAACCTATGTTCCAGGCGATGAGCTAAGTGCTTTATATATAGGTTATCTCATTTAGTCCTCACCACAAGGCAGGTATGATCAGTGTCACCATTTCATAGCTGAATAAAAGAAAAGCAGAGGCTCAGAGAGGTTTAGGCACTTGTTCAGCGTCACAGAGCTAGGCATGAGCAAAGCCAGGATTTAAACCTAGATCTGTCTGTCTTCAGTGCAAGTCCTCACAACCAACTTGGTGTGCAGGAGTGGACTCAAATATATCGTTCTATTTTCAGCCTCTTTCTTCCCTTTACAACAGGGATTCCAAATACATCCAAAACAATGGTGATGCCTCCCAAACCTCTGGCTGCAGCCCTGACCTCTCTGTTCAGCTTCAATCCTTAACCAATTCCTTTCCACTAGATGGTTCCCTTTTACTCATGTCCTCTGTTCACTCAAGCTCAGAATTTCTAAAACATCATTTTTTTTCTCCCACCCAGCTCTCCCTCTATTTGCCTCTTTCTGCCAGCATTATCCCAATTTCTAGGCTCCCAACTTCAGAATCATCCCCAACTCTTCTCTCTCTACCCATATCTAGCCAAGGAAAACACCATATTGTGGCAATTTTCTCTCCATAATGTCTCCTGAATCTACCCTTTTTTCCCACTTCAAATTCTTCTTACACACCATTGGCCTCACTTTTAAAAAACACACAAATTTATTTTTGTACAGTTTCTGTGGGTCAGAAGTACAGGCACAGTATGCCTGAATCTTCTACTTAGGGTCTCATTGCATTGAAATCAAGGTGTTGGCCAGGGTTGTGATTTTCATCTGAAGCTCTGTTAGTAGAAAGGATAAATGTAAGTACAAGGAATTTCCACGTACTCCTCACTCAGATTCCCCAAATGTTAACCTTTGCAACATTTTCTTTATCCTTTTCTCTTTTTCTGTACACACACACACACACACACACACACACTATTTTTTCTCAATCATTTGAGAGTAAGATGGAGATCATGCCCCTTTATCTTTAAATACTTTAGTTCATGTTTCTAAAAATCAAGAGCATTCTCTTACATAACCACAATTATCAAAATCAGGAAATTAATATTCATGCAACATTATGATCTAATCTAAAAACCTCTTTCAAATGTCACCAATTATCCCAATGTCAACCTTTAGAACAAAAGGTCAAAAATTATTTAGTAAAAGATCCAAATATGAATGAATTCTTAACTTTAGTTTCCATATCTCTTCAGTCTCCTTTAATTGGAAACAGTTTCTCAGTTTTTCTTATCTTTCATGACCTTGATATTTTTAAAGAATATACTGGCCTCTGGTTTTTGCTGTACCTCACCTCACTGGAGTGTTGGAGCTCAGAAAACAGTACCCCAAAATGAAGGCCTCAGAAGCAAATGTTATTCTCTGACCTTCTCCTGCCCTCTTGTCTCTCAATCCCATCCTCCCTGGAGGCTAGCCACAGAACCTAGAATCTCTTTTCCCTAAGACGAGTGATAGAAACCGACCCCTTCTCCCCAAATCCAGCCATGAAACCTAAAAATATTACTCTAACTTTCCCTCTGTCTTTCTGTGTATAAACTAACCACAAAGAAACGATCTGACCTACCTTGTTTGACTGCAGGTCATAAGATCTCTGTTCCAGAGAGGGTCATGCCCCACACCCAGAAGAAAGGAATTCATGTTCAGAGAGGCCTAGAAGAATCTAGACAGAGAGGCTTTGATGTATTTCCCCACTGAGTCTATTGCATTGGATTATGCTCTTTATGTCTAATCATATTTCTACATGGCTGTCCATACTTTTTTGACCTAAGCATAAAATGGAAAATTTTCTCTGTATCTTTGGGTCTTCATTCTGAAGGCTCCCATGTACACGTATGTTAAATGTGTATGTCGTTTCTCCTATCCATCTGCCTTTTATGAGTTGATTTTTCAGGGAACCTTCAGAAGGCCAAGGGGAAAGTTATCCCTTGGCCCCTACAATAGACAGAAAAGCAGAATATTCCATGACTTCCCTACTACAGAATCATAGAATTTGGAATGGACCTTAAAATGAACTACTCCGTTGGGTCCCAAACTGTTGTCATGCACTCCTCAATATTTTGGTCATACCATTTTCCCAATATTTTTCTTTGAATTAGATAATTACTGTGGTAGGGAGAATTTTAACTATGACCACCCAAATGACCCTTGCTTCTGTATAATCCCCTCCCCTCTGAGTGTGGGTGGAACCTATCAACATGATGAGAAATTACTCCAATGATTATGTTACATTACATGGCAAAACAGATTATCTGAGTGTGTGTAATCTCATCATAGGAACCCTTTAATAACATGGTTTTCTCTGACTGATAAATGGAAGAGGAAGTCAGGGAGATTTGAGGCATGAGAATATTTTGACATGCGAGATTGCTAGTTGATGGTTTTGAGGATGGAGTGGGTCACTAAGGAGGAATTCAAGTGGCTTCTAGGAGCAGAATGTGACTGTTAGCAGACAATCAGCAAGGAAATGGGCACTTCAAATCTACAACCCAAAGAAACTGAATTCTGCCTACACCTGAATGAGCTTGGAAGTAGATTCATCCACAGAACCTCCAGATATGAGTCCAACCCAGCTGACACTTTAAACAGAAAGCCCTGTCAAGTCTGCCAGGACTTCTAACCTACAGATCAGAATGAAAATGAAGATGCAACATACCAAAATGTGTGGGACACTGCTAAAGCAGTGCTGAGAGGGAAATTTATAGCACTCAATGCATATATTAGAAAAGAGGAAAAGTCTTGAATCAGTAATCAAGCTCCCACCTCAAGAAACTGGAAAATGAAAAACAACATAAACTCAAAGTAAGTAGAAGGAATAAAATAATAAATATATGAGCAGAAATCAGTGAAGTTGAAAAGAGAAAAGTAGGCTGGGTGCAGTGGCTCATGCCTGTAATCCCAGCACTTTGGGAGGCCAAGGCCAGATCACGAGGTCAGGAGATCGAGACCATCCTGGCTAACACGGTGAAACCCCGTCTCTACTGAAAATACAAAAAATTAGCCAGGCGAGGTGGCGGCACCTGTAGTCTCAGCTACTCCGCAGGCTGAGGCAGAAGAATGGCATGAACCCGAGAGGCAGAGCTTGCAGTGGGCAGAGATGGCGCCACTGCACTCCAGCCTGGGTGACAGTGCCAGACTCTGTCAAAAAAAAAAAAAAAAAAAAAAGAAAAGTAATAGAGAAAATGAATAAAACAAGAGCTGGTTTCTGAAAAGATCAAGAAAATTGACTGAATTGATCCTTCAAGACTGATAAAGAAAAAGAGAGAAGACACAAATTACCAACATCTGAATGAAAATATCACTGCAGACCCTATAAACATTATAAGGATAAAATGGAGTAGTACAAGCAATTCTATACACATTAATTTGACAATGTAGATGAAATTAATCATTCTTTGAAATGCATAATGCATCACAAATCAGCCAATATAAAATAGATAATTTGAATAGACCTATAACTTTTGAGAAAACTGAATTTGTAATTTCAAAGCCCCCCAACAAGGTTTCCAAGATCAGAAGTTTTCACTGAGGAATTCTACCAAATATTCAAAGAAGAATTAACACCAATTCTCAACAATGTCTTCCAGAAAGTGGAAAGGGGAGAAAAACACTTTCCAATTCACTTTTGAGGCTAGTATTTATTCTCTGATAACAAAACCAGACAAAGACAGTACAAAAGAAAGAAGGAAAGAAAGAAAGAGAGAGAGAGAGAAGGAAAGAAGAAAGAAAGAAAAAGAAAGAAAGAAAGAAAGAAAGAGACAGAGAGAAAGAAAGAAAGAAAAAAGAAAGAAGAAAGGAAGAAAGAAAGAAAAAGAAAGAAGGCACAAACCAATATCCTTCATAAATATGATTCAAATATTCTTAACAAAATATTAGTCAATAGAATTCAGCATTATTTGAAAAGAATTATACATCATGACCAACTACGGTTTATTCCATGGATGCAAAGTTAGTTCAATATTACAAAATCAACCATTGTAATCCACCATATCAATAGGTTAAATAAGAAAAATAATATAATCTTATCAATTGATGCAGAAAAGCAATTGATAAAATCTAACATTCATTCCTGACAATAAAAAAAACAAACCAAACCTACCTCTCAGAAAACTAGGAGTAGAGGGGGGGACTGCCTTAAAACAAACAAACAAATAAAAAACAAAAACAAAAAAATAGCCAAATGAAACCAATAACAAATAAAAGAGGATTACACAATTATAACCTACCGAGATTCATCCCAGGAATTCAAGGTTGTTTTAACATCTGCAAAATCAATTAATGTAATATACCACTTCAATACCATAAAGGACAAAACCACATGATCATTTCAATAGACACAGAGAAAGACTTTTTACAAAATTTAACACCCTTTTATGATAAAGCACTCAACAAGCTACAGATAGGAAGGAAATTCATCAACGTGGTAAAGAGCATCTATGAAAAACCCACAGCTAACGTCATAATTAATAGTGAAAGACTAAAAGATTTCCCCCTAAGATTAGGAACACCTTTGTCGTTTCTAGTCAACATTGTATTGGAGGCTGTAGCCAGGACAATTATGCAAGAAAATGAAATAAAAGCCACCCTGATTGGAAAGAAAGAATTTAAATAATCTCTAATTGCAGATGACATGACCAGTGTCCAGAACATCCTGAGGAATCCACTAAAAATAATTAGAACTAATAAACAAGTTAAATAGGGTTGCAGGGTACAAGATCATTATACAAAATATCAATTTTATTTGTATACAGTAGCAGTAAGCAAACCAAAAATGAAATTAAGAAATTGATTCCATTTACAATAGCATCAAAAAATAAAATATTTAGGAATAAATTTAACAAAATAAGTGGAAAACTTATAAAATGAAAAATACAAAACATTGTTGAAAGAAATTAAAGAAAACCTAAGCAAATGGAAAGACATTCCATGTCCTTGGATTAGAAGACTTAATATTGTTAAGATGACAAAACTCTCCAAATTGATCTATAGATTCAACAAAATCCCTATCAAAATTCCAGCTGCATTTTTAAAATAGAAATTGGCAAGATGATCCTAAAATTTTTACAATATTTTGTATGGAAATGCAAGTTACCCCAAATAGTTAAAACAATCTTGGAAAAGAACAACAAAGTTGGAGGACTAATACTTCCCAATATTAAAACTTACTACAAAGGTACAATAATCAAGAGAGTGTAGTACTGTCATAAAATATATATATATCTTATACATATATATCTTATATATATTTTATCTTATCTCAAGATGATTCAAACAAAAGCTAAACCTAACATCGCAATGGTGAAAGAGTGAATGCTTTTCTCTTAAGATTGAGAATGAACCACTGATTTTTTTTTATTATACTCTAAGTTCTAGGGTACATGTGCACAGCGTGCAGGTTTGATACGTAGGTATACATGTGTCATGTTGGTTTGCTGCCTCCATCAACTAATCATTTACATTAGATATTTCTCCTAATGCTATCCTTCCCCCAGCCCCCCAACCCCTGACATGCCCCAGTGTGTGATATTCCCCTCCCTGTATCCAAGTGATCTCATTGTTCAATTCCCACCTATGAGTGAGAACATGTGATGTTTGGTTTTCTGTCCTTGTGATAGCTTGCTGAGAATGATGGTTTCCAGTTTTATCCATGTCCCTGAAAAGGACATGAACTCATACTTTTTATGGCTGCATAGTATTCCATGTTGTATATGTGTCACATTTTCTTAATCCAGCCTATCATTGATGGACATTTGGGTTGGTTCCAAGTCTTTGCTATTGTGAACAGTGCCACAATAAACATACATATGCATGTGTCTTTATAGTAGCATGATTTACAGTCCTTTGGGTATATACCCAGTAATGGGATTGCTGGGTCAAATGGTAATTCTAGTTCTAAATCCTTGAGGAATCGCCACACTGTCTTCCACAATGGTTGAACTAATTTACACTCTCACCAACAGTGTAAAAGTGTTCGTATTTCTCCACATCCTCTCCAGCATCTGTTGTTTCCTGACTTTTTAATGATTGCCATTCTAACTCTCATGAGATGGTATCTCATTGTGGTTTGATTTGCATTTCTCTGATGACCAGTGATGATGAGCATTTTTTCATGTGTCTGTTGGCTGTATAGATGTCTTCTTTAGAGAAGTGTCTGTTCACACCCTTTGCCAACTTTTTGATGGGGTTGTTTGTTTTTCTCTTGTAAATTTGTTTGAGTTCTTTGCAGATTCTGGATATTAGCCCTTTGTCAGATGGGTAGATTGCAAAAATTTTCTCCCATTCTGTAGGTTGCCTGTTCACTCTAATGGTAGTTTGTTTGCCATGCAGAAGCTCTTTAGTTTAATTAGATCTCATTTGTCTGTTTTGGCTTTTGTTGCCATTGCTTTTGGTGTTTTTGTCATGAAGTCCTTGCCCATGCCTATGTCCTGAATTGTATTGCCTAGGTTTTGTTCTAGGGTTTTCATGGTTTTAGGTCTAACATTTAAGTCTTTAATCCATCTTGTATTAATTTTTGTATAAGGTGTAAGGAAGGGATCCAGTTTCAGCTTTCTACATATGGCTAGCCAGTTTTCCCAGCACCATTTATTAAATAGGGAATCCTTTCCCCATTTCTTGTTTTTGTCAGGTTTGTCAAAGATCAGATGGTTGTAGATGTGTGGTGTTATTTCTGAGGCCTCTATTCTATTCCTTTGGTCTATATCTCTGTTTTGGTACCCGTACCATGCTGTTTTGGTTACTGTGGCCTTGTAGTATAGTTTGAAGTCAGGTAGCGTGATGCCTCCAGCTTGGTTCTTTTTGCCTAGAATTGTGTTGGCAACATACGCTCTCTTTTGGTTCCATATGAACTTTAAAGTAGTTTTTTCCAATTCTGTGAAGAAAGCCATTGGTAGCTTGATGGGGATGGCATTGAATCTATAAATTACTTTGGGCAGTATGGCCACTTTCATGATATTGATTCTTCCTATCCATGAGCGTGGAATGTTCTTCCATTTGTTTGTGTCCTCTTTTATTTCATTGAGCAGTGGTTTGTAACTCTCCTTGAAGAGGTCCTTCACATCCCTTGTTAGTTGGATTCCTAGGTATTTTATTCTCTTTGAAGCAATTGTGAAAGGGAGTTCACTTATGAGTTAGCTCTCTGTTTGTCTGTTATTGGTGTATAGGAATGCTTGTGATTTTTGCACATTGATTTTGTATCCTGAGACTTTGCTGAAGTTGCTTATCTGCTTAAGGAGATTTTGGGCTGAGATGATGGAGTTTTCTAAATACACAATCATGTCATCTGCAAACAGAGACAATTTGACTTCCTAATTTCCTAATTGAATACCCTTTATTTCTTTCTCCTGCCTGATTGGCCTGGCCAGAACTTCCAACATTATGTTGAATAGTAGTGGTGAGACAAGCATCCTTGCCTTGTGCCAGTTTTCAAGGCAATGCTTCCAGTTTTTGCCCATTCAGTATGATATTGGCTGTGGGTTTGTCATAAATAGCTCTTATTATATTGAGATTTGTTCCATCAATACCTAGTTTATTGAGAGTTTTTAGCATGAAGTGCTGTTGAATTCTGTCGAAGGCCTTTTCTGCATCTATTGAGGTAATCATGTGGTTTTTGTTGTTGGTTATGTTTATGTGATGGATTATGTTTATTGATTTGCATATGTTGAACCAGCCTTGCTTCCCAGGGATGAAGCCAACTTGATCGTGGTGGATAAGCTTTTTGATGTGCTGCTGGATTTGGTTTGCCGGTATTTTATTGAGGATTTTCGCACTAATGATCATCAGGGATATTGGTCTACAATTCTCTTTTTTTGTTGTGTCTCTGCCAGGCTTTGGTATCAGGATGATGTTGGCCTCATCAAATGAGTTAGGGAGGATTCTCTCTTTTTCTATTCATTGGAATAGTTTCAGAAGGAATGGTACCAGCTCCTCTTTGAACCTCTGGTAGAATTTGGCTGTAAATCCATCTGGTCCTGGACTTTTTTAGGTTGGTAGGATATTAATTATTGCCTCAATTTCAGAGCCTGTTATTGGTCTACTCAGAGATTCAACTTCTTCCTGGTTTAATCTTGGGAAGGTGTATGTGTCCAGGAATTTATCCATTTCTTCTAGATTTTCTAGTTTATTTGCATAGAGTTGTTTATAGTATTCTCTTGTAGTTTGTATTTCTGTGGAATCGGTGGTGATATCCCTTTTATCATTTTTTATTGCATCTATTTGATTTGGGGTGGAGAGTTCTGTAGATGTCTATTAGGTCTGCTTGTTGCAGAGCTGAGTTCAGGCCATGGATATCCTTGTTAACCTTCTGTCTCATTGATCTGTCTAATATTGACAGTGGGGTGTTAAAGTCTCCCATTATTATTGTGTGGGAGTCTAAGTCCCTTTGTAGGACTCTAAGGACTTGCTTTATGAATCTGGGTGCTCCTGTATTGGGTGCATATATATTTAGGATAGTTAGCTCTTCTTGTTGAATTGATCCCTTTACCATTATGTAATGTCCTTCTTTGTCTCTTTTGATGTTTGTTGGTTTAAAATCTGGTTTATCAGAGACTAGGATTGCAACCCCTGCTTTTTTTTGCTTTCCATTTGCTTGGTAGATCTTCCTCCATCCCTTTATTTTGAGCCTATGTGCATCTTTGCACATGAGATGGGTCTCCTGAATAAGCACACTGATGGGTCTTGACTCTTTATCCAATTTGCCAGTCTGTGTCTTTTAATTGGAGGATTTAGCCCATTTACATTTAAGGTTAATATTGGTATGTGTGAATTTGATCCTGTCATTATGATGTTCGCTGGTTATTTTGCCTGTTAATTGATGCAGTTTCTTCATAGCATTGATGGTCTTTACAATTTGGCCTGTGTTTGCAGTGGCTGGTACTGGTTGTTTCTTTCCATGTTTAGTGCTTCCTTCAGGAGCTCTTGTAAGGCAGGCCTGGTGGTGACAAAATCTCTCAGCATTTGCTTGTCTGTAAAGGATTTCATTTCTCCTTCACTTAGGAAGATTAGTTTGGCTGGATATGAAATTCTGGGTTGGAAATTCTTTTCTTTAAGAATATTGAATATTGGCCCCCACTCTTTTCTGGCTTGTAGAGTTTCTGCAGAGAGATCTGCTGTTAGTCTGATGGGTTTCCCTTTGTGTGTAGCTCGACCTTTCTCTTTGGCTACCCTTAACACTTTTTCCTTCATTTCAACCTTGGTGAATCTGACAATTAGGTGTGTTGGGTTTGCTCTTCTCTAGGAGTATCTTTGTGATGTTCTCTGTATTTCCTGAATTTGAATGTTGGCTTGCCTTGCTAGGTTGGGGAAGTTCTCCTGGATAATATCCTGAAGAGTGTTTTCCAGCTTGGTTCCATTCACCCCATCACTTTCAGGTACACCAATCAAATTTAGATTTGGTCTTTTCACATACTGCCATATTTCTTGGAGGCATTGTTCATTTCTTTTTACTCTTTTTTCTCTAACCTTTTCTTCTTGCTTTATTTCATTAATTTGATCTTCAATCACTGATACCCTTTCTTCCACTTGATCGAATCGGCTATTGAAGCTTGTGCATGCGTCACGAAGTTCTTGTGCCATGATTTTCAGCTCCATCAGGTCCTTTGAGGTCTTCTCTACACTGTTTATTCTAGTTAGCCATTCGTCTAATCTTTTTTCAAGGTTTTTAGCTTCCTTGTGATGGGTTCGAACATCCTCCTCTGGCTCGGAGAAGTTTGTCATTACCAACCTTCTGAAGCCTACTTCTGTCAACTCATGAAAGTCATTCTATGTCCAGCTTTGTTCCGTTGCTGGCGAGGAGCTGCAAACCTTTGCAGGAGAAGAGGCACTCTGATTTTTAGAATTTTCCCCCTTTCTGCTCTGGTTTCTCCCCATTTTGTGGTTTTATCTACCTTTGGTCTTTGATGTTGGTGACCTACAGATGGGGTTTTGGTGTAGATGACCTTTTTGTTGATGTTGATGCTATTCCTTTCTGTTTGTTAGTTTTCCTTCTAACAGTCAGATCCCTCAGTTGCAGATCTGTTGGAGTTCGCTGAAGATCCACTCCGGACCCTCTTTGCCTGGGTATCTCCAGCGGAGGCTGCAGAACAGCAATATTCCTGCCTGATCCTTCCTCTGGAAGCTTCTCCCCAGAGGGGCAGCCAACTCCCTACTGGGAGGTGTCCCCATTTAGGCTACACGGGGGTCGGGGACCCACTTGAGGAGGCAGTCAGTCCATTCTCAGAGCTCAAACGCAGTGAAGCACTGATTTCTACTCTCATCACTGCTATTCGAGGTAGTACTACCCAGCGCAATAAGACAGGAAAGGGAATAAAAGTCTTATACATACATACATATATAGAGAGAGAGATAGATAGATAGATTGATAGATATGTATATATATGTGTGTGTGTGTATATATATGTGTGTATATATACACATACATACCTACATACATACGTAGAACAATGGAATAGAATTGAGAGTCTAGAAATGAACTCTCACACTTATGGCCGTTTGATTTTCAACAAGGGTGCCAAGAAGTTTTATTAGGAAAAGAATAATCTTTTCAACTAATGGTGCTGGGACAACTGTATGTCCACATACAAAATAATGAAGTTTTACTCCTACATCATGCCATATAAAAATTAACCCAAAATGGATAAAAAGATGTAAATGTACAAAATAAAACTAGAAAATTTTTAGAAGAAAACATAGGTGTGAATTTTAGTGATCTTGAATTAGGCAGTAGTTTTTGTATCTGACTCTAACAGCATAGTCAAGAAAAGAAAAAATAAACTACTGGACATCATTAAAGTTAAAGACATTTGTACTTTAAAGGACAGCATCAAGAAAATGAAAGGACAACCCACAGGATGGGAGAAAATATTTGAAAATCATATATGAGATAAGGGACTTGTATCTAGAATCTAAAGAACTCTTGTAACTCAATAATAAAAAGACATTATGGCAGCCAACAAATGGAAACAACCTAAATATTCAACTGATGAATGGATAAACAAATTATGGTATGTGCATACAATGCAATATTATTCAGCAATAAAAATAACTGAAATACTAATACATGCTTCAACATGGATGAACCTTGAAAACATTATGCTAAGTGAAAGAAGCCAGTCACAAAAGGCCACATATTGTATTACTGCATTTATATGAAATGTCCTGAATAGAAAAATCTATAGAGACCAACTGGAGACTAGTGGTTGTTTATGGCCGGGGAAGATGGTGGATTGGGTGGTGACAGCTAAGGGGTATGTGGTTTATTTTGAGAGCACTGAATAAAATTGATTCTGGTGATGAATGCAAAATTCTGTGAATATACTCAAAGTCTTTAATCTTGTACTTTAAATGGGTGAATTGTACAGCATGTGAATCTTATCTCAAGCTGATTTTTAAAAACTAAAGCTAAACCTAACATCACAATGGTGAAAGACTGAATGTTTTTCTCTAAGATTGGGAATGAAGCACTGATTTCTACTCTCATCACTGCTATTCGAGGTAGTACTACCCAGTGCAATAAGACAAGAAAGGGAATAAAAGTCTTATACATCCAAAAGGAAAGAATAAAATTGTCTCTATTTACAGATGGCATGATCATCTACACAGAATAATATGTCAACGAATTTATAAAAATGAGCCTTGATCTAGCAATGAAGTTTTGGTTTGCAGGATACAATATCATCATACAAAAACCAATTGTACTTATTTTATTTTACTTTAAGTTCTGGGATACATTTGCAGAACGTACAGGTTTTTTACATAAGTATACATGTGCCATGGTGGTTTGCTGCACCTTTCAAACTGTCATCTAGGTTTTAAGCCCCACATGCATTAGGTATTTTTCCTAATGCTCTCCCTCCTCTTTCCCCCCACCCACAGCAGGCCCTGGTGTGTGATGTTCCCCTCCCGATGTCCATGTGTTCTTATTGTTCAACTCCCACTTATGAGTGAGAACATGCGGTGTTTGGTTTTCTGTTTCTCTGTTAGTTTGCTGAGGATGATGGTTTCCAGTTTCCTCCAGGTCCCTGCAAAGGACATGAACTCATTCTTTTTTATGGCTACACTAAAGAGCTTCTGTTCAGCCAAAGAAACTAACATCAGATGAACAGGCAACCTAACCTACAGAATGGGAGAAAATTTTTGTAATCTATCCATATGACAAAAGTCTAATATCTAGAATCTACAAGGAACTTAAACAAATTTACAAGAAAAAAACAAACAACCCCATCAAAACGTGGGTGAAGGATATTAACAGACACTTCTCAAAGGAAGATATTTATGTGGCCAACAAACATCTGAAAAAAAGCTCATCATCACTAGTCATTAGATACATGTATTTCTATATGCTAGTAATGAACATGTGAAAACCAAAATTAAAAATACAAGAGCACTTATAATCACTCAAGAAATGAGTTATTTAGGTGTAAATGTAACAAAATCTATACAGGACTTGTATGTTGAAATGTAAAGACAATGATGAAAGAAATCAAAGACCTAGATAAATGGATAGATCCCATGGATTAGAAAACTCAATATAGTAAAAGTGTCAATTCTTCCAAAATTGACATACACATTTCATACTATTCCTATAGAAATCCCAGCAAGATTTTTGGCTATAGACAATATAATTCTGTAATATATTTGGAAAGACCTAGCATAGCTAAAACAATTTCTAAAAATAAGAATCAAGCAAGAGTAATTGTTTTACCCAATATTAAGGTTTACCACAAAACTACAGTAATCAAGAGAGCATTGTATTGGTGGAAGGATAGACACACAGGTCAATGGAACACAATAGACAACTCAGAAATAGACTCACACAAATATGCCCACCTGATTTTTGACAAAGGTGCAAAAAGAATTCAGTGGAAGGGCTGGGTGCAGTGGTTCATGCCTGTAATCCCAGCACTTTGGGAGGCCAATGTGGGCAGATCACCTGAGGTCGGAAGTTTGAGACCAGCCTGGCCAACATGGTGAAACCCTATCTCTACTAAAAATCCAAAAAAAAAAAAAAAAAAAAAATTAGCCACGTCTGGTAGCACACGCCTGTAATCCCAGCTACTCAGGGGGCTGAAGCACAAGAATCGCTTAAACCCGGGCGGTAGAAGTTGCAGTGAGCTGAGATCGCGCCATTGCACTCCAGCCTGGATGACAGAGTGAGACTCTATTAAAAAAAAAAAGTCAGTGGAAGAATTGCCTTTTTGACAAGTAATGCTGTAGCAATTGAACATCCCTAGGCAAAATAATGAACCTTGACCTAAATCTCATACCTCAATGTGGGCAGATCACCTGAGGTCGGGAGTTTGAGACCAGCCTGGCCAACATTGTGAAACCCTGTCTCTACTAAAAATACAAAAAAAAAAAAAAAAAAAAAAAAATTAGGCAGGTCTGGTAGCACATGCCTTTAATCCCAGCTACTCAGGAGGCTGAGGCACGAGAATCACTTAAACCCGGGCTCTCATACCTCACACAAAATTAACTCAACATAGATCATAGATTTACATGTAAAGCATAAAACTATAAACTTTTAGAAGAAAACATAAGGGAAAAATCTTAGAAACCCAGGGCTGGTAAGGAGTTCTTAGGCATGACACGAAAAGTATAATCCATGAAAGAAAAATGAATAAATCAGACATCATAAAAATTTAAAAACTTTACTCCATGAAAGACCCTGTTAACAGAATGAAAAGAAAAGCTGAAGACTGAAAAAATATATATATTTGCAAATCATGCATCTAACAAAGGACTGCTATCTGGAATATATTTTTAAAAACTCAAACTCAATGACAAAAACCACAAAATTTAATTAGAAAATGAACAAAAGACATGAACCAGCATTTCACTGAGGAGTTTATATATATGGCAAATAAGCACATGAAGAGATGTTTAATATCATTAGCCATTAAGAAAATGCAAATTAAAACCACAAGATATCACTAACACTTGTCAGATTGGTTGAAGTAAAAAATTTGTGACAGTACCAAATGTTGGCAAAGATGTAGAGAAATTGGATCACTGATACATTGTTCCTGAAAATGTAAAATGGTATAGCCACTCTGGAAAACAGTTCACCAGTTTCTTATAAAACTAAATATGCACTTACCTTATGACCCAGCAATCAGACTCCTGGACACTTATTCTAGAGATGAAAGCTTTTGTCCACACAAAGACCTGTACATGATTGTTCATGGCAGTTGTATTTGTAAAGCCCAAAACTGGAAGCAGCAAAAATGTCCTGCAATTGGTGAATGGTTAGACAAACTCTGGTATATCCATACCATGAAATGCTATGCAGCAATAAAAAGGAATGAACTACTAGTATATGCAACAACCTGGGTGGATCTCCAGGGCATTATGCTGAGTAAAAATAGCTAGTCTCAAAAAGTCACATAATATATTGTTTCACTTGTGTCATACTCTTGAAATGACAAAACTATAGAGATGAAGAATAGATTAGTGGTTGCCAAGGGTAAGGAATGTTGGAGGGAGGAAAATGGATGTGACTAGTATGTGACGAGGGAGATCTATGCAATGGTAGAACAGTTCTGTATCTTGACTGTGTTGTTGGACACACAAACCCACACATGAGATGAACTGACATGGAACTAGACACACACATTGTGCCAATGTCATTGTCCTGGTTTGATATTACATGATGGTTATGTAGATGTAACCATTGGGAAAACTGGGTGAAAGGTACACAGAGACCCCTTTGTAACACCTTGGCAACTTCCTGTGAATCTATAATTATTTAAAAGTGAAATGTTTTTAAATGTGTGGCTCACAGATATATTTTGCTTGGCCCGTAGTGTCTTGACATTGAAAAAAAAATTAATTGTTAAGAGATTTTACATAAATACCTGGATATCTATCTTCTCTTAAAAATTCATAAGACATGTAAATGTGGGCCCAAATTCCCAGGCTTCCCACTGCTCTCTTCCATGGGAATCGTTCTCTTTCAGCTCAGCACAGTCCTCACCCAGGCCCCTGCAATCATTAAGCTACCAGTCTGGTCCCCAAAGGCATTTGAGTTTGTGGCCCCTAGTTATGCCTTTGTCCCTAACCCTGTGCCTACTTACACTCTTTTTACCCGTCTCCAACACAGCCATACCCAAAACAAGAATCTTGCACGTGACACCTCAGCACTAACCCCCTCCAGCTCACTGAAGATACTATCCTTCTGTTTCCTGTTGTCAGCTCTGACCTTCTGCACTCGTAGTCCCTGATCTGTTTGCTTTTGTCCCCTTGGCCCTGTTCTGGTTTTTGCCCCTATGGCAAGTCTGTAGAATGTTAACTCTACCACTGGGTTCCCAAACTGTAGTCAGGGACACATGGTATTCTAAGTGGACACACCACAGGTCAGGGTTTGTCTGGGCAGGAAGATCAGACACTCTCAGAGCTGACTGGGAGCTGAGCATGTGCCTCAAAGCTCTCTGTGGTCTTGTTGAGTAATCTAGCATTCCCTTGCACACAGAAAATGCAATTTTGCAATACACATAGGACAACAATCATTTCTGTCTAGTACAGGGCATTCTTGGGGGCAGGATCCATCCCTCATGCAGGCAGTACCGACATATCCTATCCCTGCTTTTTCCTTTTCCTTAGATCTTGTTAAAATTACAAAAAGCATTTATATTCATTAGAATTCTGGAAAAATTACAGAAAATTTAAAGAAGAAAAATAATCTACAACTTGACTACCTACAGATGATTACTGTTAACATTTTGGAATACTTCCTTCCAGTCTTTTTTTTTTATATTTGTACATACACACTTCAAAATGGTGTAACACTATTTTGCAGCCTGCTTTTCTCACATAATTGTATATTATGGACATATTCCCTTTTCAATAAACATTCTTCTAAAACTGCAGTCAAAATTTATTTAAGATTAGATTTGAATAGGACTGTCTTGACTATTTTTTCTTCCTTGTTTTCTTTTTAGAAGTATCTCCTTCCCACCCCTGATCTCTCTCTCTCTCTCTGTTCTTGATCTCTCACTCTCTCTCCTTTCTTTCTCTCCTACCCTCCCTCCCTCCTTTTTTGAGTCCCTCCCTTTCTTTCACATAATAAGTGAATCAAATTCACAGGGCTAAAGGTTATGGGGAAGCAGTGGGCCTGTAGAGGCGGTAGAATTAAGAGGAGGTGGTTTGGTGGGCAGAGATGAAAAGCTGCTCTGGGAATCAAAAATGGTCTGCTAAGCCAAGTGGGAAAATGAATTGTCCTACCCTCCTTTGTGTATGAATGAATGGAACTGGAGCCCTGGGGCCAAGAAAGACTATTACTCTTTCCATTATGAAGACTCCAGCTGTGGAAACCCATATTCTTATTGAAAAAAATATACATTTCTTTTTTAGGTGACACATATTTAGCTATTCATTGAAACAGTGAGGCTAAATCAGTTTAGTGAATCATAACCACCCTCATTTAGCAAGGATTTATGTGTGCCAGGCACTGTGCTCACTCCACTTTAAGTTTGTGCAGTAAAGCATAGTGCATACGACGTGGCCTCTGGAGCAAACTGCTAGGTTCAATTCTCAGCTCTGCTGCTCACCAGATTTGTGACGTTGGGCGAATTACTTAACCCCTTTGATCCTCAGCTTCCACATCTATAAAATGGGGATAATACAAGTCCCTCTCACAGGATCATTTTGAGGATTTAGTGAATTACAGTGTGTAAAGTACTTAGAAGAGTACCTAGTCCACAGTAGGTGCTCTGTCAGTGTTAGCTTTCATTATTATTAATAATAAATCCTCATAATAGTCCCTGAGGGAAGTACTATTGTTATTCTTCTATGAGAAGTGACAAAACTGAAGCTTGAATAAATCAAATGATTGCCTAAGCTCATGCTTGCTGCTAGTGAGTAATCAAGTTAAGATCTGTATCAGGCTGCCTCACCCTGGAGCTGGTCTTCTTAACCACAGTGCTATAGTTCTCCATCCTTTTTGTGAATAGAAGCTAATTTCCTGGTTCCCAAAGCCTGGTCCTGAGGCTGAGCAAAGGAGGAAGGGGACAATGTCAGCCAGCTGCCCTTCTCTTGCCCTTGGCCACTGCAGCAGACCTTAGGCCAAGGGAAGGCTAAGGGCAACAGCACCTGACCAGAGAAGAGGAGCTTGGAGAGATCTCAATAGGTTTGGAGCTCCTGCTTGGGGACTGTGGGCTTAAGCCCCCAAACTTTCTGACTCTCAGACACTTTGAACTGTTTCAGAAGAACTGCTTACCTGGGTCTGATTTTCTCCGTCCCATTTGCAATGCAAACCCACCTCCCCAAGGCCCACATGGCCTTCAGGGCAGTCAGCCTCACTGTGGCCAGAAAAGACAGCTGTCTCAAGGCTGGCCCCTTTGTTCAGGAGAAGCTGGAATATCAGCAGCAATCCCAGATTCATAGTGATAATCAGCTCCCTGTCTGGACGGTCAGGACTGAGCAAAATAACAAGTGCGGCCGCACCTGTTCTGGGGGTCTGGCACTGGTAAAGCAAGCTGCTATGAATGGCCCAAGCACCCACACAAGCAGCAGCTGCTGCCTGGAATCAGAGCTTTGTTAGCATAAGAATGGAGCCTGCCACGCCAACCAGCCAGCCAGCCAGCCAGCAAGCCAGCCAGTCAGTCAGTCAGCCAGCCAGCCAGCTTGCCAGCTAGCTTCCTTCTCCCCCTCCTCCCCATCTTGCCTTAGAACACCAAATGGGCCACCCTCATTGTGGGCAGACTGGATTTGTGTTGCTTTTCTCAACAGCATTGATCCATTTTTCATTTGTGAGGGAAAGAACACTTCCTGTTCTTCAGACGTGGCACAGGTAGAGGAAGATTCTGTAGATCTACTCACTACTCACAATGTTCTCATTCTAGGACAAGGGGAGCACAGTACACAACTCAAGAGGCACACTGCACAGAGACTGCAATGTGAACAGTGCTCCCTGGAGTTGTGCAGTGCAGTCTGTGCAGCCCTGCTCCAGGGGCAAATATAGGCCAGATGATTTCCATATAAAGGTCTCTAGTCTCTTGCTACTCAAAGTGTGGTCCATGGACCTGCTACATCAAGCAGCAACTGGAAGCTTGTTAGAAATGCAGAAGCTCAGGCTCCACCCCAGACCTATGGAGTCAGCAATTTGAATTTAGCAAGAACTCCTGGTGATTCATACACGAATTAGAGTTTTAGATGTACTGGGATAGAAAACATGGCCTTGGATCTCACATTTTCTCACACTTGAAAATGCTTGAGCTTTTGAATCAGAAAAATTGTGGTTCAAACCTTAGCTTCATCGATTGCTAGGGGTATGATGGCAATCAAGTCACTTAACCTCCTTGAACTCAGTTTTCTCATTTGTAAAAGGGCAAAAATAATAGTAACAATGGATTCATTGTGGGGATGAATAATAAAAATGTATGTGACAGTGACTAGCATGCTGTTTGGCATGTGGTCATGTTTCAATGAATAATAACTCTTATTATTATTTTTCTTCCCAGTAAATAACACTACCATGCTAACTTCAGATGATTCGGATGTTGACTTGCCCAGTTGTGTATCAGGAAGGCTCCTTTACTTCTCCTTATGCTCTGTGGGAACTTAAAGCAGTAAGTTTAATTAATCATAACACCTCACGCTGATATAGCACTTTGAACTTTTGAAAGCATTTACATAGCAATTATCTCCTAGTATCAAAGACTCAAGGTATCAGAACTGAAAATAATCCTAGAGATCACTTGGTTCAACATCGTCCTTTCTGTGTTCAAATGAGAATTGTTCAGTGACTTGCCCAAGGTCATACAGTTAGTTGAGTGGCACAATCAGCACTAGAACCTGATGAAAACCTAATTTTCAATTCAGTGCTTTTACTTAACAGCAGTTTTAATAAGAATATTTGTTTAGGGAGAGATGACACTAGAGGCTTAGGTCAGTCAAGCCTGGCCATGGCCATAGGCTCCACTCACCATGAACATTCTCTGAACTGGAAAAATTGAGGCAATTTTATAGCATGGGCCTGGGAACCACCAGATTTATCAATGGCAAATTTCCCTTTTTATAGGTAAGAGTGTGCACTTTCCCTTTTCCTGGATGCAGATGAAAAGCCTACAGCCTGAGCTTAATCACAGTTTGGAAGAGTAAATGAGGGCAACTAAGCTGCCCTGAGAACAAAGAGCTCACTGGGAATTAGTTCCCATGGAGACCACAGCATGAGGACTGGACAGGATGTCTTAAGGTTCTCCCAGTTCTGATAAAGGCAACAGAATTTCATTTCATGAAGTAAACATGTAAAAAATTTTAATTCAGTGGAATATTCTGCTGCTTTTAAATAGGCTCTACAATCACTCAGGAGTATATTAGACATATATTAAGTAGAAAATGCAAATTATAGAACTATGTGCAATTTCATATCTGATGCTGACCAGGGATAGTGCCTGCATCAAGGCCATGGTTGTTCTTCAGGCAGAGTTCTGTATTTCATGTGTATAACAGGCACCAGCAGCCCTGAAAGACAGAGAAAGGGCCTTACAACACACAAAAGGTCACATCAAGCTGTGAGAGGCCTCATTCTGGGCCTTGCAACCAAACGAATACATCTAGGGGGGATAAAGTTCCTGGACACAAGGCCTATGAAGCTTTCACATTCTTGATGTCAGAGATACCCTTCTGTTCCTGATAAATACTAAGCTTATTAGTTATGAAGGTCAACATCAATAGCATTCAAATATTTCTTTTGGCTGTAGAATTTTCACTCTAATGGGAAATATCTTCAGAGGCCAGGATGATAAACAGATATAAAGCACAGCTGTCCTAGTTAAATTAGAGGCTTGGCGGCTTGGCCCTGTTATGTGGCCTGCTCGGCCTGCTGCCCCCAACTTCACTCCAGAACACACACAGGGATGCATGAAGTATAACTTGAAAACCACTGCTATAAGTCCCTGGGAGTCATTAATGATTAATTGCATAGGAGCAGAGAAATAACAAGTAAGGTTTGCATGGTGGAAAGATTATTCAACTTTGCAAGACAGCTTGAAGGAGGCTGTTATAATGCCAAGAAATCCAGTTAGGAAGATATTGTAGTGGTCCAGAGGAGAGATGATGAGAATCTAGAGATGTGGCAGTCAAGATGCAAGAAGCAAATAGATAACAAAGATTTTAGAGATAGCCTTGGGAGGATTGGTAATTGTGGAAGGTGAGGGAGATGAAGGAGGAATCTTGGATGACTCCGCTTTCTGGTTTGGTGGAGTCAGAGTATTTCTAAAAGGCCAAGTTAAGTTTGGGACACACTGCTTTGAGGTTCCTGCAGAATTTCTAGGCAGAGGCAGTCCATAGGCAGTCTGATAAACAGATCTAGGGATCAGGAGAGAAATCCATAGTGGGGGTAATATATCTGGGAGTCATGAACATGTAGGTGATACTTGAAGCCAAAGGCATGCATAAAATTGCTGAGAAAGAAATGTGAACTAGTAAGAAGAGATTCCTCATATTTTTCCAAACTCATATTTCAGGTCTAGGACAAGGAAGAAGAACTCAAGAAGCTGCCAAAGAAGTAGGAGGTAAATCAAGAAAATACTCTCATGGAATCCATGAAAGAACAGATTTTCAGGAAGACAGGCAGTATAAAATTAATGACTCAGAAACAACAAGTAAAGAAAAAGACAGAACTATTCATTAGATTTGTCACTTGGGAAATCACTGGTGTCCACAGCAAAATGTGTTTCATGAAACCAGAAACCAAATTCCAGGGGACTAAAAAAGTGAATGGAAGGTGAGAGAATGGGATTGGTTAAAGACTCCTTTTTTCAAGAAGCTTAGCTGTGAAGGGAAGAAGAGACATAGGGCAGTAGCTAGCAAGTGAGAATCTAGAGGTGAAGAGAAGGTTTTTAAAGACAAAAGAGATTGTAGATATTTTGAAAAGACCCAGTGGCAAGATGTTGAAGATCTACAAGAATGAGGAAAGTTTTGGAAGTGCCAGAGGAGACAACAGGATAAAAGTGGACACAGGTACATCTAGGTTTGAGGTAGAAGGGCAGGAGCTTGGGGTGCTAGAAGCTGCTATTTTCTTTATGAAATGGGAAAAGAAGTCATCTTCTAGGAGAGACAGAGACAGAAGTGAGGTTGAAGCCTAGAGGAGGGTGGTGCAGGTTGGTTTAACATAACAGAAAAGTGACATGTAGCTTACTAACGTCACTTTGTAAGATTTCCAAGCAATTTACAGGGAGCAGTTGAGATTTGGTTTTCTGCTCAGATGTCAAGATATAGAAAATGAAGAGGCAGATGCTGGGTTAGTCCACAGGTTCTCAATCTGGTTGCTCATTACAATCACTTGGGGATCATTAAGATATCTATATCCAGACCCCATCCTAAACCAGTGAAATCAGGTATCAGTATGTTTCTAAGCATCCCAGGTCATTCTCATGTGCAGCCAGGAACAAGATCCACTAGAATGATCTATGGTTTGGGTTTTGCTAAACCACTATAATATAGGGTTAAATAGGAAAAAAAATATATTGACACATGAGAATTGCTGGAAAAGATGCACTATGGAATTTAGGAGGGAGAGGGAAAAGAGGGAAGCCAGGAGGGACTAACATCCACGAAGACCACTGTAGAATCAACAGATGAGAGATTTAGATGAAATAAAAGAGAAAGTATAATTAGCATGAGGGAGCTGGATATATAAGCTCTCTCAATTAAAATACTAGAGTTTAAGATTTCAGAGGTAGAACAGTTTGGGGACAAAATCCAGGAGCTGGCAATGGGGACAGGTTATCAAAGTGCAGTAGAGATGAAAGTGAGTGGAGATAACTGATATCAAGGAAACTTCAAATAAAAGTCACACCCTATTCCTTTCCCTACCCAGAACCCTCCCCTCCAGTGGTTCACTGTCTCATTCAAAGTAAGAGCCAGTGTCCTTACAATTTCCTGTAAGGCCTGATAAGACCCATCTCCATGTTACCTCCTTGACCTCACCTTCTAACTCAGCTTAAGCTAGACTTGCCTCCTCACAGCCAGGTACACTCCTGTCCCAGGACATTTGCACTTGCTGTTCTCTATGTTTATAATGCTCTCCCTCAAGATATTTGCAAGGGTAGCTCAGTGAAGGCTATTCTTGTTGAAATTTATTCCCTTATATTTAAAATTGATCCCTCTCTCCCAGCATTCCCTCATCCTCTGCTTAAATTTTTCCACAATGCTTATTAACATTTATTTGCCTACTGATTGGTTGATTATCCCCCTCACTGGCACCTTCCTGATAATGAGCTTCTGGAGGGCAGGGATTTTGTCCATATGTTCACTGTTCCATACCTAGTACTTACTTACAACAGTGCCTGGTACATAGGCATTCCATAAATATTTGTCAAAGTGATGAAGGAACCATAAGTCCAGAATGTTGGATAGATTGCCAACAAGGGCACTAAAGTCCTCCAGGAGAAAAGCAGGACTTAGGTTGGAGAGGAAACTGATAAACCAAGTATTAAACATTTAGGAAAAGTGTGGGTACATGAGGAAGACAAGAGTTGACAAAAGAAAAGAGTGAGCAGTATAGATGCCATGACACTTACAGGGAGCATTGATGTCATTTTATTTTCTTTTATTTTAAAATCAATTTATTTTTTAAAAAAAACAATGAATTTAGTTTGCATTTAATTTTGTTATCTGTTGGCTTTTTTCGCTTCTTTTTCAGGATGAACTTAAAAGGCCTAAAAATAGTTCTGGGGAAATAGGAGAGTGTGGCTATCACCCCTCAGCTCTGTAGAATGTGCAACCCAGGAGAATGAGCGGCTTACACTTGATAAGCTGCAAGAGAACTGATGTGTCAATTAAGGCAAGCAGGTACCAGTGGTGTGAAAACCTGACAGCACACTAGTATCACCTGGAGTAGCTCTAAAAAGTACGGAAACCCAGGTCCCTCTTCAGGCCAAATGAATCAGATTCTCTAGGGATGGGGTCCAGGCTTCAGTACCCGTTAAAAAACTCCCCAGGTGATGCTAACATGTAGCCAGCACTGTGATGTACACGAGGGTGAAGGACCAGAGGAGTTTGTTGATATGCAACATAGATCTCAAAGGATACAGACGGAAAGCCCGAGAAAGAGGATAGAGTGTAAAGAGAAAGCAGAAACATGTATGAGGATGAAAATCCCTAGGAGAGGAAAGGAACTTACATTTGGGGTAGTGGCAGTGGATTGCAGAAATGGAGAGGCATTATGGGGAATTAAGATGTCTCGAAACTCTGAATAGACCCTTTTGGGAGGAAATCATTGGAGTGAAGTTGTTCCAGAGTTAAAACTAACTGCCTAAACAACTCAGGCTTTTAGGCTACTTCTAGTCTTCTGCTCTGCCAATCCTGACCTAGCCCACACATTCCCGTGAGACCATTCTTCTGTGACTCCATAGCCTGTACTGCACTGCTGAAGGGTATTCTGCAGAGCAAACGTATGTGTGCCTTATGTATCTTGCTCATATGGCAGGAGTTATTCAAAAGGTGATTAATGATTGAATGAAGTTCAAAGTCTATATCAAATAATATATATCATTGAGTGCGTCACATTTGTTTTTTTAAAAAAGCATAATCCAGAGTAATGTCCCATGCCTTGGCAAGAAGAGTAAGGTTGAAAGAGAAAGGAACCTCTTCCCTTTGTTAATCAATCATACAGCATTTAATACATCATATCTTGGGTGCCTTGGGGAATATAGAGATGAGTAAGACACAGCTACTGTCCTCAAGGGGCTTAAAACCTACCTAGGGAGAGAACAAATGCATTCATGTTAACTACCATCAAAACAAGGTAATAGAGCTTATATGCTAAATGAGCATTTTAGACTGAATATGGCACAGGATGAGAGCTCAACTCAATCTGCTTCAGGATACTTCCCCATGTCCATAAATGGACACCTTTCATCACGTTATTCAAGCTAGAAACATGGAAGTCTTCCTAGATTCCTCTCTCCTCTTAGTCCTTATATCCAGTCTAGTAGCAAGCTCTTTTGAAACACATGCTGCATTTGCCCTCCTCTTCATGGCCACTGTCACCTCTAGTCCAGGCCACCACCATCTCTTTTCCTGGACTACTGTCATGGCCTCCTAGCTTGCCCCTCTTTCTCTTCTCGCCACTCTTAAGTTCCATTTTATATAGCGGCCAGAATGATATTGTAAAACTATGAATTACATTACCCTGATTCTACCCTTACTTCACTGATTCTACTTCATTGGCTTCCATCTGCTCTTGGCATAAAAAGGGAACTCATTACCATGGCCTTCAAGGTTCTGCATGGTCTCCGACCTCATTGAGCATCACTTTCTCCCGGTTCACTGTCTCTTTTAGTCACTTGAATATGGAAAGTACCCACCTCAGGGTGTCTGTACAATTTGCTCTCTCTGCATGAAACACTCTTTGTTAATATTTATTCACGTTTCAGGCCTCAGCTTAGGTGTCATTTCCCCTAGAAGGGCCTTTCTTCATGCTCCTCAACCATCTCAATGAAGTCTCCCCTGCTATTGTCTCTCCTACCCTATACTTTTCCTTCACAGCACTACTATAATTTACAATTATATGTGTCTGAGTTTATTTGTTTAATGTTTGTCTCCTCCATTAGACCATAAGCTTCATGAGGGTAGGTTTTATGTCTGTTTCGCTTATAATAATATTCCGAATGTCTAGCACATTACCTAGTATATAGTAGGTAATCAACATGTGTCCTTGGGATGAAAGGATGAATGACTAAAGGAATGAAAGAAAGAAGTGACATGGTCTGAGAAGGATTTTTAGAGAAGACCAAGTAGGAAAACACCATGAGCAAGGCATGAAAATTTTTGTGCCTCTACCATAGCCTGATCCCAGATATCCCTAAAACAACCCAGGGTAAGAAAGACTCACCACTCCTTCTCCTATCACCAGCCATGGCCAGGGTCCCTGCAAGATTCAAAATGAGCAATGTCTACTGTACCCAAGCACCTAGTGAGGAAGGACTTGTAAAAGTACATCCAAAGTCCTCTTGGGTCATGCAACCCTTCTGAATATTTCATAAGTATCAGGGTTCTTATCCAGTCCTTTACTACCAGAGGCCTACAGATATCTCTATTAGTAGTAATAATGCCTACCTCATACAGTTATCATGAGGATTAAATGAGAAAAAAATATATAAGGCAGCTAGCACAGTGCCTAGCACATGGTAAGCACTCAATATATGTTAGCTGGTATTATAATTGCTCCTCTGTAAAATGGGGATAATAGTGCCTGCCTCATAGGGTTTTTGTGACTATTAAATGAGATAATACATGCAAATGCTAGCACAGCAACTAGGACATAATAAGTACACAATAACTGTTAGCTATAATTTATTGTTATTCATAGAAGTAAAAGTAGCAGGAACAATAATATGATATAGTTCAGGCAAGAAATCATGAAGGTCTGAACCAAGGCAGAAACATTGGGGAATCCAATGAGGTCAAAATTTCTCTGAAATGGTCACTTTGGGGCCCCAGAGATGTGGATTAATGTATAGAGAAAGGCCCAGAGATTAGTACACAGACAGTGGTGGGTAGGGCAGGTTGCTTCATCACCAGGCTGAGCTAGGCGATGCCCTGGGAGGAGGCCCTCCACAAAGAAGGTCCTGTCACCAGGGCTTAATTCCCAGCTCTATTGATCAGGTAGGAATTGTCACTATGGCAGCATCTGGTTGCCTTACTCAACATATTATGTGGGGAGGAGACTAAGTGCTCTCTGACCAGTTGTCTTGGAGGAATGTCAGAAGGGAATATATGGCTGGTGGAGCCGACAGGGGAGGCGTGGGGAGGGCAATGACAGAACTTTGTGCTTCATGGGACCAGGCTCCAGTGGGAGTCGTAAAGCAGGGTCTGCTTTGTTCCCATTTTGGTCACTGTGTGAAACATTTTCGAGGTCAAGGAATCAGCTGTTCTCCACAAGCAGCCCTTGTGCAGTGCTTTAGCAAGAAGTCCCCTCAGTCTTGGGGCCTCCCCTATGCAAAAAGGCTATCTCCTCTACTTAACCCAAACAAGGGTAAATGAGGATAATAGTACATCACAGGCACCAGAAATATTTTCTGGGGTGGGAGCCAGGCCCATAGGTGGTCCAGATATAGAAAAGCAGGGACCAAGGGATCCACAAGTCCTCTGAGGATGGCAACCGAATGATAATAGCAATAGCTTATTGAGCACGTCTGTGTACCAGGTGGTGTACTGAGAACTTTGCAGGAATTATCTTATATATTCCTCAAGAAACCCAAAAACGTAGCTACTATTATTATCCCCATTACACAAGTGAAGAAACAGAGGTTTAGAGAGGCTAAATGACTGTCCAAAGTGCCTGAGCCAGGATCCAAACCTCTTCATGGAGCTTCATGCATTCAAAATAAAAATAGTTGCCATAAATAAACACTATCTATTGGACAGACATAGATTATCTCTTTGATTCCTCACCACAACTCTGTGAGGTAAGTACTAATATTATTTTTTCCATTTTACAGAGCCAAGGCAGTTAGGTGGTTAAGAAACTTTCCAAGACCACACAGCTAGCAGAAGGCAGAGCAGGGACTTAAACTTAAGCAAGTGATCTTTTAACCTTTACCCTACCCTCTTTTTTGCTCCAAAACAGCTCTTTTGCCAGGGAAAACATGAAGACATTCACAGTCATATATCTTGGACCACTTTTCTTTCAAAGTAGTCTGTTTTCAGTGATCTGATTGCTCCAAGTTTTCCACAGAGAAGGGAGAATTAGAATCATTGCAGATGGAAGAACTGAGGCCTAAAGAGGCAAAGTGACTTATCTGGCATTAGACATGGAGTAAGCAATTGAGGCCTTACAAGACCGTAGTTTCTTGGTTTCTCCCTTTCTTTCCTGTTTTATCAAGAGACAGGGTCTCACTCTTTTGCCCAGGCTGGAGGGTAGTGGCACAATCACAGCTCACTGCAGCCTCAAACTCGTGGGCTTAAGTGATCCTCCCACCTCAGCCTCCCTAGTAGCTGAGGTGCACTACAGGTGCACACCCCCATGCCTGGCTCATCTTTGGTTTCTTGATGCCTATTGACTCTCATTACCGGAAACGGCAATAAAGAGGACAGATATTGCAGGAAATGGGTGCAAGTCCTCCCCTGAGGGCTCCAATTGGAAGGGAATTTTTAGAGAAATTATAGCCAGTAGAAGATCTTTCTAGGAAAGAGCTGCGGGAAAGAAAACAAATGGTCTGTTTTTGTGCAGTGATGTTAAATTGCTCAATGCCCTATACTACAGTCAAAGTGAAAAGTTCGGCTACTTCAAAAAGGGCATTAGGTTAGGGTTTAAGGATGGATTTGGTCCCATACGTATAGTCTGGAAATTGCAGTGCATGCTTTGGTTATGTTCATGAGTTTGAATCGTATCAGTCGTAGATCAATGAGTCTGTATTGCTGGATGCCAAATATCCTTTGCTGCATGCTGCAAGTTTGATAATGAGAATCAGACAGGAAGAACTTGAGTGAGCTGGAAACCCAATAATCCCAGCCAATGACACTGTTATTCATGTTATTCTGGGTCCTCTCCCTGGTTGTCTTCCCCCACCCAGGCTCCCTTTAGCTGAAAACATCCAGGAAGTCACTCCCTGCCTCCCAGAGGTCCTCTATACCCTTGGCACTAGTCTCCTGCTGGGAGTAGGAGGAGGAAAACAAAAAGTATGTTCCACATTCCCATGATTTGTGACACAAACAATAGTCATGGGGATATCAGGAATTTATCTCTCAATGATAATATTTAGAGATTTACTCAGTTAACAATTCACAAGAATCAAGACTAATCTCTGAGCCCCACCCCTACAATGACACACAATAATTCTGGCAACATTTTGCTGCCATTAAAATGAACCTCCCCTTTCTTTCCTGGTCTTTATTGTTGCTTCAAGGCTCAGACTGGTCACACCCAAGAAGATCTGTTGCTTCATACATTCCCCTTTGGTGTAACACAGTCTTATTACCACAGGAAGCCCTTAATAGTAGAACACTCTGTTTAACCATTCAGACCCCAAGACCAGACAGAGATTCACTTTGCTGCTCACCATCTGAGTGAACTTGTGCAAATCACTTAGCTGCTCTGAGCCTTAGTTCCCTCCTCTGTAAAATGGAATGCTAACAGTATTAACCTAACAGAGTTGCAGAGAAAATTAAATGAGACAACACATGCAAAGAGCAGTGCAATACCTGACACACAACAAACAGTTAATAAATGGGAGCTATATATAAAAAGAAACACTTGCTGTCTCTGAAAGTTTGCCTTAGAGAAGCATTTCCCTAGCTCCAACTACTCCCATAATGAAGTGAAGGGCTGAAAGTTGGCGCAGAAGGAAATAGTGGGGCAAATTGGTGTACACTAGTGCTGACTCCTTTCTTTTTGGCATTTAGAAGATAGGATGGTATTGAGAGAGTGCCTATGGCTGAAGGAAATAAGATCAGTGAGATCAAGGGGAAGTGGGAAAAACCCACTGCAACACTGTGAATTTAATGAAGGGAAGAAGAACAAAAGTTGAAAAAGTCAAAGAGGGAATAGAAATTTGAAATAGGATTCAAAGGAAAGCTTGGGCCAAAACAGTCTAGGAGTTATGGAAATCACTGTGCCCTCTCTCAGTAATGCTTCTTCTCAAGGTAGTGTGCCAAAGGGCTTGAAATATACTCATTATTAAATGACTGGTCAGTTTGTTCGTCCAAACTCGCTCTTCTTAAGAAGAACACTGTGCTCTCCATTCACCTCTGCAGAAACCAGTCCCAGGGAGCTAGGCCAAAAGCCAGCCTCCTCAAGTGCAGTTTCATATCATAGATTTCTAAGCCAGAGCTCCTAGGTGACCTGGACTTCCCCACTTTTGAAAATGCTTTCATTCCCTCAAGCCAGAAAACACCAGGAGATCTTGCCTCCTGAAAGTTACCTCTGGAGGGTGTTCCAGTCTTCTCCCAAATCACCTAAGAAGCTAGTTAACAAATAGGTTTCCTGGGTCTACCCTTGGAGTTCAGATTCAACTGGTTGAGGTGGGGCCTTCAAAATATATTTTTAAAATGTCCCCAAGTGATTCTGTCACAAAGCAAACATTGACTTTGGAGAGGAGAATGCCTTGTTTAAGTTGAAGGAATTACAATATGGATCATCAATTCCTAACGATGCCCTCATTTTATATGTCAGGAATCTGAGGCTCAGAGGCATTTAAGCTCTAGTTCAGGGTCACACAACTAATTAATAACAAAACCAGAACTCGAACCCTGGACTTCTGCCTCCCAATTTAATGTAAGCTCCATTTACTGACTCTCTTTGCCTCTTTGTTAATGAGGTTTTTATTTTTGGATTAAGTATGGAGTCAGACATCCCCTTCCAGTTCTAATCAGAGTTAAAAAAACAATGTTACCTTTGCAGAATAGTTCATTAGAAAAGAAAAACATGACAATTTCCAATTCTACTTAAAGCACCAAGCATAGTTTTAAAAAGAAAGATGACCTTTCCACTTGTAACCATCAAAAAGTATAAATGTATCATATGATTTATGCATAGAATCCATATCTGTGGCTATGATGTTTCAATTTTAAATTATTTGGCAATTAAAAAGAGAAACACTAGTTTTAAAACAGGACATTCATTAGCATAAAAACTAAAACCACTTTTTTCAAGGCAGCAAAATTTAATAATTATATTATCTGGCCATCATTTCCTCTGTGAACTATGCTTACTCTAGTCCAAATCTTTAAAAAGGAGAAAAAAAGACAAATATTAGATACAATCTAAAGTCATTTGCCAAATACCAAGATTTTGAGGTAAGTGGAAAACCACAACTCATAATTGTCAATAGTTCAAGTAATCCAAATTATTCCTTTGGGGACAATAATCCACCCATCTTCTGACAGCTCAAAATCGTCCCTGGGGTGGGCTGTGTCAGTACCACACTAGATAAAGTGAATGATGGGTAAGTACAAAGGGCATTATTAAACATATCAAATCAGGAAGCTTCACTTTAAAGGCACATACATATATCCCTAGAGGAGAGAAGTTGCCAAATCTTTAGTTAGCAAGTATTAGGAGGTATGCCAGGATCCTTTTCCAGCAGTGTCCAACTCTTGGAGCATTTCTCCTTTCCAGATGTGTTCTCCATCTGTAAAATGGGTAAGCAACAACTATCATCACCACTTTTTCATGTTTCCCCATTGCCCTGCCACCTCCAAAGGATTTTAGGTTGCTACTGTGCTCTTCAGACAAAAGATATTCGTAAGCTACATAAACTACCACTCAGACTTCCATCTTCTAATCCACAGACCCTACCTTTGGCCTAAAGCACACACCAAAATACCCTTGACCATATCTGGATACTGGCAGAAAACAGGCACAAGAAGATGAAGCAAGCCCAGGCAGAGTAAGGGAAAAAGCTACACCTGTACTTGTTTGGCACTATACCCTTTGCAGAGTGTGACATCACTGTTTATTTCTGTTAGAATAACTTCTCATGGGAGGACCTCAAACTTGTCCTCTTTGCAGGAAGCCAAGTTAAATAGAAACTGATTCCTACTCACCACTCAGCCTTCAGAAAGTTATGGAACCAATCTAGCTGACCTCAGAGATCAGTGAAGATGCAGCAGTAGATTTTTTCCAAGTGTCTTAAGATGAGATAGAGCTCTAAAGTTAGTTCATCATTGCCTGCTGTTGCAGATGCTGCCAGCAGAGATGACCCTAAATGGTCATTCATTTCACAGTGAATTTAGAGTGATTTAACGTTGGAAAACGCTTTCGACACAGTTCTAGTTGGAAATGAATTAAAGAGCATGTTTACTTAAATAATTGAAGGTGAAACATGTATTACAGGTGTTCCACGTGCAGTTAGGGATTTCTGCTCCCAGCCTTTCTCAGTCTTGCCTTTCCTCCCAGTCAAATATGAATTTCAGCCTAGCATTTGATTTAAGAGCCAAAACCTGAATTATCAGAAGACGTCAGGAGGAGGGGGAAAATGTACTTGTATACACTGTAGTTGGAGTGTAACTTGCTAGAAATATTTTAGAAAGCAATTTGGCAATATCGAGAAAAATATTAACTGAACAAATCTAATCCTAGGAATTTATCTTAAGGAAATAATGAGCCAACTGTATATGACATAGTGCAAGGATATCTAATTGTGGCATTGTTGGCTTATAAAGGAATAGATTGAAAATTGTGATTTTTACAAAAATCATAAACATTTCTGTACAGTGAAAGACATCCAAATCAAAGTTAAAAGACAAACGATAAACTGCTTAATATATTTGCAACATAGAGAAGAGTTAAATGGTTACTATCCAAAATATTTAGAGATCCTCATTATCAGAAGCAGAAAGAACAACTCAAAAGAAGGAGAACCCAGTTATCAGAAGCAGAAAGAACAACTCAAAAGAAAAACAGGCAAGGGATATGAAATGGCAACACAGAAGAAATACAGATGGCCAAAAAAACACATGAAAAGATGTTCAACCTCACTAGTACTCAATGAAATGCAAAGAGAAAGGAGATTTTTTTTCAGCCTTCACATTGTCTAAGATTAAAAAGATCAATAATATCTGAAATTGATGAGGAAGAGTGTGGAGAAATGGCCACTGTTGATGGGAAGGTAAATTGTGATAGCCTTTCTGAGAGGCAGTTTGGCAGGCTCTATTAAAATCAAAGATGTGCAAATCAAACTCCAAACCAGCAACTTTACTACTTTAAATTTATATGACAAAATTGCTCACAGTGGTATGCAGAGTTGTATGTACAAGAAGGTACATTGCACCAATATTTAATAATGTAAAAATAATCAGAAATAATGCAAAAATTCATCAACAAAGGTTGGATTAAAGAGATTATATTACAATTATATAATAGAATACTATGCAGTTATTTATAAGAATAAAATACACAGGGAGCGGAACATCACACACTGGAGCCTATCACGGGTTGGGGGACAAGGAGAGGGAGAGCATTAGGACAAATCCCTAATGCATGCGGGGCTTAAAACCTAGATGATGGGTTGATAGGTGCAGCAAACCGCCATGGCACATGTATACCTATGTAACAAACCTGCACATTCTGCACATGTATCCCAGAACTTAAAGTAAAATTTAAAAACAAGAATGAAATAACTAGATGTCTACTGGCAATAAAAGATCTTCAGACATATAGTTCAGTAAAAAGCATTCTGTAGAACAGCACATGGTCACATCTTTGATTATTTTATGTACATGAATGTATTTATGTGAATATTCATAAAAACATGCACAATGTGATACATACCAACCTGTGAACATGGTGGGGGATCAGTGTTGGAGAGACAAGGAAGGAACATTCTACATCATATCTCTATTTTTATAAGCAAGAATGAGCATGTGTTCTTTGATAATAAAAATGCTTTTGTAAACAAGAAGAGAGCCATGCTGTGCCACTCCCCCACAATGTCCAGCCCCCACTCCCAGCCTTTAAATGTGTCCTTTTCAAGGAGACAGTGTTCCAGAATCTAAGACAACTTCTAATACCCAAAGCCCTGAGCTTTTGGTATTTAGGTGTTTGACTAGGGTAAGAAATCTGGAGAGAAGTGAAAGAGTTGTCTCATTCTTTGGGAAGAATTTTTATTTCATTTAAATATGGCATGATTGCCATCCTTTCTGGACTGACCCCCTCCCCAGTCCTCCCAAATTTCCCACCTGCCTAGCTTCCCCACTTCACTTTCTTTCATAAGGTTGAAGGAAGGGGACATGGTTAGCTCACTTCAATTCCTTTTCTATTTTTATCTCGAATTCAGGATCCAATTCCATTCTTTTATCCATAAGAAATTCCACTCTACTCCCTGTCCCCTGTCTATTTGGCACAAAGCTCATCCCAGCATTTCCATTTCCCTCCGAGTTAAGATTGACAATTCCACCTCTGGGAATCTTTCATATTTAGGGAGCTTCTACCAGTCACCCTAGGCTGTGTACCAATACCAACAGCAAGCAGAGCAAGAGCTCTCGACCTACAATGCTTTGAAATTACATGCACATGTCCATGGATGAGAGGCCTTCTCTGGGGAGTGCATCAGTAGCTTTCATGACTTTCAAGGGGATCCTTGGCACACAGAAAATGGTTATTAATCAATCACCAAAGTAAAAGGACTAGGATGATCAAATCATCCACCATGAATCTCAGGTAGAATATCTAGTCCTCAGGTTACCAACTGGGTGCTTGGCTTGGTGAATCAGACAACTATACACTCAAGAGGAATGAGGAGGGAGAGAGAGAAGCATGGTCTTTTAGGTCTCCACTAGAAACCTATCCCTCTGCTAAAACTGCAATGTGAGAGCCCACACTGCTCAGAACTGGACATGACCTCCAAGTCCCACCAAATGAGCCAATCCTCACTCCCCTGAACTACACAAGAAGGCAGTTAAGTCAAAGAGAAGAACACTGGGAGGCAGCAGATCTGAGTTTCAACTCTTAGAATGACTTCTGTTCTGTCATGTGGTAGCTGTGTGACCTTGGACAACTCACTTCACTTCTTCCATCCTCATTTTCATCATCCAAACATAAGGTTTACAACAGAGAAACTTCCATAGGCATTTGTAGCTCTACCATTCTATGAATGTCCCCCACTGAACAAGCATCTCCACTATGTACTCCAGAACAGCGAATAACTTCACTCTGGCTTTACAGCATCACACAGTCTTAAAGTCACACAGTTATCTCTTGTGGCTAACAGAAATCCTTCCTATT
Source organism: Homo sapiens (assembly GCF_000001405.40). Taxonomy (NCBI): domain Eukaryota; kingdom Metazoa; phylum Chordata; class Mammalia; order Primates; family Hominidae; genus Homo; species Homo sapiens. The sequence continues at coordinate 110,948,797 of NC_000023.11, read as the reverse complement.
ACAACTGAAGCTTGCTGCTTTCATGCAGAGAAGAGCTAATCTGAGTATAGAGTACTCTAGAACCAGCAACCCGAATGTCTTGACGTTCATTTTGGGGTAGAGACTGAATGCCTTGTGCAACAGTCTCTACCCCAAACCCAGTTTGCAATGATTATCAGCCATTAAGTCTCAAGAACTCCATTCTCCTTTCAAGGCAGTTTGTAAAGAAAAAAAGGTTCTGGGAATTAATAGCAGTCAAGGGATCCAAGAAGGGTCAATAGTCACATGAATGCTATTTCCTTTATCTTTAAATTTCCTTAAAGATGGCCTCAGCTTCCCATTGACAAAATGGACCCCTGAAACTGTTGTTCAAGAAGCGTCTCCTGTAAACAGGACTCCAGCCCAGGTTGGGTGTTGGGGCTACTGGAGAGAAATCCTGCACCAGCTAGCTTCCAACATGGCCCTTTACAAATGCTTCTGAAAGACAATTAGTCTGAAGGATAAAAGCAACTTTCCAACTAAACTTAATTCCTAACTCCAGGGTTCTCTAGTCAGCAGTGTATGTTCAGATTGATGGACTTTTTCTGAAGGCTGTACTGATGATACCTCTGGACCAGGATATTAAAGGCCATGCTGAAATTTTCAGAATATGAAAGGAAATAAACCCAGAGAACTGAGTCAGCCAAGGTTGAATGAGGATAGGTCTCTGCAGTCAAAGCAGAGCAGAGAAATGAGGCAGTCTGCCCAATAATTCAGCAGAAAGACAGAATTTGGGCCTGCATTATCAGGATAATTGCCTTAATTCTTCACTTCACTTTAATAATAACCTTGAGTTTACATACAGCCTTTCTTCTAAGCAGCTCAAAATACTTACAGAGATATTATCTTAGTTGTCATCACACCATCACAGTCAGTGAGAGTGATGATTATTATCAACCTCATTTTAAAGAGGGGGGAAGGAAGGAAAGCCTGGAGGGGTAAAGCGAGTCATCCAAGCTTACCCAGCAAGATGCCGACAGCCTCTGAACTCAGAACTCAGCAGAGAATGCTTTTACCCAAAGAACGTGTCTCTCAACACCAGTAGACCCAAATGCTTGTTGGAACACCATGCTCTATGGGTAATTCCATCTGAGAAATGCTGCATATTTTATACTCCTGGAGAGTCACAATATTCATTAGCCTAGTAAAGACTTTTAGAAGCCCTGCAGGAAAGAAACCTGTTTATGTTTAAGTAAGAATTTCCAAAACTTAACTTGACCACAAAACCCTGTGTGTTTGTGTGTGTGTGTGGATGGGGAGAGGTGTGCCCTACTAACATTCTATGGAACTAGTCTTCTTTAGAACCTACATCAAAAAACACTGTCTAGTAACTAGACAGATCTGAACATCAACACAGCTGACAGATCGATTCCATTCCAGCCCAAGCTTTGGAGAATGTATCTTAGAGATACTGCCTGATACCTTCTGGTATTGACAGCCAGTGAACAAAGGACCTTTATGTGCCCAAAGTACCCTAGGCCATCAACTCCTCCACAGCAAGGTATTGTCCAGACGAGGAAAGAAGTCATTCAAGCTCATCTACTTCTGTCATTCCTTTCAAATAGAACCCAGGGCTATTTTTGGTCTTCATTTAAGGGGAGAGGTGCTCCAGATGGGTGCTGATCCATGTTCTCAGAACCCACACTCTTACCTAGCATAATTTTGTGACCACCAGGCATTTCCAGTAGAAATAATCAGTCTCTTAGTCTCACTCCCAGGGCCATTTATCAGCCTATGAATGCAATCAGCACCAACACAACAAAACAGGAGACTCAGAATGTGCCCCTGTTCTGGCTTAATTGCACGAGCATTAGAGCAGTTATTATATATCCATTTTAAAACTAACATACAGCACAGAAATCTTGTACCATTGTTAATTACCAGTGAAACTACTAAAAGTACCTAAAATGTAAAAATTCCTCAAGATCCCGTTCAGGTTAGTTTCTATTTTATATACAGTTTGAATGATAAAAGATCACAGCCAATGGATTTAATATTCATTACTAGCATTTTCATATTTTCTTTTAGTATTTATTAAACATCCACAGAATGAGAGGAAATTCCTGCGTTGAAGTTGGTAAATTTTTGTGCAAAAAGTAAATGTAATGCAGGTATGCCTGTCTTTATCCATTCATGGACTATTGGAAAAATTCCGTTAGTGGATTTTTGGTTAAAAGAAATTCACTGTAAAGGTCAGAGAGGCAGTGTTAATTAACATAATCTGATTATGAATCCTTTTGTAAAGCAGCAAATTCTGCAATGTAAATATTGTCCATTTAGTTCATTTGCCTTGGAATCTCACATTTACATATATCAGATTTGCTTAAAGCAAAACACACTAATATTAATAAATGAGCCAGATGTTTCTTAATATAGAGATGTGTTGTGGTCTTTATCAATCTGCAATACTGGCTTTTTTTTTTGGCCACCAGTCATCACTCCAAACCAGAAAGACCCATTCTGAGTTTGTTGAGAATTTGGCAGTCACACTTCCAAGGACTCCCTGCAGTCTCACTTAACTATGACCTCTCTACCTTCATACATGCCATTCTTTCAACTTAGGATACCATTTTCCACTTAGTAACCTGGTGAATTAATTCTTCAAGACTCAACTCAAATGTCACCTCGCCCATGAAGCCTTTCTTGATCATAACCCCCATCCCCAATCAAGCATACCTCCCTTGGGCTCCCACAATACCCTGCCTGCCCCTTGTCATACTTTACTCTAATTGTCTGTTTACACGCTCTATCTTGCCTACCAGATTGTGCACTCCCTGTGAGCTGAGATGATGTTTTATTCATTTATATACTTTCAATACTTAACATTAATAACACATAGCAGGTATGCAAAAAATGTCTGCTGTTTGATTAATCACTACCTTTAACTGTATATTTTTGGACCCTGAAAAACAATGCTTTATTAAAACCACAAATAAAAATGTCAAAGAGAAGGTTTAGCAGTTTTGTTCATTTTTATTGACCTCTTCTTTCTTTGATTAAAAAGTGGCCATACCAGTTCATACCTTATCATTCAAGAAAGAAAAAAAAAACCTCTATATCAAATTCATGACTAACACATAGGTGCATTTAGTTTGTTCTTTTTAGTTCAAACATAGAACTACATCCTAGCACACCACTAACTTCACTGTAGTAAGTAAGACCTGAAGACATTAGGATGCGCTAATTAAAATGGGTGTGGGAAGGCACTGCAGGGATCACTGTAAGAGCTTTGGATCCTCATTGGCTGAGAGAGGAAACCCTGCTAAGAAAGTTGGGCATCTTTGGGAGAACAATAACGCTATCTGGTAGGGCTTGGTCAACCTGGCTCGAAATTCCGCATCCAGAAAGTCCTAAGCAACAGTCCCAGCTGGGGGGATTTCCATCACTTTGAAAACAATCATTATCCTTCCAATGTGGGCAGAACAGGTTGGACCTGATCCACCTGCGTGTTGCTGCAGTCTGGCTTGGCATGGAATGAGACCCAAGGACATGTAATGCCAAGAGTAGCCCAGCCCCATGGCGCAGACACACACACACGCACACACACACACACACACACCACTCCAACTCGCACTCACTGAATTCCACACAAAACCCACACCATCTCCACGACACACACCACTGCATTCCTGTGTGTAGTCACATACAGGGAGTGTCCTCTCACATTCTCTCACTTCCCTAGTCGGCCCGACCCACACCCCACATTGCCGGCGGACCGCAGCCTAGCCTGGAGCTGGAAGCTGAGGAGGACTGGTTTTGTTGTATGTAACAAAGCCCCAGGCACCCAGGTGCCCGGCTGGATCATCTCCATCCATCTCTCCCCGCCCCCATCCCTGAGCTCCCTGAACAAGAGAAAGCTCAGCCTGGGGAAGTGGATGCAGGGAGTGGGGACGCAAAGAAAGAGAGCTTTAGGGGTGGGCGGGGGCAGGAGTCCGGGCAGCTTCAGTGCTCTCTCGCCATGAACCAAAAAGGAAGGCGAACTGGCAAAGGGAACCAGCTGCCTTCCCAGCCTTTCGCCCTGCATCTATTCATACAGCAAGACTGAAAACTGGGAAATAATCTACCATCCCTCCCGCCCCGTGCCCTCCCAGTGGCTGTTGGAGCCACAAGAGCTCCAGCAGCCCGCAACAAAGCGCCCCCCCTGCACAGACCTGTTCCAGCCTCTTCTTGGTCAGAGCGAAGGAGGGCGGCAGCCGAGGGTTCTGCCCTTCGCTGCTGGGCAGGAGGAGCAGGGGATGGGAGGAGGAGCAGGAACTGGGGGAGGAAGGAGGACCAGAGGGGATAGGAGATCACAGCCGCAGCGGTGGTGGCGGCGGCCGTGGTAGGAGGAGGAGGAAGAGAGAAGGAGGAGGCTGCTTCGGTGGCAGCTGCTGAGGATGCTCTGGCGAGAGGCAGGGCTGGGTGCGCGGGGTGCGGGCTCACGTGCGCCCCATGGCCCGGGGATGCGCGCGCGTCTGGGTGTGTGAGAGCATCTGGGTGTATTTTGACTGTGATTATTCCAATTACGACCTAGTCTGGAACTTGTGGTTCCTGCAGCCAGGCGGAAGTGAAACCCTTCCAGTCTCTCAAGCCTGACTGTTTAGGTCGGTGGGATGGGGGCTGGGGGGAGCGAGGGCGGGGAGAAGGTGCCCGTACCCCTTTCTTCAATCTTCTTTCTGGGCACTGGTAGCTTGCATCAACACATCTCTCTGAAAACTCTATAGCCAAGGAGAAAGGAAAGAGACCAAGGACAGTTACCATCACCAACACATTGCATTGAGTGAGCACTCACACCGTACTGGGCAATGCCTGGACTAGTCAGAAGATAAGTTCTGTTCTCACTGTGATCGACATTTACAAGTTGGAGTGCCTATAACTTCATACAGCATTTACATTCTACCCTTTCTCCTCTATTTCTTTCCATTGCAATAACTCTGTCCCTGTAAGCAAGTGGCATAAAATTAATTCTCTACTTTTTAGTCAGTTTATCCAATCAACATTACGCTGGCCCCTGGCTTCTCTGGTGACAAGGGGTCAACTAATCCTCTTGGCATTTTTCCTCTAGGAGTGGGGTACTCAGTTTAGATGAGGACCAAGACTGGTTTCTTGGGGATCAGAGGGTTGAAGGTCATCACGGATCCAGTTGGAGATCCAGTTTGGACCTGCATCCCTAAAGCTAAAGTAAGAAACCAATTGTCAGAGACATGAACTTCCCCCATGATTCAATTCTTGGTGTTTGGAGCCCTGATGAAAATCTCCTTCCTACTCTTGATCTTTTCAGCATAGCATTTTGCTTCATCTTGCCTAATGGCTTATGCTTGTTGAGTACCTTGAGATTTACAAAGCACTTTCTAATAACAACTTCCCTACCATGGCATCTCTGTAAATTAGGCACAGAAGATATCATTATTCCTGTGTTACAGATAAGAAACTAGGTCTCAGCATGGTTAAGTGGATGTGCCTAAAATTACATGCTAATAAGTGGCAGATCCAGAACTGGAACCCAGGCCTTTGGATTTCCAGGCCAAAGTTCCTTTTTAAAATTATATCTTGGAAAGAACCTTCAGATTCATCTATTTATCTCCATATTGGAAGTAATGGTTTAGTGAGGGAAGTTGAAATTGCTAACTAGAATGAGAGTTTAAAAAATATTTTCAGTTAAATCGATGCATTCAGATGCAATCCATAGATCAGTAGACAAAAAAGAATTAACTTTTAGGCCTCAGACCCCAATCAGCACACATAATTACTCCTTTGATTCTGCTACCAGCTACTACAAGAAAAATTTGAAATGAAGTTGCAGAAAGGACAATAAGAAAAGAGTCTGAATTTCCCAGGGTGATAAACTTGTAAATGATTCCCCCACAAGCTAGATCTGTCTCCTCTAAGTCATGAGAATGAATCATTATTTGCCATCCATGGAGGAAACCTATCTCCTACACACCAGCCTGGGCAATCCCAAGCATGTGGATATCAAACAAGAGAGGCAGGTTAGTGCAGTGGACAAAAGCTAGACTCTGGAGACAGACTGCCTTAGCTGGAAAACCTTGGAAGATGACCCAATATCAATGGCTTCTCCTGTAAAATGGGTGGTAGAGGTGTGAGAATGAAATGAAGTGATGCAAATGCTTAAGATACAGCAAGGCTCAGTAAAACAATAACTGTTATTATTAGAGAAAAAAACAACTTCATTAATGAATCTTTCTCCATTAAAGGCAGAAATGATTTATTACCAATAGTGTCCCAACATTGAGGGAATGCAGAGGAAGAGATTGCTTTTCTCTGGGATAGGAGAGATAAAGTGTTGGTGTCAGGAAATAGGCATGATACACAAGTAAAAATGAGAGATTCTCTACAATATTGAGGACCAACATGGAACTTAGAAGAGAACGGGACCAGAAGAGGATGATGAAGAGAGGACACTTAAGATTGGGTGATGGATTATGACCCAGATTCTTGCCAATCATGGCTACTGTGATTGAATGGGAGGATATGCCTGTTAATGGTTCTGCAACAATGTACATGTTTTACTTAGAGAGGTGCTTTGGCTCTTCTAAACACATTCCTGTTGATCAAAAGACCTAATAAAGAACTCCATTCAGAATCTATCAAAAATACCTGAATTTGATACTCAGCCAGGGACTCCCTGTTCCAATCTGCTACCAAATAGTACCTTGTCTTGTTTGAGCCTTGCCAAGAACAGAGGAGGTTGAGTCATAACAATGCTCAGAGCCAAGCTGCAGAAAAATTATGAAGGAGGTGAAATCTGTCTCTGATACCCTTCTAGTCTCTCTGTGTTTCACCCTTTTCTTCCCACTTCCAACCTCTAGACATCAAAATCTCTACTTTCTAAGCCAGGGAAAGGGCCATGTGAGTAATGCATTCACAAAGAAGTGCCTTTACATGCTTTTCTTCTCAAAAGAAAGACTAACAGGAGGAGACAATGCTAAACCCAGCAAAATGAATGGATCACTAATGATAAAAGTTCAGGCACTGTGGGTGATAGAAATGCTTTGAGTGCCTTCAAATCATATTTGGTATGAGACTCTCCATGAATAAAACCAGACTTTGGGAATTCTAATTCATGACACAACAGAAATGGAGAACACTAAGAGGCATTAGTTACTCCAGCTCAACCCCTTTGTTTAGTAAGTGATTGAATAAAGGCTCAGAAAAGTTAAGTGACTTTCCCAAGAGCACATAGCTCAAAGAAGAGAGCCATGACTTGAATTCCAAGCACAGAGCTTTTTCCACCACACTGTGATACTCCAACAGCCAAGAAGAAAACTAGGAGCAATTGCTTAGAAACTGATATTTGAAACATTTTTTCAGATATATAGGAATGGCATGAAAACAAGAATAGAAGTGAGGAAGGAAGGTGCAGTCCTCTTTTTGCTTCTTTTGGCTTTCTCCTCACAAGTTATTTTTTTTCCTAGTAGCTTCATCCTGAGGCCACTTTAAGCAAGATTAACATGAAGAATGGTCTTTGTTATGCTAAGCACCTAAAACTGGAAATAATACTAGAGATATGAGAGTAAACTGAGGGTGGACAGAGTCTAGATCACTCATTGAATCTTAAATTTTAGAATAAATCCCTGTTATGAGTAGATTATAATAAACCTTTTCTCAAAACAGAGAGAACCAAAAAAGAATCTAGTCAGTGAAAGTTTCCAGTTTATTAGAGTCCTACTAATTAAGGCTTTATTGTAATCTCAAAACACAGAAATGATTTAAAATAATCTGATCTTTAAAAAATAAAATTAAAAACCCAACTCTATTTAAGTTTGCTTTGCTTTGTTTTATCTTCATGTTTTCTGTCTAAGCAGTTGACAGTTATTTGGGATTAGAAAATTCTCACGAGATTTATTAACTACTCTCTTTACTTCTGTATATGTTTGAAATGTTCCATAATACAAATGTGAAAAAAGACATGGTTCCTGTTCTCTAAGTATTGGAAGGAAAGAACTCAGAATTCTATTGATCATGGACTCCAAGTATTTCTCTGTGTAAATTAGTATAACTTTCCTGGAGAACTAGGTGTCAATGTATATCAAAATTGCAACAAAAAAATAAAATAAATGTGGAAAAAAAGTTTCCCCAGGCAATCTCCTGAATTTCACAGTTGGAAAAATAATTTGAAGCCCTGATTTCCCTTCTTGATTAGATGACTTAATTTTACAGACAAGTCATTTGATTGTTTCAGGACCCAATTTTTTGATCTACGAAATGGGGTTATAATTTTTACGCACACATCTCTTTGCAAAACTAGGAAAAGTTGAAGCCTTGTGGAAAGACTGCTACATAACCCATGGCTTTCAGATTTCTATGTTGGAGGTGATACATGGTGAGTGTGAGTGGTATGAGTGGTCCCTTTGAAAGTTAAATTATGAAGAAAATGGAAAACAATTAATTTTAGACTTTTTAAAGTATTCATGTTAAAATAGCAAGAGTAATCAACAAAAGCATAGACATAAAATATGTAACTTTGAAATAAGTAGAGGGAAAAATTGAATTAAAAAAATGGAAAAAAGCTTAATTCAAAATAAGTCAAGAAAATAAGAGTAGGAAAATTAAACAGAAAATAGAACAAATAAAAGGCACATATGAAGAGGGTAGGAATAAATCCAAACAGATTAGTAATTGCTGTAAATCTAAATGGATTAAATACATCAATTAAAATATCAAGGATTATCAGAGTGAATAAAAGAACAACATTGTTTTAGTCAATTTTTTGTGTTGCTATAAAGTAATACCTGAGGCTGGGTAATTTCTAAAGAAAATAAGTTTATGTGGCTCACAGTTCTGCAGGATATACAAGAAGCAAGGTGCCAGCACCTGCTTCTGGAGAGGGCCTCCAGCTGCTTCCACACATGGCAGGAGCTGGTGTGTGCAAAGATCACATGGTGAGTGAGGGGAGATGCCAGGTTCTTTTTAAGTAAGTACCAGCTCTAACAAGAACTAATAGAGTGAAAATTCACTTATTACTGTGAGGATAGCACCAAACCATTCATGAAGGATCCATCCCCATGACCCAAACACCTCCCACTAGGCCCCACCTCCCAACACTGTCACACTGGAGATTAAATTTTGACATGAGATTTAGAGGGGTTAAACACACCATATCCAAACTATAGCATTTCAACCTTGGCCCCCAAATCTTATGTCCTTCTCACATACAAAATACAATCACTCCATCATAATAGTCTTAATTTGTTCCAGCACCAACTAAAAAGTCCAAAGTCCAAAGTCTTATCTGAGACTCAAGGTAAGTTTCTTATAGCTGTGAGCTTGTAAAATCAAAAACAAATGATTTACTTCCAAGTCTACAATGTTGAAGCAGACATTGGGCAAACACTCCTATTCCAAAAGGAAGAAATTGGCCAAAAGAAAGAGGTAATAGACCCCACACAAGTAACGTAAATCTTATAGCTCCAAAATAATCACTTTTGACTCTGTCTCACATCCTGGGTACACTGGTTCAAGTGCTCCTGAGGCCTTAAGCAGCCCTGCCCCTGTGGCTTTTCTGGGCACAGCCCATGTGGCTGCTTTCATGGGTTTGAGTCTGGTACTTGCAACTTTTCCAAACTAGGATGACTCACTACCTGTGGCTCTATAATTCTGAGGTCTGGAGGGCAGCAGCCCTGTTCCCACAGCTCCACTGGGCACTGCCCTGGTGGATATTCTCTGTGACAGCTCTGCACATGCAGTAGGTTCCTGCCTGCACTCCTAGGCTTTCTAATACATCGTCTAAAATCTAGATGGAAGCTTCCAAGCCTCCGTGGCTCTAGCATTCTGTGGACCTGCAGACCTAGCACCATGTAGATGCTGCCAAGGCTTACATCTTGCACCCTCCAGAGTGATGGCCCAAGCAGTACCTGGGACCCTTTGAGACTTGACTGGAGCTGGAGGGGTGGGAATGCAGGGAAGCAGCCCTCCTAGCCTGTTCTCTGAAACCATTCTTTCCTTTTAGGCCTCTGGGCCTGTGGAAGGGGAGGCTTCAAAGATTTCTGAAATCTTTTGGGGCCCTTTTTCCATTGTACCAACTATTAGCACCCAACTCCCTTTTATCTGTGCTAATCTCTCTAGTTAGTTGTTGCCCATAGTACCCTTGGATTGCTCTACTTAAAAATCCCTGTTCTTCTCTAACACATAGCCAGGCTGTGAATTTTCCAAATTTTTATGCCCCGCTCCCCTGTTAATTATTAATTCCACCTTTAGGACACTATTTTGCTGCCACATCTGATTGTAAGTTGTTAAAAGCAGCCACACTACTTCTTGAATTTCTTGCTGTTTAGAAATTTCTGCCACCAGAAACCCTAGGTCATCATTCTTAAGTGTGGCCTTCTAAGAAGCCCTAGGGTATGGACACAATACAGCCAAGTTATTTCCTGTGGCATACATGGGTGGTTTTTGATCCAATTCCCAATAAGTTTCTTCTTTCCATCTGAGACCTCCTCTGCATGGCCTTTACTACCTGTTTCTTTGTTTTTTTCTTTTTTTTCGAGATAGGGTCTCACTCTGTCACCAAGGCTGAGTATGGTGGTGCCATCATGGCTCACTGCAGCCTTGAACTCCTGGGCTCAAGCAATCCTCCCACCTCAGTCTCTAAAGTAGGTGGGACTACAAGCATGTACCACCATGCCTAGCTAATTTTTTAACTTTTTTTGTTTTGTTTTGTAGATACAGGGTCTTGCTATGTTGACCAGGCTGGTCTAGAACTCCTGGCCTCAAGCAATCCTACCACCTCAGCCTCCAAAAGTGCTGGGATTACAGGTGTGTGCCACTGCTCCCAGCCTAATGCTTATATTTCTATCAACATTTTGTTCACAGTCAATTAAACAATCTCTAAGAAGTCCAAAACTTTCCCTTGCCTTCCTGTCTTCTTTTGAGCCCTCCAAATTCTTTCAGCCTCTGCCTATTACCCAGCTCTAAAGCTACTTCCACATTTTTAGGTATCTTTATAACAACACCTCATTCTTGGTACCAGTTTTTTGTCTTAGTCTGTCTTTGTGTTGCTTTAAATGAATGCCTAAGACCGGATAATTTATGAAGAAAAGAGTTTTATTTGACTCAAAGTTCTGCAGGCTGTACAAGTAGCATGGCGCCAGCATCTGCTTCTGGTGAGGGCCTCTGGCTGCTTCCACTCATGGCAGAAGATGAGGGAAGCTGGCATGTGCAGGGATCACATGGTGGGAGAGAGGAAGCAAGAGAGAGAAGTGGGATGGAGGTGCCAGCTTCTTTTAAAGAACCAGCTCACATGGGAACTAATAGAGTGAGAAGTCACTAATTACCAGGATTCGTGACGGATTTGCCCCTATAACCCAAACACCTCCCATGAGGTCCCACTTCCCAATACTGACACACTGGGGATTAAATTTTAACATGAGATTTACAGGGAAAACACATCATAATCCAAACTATAGCAAACATTCAGTTGTATAGTGTTCATAAGATAAATATCTTCATTTATATTTCAATGTAAGGATACAGAAAGACTGAATGTCAAAGAACCAAAAAAATTACTACTAGGCAAAAACTAACCAAAAGAAAGCTGAAGTCGCTATTTTAATATCGGATTTTAAAATTTAGGGTGAAAGGATTACAAGAGATAAATAGAGTCATTTCATAATGGAAAAAATAAATTAACCAGCAAAATATAGCAATTTTAACATATTATAATGAATACTTATAATTTTATGTTGCCTCGGAATCAACCCCTGGGTGAGTTTTCCCTGGGATTCCTGGGGGAACACAAGGTTGTGCTCCCAGCACCAAAGTGATGGTCAGGCAGGCATAAACTGAACACAGGTCAGACAAGAGCCACAGGGGCATCTGCCAGTATAAACAAGTTTCTCTGTGAGGGATGCCCTGTTCACAGGTTGAACAACTAGGCATTAGGTCTTCCACGAGGTTAAAGAAGTATCCCCTGAAAGACACACTGTAAATACCCATGTCCAGCTCTTCTTCATTTCCCGTTGGAGCAGGGCTGCTAGCCACTGTGGCACTGGAACCCCAATTTAGCTGAAGACTCTCAAAACAATTTTTTAACAAAATTTGACAAATCAACAAGGAGGAATTAGTAAACTCTATATCACAGTGGGAGATTTTAATACATCTTTCTTAATAACTGATAAATCAAGCAGAAAAATATTGTTAAAGATATAAAAGATTTGAACAGCATAATTAACAAGCTAGGATAACAGACATATATAGACAATTCCAGCAAACAATCAGAGAATATACATTATTTTCAAGCACATCTGGAACATATGTAATCATTGTTTAAAGTTAGTTTAAACAAATTTCAAAGATTGGTAACATATCACACCAACTTTTCTAATTACAATTAACTTACAAATCAGTCTAAAAATATGACTACAAAAATTCCATTTATGGCAACGTAAAACAATATTATAAAATTTACAGGTGAAAAATCATAATGAAAACTAGATTTGGAACTGAATACTTAGAACTGAAAGATAATTAAAATTCTACATATCAAAACTCATGGGATTAGCCAAAGTGATATTAAGGGGGAAATGAATAGACTTAAAAGCTTTCACACTAGAAGGAAGGCTCAGAATTAATTAGCCAAACATTTGATTTGATAAATTAGAGAATGAATATCAGAATAATCCTCAAGAAAGCAGAGGGGGGAAATAATAAAGATATGAATACATGTGAATGAAATATAAAACAAATATATAATAACATCAACTAAGTCAAGAGTTGTTTCTTTGAAATAACTAATAAAATAGAAAAACTTCTAGCAGGGTCAATCAAGGGAAAAAAGACATATAGAACAAATACACATTTTGGAATAAAAAGTGGGAAACAATTACACATGCTGCAAAGATTAAAAAGATAATATGCAAAACTCTATGTCAATACATTTGAAAACCTGGACTTAAAATTGGACACAGTCTTTGAAAAAATGAAATTTGCTAAAGGAAAATTTCTAGCAAGGGTCAATCAAGGGAAAAAAAGATAGGTAGCATAAATATACATTTTGGAATAAAAAGTAGGAAATAATTACAGATGCTGCAAGGATTAAAAAGATAATACGAAAAACTGTATGTCAATACATTTGAAAACTTGGACTTAAAATTGGATATATTCTTAGAAAAGATGAAATTTACTAACAGTAACTTAAGAATAGAGAATTCAAAAAGTCTTCTAACCATAAAGGAAAAAAATGAGTCAATACTTAAAATTACTCCCACAAAGAAAATACCAAGTCTGCTGTACTTGAGAGGCTAGTTCTTCTGACAATTCAATGAAAATATTGTTCCAATATTAGCTAAACTCTTCCAGAGAAAAGGATATTAGTAACACTCCCCAGGTTATTTTGGTAACAAACCTGACCAGTATTATATAGGAAAGGGATATTACAAGTCAGACTCACTCATGATTATAGATGTAAAAATTGTAAACAAAACATTTGCAAAGTAAGTTCAGCAATGTATAAAAAGATAATGAATATTTACCAAGTTGGGTTTATTCCAGGATAACAAGGTTATTTTGGAGAATTAAGTAACATAACTCATCATATTACCAGGTTAAAGAAAAAAAGCAAAAACTCACAATCATCTTAATAATACGGGAGACATATTCAATAATATCTAACATTAATTTATGATTTCAACAAACAGCCTCTTAGCTACCTAGGAGTAGAAGGGGCTTTCTTATAACTGATAAAGAGCATCATATCAGTAACTACAGCAGACATCATACTTACTGGGGAAATACTGAAACTATTATTTCCTTTAAGATAAGAAACATGACAAAGATATCTGCTATCACAAGTCCTGTTCAGCATTATGCTGGAGATTCCAACCAGTGATGTGAGACTGAAAAAAAAAGAAAAATTACAGAAAAGAAATAAATGGTAATTATTTGAAGCTTGTGCATTATATTTTATATCAGTTATACCTCAATAAGGTAGTGAAGAAAACTTTCTGCCCTGATCCTGACTTAACCTGAGCCAATTCAGCCTTACATATTTAAACTAACACCTCCAATATTGAGGTAGAAGTGACCCTAATAGAAGGAGACCACGGCCCAGGCATTCCTACCCATGTGCCTCCCTTTCTGGGAAAATGGCCCCAACGGAGGTTGAGGTGAATTACTCAATATATGTGTTAGTCTGTTTTGCATTGCTCTAAAGGAATATGTGATACTGGGTAATTTATAAAGAAATGAGGTTTAATTGGCTCACGATTCTGCAGGCTGCACAGGAAGCATGATGCTGGCATTGGCTCATCTTCTGGTGAGGCCTCAGGAAGCTTTCAATCATGATGGAAGGCAAAGAGGGAGCTGGCATATCACATATTGAAAGCAGGGGCAAGAGTGAGGGGCGGGGGAGGTGTTACACTCTTTTAAACAACCAGATCTCACATGAATTCAGAGAGAAAACTTACTCATTATTGCGAGGACAGAACCAAGACATTCATGAGCGATCCAACCCCATGTCCAAACACCTCCCACCAGGCTACACCTCCAACATTGGGGCTTACATTTCAACATAAGGTTTAGAGGGGACAAACATCCAAAGTATATCAGTGTAGGAACAGGAACTGCCGGCAATCAAGGCTATCTTTGAAGCATGAGGGTTTCTGTACCTATAATGGTATAGCACAACCTGTGCATCATCTTACTGTTGAAGCAAAGCTAGAAGCTCAGTTTTGCCAGATGAAATGGCACTGTTCTAGTAAAGGTAGAATTTTCACATCCACTGTGTCTCATTGAGAAGATGCCCAATTATTTAAGTCTGGATGCAGCCAGGGCTTCACCCCAAGAGGTCCTCTGGCCTGTGAGCTTTACTGTCATTAAGGTCAGGTGCACCTGACTGAGGAAAGGGAAATGGACAGCAGGCAAATGCCTCTATGCTGGAACACTGGCTAAGGGTCCAGAATATTCTAATGTAAGGGAGATAGAAAGGCCAATGCTAACTATACAAAGGCATTATGTCCTGGTAGGAGCATTGACTCAGCTACAGTGGCCTATTCAAAACCTTGAACAAAGAATGCAGGGACTTATGGTGGCCCCATATCTGTCACAATGACACTTAGTATACAAGCACTTGGAGCACTTGTACTCTAATCAAGAATAGATCTACAAGGATCAACAGATTAATATACCCATTACCAATCCTCGAACACACCCTTGACACCATTGCTATGGATTGATCACAAATCTACTCCCTGTTTCATAATCACAACACTCTTTTTGTTGTAGAGAATACCCTTACCAGAAAGCCATTGCAATTGGCAGCACAGCATAGTGATTAAGGGAATGGCCTTTGGAGCCAGACAGCAGACGCTTGAATCTCAGGTCTCTCCTTTATTAGGTGTGATCTGGTGTAAGCCACTTAACCTTCTGAAACCTCATTTCCTATGAATATACTAAAAACGATTTACTTGCACTTTTTAAATGTGTGAATTGTATGTTATATACATTATATCTCAATAAAGCAGTATATATATATATGTATATGTATATACATATATATGCAGCATAAAAAGAAAATGCCCCTTCACAATAGTCTGTGCCCACCTTCCTCTTCTTTTTGTAGGAAGTCCGATATGTGTCATTCCAGATCATTTAAATAAGTTTCATACGTATGTATAACTATACAAATAAATGATTTTACTTAGTCTTAGGATGACATTGTGTATTTTTTCTGCAGTTTTCTTTGTTAGTCTACCTATGAAGCTCAGAATTCTTTTCATGTCAGTGCACATAGCTCGCATTCATTTTAGCTGTTGTATTATATAGATCAATGTTATATGGATGATGATGGATGAATCATAGTTTACTCACCACTTTTCTACTGGTGGACACATAGATTGTGTTCACTTTTGCTGTTACAAACAATGTTTTAGTAAACAACTGTGTACATGCCTATTTGTGCACAAGAGCAGATACTTTTCTAGGAAAAATACAGTATTTACAAAGGGCATGCTGTATTGAAGAATAAAGTACATTTACACTTTTTTTATTTTGTCAAATTGCCCTTCAAAAGGGCATCTCAGATTACATACAAGAGAACAACTTATACAAGTACAAATTGCTCCTCACCCATTGGCCATTTTTTAGTTGAATTGTTTGTTTTCTTATTATAGAGATTTGAGAGTTCTTCATATATTCTGGACACATGTCATTCCTCAGATGTATTATTTGCAAAGATTTTTTTCCCAGTCATTCTCTGAAGAATGTTTTTTGAAGAGTAGAATTTTAAATATCAATGACTATTATATTAATTTATTCTATTATAGATTATGCTTTGGACATTGTATCCAAAAATTCTGTCTAACTCAAGGTCACAAAACTTGTCTCCTATGTTTTCTTTTAGAAATCTTACCGATTAAGACTTTATATTTAGGTTTGTTATCCACTTTAAGTTAACTTTCGCATATATTTTGAGGTATGAATTGAAGTTCATGTTTTTGCATGTGAATATCCAATTTTTTCAGTACTGTTTGTTAAAAAGACTGTCCTTTCTCCACTACATCACCTTTGCAAAGTATCAGTAATCTATATATGTGTGGATCTGTAGGTCTATATCTGGACTCTCTATTCTGTTCCATTGACCTATTTATCTTTCTTTTTTTTGAGACAGGGTCATGCTCTGTTGCCCAGACTGGAGTGCAGTGTCAGGATCATGGCTCACTGCAACCTTGAACACCTGGACTCAAACAATCCTCCCACCTCAGCCTCTTGAGTAGCTGGAACCATGGGTGTGTGCCACAGTGCCCAGTTAATTTTTAAATTTTTGTAGAAACGGGGTTATGCTATGTTGCTTAGGTTGGTCATGAACTCCTGGCCTCAAACTACCTGGCCTCAAACTACCTCAGCCTTCCAAAGTGCTGGGATTACAGGTGTGAGCCACCATGCCTGGCAGATTTATTTATCTTCATACCAATACCATATTGCTTTCATTACCATAGCTTAATAATAAGTCTTGAAATCAGATAGAGATAGCCCTCTAACTTTTTTCTTTTTCAAAGGTGTCTGGCTGCACTATGTCCTTTAAACTTCTGTGTGAATTTTAGAACCAGCTTGGCAATTTCCATAAACAAGCCTGTGGGGATTTTGATTAGAATTGCATTTCATATATAGATCAATTTGAAAAAGGCTGACACCTTAACAATATTGAGACTTCAAACCGATGAAGAAGGTATACTCTAGTTTTTCTTCACAATGTTTTGTAGTTTTCAGTGTACAAGTCTTTCCTATCTTTTGTCATATTTATCTCTAAGCATTTCATATTTTTGTGTAACTATAAATGGTATCTTTATTTTCTTTTGTTTTGTATAACTTTTATTTCAGGTTCAGGAGTATATGTGCAGGTTTGTTATATAGGTAAATTGCATGTCACCAGGGTTTGGTGTACAGACTATTACATCACCCATGTAATAAGCATAGTACCTGATAGGTGGTTTTTCCATCCTCACCCTTCTCCCACCCTCCATCCCCAAGTAGGCCCTGGTGTCTGTCGTTTCCTTCTTTATGTCCATAAGTACTCAATGTTTAGCTCTCACTTATAAGTGGGAACATTCAGTATTTGGTTTTCTATTCCTGCATTAGCTTGCTTAGGATAAATGGCCTTCAGCTCCATCTATGTTGCTGCAAAGGACATGATCTCATTCTTTTTTATGGCTGGTATGGTATTCCATGATGTATATGTACCACCTTTTTTTTTAATTCAGTCTAACATTCATGGGCATTTAGGTTAATTCCATGTCTTTGCTACTGTGAGTGATGAATACATACATACATGTGTTTTTATGGTAGAACGACTTATATTCATTTGGGTATATACCCAGTAATGGGATTGCTGGGTCAACTGGTAATTCTGTTTTAAGTTCTTTGAGAAATTGCCAAACTGCTTTCCACAGAAGCTGAACTAATTTACATTCCTACCAGCAGTGTATAAGAGTTCCTTTTTCTGGCCAGGCACAGTGGCTCACACCTGTAATCCCAGCATTTTCGGAGGCTGAGGTGGGCGGATCACCTGAGGTCAGGAGTTTGAGACCAGCCTGACCAACATGGCGAAAGCCCATCTCCACTAAAATACAAAAAAATTAGGCGGCGTGGTGGTGTGCGGCTGTAATCCCAGCTACTCAGGAGGCTGAGGCAGGAGAATCACTTGAACCGGGGACGCGGAAGTTGCAGTGAGCCCAGATCGTGCCATTGCACTCCAGCCTGGGCGACAAGAGTGAAACTCCATCTCAAAAAAAAAAAAAAAAAAAGAGTTCCTTCTTCTCCCCAACCTTGCCAGCATCTATTATTTTTTTACTTTTTAGTAATAGCCATTGTGACTGGTGTGAGATGGTATCTCATTGTGGTTTTGATTTGCATCTCTCTAATAATTAGTGATGTTGAACATTTTTAAATGTGTTAGCCATGTGTAATGTCTTCATTTGAAAAGTGTCTTTGCCCACTTTTTAATGGGGTTGTTTTTTGCTTGTAAATTTAAGTTCCTTATAGATTCTGGATATCAGAATCCAGAATGCATAGTTTGCAAATATTTTCTCCCATTCTGTAGGTTGTTTGTTTACTCTGTTGATAGTTTCTTTTTTTGTGCAGAAGCTCTTTAGTGTAATTATGTCCCATTTGTCGATTATTGTTGCAATTGCTTTTGGCATCCTCATCATGAAATCTTTGCCAGTTCCTGTAACCAGAATAGTATTTCCTAGGTTATCGTCCAGGGTTTTTATAGTTTTAGGTTTTACATTTAAGTCTTCAATCCATCTTGAGTTGATTTTTTTTATATATGGGGTAAGGAAGGAGTACAGTTTCAATCTTCTGCATATGTCTAGCCAGTTATCCCCACACCATTTATTTAACAGATCGTCCTTTCCCCATTGCTTGTTTTTGTTGACTTTGTTGAAAGTCAGACGGTTGTAGGTGTGCAATCTTATTTCTGGGGTCTCTATTCTGTTCTATTGGTCAGTGTGTCTGTTTTTATACCAATACCATGCTGTTTTGGTTATTGTAGCTTTGTTGTGAAATTTGAAGTCAGTAATGTGATGCCTCCAGCTTTATTCTTTTCACTTAGGATTGCTTTGGCTGTTTGGGCTCTTTTGTTCCACATAAGTTTTAAAATAGTTTTTTTTCTAATTCTGTGAATAATGTCATTGGTAGTTTGATAGGAATAGCATTGGATCTGTAAATTGCTTTGGGCAGTATGGCCATTTTATTAATATTGATTCTTCCTACTCATGAGCATGGAATGTTTTTTCATTTGTTTCTGTGATCTCTGGTCTCCTGGAATAGTGTTTTGTAATTCTCACTGTAAAGGTCTTTCCCCTCCTTGGTTAGCTGTATTAGGTATTTATTCTTTTTGTAGCTGTTGTGAATGGGATTTCATTCTTGATTTGGCCCTCAGCTCAGATGTTGTCGGTGTGTAGGAATGATACTAATTTTTGCACATTGATTTTGTCTCCTGAAACTTTGCTGAAGTTGTTTATCAAATTAAGGAACTTTCGGGTAGAGACTATGGGGGTTTTCTATGTATAGAATTATATCATCTGCAGACATGGACAGTGTGACTTCCTCCCTTCCTATCTGGAGGTCTTTTATTTCTTTCTCTTGCTTGATTGCTCTGGCCAGGACGTCCAGTACTATGTTGAATAGCAGTGGTGAGAAAGGGCATCTGTGAAGGGAAATGCTTCCAGCTTTTGCCCGTTCAGTATGATATTGGCTAAGTGTTTGTCATAGATGGCACTTATTATTTTGAAGTATGTTTCTTCAATGCCTAGTTTGTTAAGAGTTTTTAACATGAAGAGATGTTGAATTTTATTGAAAGTCTTTTCTGCATCTATTGAGATGATCAGATGGCTTTTGTTTTTAGTTCTGTTTGTGTAATGAATCGCATTTATTGATTTGTGTATGTTGAAGCAACCTTGCAACCCAGGGATAAACCTTCTTGATTTTGGTGGATTAGCTTTTATAAATGGTATCTTTTAAGATTTCATTTTTTGATTGATATACTTGATTTTTCTATGATGACTCTGTATTTGGCAACATTGCTAAACTCATTCATTCTAGTAGCTTTTCTGTAAATTCTATCACATTTTCTAAATAAACAACATCATCTCTGGATAAAAACAGTTTTATTTCCCTTTATTTCCAAATCGGGATTCCTTTTATATCTTTTTATTGCCTAATTGCACTGTCCAGAAGCACCAGTACAATGCTGTATAGAAGTGAAAACAGACATCCTTCCTTGCACCTGACCTAATGGGAAAATTCCTTTAGTCTTTCATCATTATACATGATGCCAGATATAGGTTTTTAGATACATTCTATCAGGTTGAAGAATTTCACTTCTAGTCCTGGCTTGATGAGACTTTTTGGTTTTTTTAAATCAGGAATGGATGTTGGGATTTGTCAAATGCTGTGTCTTCATCTATTGAGATAATCATATGGGTTTTCTCCTTTAGTTTGTTAATATGGTGAATTATACTTATTTTAAAATGTTCTATCAACCCTGCATTCCTGGAATAAGTCCCACTTGGCAATAGTGTTTATACTTTTAATATATTGTTGGATTTAATTTGCAAACATTCTGTTTAGACATTTTCTATCAATATTCATGAAGAACAGTAGTTGATAGTTTTCTTATTTTGCAACATATTTTCTTTGATTTTAGTATGTGGGTAATACTGGCTTCATAAAATGAGTTGGGAAATATTCCCTTCCATTTAATTTTCTTGAAGAAAAATTGGGGTAGATTTGGTATTATTTCTTTCTTAAGTATTTGTTAGAACTTGCCAGTGAAGGCATCTGGGCCTAGAGTTATATTTGTGGGAAGATTTTAAGCTACAAATTCAATTTATTTAATAGATATATAGCTATTCTGGTTATCTGTTTCTGCTTTTTATAATTTTTATTTTAGGTTTGGAGGTAGATGTGAAGGTTTGTTACATGGGTAGACTCATGTCATGGGGGTTTGTTGTACACATTATTTCATCACCCAGGAATTAAGCCCAGTACTCGATAGCTATATTTTCTGCTCCTTTTCCTCCTCCCCCGCTCCACCCTCAAGTAGACCCCAGTGTCTGTGGTTTCCTTCTTTGTGTTCATAAGTTCTCATCATTTAGCTCCCACTTATAAGTGAGAACATCTGCTATTTGGTTTCCTGTTCCTGCATTAGTTTGCTGAGGATAATGGCCTCCAGCTCCATCCACGTTCCCACGAAAGACATGATCACCTTCCTTTTTATGGCTGCATAGTATTCCATGGTGTGTATCTATTTCTTCTACAAGGAGCTTTGATAGTTTGTGTCTTTCAAGAAGTTTGACCATTTTATCTAAATTGTTGAATATATTGAAACAAAGTTATTAATAATATTCCCTTAATAACCTTTTAATAACAGTAGAATCTGTAATGATGTCCCCTTTCTCATTCTTGACATTGGAAATTTGTTTTCTCTTTCTTTTTTTCCTGATTAGTGTGGCTAGAGGTTTACCAATTTCTTTGATCTCTAAGGCCCAGCTTTGGTTTCATTATTTTCTGCTATTGTTTTCCAGTTTCCCTTATTATTGATTTACACTTCAACCTTCTTTTTTTTTCTTCTGATTACTTTGGGTGTAATTTGCTCTTCTTTGCTCTAGTTTTTTAAGATGAAGGGTGAAGTCATTGATTTAAGACCTTTCTAAACTACTTCTAGCTACATATCATAAATTCTGATATGCTGAATTCTCATTTTGACTCATTTCAAAATAATTTTCTAACTTCCCTTTTGATCTCTTCTTTGATTCATAGGTTATTTAGCAGTGTGTTGTTTAACTTTCAAATATTTGGAAAAATTTCCCAGATATTTCCGTTATTAATTTCCAATTTATTTCCATTGTCCTCAAATAATATACATTATACCACTTGGATCCTTTTACATTTATTGAAACTTGCTCTATGTCCAAGAGTATGATCTCCCTTGATAAATGTTCCATATATACTTGAGAAGAATATGTCATCTGCTGTTGTTAGGTGGAATGTTCTATATATGCCAGTCATGTTTATTGATGGTGTTGTTCTAGTCTATTATATTTTTTGCTGTATAATTTCTACCCGTTCTATTAATTATTGAGAGAAAAATATTGAGATCTCCAACTATAATTTATAGATTTGTCTATTTCTTTTTGCAGTTCTATCAGTTTTTGTTCATGTATTTTAAAGCTCTTTCGTTAGAGGTATAAACATTTAGGGTTGTCATGTCCTCTTGAAGAACTGACTCTTTATCATTATGAAGTGACTTTCTTTTTTTTTTTTTCATTACACTTTAAGTTCTGGGATACATGTGCAGAATGTGCAGGTTTGTTACATAGGTATATATGCATGTGCCATGGTGGTTTGCTGCACTCATCAACCCGGAAATGACATTCTTCATCACTGTAATATTCTTTGGTTTAAGTTAACTTTGTCTGACATTAATTCAGATATGTCACCTTTCTTCTGGCTAGTGTTAGCATGGTATGTCTTAATTCATTCTTTTACTTTTAACCTATTTGTGTCTTTATATTTAAATTGTTTATAAAGTTGAAGGCAACATAAACTTGTGTCTTGCTTTTTTTTCCAATCTGAGAATCTCTACTTGTTTATTAGGAAGACTAGACTTTTACTTCTAAATGTGATTATTGATATGGTTAGTTTTTAGTGTATCATGTTGTTATTTGTTTTTGTCTCATCTCTTCTTTTCTCCCCTTTTCCTCTTTTTCCACCGTCTTTTGGATTAATTGCGTATTTCTTATGATCACATTTGATCTCCTTTGTTGATTTATTAGCTATAACTTTTGTTTGGCTATTTTAGAAACTTTTATACTTCTTCTTTACAGCAAGAGTCTGCTATATTTCCAAGGCTGACCTCAAACTCTTGGGTTCAAGTGACCCTCCAATCTCAGCTTCCTGAGTAGCTGGGACTACCTATGCCTGGAGAAAACATTTTTTCACTTATTACAAGCCACCTGCAAGTGAGTTTATACCACTTCACATATAGTATAATAACCTAAAATAGTATAATTCCATGTTTCTCCTCCAAGCCTTTATGCTATTATTGTCATACATTTTATTTTTACATACTTATAAACCACAATTGTTGTTGTATTTGTTTAAAGACTTGGTTGTCCTGTAAAGATATTTAAGTACTATGAAAAAAAAGTATATATTTACACAGGTAGTTATCATTTCCAGTATTCTTCATTCCTTTGTGTAGATCCACGTTTCCATCTGGTGTCATTTTTCTTCTGCTTGAAAGACATCCTTTAACATTTCTTGTAGTTCAGGATTGCTAGTGGTGATTCTTTCAAAATTTTGTATATCTGACAATGTCTTTCCTTTTAAAAATATATTTTCTCTGGTTATAGAACACTAGGTTGACAGCTCTTTTGTTTTACTGTTTTAAATATACTGTTCCATTCTCTTCTCACATGCACCATTTCTGAAGACAAATTTACTGTCATCTCTATGTTTGTTTCTCATTATATAACTTGTCTGTTTTATTTGGCTGGTCTTAAGATTTTTTCTTTGTCATTGGCTTTGATAAATTTGATTAGGATGTGGTTTGGTGTTGTTTTCTTCATGTTTCTTGTGTTTAGGTTTTCTGAGATTCTTGAATCTGTGGGTTTATGGTTTTTATCAACATTAGAAATTTTTCAATGATTGTTTCTCCAAATATTTTTTGGCCTCTCCTTGTCCTTCTTTGGGGACTCCAATTACTCATACATTTGGCTGCCTGAAGTTGCTTCATAGCACACTAATGTGCTTTTCATTATATTGGTATTTTCCCCTATGTGTTTTATTTTGAACAGTTTTTATTGCTATATTATGTAGTTTACTAATTGTTTCTCCTGAAATATCTAATCTGCTGTACATCCCATTTAGTACATTTTCCTTTCTGAAGCTCTGAGTCATTGTTAAAAATCTTCCATGTCTTTACTTACTGTTTTGAACATATGGACTACAGTTAAAGTAACTGTTTTAATAGTTTTGCTAATTCCAGTATCTGTGTCAGTTCTGGATTGGGTTTCAGTTGGTTTATTTTTCTCTTCATTAATGGCTGAATAATATTATATTCTATAAATGTACTATAATTTATTTAGCCAGTCCAGTATTGATAAACATTTTATTCTACCTAGTCTTTTACTAATACAATTAATGCTGCAATTGTCATCCTAACATTTATGCTTTTCTGCAAATACATCAAGAAGATGAATTGCTGAGGTTGAGTCACTGAGTCAGAGAGTATGTGCAGTTTATCAGACATTTATGGCCGAGGCAGGTGGATCATGAGATCCGGAGTTCAAGACCAGCCTGACCCATATGGTGAAACCCCGTCTGTACTAAAAATACAAAAATTAGCTAGGCGCTGTGGCAGGTACCTGTAATCCCAGCTACTCAGGACGCTGAGGCAGGAGAATCGCTTGAACCCAGGGGGCAGAGGTTGCAGTGAGCCGAGATCGCGCCACTGCACTCCATACTGGGTGACAGAGTGAGACTCAATCTCAAAAAATTTTTTTTAAAAAAAGAAAAAAAACACATTTATTTATTATTTATTTATTTAAACTCTAAGTTTAGTATTTATTCTGCCCCATTGACTGGACTTGGCCCATTCATGCAAGTAATACCTGGAACAGGTATAACACTAGCCTCTTTCACTGGGCCCCTGCTTTTGGTGTTCATTCAGACACCACCTATTTTGTTTATTCACTCTGACCTACTCAGTGATATTCCTCTGGCCATTCTTGCCACTCCTGTTTCTCCCCATATGGCACTGCCCTCAACTTCTATTGCTGTCCTAAGATTGTCTTGCATGACTACCCACTTTAGAGAGATTTTTCCTCTGGACACAATTTTACTATTTCTTCCTTCAAGTTCTGTGACCAAGGACTGCAGAAAGAAGCCCATCCTGTTTCCCATCCCTGACTTGTGGGACTATCTGGGCTACCCTCCTTCCTATCCTTACATTATTGGAAAGGCATCAGACAGTATTTTAGAGGGCAACTTTCTCCTTGGGCATAGCGATCTATCAGCTACTAGGATGAAGTTATGGTCACTGTGCTGGCATATGTTCTAGCTTGATAGAGATTCAGCTTTGGGCCCCGTATGCTGCTATATATAAAGATATTCAACTATCTTTCACCATGGAACCAAAGAAAGATTCTTTTATTGGTCTTTCTTGTCTCCCAAATGCCTAGAGACATGGGTTAGTGAGGCTTATGTCTCTTGCATGTTAATAAACTACTTGGTCTCTTAACTAATCTGAGAAATATATTTGGTAGCCTAACTTGTCATAGGGGAGCCAGTGCATTTTGTCTCTCACTTGAGGACAGGATAGATTCAGGAGCCTTAAGCAGCTTGGTAGGCCAAACTCTGGTCAAGGGAACCCAGTCACCTACTGGGTTCAATTTGTAACCCCCACCATGTAAACAACAACTACCAATGGTTGTTTCTGATTGGGGGACCTATGAGCCTCAAGATCACCTCCATAGATTAGCATATAGGAAGATGTAGCTGGACACTGCTGCTCATCGCACACTTCCCAACCATCTTCGGTCCTTAACCTTGCTTTCCTAGAATCTGAAGACTTAGCTATTGATACGGTGGAGAAATATTGGTAGGTCAGATATAGCAAAGATTGGTGGCAGATGGGGTGGATTGACATAGAGGAGTTAGCTGGAGTCAGAAACCCATGGTGTTGATAACATTCATTGCCTTGAAGTGCTCCATATGATGGTGTTTATGTGTGTGCATGCATGTATATATGATTGTCTCCCATGCTGATGTTCTTCTCAAGGACCCAGGATTATTCAGTATACTTCACGTGTTATGACCTTCAGCATTCTGGTAGCCTACAACTCCTTATGTCCAACATTGCATGGGAGAGTGTGGAAAGCAGTGGATGTGGAAGCCATAATTACCATAAAAATAAGTCTTTCTGGCTGATGAATGAGATAAATTGAGGGAGGAATCAGTTACAGATGGTTTCTGACTTAGGATGGTTTAATGATATTTTTACTTTATGGTGATGCGAAAGTAATACGCATCAGAGGAAACTGTACTTTGAGTTTTTAATTTTGATATTTTCCTGGACTAGTGATGTGCCGTACAATACTGTCTTGTGGTTCTGCCAGCAGCAGCAGCGAGCTGCAGCTCCTAGTCATTCATGCAGTCACAAAGGTAAACAACTGATATTTGATATTTTCCTGAAGAACACTATGCCTGCTAAACCATCAATACTAGCTATTCTCAAGCCTCATCAGAAGACAGAGAAATTGATGACCCTGTCACTGTAGTATCCCCATCATTCATCAATTAATTTTAGTTCAATGCTTCAAACATTCTACAGGTTCAGTGTGCTTTCAGCTGTGTACATTAATGGTGAGTACCCACACAAATACTCTGTTTTTCACTTTCAGTACAGTATTCAATATATTACATAAGATATTCAATACTTTATTATAAAATAGGTTTTGTGTTAGATTACTTTGCACAACTGTAGGCTAGTGTAAGTGTTTGAGCAAGTTTAAGGTAGACAAGTTAGCTGGGCACAGTGGATCATGCCTGTAATCCAAGCACTTTGGGAGGCTGAGGCAGGCAGATTGCTTGAGCCCAGGAGTTTGAGACCAGCCTTGGCAACACGGCAAAATCATCTCTACAAAAAAAAAATTAGTCAGGCTTGGTGGTGTACACTTGTAGTCCCAGCTATCCGGAGGGGCTGAGGCAGGAGGATTGCTTGAATCCGGGAGGTCAAGGCTGCAGTGAACCGAGATCACACCACTGCACTCCAGTCTGATTGACGGGGCCAGATCCTTTTTTAAAGAAAGAAAAAAAGGTAGGCATGGCTAAGCTATGATATTTAGTAGATTACGTGTATTAAATACATTTTTGACGTAAGATATTTTCAATTTACAATGGTTTTATCGGAAGCAACCCCATCATAAGGTGAGGAACATCTGTATAGTAAGGAGAGGAAACCAGTGTGTTATTAGTAAAAGGTGAAATAGGAGATTTACTCCTCAAGTGAGTACTTGGTTGATATCTCCAATCTGACCTTTGTGTCTACTAGTGGTAGGAAGTTGACAAATGGATACTAATGTGAAGGGCCTTGAACAGTG
The DNA here is from genome assembly GCF_000001405.40 of Homo sapiens. Classification (NCBI taxonomy): domain Eukaryota; kingdom Metazoa; phylum Chordata; class Mammalia; order Primates; family Hominidae; genus Homo; species Homo sapiens. The sequence goes on along the minus strand of NC_000023.11, from coordinate 110,921,681 downwards.
CCCTTTAAAATCAGAATGATAATTGCAGGTAATAATCAGAAATCACATAGGCGGATAATTTGGTACCAGAAGATTCTTTTGATAAACAAAATAACCACAGTTGGAGTAGATAGGCTGAGTATACAATGAATGATACATTTTTTTCAAGACATCTGCCACTGCCAGGAATGTGTGGGGTCATTAAAAGGGAATATACTAGAAATAGTTCACTGTGAGATGGTATTCCTCAGGTGTTCAGTAATCTGAAGTGGATATGGAAGGCTCTTGGATCTACTTGTTTACTCCATGACTTGGAAGCAGCTATCATAAATGATGACTCATTAGAGATGTTGTATCAGAGATGGAGCCACTGCTAAAAAGACCATGTTCAAGGTTTTGACTTGAATGAATCACAGTGGCCAGCACGGTGGGATCATAGCACAAGAGAATTACTTGTGTTTGAGCCTTTCCAGCTGGGAAATATGAGAATCCACTCTCATATTGTAGGCAACTCTGACATTCTCGGCCTTTCAGAGCTCTCACTGCATGGGCCTGGATCTCATCCAAGTGCTGCTACAAGTAGGCATCCATTTGCAGCCTGCTTTGGATTGTATCTGCTAATTGTAGAGTTTAGTGATGTAGGACTTACGGTCAGAGAGATCTGAATCCAAAACCCAGCTCTTCAACATTAGATAAGTCACTTAATTTATGTAAACATTTGTTTCCTAATATCTTAGAGATCAAAATAGTACTAACCTCAAAGGACTATTATGAAGATTTAAATGAAACAATTAGTGTCAAGTATTTATCCCTGTACTTAGAGCATAGGATTAATGTTATTATTTTACTTGGGACCATATAACCCAGAAGGTCTCCTGCAGAATCTACCAGGGTGGGTCTGCCTCCATATCTCTCCCTTAGTCAAGTTTTTTTTCTGAGATAATGTTGAATTTCTCCTTCCAGACAGTTGGAGCTCTAAGACATTGGTTTTAGACTGGAGTATACTATCACTAAAACTTCCATTGGTGAAGAGATAGGGCAGAGCTGGACTGCAGCCTGCGGGGTGTGGAACAGAGGCGGGCAATCCAAAAGGCAAAATTCTGGGGAGAAACTGAAACCAAAGCCAGTCAAACAATTAAATCTAAATGCCAGTCCAAATGGGCTGGGTAGAGCAAGAGAATTTATAATCCAGGCAACAGAGCAGAAAGTGGCAAAATTACTTAAAAGCTTGAAAGGGCCTGGTTACAACTTGATTCCATTATATACAAGTTGAGTTGCCTTGAGCGAGTTATTTAAACCTGGTTTGAATTCTGCCTCAGCCACTTATTTAGCTGACAGTTTGGATGAACTGCTAAACTTTTTATTCCACAATTTCCTCATCTATAAAAATAGAGATTAAAAAGATCCCATAGATCACAGGGTGCTTGTGAAGATTAAATATGGTAATCTCTATAAAATGCTTTGTATAGTGTCTAGCACTTAGTAAGTTATCTATGAATGTTAGTTGTTTTTGTTAAAAAGAGGATAGAGGAGGACCCTGGGAGTATTCCTTGAGCTATGTAGCATACACACAAATAAGTTTTATAGGGTGCCTTTGACCACAGCATGAGCAGAAGACATTAGAAAGGGCATTGACTCAGCTTGTAAAGGCAGAGTATCCTCCCAGCCATCCTGAAGCCTGATATATAATCAATAACAGATGGAAATAGTTCAAATGTGGCCTACTACACCCACAATGGAGAGGCTGAACTGCTCAAAGAAGATGACCCTCTTCATTTTGTAAAGCTGAGCTGTTGGATCTCTTAGCTGCTCTAGTCTGTGGTCGTCTGTGACTACAAGTCATGGGGACTGGAGTCCCTTGAAGCAACATCTCTGCATTTCTAGGTTAGCCTTGGTGGCCAGTGACCTCTACAGCTACACAAAGTTGGTAGTACACAGGCAGGGATATTTCCTTCCCAGGGAAACAGGCACAAAAAATGACAGTGATGTAGCCATGGTCCTCAAGTTAGGTAGGCTTCTATAGTTATTTTTGATGGCATTGGTTTCAGTGCTATGGGGTTATCTAGACCTAAGAGGCAAGGATTAAAAGTGGCTTTAGCTGCTAGAAGGATAAGCTATGATGTGAACAAAATAAATCCTTTTTTTCCTCTTGATAATGTCAGCCTGGAGGTTAGTAAGTGTGGTGATATAGGGTGAAAAGTAGCAGGGATGCTCCACAAACATCACATATTAACAGACCACTCTGATTGACCTGGGGTTCCCAATCTGATACGGCCAGTACTTTATCAGGCAACATGGACACATCTTGGGTGGCTGTGCCTTGGTTCAAGAAAGCCACCTCTGGGCTTTTCAATGTCTGCCCAGAGGTAGTGCTGCTTCAAATGGCTCAGAACTGCCTGGACTTGGTGTTCTTGTGATAATGGGATAATGGGAATAAATTAGGATATCCTCAGATGATGGGAATAAATTAGGATATCCTCCAAGTAGATTACAAACCTTTTGTCATCAAGGTTGTATAAGATCAGGGGTCAGCAAACTATGGCTCATAGACCCACATCAAGCCATTGTCTGTTTTTGTTTGGCTCACAAGTTAAGAATGGTTTTAACTGATTAAATCTTTGCAACCAATTTAATGATAAGGAATATTAAGTTTGAAACCCAATTAAATGAAATGTTATTCCAAAAAAATCCACTTTTATCATTAGTAGACCCATAGATTCTACTCGGTCATTATTATTTTTGGAACTGTATTGATAAAAATGTGTAGAAATTTGTTTTCCTTATTATTATATAGGCACCTACATAATATCCTTGCATTTGCTCTTGGCCTGCAGAGCCTAAAATATTTACGATCTGGCCATTCATAGAAGAAACAGTTTGTTGACCCCTGCTGAAGATAATAAGAGTAATAATACTAGCTAACATTAATTGAGTGCTTACTATATGCTTAGGTATTATTCTAGAAGTTCACATGGATTATCATGTTTATCCCTCATAATAATCATATTTATCATTATTACAATTATCTTTATTTTATAGTTGCTAAAATGACAGCACAGAAAATTAAGTAGTCTCCCCAAGGATGCAAAGCTGGGAAGTGGTGGAGCCAGGATTTGAATCCACAGTCTACTCTGGAATCCATGCTGTCAACTACCGAGCTGTACACACGAGGTATCAGGCATCACATAGGCCCAAAAGTGAACAGCACATTCAGACTGGTCGAGACCCACGTGGAAAGTCAGCCTCCATTTCTTGCTCTCTATGTCAAAGTTGTAGGCCTATCAGAGGTCAGCCCTGTGTTCTGAGAGGTCAGCAATCAAAGGAGTAAGCATATTGCAGCCACAGAAATCCCAGCAGGGATATAGCATCCTGTTTTGTTTTCTTTTGTTTTTTTCCTCACAAGGAGTATCAGGGCTTTTGTGGGGGGAGTTTGGGGGCATGGTGAATTCCTCCTACAAAGTAGCTTCTACAAATGTTCAGAAAGCCTAGATGTTGGACTCTAATGGGTACATGCTTGCAGAAAAATTAGCCTTGAGTACTGGAATGATCTCCCAACCACATTCATGAGAAGGCTGCAGCCATTCTTCCTCTATGCTCCAGAACAGCTCTTGGCCCAGGTATTCACACGACAGATGAGTTAGACCCTAGAGGGTACAAACAACCCTGGCAGCAGAATGCAGAGGTAAGGCAGAGAACATGGATTTTCCAAGTAATAAGAGTGGGATGAGGGGGGATGTGTGGCATGTGATTTTCCAATCAGAAGATGCCAAGGACCAAGAAGAATTATCCTTGAGAAACTAAATTAGGAGAGAGTAAAACCTCTGGCCTAAGAAATTTGAGGTTGTCTTGGCCCATTCTTGTTATTAGAGATAACCTGGATTAAATAGCAAGTCAAGAGCTTTGGGGAATGGCCTTGGAGCTCTTACAGTGACAGAGGACTTCTCTATAAGTCTTTTCCATAATGGATTTTAATATTCTTGAGTCAGAAAGATACAACTTCAGGCCACAAAGGCTACTCCAGTAGATCTCAGTAGCAGATTGAAAGCCCTAAACACAACTAGCATGACCTTCTGGCCTCACTTTCAAACCAGCTGTCTTCAGCATGCTCCTACAGCCACACTTGAGTACCAGTAGGGAAAGGCCCAACTGCCCTATGTCACTGTTATGCACTTCAACTCTGACTCGCTTTCCTCAGGGCCACAACACAACCATAGTAACAATAATGGCAGCAAACAATATAACACTTAGTGTATCCCCTACACTGTTTTAAGTTGTGTGTGTTTATGTGTGTTACAACACCACCTCACAAAACTGACCCATTTCCTCTTTGTCTCAACGGCCCACCTGCAGCAGCCACGACTATGCTGTTCATCCTGAAATCTGTCACCATAGGCTACCTCGAGTACAGATTTGGAATAAGACACACTGATGTTTGAGTCCTGGCTTTACTACTTTATTAGTTGTATGACTTTGGGCAACTTACTTAAACTCTCTAAGCTTCAGTTTCTTCAGCTGCAAAATGGAGATAACAATAGTTCTTACTTCTTAGGGTTGTTGTAAAGACTAAATCTATCTAAAGCACACAAAATAGTGCCTAGTACATCATTAGTTCTCAACACATTAGCTTTTGTCATTATAGTGCATGAGATACTCTGTTTGTCCATTTTGCATTGCTATGAAGAAATACCTGAGACTGGGTAATTTATAAAGAAAAGATGTTTACTTTGGTTCACAGTTCTGAAGGCTGTACAGGAGGTATGGTGCTGGAATCTGCTACTGGTAAGGGCCTTAGGAACCTTCCAATCATGGCAGAGGACAAAGGAGGAGCCAGCCTATTACATGGTGAGAGAACTAACGAGAGAGGGAGGGAGGTGCTAGGTTCTTTTAAACAACCACCTCTCACATGAACTATTAGACTGAGAACTCATTACTGTGAGGATGGCACTAAGCCATTCATAAGGGATCCATCCCCATAACCCAAACATCTTCTATTAGGCCCCACCTCCAGCACTGGAGATCACATTTCAACATGCGATTTGGAGGGGACAAACATCCAGACTGTATCACTATTTTAAATATAAATACTGCTTATCTACTTGGATGAATTTCTTACTAGACTGTAAATGGTGGTGTGCTGATAAATGCTTATAATCAGCTTTCCTGGGAAAGTGAAAAAAAAAAAAGCCCTGATTTGTAGTGTTTAGTGATTTATGCAAAATAAACACTCCCACCATGGCAAATTTCAGTTTATCAGCATAGCATCACTGAAGCAGAGATGGGAAGGAATGTTACTGTAAGTAACTTGAAGGTGCAACCCTGGTTTTAGCACTCAAAATGCCACATTTCAAGCAAACTGGGTGAGTTGGTCACTCTAGGCCAACTCTAGTTATTCAAGTAGTACATCCAGTCCATAGCACAGTGCCTGGCATAGAGTAGCTATCCATGAAGTGTTCATGAATAGGATGATTAATAGGCATTTTATAAAGATACAGGGAAGTAATTACTCCCGGCTCTGGCTCATGTCCATTGGCCCAGAGTATAGATTAGGGCTTCAGACATAAGCTGTGCTGCTTAGTAGCTGTGTAAGTGACAAGACTGCACTGAGCCACAGTTTCCTCACCTATAAAATCAGGATGGAAATACTTGCCTCCTAGGGGTACTGGAAGTGTTAAATGAGGTTAGGAGTGGGAAAGTGCCAAGGACATTTCCTGATTCATAGTAATTGCTCATTAAATCCTAATTAACAAACAGCTCCCACTCAGGTCTTACAGTTGGTGATTTCTTTGACTTTTCTGGTTTCTTTTGACCCACTGCATTTGAATTAAAAAAATACAACACAGAGTAGGGTCAGGGACTGGAGTCAGGCAGCAAGCTGGAAGGCCTTTGATGGCATTTGCTGTGGGAGTCCAAACCTCAAATGGGTTTGGCAGAATGGGCAATATCTAGAATCATCTGAGAGACCTCCCAAGCCCCAGGGGAATTCTTGGACACACATAGATCCTATCTCCCAATAGCTGCCAAGTTTATTTGGGAAAATAGATCTTAAAGGGCAACACCTTAAAATTTATAAACTTGTATCTTACATTAAAAAATTAAAAAGTGAAAAAAGATTAAGGCCTTGTGGGAATAAACCATGGGATCTGGGAATGCAGAGGGAAGAGAAATGGAAAGGGAAAATGAAAAGCAGCCAAAGACACACTTCTCACCTAACTCTCAGTTTTGCTGAAAGCTAGCCCTGTTGACACAAATAGAGAACTTTCATTTTTCAGTAAGGAATACTTTTCTGAAGAGCAAAAGGAAAAAAAAAAAAAACAACCCTCAACTCTCCAGAGTTAGCAGACTGTGCTGCTGAAATAAGATCCGACATGTGACTCATACCCAACCTAGGAGAACATCTGGAAATCAGCTTGCCACCATTTCTTTGCTAGAGTAAATGCCTATCAAGTGAGGAGACTCTTGCCTGGAAGGAGAAGAGTGAGGTTTCTGCCAAGCCAAGTGACAATCGCATCTCTCCCATTGCTGAAGGAGGGCTGCTATTGAATCTTCCTCGCCCCACCACCTGCCACATGGCATGTGTTAACTGAAGTGAGAGAAAGTCCTGTTTGAGGCTGTGACACAGAGTTCTCCCTAGCCTCTGCCTGTCAGTTCCTGGGTTCTCCTGGGATGAAAGTATACCATCCATTGTAAAAGTGGTGGTGCCTTATTATGTGATATTTGAAGAAATTGCAGGGAAATAAAAGCAGCTAGCATTTATCAAGTGCTTACTACATGTCAGTCATTTTATATGTTGTAATTTTTCATCCTCAGAACAACACTGCGAGACTTTATCCCCATTGTACAGAGGAGGAAAATGAGGCTTAGTGGATGATAAAGTAATGATCCCAAGCTTATACAGATAGATAGCAGGCAGTGGATGTGGGATTTGAACACTGGCCAGTAATACTGTAGAGTCTAGCCATGCTACTGTTATGCCATTCCTCCCTACCATCTAAACCGAGGGAGCTCTTTTCTATGTGCTTTCCAGAAGCCTGGCCCTACCTTCATATCTGATGCTAACAATGTACTCAGAAGTAGAGAAGGAAACTTAACATTCTTAAGCTTCTTTCTGGAGTATCTTAAATGGTTAAAAATAAGGCTGGAAAAGTCTCAGTATCCGCACTTTTGGCTACAGGCTAGCCAGGGCCAACACAGATAGATGTGCATTTCTTACATTCCACAAATGCACCCAGCCAAGTTGGAACAGGGAACACATTGGAACAACAACAAAACCTTTGTTACCCTTGCCAGGTTACTAGAAAAGGCCACTTTGTAGTTTGCCCACCTAGAATGGAGTCTTTTTGTCATACACAAAAGATGTTCTGTGGACTAGCTTGAAAACAAAAGCAACTTATTGACATGCTACTATTCACTATGTCAAAATGAAGTCCTAGTGGTGGAAAGGCTGCCTTTGGGAACCCTAAGTATGCACCCCAATCTTCATCTGGACAGCAGATACATGATCTTCCTAGCACTGGCCCTGAACAATGTGATCATCTATCTCCAGGCAGGGTCTCCACCAGCACATATGGCATCATTGGCTGAATTACAAAAGGCACCCCTGATGCAGCAATCCAAAAAAAAAAAGGCAGACCTGCTGGGAAGACAAACCAGGAGAAACACACCCCTTCTTCAGGGTTCATGCAGTGAGCCAGAACACAGCTTGAAAAAATAGGGGTGAAGAATGGATTTCAGCTCCCACTTGCCCCCACAACAGGTGCTCTTGGGAGAAGACAACCTATTTAATCTTCTGCATGCCCTGCTCCAGGCCCATCTCTCCCAATCCACATGAGTCTCTTCTCTTTTTGACTTCAAAGAACAGCTAATGTATTTGAGATTTAGAAAAAGTGAATATTTTGAAATCTGCCCTGGATTATTCCCCAATTAGACAATAAGGCTATTGAGAGTAGGACTGATCAGATGTCTATATCAGTATTCCTCACAGCACCTGGTGCTGATCTGGGTGTCTAGGACCCAGTCAATAGTTACTGAGAAACAATGAATTGTGATCTTGCAGTGGGAGATGCAAAGATTATTTGTGCTCAGAAATGGTGCTGCATTCACATTCAAAAACATCCTGCTCATACCTTATTCACCTCACCTTGCTACCCAGTCTCTTTATATATCCTACATCTCCTTACTTCATAGGGAACAAAATAATCCTCATTTAATGGCAAATTCTCCCTGGGAACCATTCAGGCGACAATTTGGTCCAGCTCTTACAAAGTCAATTTCACTCTCTTTTGTTATTGTCTTTGGAGCCCAGGGATGAGTGATTGGCATTTTGCTAATATCCACAGAAGCCTCAGACTTCCAGGGCCTATGTAACTCAACCACTTCTGCATGTGCTTACTGTAGCAGAAAACACAGACTGCTGTCTATAAAACAGGAAAATACCATAGGGAAACGAATACTCCTGAGAATAGCAAGGTTCATATCTTGAAAAAACATTCTCAGGTGGTGAGGAAATCTGTATTAATCAGTTGAAATGGAAGGCCATTTTATTTCACTGTTAGACTGTAGTCAATAGCTGGAAGGATTTTTAAACAATGAATTCTAATAAACACAGTTTATTAGAATTATGTTCCCAACAGCAAGAGGAGATGGGATATATGATTCTGTGGGGTGAGAAAGGACTATATAGCGTTCTTGGGTGTTTAAATAACTATTGAGGAAAGGAGAAGAAAGCCGTAATCTCCTTCATTCTTAGTCTAGGTTGAGATTCTTTCTTCTTTGGAATTTTTTAAAATTGTGATAAAATACACATTATGTAAAATATACTATCTTAACCATTTTAAGTGTCTAGTTCAATAGTGTTAAGTACATTCACATTCTTGTGCCATCAATCTCTAGAACTTTTTTCATCTTACAAAATGGAAACTCTGTACACATTAAACAACAACTCCCCATTCTCCCCTCCTTCTAGCCCCTGGCAACATCATCCTACTTCCTATCTCTATGAATTCGACTACTCTAAGTACCTCATATAAGAGGAACCATATACTGCACTTCCTCGGGCTTTTTATACACACAATAGAGACTACTTCTTACTTTCTAGATGTAAAGCCCAAATTTAAGTCATATAGTCTCCTTTTGGCTTGCCCCTTACCCCTAACATATTCTGCATGTAAGAAGCCTTTCTTCTCCTCTTCTCCTGCTCCTTCTCCTCCTCCTCCTCCTGCTCCTTGACTTCCTCCTCCTCCTCCTTCATCTTCTTCTTCTTTCTTCTTCTTCTTTTCTTCTTCTTCCTTTTCTTCTTCTTCTTCTTCTTCTTCTTCTTCTTCTTCTTCTTCTTCCTCTTCTCCTTCTCCTCCTCCTCCTTCTCCTCCTTCTCCCTCTTTTTTTTAATTATACTTTAATTTCTGAGATACATGGGTAGAACATGCAGGTTTGTTACATAGGTATACACGTGCCATGGTGGTTTGCTGCACCCATAAACCTATCATCTACATTAGGTATTTCTCCTAATGCTATCGCTCCCCTAGCCACCTCGCCCCCCGACAGGCCATGGTGTGTGATGTTCCCCTCCCTGTGTCTATGTGTTCTCATTGTTCAATTCCCACTTATGAGTGAGAACATGCAGTGTTTGGTTTTCTGTTCCTGTGTTAGTTTTCTGAGAACGATGGTTTCCAGCTTCATCCATGTCCCTGAAAAGGACATGAACTCATCCTTTTTTACGGCTACATAGAATTCCATAATGTATATGTGCCACATTTTCTTTATCCAGTCTATCATTGATTGACATTTAGGTTGGTTCCAAGTCTTCGCTATTGTGAATAGTGCTGAAATAAACATATGTGTGCATGTGTCTTTATAGTAGAATGATTTATAATCCTTTGGCTATATACCCAGTAATGGGACTGCTGGGTCAAATGGTATTTCTGGTTCTAGATCCTTGAGAAATCGCCACACTATCTTCCACAATGGTTGAACTAATTTACACTCCCTCCAACAGTGTAAAAGTGTTCCTATTTCTCCACATCCTTTCCAGCATCTGTTGTTTCCTGACTTTTTAATGGTGCCATTCTAACTGGTGTAAGACTGTATCTCACTGTGTTTTTGATCTGCATTTCTCTAATGACCAGTGAAGATGAGCTTTTTTTCATGTTTGTTGGCCACATAAATGTCCTCTTTCAAGAAGTATCTGTTCATATCCTTTGCCCACTTTTTGATGGGGTTGTTTGTTTTTTTCTTTTACATTTGTTTAAGTTCTTTGTAGATTCTGGATATTAGCCCTTTGTCAGATGGATAGATTGCAAAAATTTTCTCCCACTCTGTAGGTTGCCTGTGCACTCTGATGGTAGTTTCTTTTGCTGTAAAGAAGCTCTTTAGTTTAATTAGATCCCATTTGTCAATTTTGGCTTCTGTTGCCATTGCTTTTGGTGTTTAAGTCATGAAGTCTTTGCCCATGGCTATATCCTGAATGGTATTGCCTAGGTTTTCTTCTAGGGTTTTTATGGTTTTAGGTCTTATGTTTAAGTCTTTAATCCATCTTGAGTTAATTTTTGTGTAAGGTGTAAGGAAGGGGTCCAGTTTCAGTTTTCTGCATATGGCTAGCCAGTTTTCCCAAAACCATGTATTAAATAGGGAACCCTTTTCCCATTGCTTGTTTTTCTCAGGTTTGTCAAAGATCAGATGGTTGTAGATGTGTGGTGTTATTTCTGAGGCCTCTGTTCTGTTCCTTGATCTATATATCTGTTTTGGTACCAGTACCATGCTGTTATGGTTAGTGTAGCCTTGTAGTATAGTTTGAAGTCAGGTAGTGTGATGCGTCCAGCTTCATTCTTTTTGCTTAGGATTGTCTTGGCTATATGGGTTCCTTTTTTGGCTCCATATGACATTTAAAGTTGTTTTCTCTAATTCTGTGAAGAAAGTCAATGGTAGCTTGATGGAAATAGCATTGAATCTATAAATTACTTTGGGCGGTATGGCCATTTTCATGAAATTGATTCTTCCTATCCATGAGCATGGAATATTCTTCCATTTCTTTGTGTCCTCTTCTATTTCCTTGAGCAGTGGTTTGTAGTTCTCATGGAAGAGATCTTTCACATCCCTTGTTAAGTTGTATTCCTAGGTATTTTATTCACTTTGTAGCAATTGTGAATGAGAGTTCACTCATAATTTGGCTGTCTGTCTATTATTGGTGTATAGGAATGCTTGTGATTTTTGCACATTGATTTTGTACCCTGAGACTTTGCTGAAGTTGCTTATCAGTTTAAGGTGATTTTGGGCTGAGATGATGGGGTTTTCTAAATATACAATCATGTCATCTGCAAACAGAGACAATTTGATTTCCTCTCTTCCTATTTGAATATGTTTTTTCTTTCTCTTGCCTGATTGCCCTGGCCAGAACTTCCAACACTATGTTCAATAGGAGTGGTAAGAGAGGGCATCCTTTTCTTGTGCCAGTTTTCAAGGGGATTGCTCCCATCTTTTGACCATTCAGTATGATATTGGCTGTGGGTTTGTCATAAATAGCTCTTGTTATTTTGAGATATGTTCCATCAGTACCTAGTTTATAGAGAGTTTTTAGCATAAAGGGGTATTGAATTTTATTGAAGGCCTTTTCTGCATCTATTGAGATAATCATGTGGCTTTTGTAATCGGTTCTGTTTATGGGATGGATTATGTTTACTGATTTGGATATGTTGAAACAGCCTTGCATCCCAGTGATGAAGCTGACTTGATCGTGGTAGATAAGCTTTTTGATGTGCTGCTGGATTCGGTTTGCCAGTATTTTATTGCGGATTTTCGCATTGATGTTCATCAGGGATATGGGCTTGAAATTTTCTTTTTCTATTGTGTCTCTGCCAGGTTTTTGTATCAGGATGATGCTGGCCTCATAAAATGAGTTAGGGATAAGCCCCTCTTTTTCTATTGTTTGGAATAGTTTCAGAAGGAATGGTCCCAGCTCTTCTTTGTACCTCTGGTAGAATTCGTCTGTGAATCTGACTGGTCCTGGGCTTTTTTTGATTGATAGGCTATAAATTATTGCCTCAATTTCAGAACCTGTTATTGGTCTATTCAGGGATTCAACTTCTTCCTCGTTTAGTCTTGGGAGGGTGTATGTGCCTAGGAATTTATCCATTTCTTCTAGATTTTCTAGTTTATTTGCATAAAGGTGTTTTTAGTGTTCTCTGATGGTAGTTTATAAGCAGGGGTTGCAATCCTACTCTCTGATAAAATAGACTTTAAACAAAAAAAGACCAAAAAAGACAAAGAAGGGCACTACATAATGGTAAAGGGGTCAATGCAACAAGAAGAGCTAACTATCCTAAATATATATGCACGCAATATAGGAGCACCCAGATTCATAAAGCAAGTTCTTAGAGACCTACAAAGAGACTTAAACTTCCACACAATAATAGTAGGAGATGTTAACACACCGCTGTCAATATTAAACAGACCTACGAGACAGAACATTAACAACTATATTCAGGACTTGAACTCAGCTCTGGACCAAATGAACCTGATAGACAGCTACAGAACTCTCCACCCCAAATCAACAGAATATATGTTCTTCTCAGCACCACATCACACTTATTCTAAAACTGACTACATAATTGGAAGTAAAACACTCCTCAGCAAATGCAAAAAATGGGAATCATAACAAACAGTCTCAGACCACAATGCAATCAAATTAGAACTCAGGATTAAGAAACTCACTGAAAATCACACAACTATGTGGAAACTGAACAACCTGCTCCTGAATGACTACTGGGTAAATAAAGAAATTAAGGCAGAAATAAGTAAGTTCTTTGAAACCAGTGAGAACAAAGCCACAAAGTACCAGAATCTCTGGGACACAGCTAAAGGAGTGTTTAGAGGGAAATTTATAGCACTAAATGCCCACACGAGAAAGTGGGAAAGATCTGAAATTGACACCCTAACATCACAATGAAAAGAACTAGAGAAGGCCGGGAGTGGTGGCTCACGCCTGTAATCCCAGCACTATTTTAGGCCAAGATGGACAGATCACCTGAGGTCAGGAGTTTGATACCAGCCTGACCAATATGGTGAAACCCCATCTCTAATAAAAATACAGAAATTAACTGGGCCTGGTGGTCAGTGCCTGTAGTCCCAGCTTCAGGAGGCTGAGACAGGAGAGCTGCTTGAACCTGGGAGGCGGAGGTTGCAGTGATCTGAGATTGTGCCACTGCACTCCAGCCTGGGCAACAAAACGAGACTCTGTCAAACAAAACAAAACAAAACAAAAACTAGAGAAACAGGAGCAAACAAATTCAAAAACTAGAAGAAGACAAGAAATAACTAAGATCAGAGCAGAACTGAAGGAGATGGAGAATGGAGACACGAAAAACCCTTCAAAAAATCAATGAATCCAGGAGCTGGTTTTTCGAAAAGATTAACAAAATAGGCAGACCACTAGCCAGATTAATACAGAGAGAGAAGAATCAAATAGACACAATAAAAAATGATAAAGGGGATATCACCACTGATCCCACAGAAGCCTTTCTTCTTTGGCCCCTTAAGTGTTGGCAATTCATGGGTCTCTATTCTTCTCACTCTACACAGTCTTCCTGAGGAATTTCATCCACTTTCATGAGATCTATATACTAAAGACTCCAAAATGCATATTGCATATTTTCTAGGTGAGGTCTCTCTCCTATATTCTACACAAGTATATTCAACTGCCTACTTGATAGCTACACCGCTTGGATGTCTCCTAAAGAGCTTCAACTCAACATATTCAAAACTGAACTCATCATGCCTATAATCTGCTCTTGCTTCAGTGTTTGCTAGGTTAGTGAATGGCCTGCCATCCACTCAACTGCCTAAGCAAAAACTTAGGACCATCCTTGACTCCTACCTGTCCAACACCCCTACCATCTACTTAATCATCAAGGCCTACAGATTCTATCTTCTATCTTCTAAATGTCATGCTTACCTGTGTCATTAAAGAATGGTGACACAAAGGAAAGCATAATCCACTCTGCATAGGAAGTAGGCATAAAGGGTCTTACAGAGAAGATGCTCCTGCCAAGAATTGAAGAATAAGAACATGTCAGGCAAACAGGTGGCCAGATCATTCCAGGCAGGCAAAGGAACCTTTGTAAAGTTACATAAAGAAGAAACAAAATTGGGGTGGTGGATGGACATCAAAAAGTTCAGTGTTACTGGAGAATAGAGTGAAATTTATGAAATGTAAAGAAAAAGGTGACAAAGGACAGGTCATGGAAGGCTTTTTACACTATGTGCTGGAGTCACATTTTGCAAAGGAGCAATGGTTAAAAGCTGTATACAGCCGTGGTCCAAATTGTGACTCCAGATTTCTGGAAGCAGTTTGCAATGTGAGTAGGAAGGGTGCACTCAATAAATTAACACTCAATAAATAAGGACATCTTGCATGCCTGCATTTTTCACTGCCCACATTGTGAAGGGCTTTTCCATGACCTGTCTTATGTTTCACTTCCAAACTTGTCCTTGGCTCCAAACTCCTTGTCTTATCTTCTATTTAGAACATTACATCTTGTCCTTAAACCTGATGGCTGGTATTATCCCTTAGGCACTTGCCTGAACTTCCTGAGTAGGATTAGAACTCCCACTTGTTGAAATCACCCCCAACCAAATATGCACAAGGGAATTTGGAGATAATCTGACTGAGATGCCCACCAAGTGGTTGATAACTACAAACACCAAGTCCAAAGGATCAAAGTTAGGATTGATCAGGTAAAGAGAGCAAGGGTTTAAAATTAGATTGAGATGAGATTAAGAAAAAATGTTGGTTGAAACATGATCAGAGATGGAGGGGTAGTGACTAGTGATTGGTGCAAATGGTCTTTGGTGATTGAGCCTTGATTTTATAGTCTGGCTGGTGATTGGAATGTGAGTGAGTTAGGTTTGTTTAAAAGTCAGAGCCAAGGTAATCAAACTCTTCTCACTCTCCCCTACAACCAAACTCCCTTGCAAATAAGGGTAAGGGCTTCCTTGTGTGTGCCTGGCAGAAGGGGAGTACCTACAACATTTCTCCTGGCACCTCTTTGGTCTCTTGTCTTCCTTCTGCACAGCCCTTTAAGACAGCCTAACTCATCCATTCACTGTCTTCCCACTTGTCAATAAAGGCAACCCACAAACTCCTGCTAGCGTACCTAGAAATCACTCTATAATTCTACTTACTCATCTTGGACCTTGTTCTTCTTCTAATTCCACCATCACTCAGTTCTGAACTTTTGCTGGAACTACTGTCTTGATTTCTGCTAAGCATTGGGCCTGATCCCCCTGGCATTAAAGCTTCAGCTCTTCCCAGTGGATGTTGGCTTATCTGCCCCTCCAGCTCTTGGGCCCCTAGATTTGCTATGATAGGAACATTCCTCTTTCACTTTAGCCCTGCACTATCAAACCCAATCCTGGCCAAATGAATGACTAGCGTCTTAGCTGGACCAGGCACAGATTGTCTCCCCATTGCACCTCCCAAAAAAGAAGGATTTGAGTAAAAATTCTTCCTTGAAGACCCAGTTTTAGAGCTTGTGGGGTCAATAAGAACCTATTATTTGGGGATGTCAGGACTAATTGTGTGTGTGTGTGTGTGTGAGTTGTTGTTGGGAGAGAAGAATAGAAGCTTCACAGGCAAGAAATATAAGGGAAAGGTAGAAGATAGGGTGGGTGTGCACAAACTGATAGAGACCAAATGCTGCAGTGATATGATCTGGCTCTGTGTCCCCACCCAAATCCCATCTTGAATTGTAATCTGAATTGTAATCCCCATGTGTTGGGGGAGGGACCTCTTGGGAGGTGATTATGGGGGTGGTTCCCCCATGCTGTTCTTGTGATAGTGAGTTTTCAGGAGACTTGATGGTTTTATAAGAAGCTTTTCCTTGTTTCAGTTCTCTCTCCTGCTGCCACATGAAGGGCATGCTTGCTTCCCCTTCTGCCGTGATTGTAAATTTCCTGAGGCCTCACCAGCCATGCAGAACTGTGAGTCAATTAAACCTCTTTCCTTTATAAATTGCCCAGTTTCAGGCAGTTCTTTATAGCAGCATGAGAATGGACTGATACAGTAAATTGGTACTGCAGAGAGTGGGGTGCTGCTATAAAGACACCCAGAAATGTGGAAGTGACTTTGGAACTGGGTAACAGGCAGAGTTTGGAACAGTTTGGAGGACTTAGAAGAAGACAGATGTGAGAAAGTTTGGAACTTCCTAGAGATCTGTTTAATAGTTTTGACCCAAAATGCTGAGAGTGATATGGACAATGAAGTCCAGGCTGAGGTAGCTCAGATGGAGATGAGGAACTTGTTGGGAACAGAAATAAATGTGACTCTTGCTACACTTTAGTAAACAGAATGGCAGCATTTTGCCCCTGCCCTAGAGATCTGTGGAACTTTGAACTTGAGACAGATGATATAGGGTATCTGGTGGAAGAAATGTCTAAGCAGCAAAGCATTCAAGAGGTGACTAGGGTGCTTTTAAAAGCATTCAGCTTTATGCATTCACAAATATATAGTTTGGAACTGGAACTTATGTTTAAAAGGGACACAGAGCATAAAAGTTCAGAAAATTTGTAGCCTGACAATGTGATAGAAAAGAAAAACCCATTTTCTGAGGAGAAATTCAAGGTAGCTGCAGAAATTTGCATAAGTAATGAAAAGCCAAATGTTAATCACCAAGACAATGGGGAAAATGTCTCCAGAGCATGTCAGAGGTCTTCATGGCAGCACCTCCCATCACAGGCCTGGAGACCTAGGAGGAAAAAATGGTTTCATGGGTGGGGCCCAGGGTATTGCTGCTTTGTGTCCTGCATTCCAGCCATGGCTAAAAGGGGCCAATGTATAGCTCAGGCTGTTGCTTCAGAGGATGGAAGCCCCAAGCCTTGGCAGCTTACATATAGTGTTGGGCCTGTGGGTGCACAGAAGTCAAGAATTGAGGCTGGGCATGATGGCTCACATCTGTAATCCCTGCACTGTGGGAGGCTGAGATGGGTGGATCACCTGAGGTCAGGAGTTTGAGACCAGCCTGACCAACATGATGAAACCCAGTCTCTACTAAAAATACAAAAAATTAGCTGGGTGTGGCGCTGGGTGCCTGTAATCCCAACTACTCATGAGGCTGAGGCAGGAGAACTGCTTGAGCCTGGGAGGGAGAGGTTGCAGTGAGCCCAAGACCACACCACTGCACTCCAGCCTGGGCAACAAGAATGAAAGCTCATCCCAAAAATAAAAATAAACAAAGAAAACAGGGTACACCGTTCCAAGATGGCCGAATAGGAACAGCTCCATTCTGCAGCTCCCAGCGTGACTGACACAGAAGATGGGTGATTTCTGCATTTCCAACTGAGGTACATGGTTCATCTCATTGGGACTGTTTGGACAGTGGGTGCAGACCATGGAGGGTGACCCAAAGCAGGGCAGGGTGTCGCCTTATCCAGGAAGTGCAAGGGGTTGGGGGATTTCCCTTTCTTAGCCAAGGGGAGCAGTGACAGACTGTACCTGGAAAAACGGGACACTCCTGCCCAAATACTGCACTTTTCTCACAGTCTTAGTAACTGGCAGACCAGGACAGTCTCTCCCATGCCTGGCTCGGTGGGTCCCACACCCACGGAGCCTTGCTCACTGCTAGTGCAGCAGTCTGAGATCGACCTGTGAAGCTGCAGGCTGGCTGGAGGAGGGGTGTCCACCATTGCTGAGGCTTAAGTAGGTAAACAAAGTGGCCAGGAAGCTCGAACTGGGCAGAGACCATGGCAGCTCAGCAAGGCCTACTGCCTCTATAAGCTCCACCTCTGTGGGCAGGGCATAGCTGAACAAAAGGCAGCAGAAACTTCTGCAGACTTAAACGTCCCTGTCTGACAGCTCTGAAGAGAGCAGTGATTCTCCCAGCATGGCGTTTGAGCTCTGACAATGGACAGACTGCCTCCTCAAGTGGGTCCCTGAAACCCGTGTAGCCTAACTGGGAGACACCTCCCAGTAGGGACTGACAGACACCTCATACAGGCAAGTGCCCCTCTGGGATGAAGCTTCCAGAAGGGTCAGGCAGTAATATCTGCTTTTCTGCAATATTTGCTGTTCTGCGGCCTCCACTGGTGGTACCCAGGCAAACAGGGTCTGGAGTGGACCTCCAGCAAACTCCAACAGACCTGCAGCCGAGGGACATGAGTGTTAGAAAGAAAACTAGCAAACAGAAAGCAATAGCATTAACATCAACAAAAATGAAATCTACACCCAAACCCCATCCCTAGATTACCAACATAAAAGACAAAAGGTAGATAAAACCACAAAGATGAGTAGAAATCAGAGCAGAAAAGCTGAAAATTCTAAAATCCAGGGTGCCTCTTCTCCTCCAAAGGATTGCAGCTCCTGGCCAGTAATGGAACAAACCTGGATGGAGAATGACTTTGACGAGTTGACAGAAGTAGGCTTCAGAAAGTCAGTAATAATAAACTTCTCCGATCTAAACAAGCATGGTCTAACCCATCACAAGAAAGCTAAAAACCTTGAAAAAAGATGAAGCTGAAAACCATGGCATGAGAACTTTGTGAAGCATGAACAAGTTTCAATAGCAGATTTGATCAAGTGAAAGAAAGGGTATCAGTGATTGAAGACCAAATTAATGAAATAAAGGGAGAAGACAAGTTTAGACAAAAAAGTAAAAAGAAATGAACAACGTCTCCAAGAAATATGGGACTATGTGAAAAGACGAACTCTACGTTTGATTGGTGTACCTGAAAATGACAGAGAGAATGGAACAAAGTTGGAAAACACTCTCCAGGATATTGTCCAGAAGAACTTCCCCAACCTAGCAAGGCAGGCCAACATTCAAATTCAGGAAATACAGAGAACATCACAAAGATACTCTTCGAGAAGAGCAACCCCAAGACACATAATTCTCAGATTCACCAAGGTTGAAATGAAGGAAAAAGTGTTAAGGGCAGCCAGAGATAAAGGTCCAGTTACCCACAAAGGGAAGCCCATCAGACTAACAGTGGATCTTTCAGCAGAAACCCTACAAGCCAGAAGAGAGTGAGGCCCAATATTCAATATTCTTAAAGAAAACAATTTTCAACCCAGAATTTCATATCCAGCCAAACTAAGGTTCATAAGTGAAGGATAAATGAAATCCTTTACAGACAAGCAAATGCTGAGAGACTTTGTCACCACCAGGCCTGTCTTACGAGAGCTCCTGAAGGAAGCACTAAAGATGGAAAGGAACAACTGGTACCAGCCACTGCAAAAACATGCCAAATTGTAAAGACCATCGATGCTATGAAGAAACTGCATCAATTAATGGGCAAAATAACCAGCCAACATCAGAATGACAGGATTAAATTCACATATAACAATATTAACCTTAAATGTAAATGGGCTAAATGCCCCAATTAAAAGATACAGACTAGCAAATTGGATAGAGTCGAGACTCATCAGTGTGCTATATTCAGGAGACCCACTTCACATGCAGAGATACAAATAGGTTCAAAATAAAGGGATGGAGGAAGATCTACCAAGCAAATGGAAAGCAAAAAAAAAAAAAAAAAAAAGACTTTAAAGCAACAAAGATCAAAAGAGACAAAGAAGGCCATTACATAATGGTAAAGGGATCAATTCAACAAGAACTAACTATTCTAAATACATATGCACCCAATACAGGAGCACCGAGATTCATAAAGCAAGTCCTCAGAGACTTACAAAGAGACTTAGGCTCCCACACAACAATAATGGGAGACTTTAACACCCCACTGTCAATATTAGACAGATCAACGAGACAGAAGGTTAACAAGGATATCCAGGACTTGAACTCAGCTCTGCAACAAGTGGACCTAATAGACATCCACAGAACTCTTCAGCACAAATCAACAGAATATACATTCTTCTCAGCACCATATCGCACTTATTCTAAAATTGACCACATAATTGGAAGTAAAGCACTCCTCAGCAAATGTAAAAGAACAGAAATCACAACAAACTGTCTCTCAGATCACAGTGCAATCAAATTAGAACTCAGGATTAAGAAACTCAATCAAAACTGCACAACTACATGGAAACTGAACAACTTGCTCCTGAATGACTACTGCATAAATAACGAAATGAAGGCAGAAATAAAGATGTTCTTTGAAACAAAAGAGAACAAAGACACAACGTACCAGAATCTCTGGGAAACATTTAAAGCAGTGTGTAGAGGGAAAATTATAGCAGTAAATGACCACAAGAGAACGCAGAAAAGATCTAAAATAGAAACCCTAACGTCACAATTAAAAGTACTAAAGAAGCAAGAGCAAACAAATTCAAAAGTGAGCAGAAGGCGAGAAATAAATAAGATCAGAGCTGATCTGAAGGAGATAGAGACACAAAAAACCCTTCTAAAATCAATGAATCCAGGTGCTGGTTTTCTGAAAAGATCAACGAAATTGATAGACCACTAGCAAGACTAATAAAGAAGAAAAGAGAAGAACCAAATAGACACAATAAAAATTGATGAAGGGCATATCATCACCAATCCCACAGAAATACAAACTACCATCAGGTAATACTATAAACACCTCTACACAAATAAACTAGAAAATCTAGAAGAAATGTATAAATTCCTCGACACATACACCCTCTAAAAACTAAACCAGGAAGAAGTTGAATCTCTGAATAGAACAATAAGAGGCTGTGAAATCGAGGCAATAATTAATAGCCTACCAACCAAAAAAAGTCCAGGACCAGACGGATTGACAGCTGAATTCTACCAGAGGTACAAAGAAGAGCTGGTACCATTCCCACTGAAACAATTCCAATCAATAGATAAAGAGGGAATCCTCCCTAACTCATTTTATGAGACCAGCATCACCCTGATACCAAAGCCTGGAAGAGACACAATAAAAAAAGAGAATTTTAGACCAATATCCCTGATGAGCATGGATGCAAAAATCCTCAATAAAATACTGGCAAACTGAATGCAGCAGCACATCAAAAAGCATATCCACCATGATCAAGTGGGCTTCATCCCTGGGATGCAAGGCTAGTTCAACATATGCAAATCAATAAACATAATCCATCACATAAACAGAACCAACAACAAAAACCACAAGATTATCTTAATAGATGCAGAAAAGGGCTTCGACAACATTCAATAGCCCTTCATGCTAAAAACTCTCAATACACTAGGTATAGATGGAACATATCTCAAAATAATAAGAGCTATTTATGACAAACCCACCACCAATATCATACTGAATGGGCAAAAAGTGGAAGCATTCCCTTTGAAAACCGGCACAAGACAAGGATGCCCTCTCTCACCACTCCTATTCAACATAGTGTTGGAAGTTCTGGCCAGGACAATCAGGCAAGAGAAAGAAATAGAGTGTATTCAATTAGGAAAAGAGGAAGCCAAATTGTCCCTGTTTGCAGATGACATGATTGTATATTTAGAAAACCCCATCATCTCAGCCCAAAATCTCCTTAAGCTGATAAGCAACTTCAGCAAAGTCTCAGGATACAAAATCAATGTGCAAAAATCACAAGAATTCCTATACACCAATATCAGACAGAGAGCCAAATTATGAGTGAACTCCCTTTCACAATTGCTACAAAGAGAATAAAATACCTGGGAATCCAACTAACAAGGGATGTGAAGGACCTCTTCAAGGAGAAACACAAACCACTGCTCAATGAAATAAAAGAGGACACAAAAAAAAAGGAAGAATATTCCATGCTCATGGATAGGAAGAATCAATATCATGAAAATGGCCACACTGCCCAAGGTAATTTATAGATTCAATGCCATCCGCATCAAGCTACCAATGACCTTCTTCACAGAATTGGAAAAAAACTACTTTAAAGTTCATATGGAACTAAAAAGGAGCCCACATTGCCAAGACAATCCTAAGCAAAAAGAACAAACCTGGAGGCATCACGCTACCTGACTTCAAACTATACTACAAGGCCACCATAATCAAAACAGCATGGTACTGGTACCAAAACAGATATATAGACCAATGGAACAGAAAAGAGGCCTCAAAAATAACACCACACATCTACAATCATCTGATCTTTGACAAACCTGACAAAAACAAGAAACGGGGTAAGGATTCCCTATTTAATAAATGGTGCTGGGAAAACTGGCTAGCCCCATGTAGAAGGATGAAACTGGATCCCTTCCTTACACCTTACACAAAAATTAATTCAAGATGGGTTAAAGAGTTATATGTTAGACCTAAAACCATAAAAACCCTAGAAGAAAACCTAGGCAATACCATTCAGGACATAGGCATGGGCAAGGACTTCATGACTAAAACATCAAAAGCAATGGCAGCAAAAGCCAAAATAGACAAATGGGATCTAATTAAACTAAAGAGCTTCTTCACAGCAAAAGAAACTACCATCAGAGTGAACAGGCAGCCTACAGAATGGGTGAAAATTTTTGCAATCTACCCATCTGACAAAGAGCTAATATCCAGAATCTACAAACAACTCAAACAAATTTACAAGAAAAAAACAACCCCATCAAAAAGTGGACAAAGGATATGAACAGATACTTCTCAAAAGAGGACATTTATGCAGCCAACAGACACATGAAAAAATGCTCATCATCACTGGCCATCAGAGAAATGCAAATCAAAACCACAATGAGATACCATCTCACACTAGTTAGAATGATGATCATTAAAAAGTCAGTAAACAAGAGATGCTGGAGAGGATGTGGAGATATAGGAACACTTTTACACTGTTGGTGGGAGTGTAAATTAGTTCAATCATTGTGGAAGACAGTGTGGCGATTCCTCAAGGATCTAGAACCAGAAATACCATTTGGCCCAGCAATACCATTACTGGGTATATAGCCAAGGGATTATAAATCATGATACTATAAAGACACATGCACACATATGTTTATTGTGGCACTATTCACAATAGCAAAGACCTGCAACCAAACCAAATATCCATCAATGATAGACTAGATAAAGAAAATGTGGCACATATACATTATGGAATACTATGCAGCCATAAAAAAGGATGAGTTCATGTCCTTTTCAGGGACATGGATGAAGCTGGAAACCATCATTCTCAGCAAACTATCACAAGGACAGAAAACCAAACACCACATGTTCTCACTCATAGGTGGGAATTGAACAATGAGAACACTTGGACACAGGGAGAGGAACATCACACACTGGGGTGTGTTGTGGGGTGGGGGGCTGGGGGAGGGATAGCATTAGGAGAAATACCTAATGTAAATGACGAGTTGATGGGTGCAGCAAACCAACATGGCACATGTATACCTATGTAACAAACCTGCACATTGTGCACATGTACCCTAGAACTTAAAGAATAATAAAAAAGAAAGAAAAGAAAATTAAACAAACAAAAAAATAAATAATTGAGGTTTGGGAACCTCTGCCTAGATTTCAGAGGATGTATGGAAATGCCTGGATATTCAGACAGATGTTTGCTGCAGGGGTGGAGCCCTCATGAAGAACCTCTGCTAGGGCAGTGCAGAAGGGAAATGCAGGGTTGGAATCCCCACACAGAGTGCCCACCGGGCACTGCCTAGTGGAGCTGTGAGAAGAGGGCCACCATCCTCTTGACCCCAGAATAGTAGATCCACCCACAGCTTGCACTGTATGCCTGGAAAAGCCACAGACACTCAATGCCAGCCCATGAAAGCAGCCAGCAGTGGGGCTGTATCCTGCAAAACCATAGGAATGGAGTTGCCCAAGGCTGTAGGAGCCCACCTCTTGCATCATTGTGACCTGGATGTGAGGCATGGAGTGAAGGGAGATTATTTCTGGGTTTTGAGATTTAATTACTGCTTCATTGGATTTCAAACTTGCATGGGGCCTGTAGCTCCTTTGTATTGGCCAATTTCTCCCATTTGGAATGCATGTATTTACCCCATGCCTATACTCCCAATACATCTAGGAAGTAACTAACTTGCTTTTGATTTTATAGGCTCACAGGTGGAAGGGACTTGCCTTGTCTCAGATGAAACTTTGCACTTGGACTTTTGGGTTAATGTTGGAATGAGTTAAGATTTCGGGAGATTATTGGGAAGGCATGATTGTGTTTGGGAATGTGAGGACATGAGACTTGGGAGGGGTCAAGTGTAGAATGATATGGTTTGGCTGGGTCTCCATCCAAATCTCATCTTGAATTGTAGTTCCCATAATCCTCACATGACATGGCAGGGAACTGTGGGAGGTAATTAGATGATGGGGATGGTTCCCCCATGCTGTTCTCATGCTAGTGAGTGAGTTCTCACAAGATGTGATGCGTTTTTTTTTCTTTTTCAGATGGAGTTTCACTCTTTCACCCAGGCTGGAGTGAAGTGGCATGATCTCAGCTCACTGCAACCTCTGCCTCCTGGATTCAAGTGATTCTCCTGCCTCATCCTCGTGAGTATCTCGGATTACAGGCACCCACCACCAAACTCAGTTAATTTTTGTATTTTTAGTAGATACAGGGTTTCACCATGTTGGCCAGGCTGGTCTTGAACTCCTGACCTCAGGTGATCCACCCACCTCAGCCTCCCAAACTGCTAGGATTCCAGGCATGAGTCACCATGCCTGGCCAATCTGATGGTTTTATAAGAAGCTTTTCTCGTCTTTGCTTTGCACTTCTCTCTCCTGCAGCCATGTGAAGAAGGATGTGTTTATTTCCCCTTCCACCATGATTGTAAGTTTCCAGAGGCCTCCCCAGCTGTGCAGAACTGTAAGTCAATTAAACCATTTTCCTTTATAAATTACCCAGCCTCGGGTATTTCTTCACAGTAGCATGAGAGCAGACTAATACACAGAGTGTTGATTAACTTAATGATACTGTATGCATATGCTACAGTTTATTTTGACAGTTACCTATTAGTAGACATTGGAGTTATTTCCAGTTTGGGGCTTTTATAAATAAAGCTGCTATGAACATTCATGTACAAGTATTTGTATGGATATATCCTTTTTACTCCTCTTAGATAAATACTTATGAGTGGAATTATGGTCAGTTGGTACACATATGTTTAACTTTATAAAAAATTACCAAACTTCTTTATAAAATGGCTATACTATTTATATCCCTACCAGGAATGCATGAGAATTTCACTTGCTCCACATTCTCATCAACATTTGGTATTATCAGTCTTCTAAATTTTAACCATTCTAGTGGGTGTAGTGACATCTCAGTGTTGACTTAATTTGTATGTCCCTTAGGACAAATAATTTTGAGCACTTTTTCATATGCTTAATAGCCAATTGTATATTTTCTTTGTTATAGTGTTTGTTAAACTCTTTGCTTATTTTTAAATTGGTTTATTTGTCCTCTTATTCGAGTTGTAAATATTCTTTTTATATTCTGAATAGCATTCCTTTGTCAGATACACATATATATTGCAAATATTTCCTCCAGGATGTGGTTTGTCTTTTCATTTCCTTAGTAGCACGTTTTGAAGAGCAAAAGTTTTTAGCTTTGATGAAGCCCAATCTATTAATGTGCTCTTTTATGATTATGCTTCTATGTTATTGCTTTTTAAAATTGAATTTCTGTTTTCAGTTGCAATGTTTTCTTCTCTGTTGTTCGTTATTTCTTTTTTTCTCATTACTTTTTGTTTAACTTTTTTCCCCTTTTTAGTTTTGACTTAAAATTTTTCTTTTCTTCCTAACTAGGCATTTAGAATTTTAAATTGTCCCCTTAGGTACCACTTTGGTGGCACCCCACAGATTCTCATATGTTGTGTTTTCATTCTCTTTTTTTCGCATTTATTTGTTGGTTTTAATTGACCAATATAAATTGTATGCACTTATTGTGTTCAACATGATGTTTTGATATATGTACACATTGTGGAATGGCTAAGTCAAGTTATTTAACAAATGCATTACCTCGCATATTTATCATTTTTTGTGATGAAAATGCTAAGATCGACTCTTTTCACAATTTTCAAATATACAATATATTGTTATTGATTGTAGTGACCATGACGTACAAGAGATCTTGTGAACTTATTCATCCCATCTAACTGAAATTTTGTGTCCTTTGTCTGACATCTCCCAATCACCTACTTCTCAGCCTCTGGCAACCACCATTTTATTCTCTATTTCTATTAGTTAGACTTTTTTACACTTCACATGTAAGTGAGATCATGTAGTATTTGTCTTTGTGTTTCCATTTTCATTCAGTAAAAATACTTTCTTATTTCCCTTTTGAATTCTTGTATTTTTAGCCATGGGTTATTTTGAAGTGTTTTATTTAGTTTTCTAATATTTAGAGATTTTCCAGAGAACTTTCTGTTACTGATTTTTAATTTAATTGCATTGTGATCAGAGAACATACTTTGTGTAAATTTGAATCATTTCCAATTTACTTGCACTTGTTTTATGGTCCAGAGAGGCTTTTTTTTTAATAGGGTTGGCAACATATATCTTTATTCATCCTTTTACATGATAATATGATTAGGTTGAACTCTGTCATCTTGCTATTTGTTTTCTATTTGTCTCATTTATTTTTTGTTCCTTTTTCTCCTTTATTTCTTTCTGATTTTGAGTTAATTGTATGTATTTTGGTGATTCTACTTTCCTTTGTTGGCTCGTTGGGTATAATTCTTTGTTTTGTTAATGTTTGTTTTAGGGCTTATAACATAAAGCATTAGCTCATAACAGTCTACTTTCAAGTGACATTATACGACTTCACATATAAAAGCCTTACAATAGTACACTATCATTTCCCCCTTCCTTGCCTTTATGCTATTTCCATCACACACCTTATACATATGTTGTAAAAACCCACAACATATTGTTACTTTAATATATCATTATTTTATATAAACACTCCATTATCCTTTAAAGTAATTTAAATAATTTTAGAACATTCATATATTTACCCATCTGGTAACGATTTGTGTTTCTTTTCATTCCTTTCCGTGCAGCTGTATTTCCATCTGGTGTCACCAATTTTTGAAAGATAATTCTGCTGGACATAGAATTCTAGATAATTCTAAATTGACAGGTTTTATTCTTTCAGTATTGTAAAGATATTGTTCTACTCTTCTCTCTTACATTGTTCCCAATCAGAAATCTACCATCATTATTATCCTGCTTCCTCGGCACATTATGCATCTTTTACCTTTGGCTGCTTTTAAGATTTTCTCTTTATCATTGGTATTGAGCAAGTTAATTATGATGTGACCTGGTATCATTTTTCTCTTGTCTCTTGTGCATGTGGTATGCTGTGCTTCTTTGTTTTGTAATATATCATTTTTATCAAATTTGGAAAAGTTTTGACCATCATTTCTTCAAATATTTTCCTTGCTCACCTTCCTTTTTCTTCTTCTTCAGGGACTCCAATTACTCATAAATTAAAATGTATGAAGTTGTCCGATAGCTCACTGATGCTGTTTTCATTTTTTTTATTCTATTTTTCTCTCTGTGTTTCACTTTGGACAGTTTCCATCGCTATCTCTTCAACCTAAAGTTCACGGATTGTTTCTTTTGCAATGTCTAATCTGCCATTTATCATTCAATGTATTTTTATCCTGCACATTGTAGTTTTCATGTCTAAAAGTAATATTTGTATCTTTTCTATATCTTTCATGTTTCTATTTAACTTTTTGAACACATGGAATACAGTTATAGTATTTTATTTAATGTTGTCTTCTGCTAATTCTAATATATGTGTCGGTTCTGGGTTATTCTCAAATAAATGATTATTATTTTCATTAATGAAAATGTTTTCCTGTCTCTTTTCTCATCTGGTATTCTTTAATTGGACATCAGATACTGTACATTTTACTTCATAGAGTGCTGGGTGTTTTATGAGGTAATACACTGGGTATTCCTATAAATAATCTGGTTCTTTCTTCCTGGGTATAGCTGCTATTTGGAAACAGTTTGATTTTTCCAGTCATTCTTTTATTATTTGTTAGGTGGGTCTGGAGCAGTGCTCAGTATAGGGATAATTATTCTCCACTACTGAGGCTAGACCTTCCTGAGTATTCTACCTGATGTCCCATGAATTATGAATTTTTTCCACTCTGGCTGGTAGAAAAAGGCATGGTTCCTGGCCCTGTATGCTTTTTACTCTTTTTGGACACTCTTTTCTCTAATTATTTTGGATGATTCTCCCCCCAGGCCTTGGGTGATATCCTTACCAGGATGTGCTGCTCAGTACTCTGCTACATTCTCAAGGAGAGGGACTCTCTGATCCTAGGGATATTGATTAGTGGGATCTCTCCTCTCTGTTATGGTTTCCTGGGTATTCTAGCTATCTTGGTTTCCTGGACTTTCAGCTTCATCTCTTCAACTCAGGAATTCTACCACACTCTGCCTGATTCTCTTTCCATGCCATGTCCTAGAAACTTTCTCAAAGCATTAAGCCAGGTTATTATAACGCTTACCTCAGTTATTTCTCATATCTCAAGGATCATCATCTTTTAGGGCCTAGTATCTGGTGTCTTAAAAACTTTTGTTTTTTATATTCGGTTTGTGTTTTTGTTTTTTTGTTGGTTAAATAGAATGAATGAAGTAGTCTCTGTTACTTCATTTTGAGTTATAGTAACCCCAGTATCAGAAGTCCTATTTAAATTTAAATAGCCACACATGGCTAGTGGCCACATAGTAGACAGTGCAGCTTGAGGTAGTAGAACCTAGTTGCTACAGATTTTCTCTCATGATAAGAAAATAACTTGTAGAACCATCTACTGCCCATTCTTCCATATTTAAACCAGGAGTGAGGAGTGAGGAAAAGTGTCAATTTCCCAATATTATCAGCCAAATTCACACACAGTTTGGGTTCAAGATATGGTCATAGACACAGTCTTGAACCAATATTTATGCTTATGGAAATGAGATGTATTGATTTAGGCTCAGGTTCTATAATTATACTTGGAATCCATGGTTTGAGAATCACCTAAACCATATGTATGTGTTGTAGGGTAGGGGTGGATCTTCAAACAAAACTCAGGTGTCATTAGAAGGAGAGAAAACAGATGTCGAGGAGGCAAGCCGTAAATGATTAGCACACTATTTTTCAGGACCTACTAGATGAATTATCTCTGGCCATAGGTTACGTAAATGATGAGCCGTAGATAATTGGGTATGATGGTGTGAGTGTAATGTGTGATTCATCTGGTTTCTGCACCTGAAGTCTCTTGGTAATGCTGCAATAAAATTTTCTGAAATAGGGTTCCTCAGAACTTTCACTATTTCTGTAGGAAGGAACCTAAACATCTCTCTTTGATAGCAAGATTGGCCTCCCTAATTTGCCACTCCAAGGGAGCTCTGCTTATACTAACACTACTATAGTCTCCGTGTTTATTCCCATTCCCCCCAATCCTTTATCTTCTAAAGTAGCTTCATATTAGGCACCCAGTAAATACCTGTAGAATAAAGGAATAAATAGCTTTCCAAGTATGTCTGTGTCCACTTGAGAATAGTGTGATAACTCTTTATCTTTGAAGTATCTCAACGGATATGGTTTGGCACTGTGTCCCCACCCAAATCTCATCTTGAATTGTAATCCCCATGTGTCAAGGGAGGGACCTGGTGGGAGGTGACTGGATCATGGGGGTGGTTTTCTGCATGCTGTTCTCATAATAGTGAGTGAGTTCTCTTGAGATCTGATGGTTTAAAAGGGTTTGGCAGTTCCCCCCTTGCTCTCTCTCTCTCTCTTCTACTACTCTGTAAAGAAGGACCTTGCTTCTCCTTTGCCTTCTGCTATGATTATAATTTTCCTGAGGCTTTCCCAGCCATGCAGAACTGTGAGCCAATTAAACCTTTTTTTCTTCATTAACTACTCAGTCTTTACAGAAGTGTGAAAACAGACTAATACACCAGCCATTTTCTTTTTTCTTTCTTTTGTTTTTTTACTTTTTATAGGTCAAATATTCTTTTTTAATTATTATTATACTTTAAGTTCTGGGGTATTTGTGCACAATGTGCAGGTTTGTTACATAGGTATACATGTGCCATGTTGGTTTGCTACACTAATCAATTTGTCATTTACATTAGGTATTTCTCCTAATGCTATCCCTCCCCCAGCCCCCGACCCCCCAACAGGCCCCAGTGTGTGATGTTCCCCTCCCTGGGTCCATGTGTTCTTATTGTTCAATTCCCAGTTATGAGTGAGAACATGCGGTGTTTGGTTTTCTCTTCTTGTGTTACTTTGCTGAGAATGATGGTTTCCAGTTTCATCTATGTCCTTGCAAAGGACATAAGCTCATCCTATTTTATGGCTGCATAGTATTCCATGGTGTATATGTGCCACATTTTCTTTATCCAGTCTATCATAGATGGGCATTTGGGTTGGTTACGACTTTGCTATTGTGAACAGTGCTGCAATAAACATACCTGTGCATGTGTCTTTATAGTAGAATGATTTATAAACTTCGGGTATATACCCAGTAATGGGATTGCTGGGTCAAATGGTATTTCCGGTTCTAGATCCTTGAGGAATCACCACACTGTCTTCCACAATGGTTGAATTAATTTACACTCCCACCAACAGTGTAAAAGCATTCCTATTTCTCCACATCCTCTCCAGCACCTATTGTTTCCTGACTTTTTAATGGTTGCCATTCTAGCTGGCATGAGATGGTATCTCGTTGTGGTTTTGATTTGCATTTCTCTAATGACCAGTGATGATAAGCATTTTTTCATAAGTTTGTTGGCTGCATAGGTGTCTTCTTTTGAGAAGCGTCTGTTCACATCCTTTGACCATTTTTTGATGGGGTTGTTTTTTTCTTGTAAATTTGTTTACGTTCTTTGTAGATTCTGGATATTAGCTCTTTGTCAGATGGATAGATTGCAAAAATTTTCTCCCATTCTGTAGGTTGCCTGTTCACTCTGATGATAGTTTCTTTTGCTGTGAAGAAGCTTTTTAGTTGAATTAGATTTTATTTGTCAATTTTGGCTTTTGTTGCCTTTGCTTTTGGTGTTTTAATCATGAAGTCTTTGCCCATGCCTGTGTCCTGAATGGTATTGCCTAGGTTTTCTTCTAGGGTTTTTATGGTTTTAGGTCTTACGTTTAAGCCTTTAATCCATCTTGAGTTAATTTTTGTATAGCATGTAAGGAAGGAATCCAGTTTCAGCTTTCTGCATAGGGCTAGCTGCTTTTCCCAGCACCATTTATTAAATAGGGAATCCTTTCCTGATTGCTTGTTTTCATAAGGTTTGTCAAAGATCAGATGGTTGTAGATGTGTGGTATTATTTCTGAGGCCTCTGTTCTGTTCCATTGGTCTATATATCTGTTTTGGTACCAGTACTATGCTGTTTTGATTACTATAGCCTTGTAGTATAGTTTGAAATCAGGCAGCATGATGCCTCCACCTTTGTTCCTTTTGCTTAGGATTGCCTTGGCTTTGCGGGCTCTTTTTTGGTTCCATATGAAGTTTAAGGTCGTTTTCTCCAATTCTGTGAAGAAAGCCAGTGGTAGCTTGATGGGGATAACATTGAATCTATAAATTACTTTGGGCAGTATGGACATTTTCACAATATTGATTCTTCCTGCCCATGAGCATGGAATGTTCTTCCTTTTTTTGTGTCCTCTTTCATTTCGTTGTGCAATGGTTTGTAGTTCTCCTTGATGAGGTCCTTCTCATCCCTGTAAGTTGTATTCCTAGGTATTTTACTATCTTTGTAGCAATTGTGAATGGGAGTTCATTCATGATTTGGCTCTCTGTTTTTCTGTTACACCTTGTTTGACCTCTTAGAAAGAAGAAAATTAACCTGGAAAACATCCTGTTCAGCTCTCCTAAACTGACTTCACTTGTACTTTGTACTCCCTAGTTAAACCAGTCCAAGACTATCTATAACAACACCATCCCTGACCCGACCTTGAGAAATAAAAGTTGTCAAGTTCTGTGGTCAGTTTTCTGGATACCATGTTCTGTCCAACAATGAAATACATACAATGCTAGGCAAATTGTTTGTGGACAATGGGTGGAAGGTCCCTCTCTAAGACCACCTGAAACACCTAGTGGTCCCTGGAATTCTCCAGATAGTACTGACAGTTATTAAGTCCCAGGATGAGCTCAGCTTGTTATCTCTGCCCCTCTACCTCCTGATCCTCTAGAAATATGGGCCCAGATTATATTAACTGGTCAATTTGGTCTTGAAGGTAATAGATTGAGGATTCTGTGTATTCCATGAGAGTGTACAAAGAATATTAAGTCTGTAGCAGCTCTGTGAAATCTGGAAGCTTAGCCCATGCAAAAACTGCCTAATAGATTTATCTTTCCAAAAGCCATAGTGTCCATAGGTATATGATGCAACTCCACATGGAGAAATTATTTGGCCTGATAATTTTGCAGTCATTCCGTCTCAGCTATAGCCAATGAAGTTGGCTTGGCATGAGCATTGAGAAGATGCTCTCATTAAAATGTGTCTGAAAATCAGAGCTAGTGAGGAGCACCCCTGGAAGGAAGGCACAGAATGTTGAGGATACCTGTTTTACTGTCCATCCCAGCCAGAGAGGCTGGGATCCCAGATCTTCATCTGTGCCATGATACCACCTAGAATTAGCAAACATCTTAGTCTTTGGTGGATTTGTATCTCCTACAACATCTTTCTGACCACCAGATAACTCTATGTAATCATCACCCCACATTTCATTTCCAAGTTTCTCCCTTCATCATGGGTGCCATGCCCTACTGGTAGTGGAGAATGCCACACAAAATGCCCTATATTATCCCCATCTAGAGAATGCATTTTAGCCCCTTTTAATGAAGTCTTCTGCCTCCATGGACTACATATTTGCTTTCAACCCTACTATGGTTTTGAGGACACAGTTTCCAGCTTTTCAGGTCCATGTCCACTAGATCATTTTACTATTTTGACTATCTATACTTATTTTCAAATAAATTATATTAATCAAGTGTATTCATCAGTGTCTAATCAGGAAAAGGAAAAACACTCAAGTGTTTAGAATGAGAAGACTTTAATAGAGATAACTGGTTACATGGGTAATAGAAGAACTGAAAAGCCAGCAAAAAATGATAAGGTAAGCCTAACCTGAAGATCCAAGAAACTTCTACCATCCCTAGGCTGGAGGGATGAAGGGAAGAGACAGGCTTACCGGAGCCCAAGGTCCAGGATCACTGAATGGAAGCTGGAATCAGGGTAGTACTGACTGATGGAATCTGAAGCCATGGAAGAGACATGCCTGCTGCCAAAGAGATCACTAGTGACAGATAGGACAGAGAAGAAATATCCTGTCTTCTCAGTCCCCACCCCTAGGCACAACACCCCTCTTCTACTCTTGCATCAGTGCTTTCTATTAGCTGAACTTAACTGGAAACCCACCAATATGAGAATCTGGGAAATGGAGTTTGTAGAGAACAGTTTTCCTGTGACACAGGGCAGATCAGGAAAAGAGCAAGGAATAATCGGAAGGTAATATAAGACCAAGACCAACATACTAGATATTTGAAAAGAACTGACAACGAGCATTTTTAAATTTACCAATAATACAATCTGTCCCCTTTTACTCGCAGAACCATGGACATTCCTGAGCCAGGCAGTACCTGTGAGAACTACAAGACCCTTAGAAGCACCTGCAGGATGTCCTCCTACACACAAAAATGGGGCTAATTCAAAGAGCATTTCAAAGGGTACCAGGTATTAAGGTTAGGCACACAAATTGGAGCTTCTGGCTGGATCTTTTCCTAGCATATGTCCATTATCTGCTCTTGTCAAAACCTTCAGGACCATTATCTGAGAATATTTAAGGTAACTGAGGTTGCTAGCTAACTCCATGGCCTTCCCAATCAAGCCTCCCTGTGTTCTGCATTTATTTCATCTTCCATTGTATCTTACTCTGTCTGAGACATCAAAGTCCTGCTCTGCCACCACAACTAAACTACTATTGTGGATAAAAAGGATCTCAAGGATGTTGTGCTCAGCTGCAGTCCCAGTTGTAGCAGGTACTCAATAAATATCTGTTTAATGAATGAGGCACTGAGAAAGGTACAGGCTGGAAAACTGGTTGTGGGAAACTGGCTTGGGTTTCCAAAAAGTACTAGAATGAGGTAAGCCTTTTTGTCAATTGTATGAGGGGAAATCCAACCCTGCCCTGTCCTGCCTGGCAGAGGAGATCTGAGAGGAGACAAGGTCAGTGTAGTGGAGTTGCTCTTATTAGCTCCTTCTTTTCCACACGTGAGGCTATGGGCCCTTCACACAAGCAGCTGCAGTCAGTTAGCGCAGGAAATTTCTTTCAGGTTCTGACTCCTACCATGTGCTTGATACCCTATCATTCTTGTTTGGTTCCCTTTATTCCTGAATTATCCATTCTGTAGTCTTCCTTGGATTGACAACTCAAGTGAACCATCTATATGCCTGCACTTTGTTTCAATCTTTAGATTCGTTGGATCACCCACACATGTTTCAGACATAGCCTTCCACCATGGGCAAGCTTTGACAGACTCTTGTGCCTAGTCTATACTCACTGACACTGCACCCCAACCCAGGGCTGGTGCTAAAGTCTCCCTCTTACCTGACAGGGGATATTAGTTAGGTATATAGAATCATTGATTTGTATGAAGGTCTGCACAAGCCACATACCTTGTCACATCTGGCAGAAGCATCTCCTGCAATCTAGAAATGTACTGTTCAGGTCAGGCGCCGGGGCTCACTCGTGTAATCCCAGCACTTTGGGAGGCTGAGGCGGGTGGATCACCTGAGGTCAGGAGTTCGAGACCAGCCTGGCCAACATGGTGAAACCCCATCTCTACTAAACACAAACACACACAAACACACACACACACACACACACACACACACACACACACACACACACAGCTCGGCGTGGTGGCAGGTGCCTGTAATCCCAGCTACTCAGGAGGCTGAGGCAGGAGAATTGCTTGAACCCTGGAGGCAGAGGTTGCAGTGAGAAGAGATTGTGCCATTGCACTCCAGCCTGGGCAACAAGAGCGAAACTCCGTCTCAAAAAAGTGTGCTGTTCAGGGAGGGATTACAGGGAATTCCTGAAAACAGTGAGAAACATGTGGACACTCCTTATCTGTCAAAAATTTCAGCACCGTAATCTGCTGATTCAGTCAAGAAAGAAAGAGAGAGTACATTAAATAGTTCCACTTACAAGTGAATTCTGCTTCCTAAGCAACTAAAAGAGCTTGCACAGAAGGCCTGGTTCTAGGAAAACCTCAAGTGCACTGTATAATGGATAGAAAATGTGCCCAAGTCTCTCAATCTTTTGGGGATTCAGAAACTTTTGCATGATGTTATTTTGTCACCCGCCAACACCTTTTCACTGCAGCTACAACAACTACTAAAACAATGGGTGGGAGATGGCCCACTATATAAAACAGCTGGAGAAAAGGTGCTACCCATGGGATTGGCTGGGCCTAATATTTTGCCATTCATACACTCTGTTGTGTTATTGTAAAGTTGAGAGCAGTAGCACCTGCTTCCGTATTTGTGTCATAGTATACTCTCGGTATTTAATGGATATATGAATGAAGATTTTATCCAGCTGCACCTGCAGCCCAAGACAATTTTGAGTTGCCACTAGTACCCTTTGCTGTAGAAGCCAGCTTATTGTAAGTCCTCATCATTAAACTGGGATTGTATATATGTTTCCATCTTTATTGAGGTATAATTGACATAAAATTTTATATGTTTAGTGTGCATGACTTAATGTTTTGATATACATTGTGAAATAATCACCACAATCAAGTTATTTACCATATACATCACCTTATATAGTTCCTATTTTCTGAAGATCTATTCTCTTAACAAATTTCAAGTATGCAATAATGTATTGCTAACTATATTCACATTGCTGTATGTTTGAGCTCAATAACTTATTCATCTTGCATACCTGAAACTTTGTACACTGTGACCAACATCTTCCCATTTCTCCCTCTCCCATCTTCTAGCAACCACCATTCTAATCTCTATTTTTATGAGTTCAACTTGTTTGCATTCCACATATAAGTGATATCATGCAGCATTTGTCTTTCTGAGCCTGGCTTATTTCACTTAGCATATAATGTCCTCCAGGTTCATCGATGTCATCACAAATGGCAGGATTTCCTTTTGTTTAAGGTTAAATAAGATTCCATTGTGTATATATACATGATATTTTCTCTACCATTCATCTGTCCATGGACACATAGGATGGTTCCAAGTCTTGGCTATTGTGAATAATGGTTCGATGAACATGGAACTGATGTATCTTATACATACTAAATCATTTCCTTTGGCTATATATCCAGAAGTGAGTTTACTGAAACAAAACAGGAATAAAAAGCCTACCAACCAGAAAAAGTCCTGGACCAGTTGGATTCACAGTCGAAATCTACCAGACACGTAAAGAAGAGCTGATACCAATCCTACTGAAACTATTACAAAAAATTGAGGAGGAAGGACTCCTTCCTAACTCATTCTATGAGGCAAGCATTATTCTGATACCAAAACCTGGCAGAGATGCAAGAAAATGGAAAACATCAGGCTGATATCCCTGATGAACATAGATGCAAAAATCCTCAGCAAAATGCTAGCAAACCAAATCTAGCACCATATCAAAAGCTAATCCACTAAGATATTTACTCCTGGGATACAAGGCTTTACTCCTGGGATATAAGGTTGGTTCAACACATGCAAATCAACAAGTGTGATTCATCAAATAAATAGAATGAAAAACAAAAGCCACGTGATTATCTCAATAGATGTAGAAAAGACTTTGGATAAAATTTAACATCCCTTCATGTTTAAAGCCCTGAACAAACTAGGCATTTATTTGAACAAACATACTTGAAAATAATAAGAGCCATCTATGAGAAACCCACAGCCAACATCATACTGCATAGGCAAAAGTTGGAAGCATTACCCTTGAGAACCAGAACAAGACAAGGATGCCCTTTCTCACCCCTCATAATCAACATAGTACTGGAAGTCTTAGCCAGAGCAATTAGGCAAGAGAATGAAATACTAGGCATCCAAATAGTAAGAGAGGAAGAGAAACTATCTCTCTTCACAGACAATATAATTTCATACTTAAAAAACCCCATAGTATCTGCCCAAAAGCTTATAGGTCTGATAAACAACTTCAGCAAAGTTTCAGGATGCAAAATCAATGTGCGAAATTCAGTAGCATCTTATTACACCAACAACACTCAGGCTGAGAGCCAAATCAAGAATGCAACTTGATTCACAATAGCCACAAAAAAACTAAAATACCCAGGAATACAGCTAACCAGGGAAGTCAAAGATCTCTACAATGATATTCTTAAAACACTGCTGAAAGAAATCAGAGATGGCAGAAACAAATGGAAAAACATTCCATGCTCATGGATAAGATGAATCAATATTGTTAAAATGTCCATACTGCCCAAAGCAATGTACAGATTCAGTGCTATTCCTATCAAACTACCAATGACATTTTCCACAGAATTTGGTAAAACTATTCTAAAATTTATATGGAACCAAAAAAGGGTCCAAATAGCCAAATCAATCCTAAGAAAAAAAAAGCCAGGGGCATCACACTCTACCAGACTTCCAGCTATACTATATATACAAGGCTACAGTAACCAAAATAGCATGGTACTGGCACAAAAACAGACACATAAACCAAAGGAACAGATTAGAGAACCCAGAAATAAAGCCACACACCAACAATCATCTGATCTTTGACAGAGTCAACAATAATAAACATGGGAAAGGACACTCTATTCAATGAATGTTTCTGGGGTAACAGGCTAGCCACATGCAGAAGAATGAAACTGCACCCCTTTCTTTCACCATATACAAAAATCAACTCAACATGGATTAAAGACTTAAATATAAAACCAAAAATTTTAAAAACCCTAGAAGAAAACCTAGGAAATAACATTCTAGATATAGGCCTTGGCAAAGATTTCACGACGAAGATGCCAAAAGCAATTATAAAAAAACCAAAAGTTGACAAATTGGGGCCTAATTAAACTAAAGAGCTTTTGCACAGCAAAAGAAACTATCAACAGAGTAAACAAACAACCTACAGAATGGGAGAAAATATTTGCAAACTATGCATTCAACAAGGGTCTAATATCCAGAATCTGTAAGGGATTTAAACAAATTTACAAGCAAAAACCAAACAACCCCATTAAAATTGGGCAAGGGACACAAACAGACATTTCTCAAAAGAAGACATGACAAGTGGCCAACAAGAATATGAAAAAATGATAAACATCACATATCATTAGAGAAGTGCAAATCAAAACCATAATAAGAGATTATCTCACACCAGTCAAAATGGCTATTAATAAAAAGTCAAAAAATTACAGTTGCTGGTGAGGTTGTGGAGAAAAGGGAATGCTTATACGCTATTGGTGGGAACGTAAATTAGTTCAGCCACTGTGGAAAGGAGTCTGGAGATCTCTCAAAGAACTTAGAACTATCATTCAACATGGCAATCCCATTACTGGGTATATACCCAAAGGAATATAAATTGTTCTACCATAAAGAGTCATGCATGTGTATGTTCATCACAGTACTTTTCACAATAGCAAAGACATGGAATGAAACTAGATGTCCATCAATGGTGGACTGAATAAAAAAAAGTGGTACATATACACCATGGAATACTACACAGCCATAAAAATGGAATGAAATAATGTCATTTGCAATAACTTAGGTGGAGCTGGAGACCATTATCCAAAGTGAATTAATGTGAGAAGAAAAAAAACAAATACATGTTCTCACTGTTAAGTGGGAGCTAAATATTAAGTACACATGGATACAAAGAAGGGAACAATAGACCCCAGGACCTTCTTGAAGGTGGAGGGTGGGGGAGAGGGTGAAAATCGAAAAATTACCTATGAGGTACTATGCTTATTACCTAGGTGACAAAATGTCTGTACACCAATCTTCCATGATGCACACTTTACCCATATAACAAATCTGCACATGTACCACCTGAACCTAAAAGTTGGAAAGAAAAAAATTATTGATAGGTGCAGATTTACTATTGCCATTTTATTAATTTTTTTCTGTCTGTTTTGTAGTTATTTTGTTCCTCTCTGCCTCTCTTGCTGTCTTTCATTGATATTTAATAATTTTTAGTAGTGATTTGCTTTGATTCTGTTTTCTTTATCTTTTGCATATTCATTATAAGCTTTTTTTTCTTTGTGGTTAGCTCAAGCCTTGTATAAAGTATCTTATATTTGTAGTTATTTTAAGTTGATAAAAAATTTAACTTCAATCGCATTCAAAAACTCTACTCTTTTACTCCCCACAACTTTGTGATTTGTAGTCAGAGTTTGCTTCTTTTTATATTGAGTATCCATTAAAATTTGGCTTATTTTAACTTTTATATTAAAAGTTATTTGTACATCACCATTACAGTGCTACATTATTCAGTATTTATCTATGTGTTTACCCTTACCAGTGAAATTTATGCTTTCATATGCTTTTGCATTGCTGTTTAGCATATTTTCTTTTCAATTTGGAGAACCCCCTAAGCATTTCTTTTAAGGCAGTCTAATGGTGATAAACTCCCTTAGTTTTTGTTTGTGTGGTAAAGATGATCTCGTCTTCATTTTTAAAGGATAAATTTGCTGATATAGTATTCTTGGTTGACAGTTTGTTCTTTCACTATTTTGAATATATCATGCCACTCTCTCCCCATATAAAAGTTTTGCTGATGGGCTTAGGCAGTTTTCCCTCATATGTTATGTGTCACTTTTCTCTTGTTGCTTTCAGAATTCTATTTTTGTCCTTGACTTTTGACAATTGATTTTAATATGCCTCCATGTAGTACTCTTTTTGTTGATCCTTTCTGAGATGCATTATACCTAATGAATCTGGATGCCTATTTCCCTCCCAAGATTTGGGAAATTTTCTGTCATTATTTCTTTAAATAAGTTTTCTCTTCTTTCTCTCTCTCTGATGCTTCTAAAAATTCCATAACATAAATATTGGTTTGCTTGATGGTTGTCCCATAAGTCCCATAAGCTTTCTTCACTCTTTTTAATTTTTTTTTCTTTTTTCTTCTCTGACTGGGTAATTTTAAATGACCTGTTTTCAAGTTCATACATTCTCCTGCTAGAGTGAATCTACTTTCTGTTGCATTTTTATTTCATTCATCGTATTCTTCAGCTCCAGAATTTCTGTTGTTTTTCTACGATTTCAATCTCTTTGTTGAACTTCTTAATTTCTTCATGTATTGCTTTCATGACTTTGTTAAGTTTCCCATCTGTGTTTTCATGTATTTTACCGAGCTTCTATGAAAACTATTATTTTGACTTCTTTGTTAGGCAATTTATACATCTCCATTTGGGGAGGATTAGTTATTCAAAATTTATTGTGTTTCTTTGGTGGTGTCATGTTTCCACTGTTATTTGTGTTCCTTATAATCTTGTGTTGATATCTGCACATTGGAAAAAGCAGTCACCTCTTTAAGACTTCATGAACAACCTTCAGTGGGGAAAGACTTTCACTTACAGGTGAGTGCAAGGGCATGAGCTAGGTAGAGTGTAGTGGGTCTAGCTCCAGAAGGAAACAGTGGCATAAATTCCAGACCAATCTGTCAGCTGAAGTCACTGTTGGCAAAGACAACAGAAGTACTTGGCAGTGAAAGATGTGTGTGTCCATGATGGTGGAAAGATCTGCTAGAATCCTTGCTAGGGAAGACTGCTGGGGTGCTCCTGCTCTCCTTTTTTTCCCATCAACATTAGTTATGACCAAGGTGATCCCTTTTGGTGCTGGAGTATTGAGCACAGTTGTGTGTGCAACAGCAGCACCACCAAGGCCTGAGAGATGAGTGTGTGTGTAGCAGTGACCATGCCATGGCCCAGGGCATGGGTGTGCACACAGTGGTGCTATAGCAGGGAAAAGGTGTCACAGCTCCAGTCACAGGGTTCACAGTGGCATGAATTTCAAACAGCTCCACCAGCTGGAGTTAGCATTGTCAAAGACTGTTGGAGTCCTTGTTGGTGAAGACTCCTTGGGTCTTCCTGCTCTTCTTTTTCTTCCACAAGGTGAAGTTGCAGCTGAGGGAATCCATCTTTGCACCAAGCTATGCTGAGCTGGGGAATAGGCTGATGCTGGTAAAATGCTTCTTATACTTTTCTATGCCAACATCCTTTGTTTTTGTGTTCCACTAGGTTGCTGCAGCTTTTTCATTGTACTCTAGAGTTTTGCCAGAGATATTTTCATCAGTGGGTAGTTGTTAATCATTATTTTGGCAGGCGGGATATAGGCTGGGACTTCTTAGTCTGCCATTTTGCTGATGTCAATTCTAGGGGATAATTCTAGTGATTAAGAACACCACTATTCAAGTAGCATATTACTGCCTTTGAAATAATACTCCAGTTGTATCAAACATTGCTGCCAAAATCATCAAGGAAATTCTCCATTTCCAAGAATGTGACATCCACTGATCTCTCATGAGAAAGTCATGTTTGTATCCCCGCTTTGGAGAATGCTGTCAAAGCCCTCCACATTTGCATCTACCTGTCACCATCTGCAGATGGATGTTATGGTGGGTCCTTTAAATGGACTCTTGGACTTGGAAGCATCACTCTGTGCTACACCTCTTATGTACAGTAGGTACATTTTTTACCAACCTATTAAAGTGGGATTCACACAGAGTCAGCCACTGCACTCCTCCAAGAGGCAGAACCCTTCCAGAGAAAACAGTTTTTCAGTTTTCCATTTAGTACTTCCATTACTCTAATGGCTAAACAGAACCTAAAGGATATCCAGGCCAATCAACAGATGCTGGTGAGGTTGTGAAGAAAAAGGAACGTTTATACTCTGTTGGTGTGAGAATAAATTAATTCAGCCATTGTGGAAGACTGTGTGGTTATTCCTCAAAGATCTAAAGAAAGAAATATCATTCGACCCAGCAGTCCCATTACTGGGTATATACCCAAAGGAATATAAATCATTGTATTATAGAGACATATGCATGCCTATGTTCATTGCAGCCCTATTCACAGTAGCAAAGACATGTAATCAACTTAAATGCCCATCAATGATAGACTGGATAAAGAAAATATGGTACATATACACCATGGAATACTATGCAGCCATAAAAAATAATGGCATCATGTCCTTTGAAGAAACATGGATGGAAATGGAGGCCATTATATTTAGCAAACTAACACAAGAACAGAAAACAAAATACCACATGTTCTCACTTATAAATGGGAGCTAAATGATGAGAACACATGGACACATAGATGGGAATAACACACACTGGGGCCTTTCAGAGGGTGGAGAGTGGGAGGAGGGAGAGGATCAGGAAAAATAACTAACGGGTACTAGGTTTAACACCTGAGTGATGAAATAAACTACACAACAAACCCCATGACACAAGTTTACCTATGTGACAAAGTCGTACTTGTACTCCTGAACTTGACATAAAAGTTAAAAAAAAAATCATGTTTTTTGTTCTTGAAAAATAAACAGAAGCACCACCACTCCACCACCCTAGTGTGTCTACGACGATAACTAGAATGCTGCTGGCCCTTTTCTCAGCCTCAGGGGGTGCTCCTCTGCCTGCCTCCGCTCTCAAATGAAGGATGCCTAGTTGATACCCTTAAAAATAAAAGAGACAGTCAGTTTGGTGGCATTTCTACTCTGTGTCCTCCCTTGCATATTTCACCATTCTCTGTTTCATCTGAGCTATCCCTCAACAACTGCCCCGATTACTCAAGTTGGTAAATAGAATGTGTTGCAGAAAATGTAGTTGCTCACTCAATTCTCATTTCCTTTAAAAGCTTCTTGCATGCCCATGTTACTGCAGTTACTTGTCTTAAGAATCAAAAGTTAGGATAAGCTTTATTCCCTATTATGAGCTTCTAACATCTCTTCCCTTTGGCTGCTTTTAGACTATTTTTATTGGCTGGAGCTTGCTACAACTGGTTCATGAGAGCTGAAAGTGTGCATCTTTTCCCAACTCTGTATTCAGTGATGCCACATTAAATAGAAATTCACATAATAGAAATTATGTGAAATTCACATAATAGAAATTATGTGAATTTCCCATAATAGAAATTATGTGAAATTCACATAATAGAAATTATGTGAAATTCACATAATAGAAATTATGTGAAATTCACATAATAGAAATTATGTGAAATTCACATAATAGAAATATGATGTCACATAATAGAAATATTAACATGAAAGAAATTGCCACACACTGGTTTTCCCCTGCCTGTAGAGCCAGTTATTACACATTGACCAGCAAATCCCTGCTTGTACCTTACCTTCCCATTTTTTACAAGTCTCCTTTGGCTTTCTGGCCTGGCACAGATATTTTCCTTTTTTCTGAACTTGCACTTATTAAGGAAGTTGCTTCAGGGAGCTGCTCTTTGATTCCAAATATCACATCAAGGAGCAGGAGGCATCCCACTTCTTCAGCTTGCCCAGGCATAAGGGACATCCCTCTGATCAGAGCTACAGTAACCTTTGTGACTCAACTTATCACAGGCAGGGTGTCAGACAAGCTTTAGAGTCCACTTGACTCCTGGGGGCTTCTATTTGCATTTCACAGAGGAGGACTGTGGCAGTGGTATATTTAGACACTCTGCCAAGTGACAGCCCAGCATTGGAACTGTGGAGTTTCAGTATCCAAACCTTAGTTGTTGCTTGCAAAACTCCCAATCCTGCAGAAAATCACTGATGATTCCTAGTGGTAGTCCTACTTTCCATTGAAGACATTCTGCTCCAGGAATGTAGGGGAAGGTTGGGCATGTTACATTTCTGATCTCTTGACAGGCAGATAACAAAAATGATAGCATGCTAACATAGCATTCACCATCTATCACATATTAACTAATT
This sequence comes from Homo sapiens, assembly GCF_000001405.40. Taxonomy (NCBI): domain Eukaryota; kingdom Metazoa; phylum Chordata; class Mammalia; order Primates; family Hominidae; genus Homo; species Homo sapiens. The sequence goes on along the minus strand of NC_000023.11, from coordinate 110,877,979 downwards.
TAATCATCACATTAACCCAAAAATGGGTACTATTATATACCCATTTTAAAGATGAGGACACTGAGGCATAAAAATATTAAGTAACTTGCCTAAGTTCACACAGCCAGTAAGCAGCAGAATCAAGATGGTGACCCAAGCAATCTGCCTCTAGATCTCATTCTCTTAACCACTACATTATGTTGCCTATTAACACACAAATGTGGGCAATTCTCTTGCTATAGCTCAATAGTACATCCCTCACAAGAGCCAACATGTGCTTAGCAATTCCATCTGGGATGATCTTTTCTGAGCAATGGATTTCTGCTATGTTAGTGATTTTCAGTTCTTGGCATGGGGCTGGAATGAAATGATTTTCCTCACACACACAGTTCTGAGATGATCTCAAGGGTACAGATCCCAAGCCCCTGAGAACTGCAAAACTGGCAGACCTATTAACAGTCCACCTGCATTTTCCACTGCAGCTGTTGACATTGCCCCTCCAACTCACACTAAAATCAGCTGCCTGCACACATCATTCATTGACAACTGTGGAGTGTATGTTTCCAAAGGCTGGGAAAGCACCTGTGCCTATTTTCCAGAGGTGCTGGTCCAGTCATGTGTACTGGAGCTGGCTTGTACTGGCTCACAAGAGCCAAATGTTAATGGGTTCATAATATTATTTAATTTTTAATAAAATTATTAAACACAGCCATTATTAAAAATTAAATAATATAAACTTCTAATTAAATTATATAAAAAACAAAGATAATACTCAAAATTTATCACTTGTTAACTATTTTATTTTGTTATCATCATCTATGCTGTTGATGTTATTTATGGCTTTTGTATATGTAGGGTGGAAATAGCATATAATGGTGTACTACTGTATATCTCTTCCCAATTCCATATTCAGTGATACCATGTGGGCAGCTTGAAGCATGATGGTTTGAATTATGCTGGGAATAATTATACCATGAAAATCAGCAAACACTACAAATCAGGGCTTCTCCTTTTGAAGAGCTGATAGTTAAACATGTACCATGACACCATAATCCTTGTGTCCTGACCTACAGTGTCATTGCCCTCTTCCGTCAAAGACACATTGAGCCCAACAGCATAGAATATACAGGCCCAAGTGCTATTGAATGTGAACTCACAGTAGCAAATGGGCTTCTATCTCTAGGTAAAGGCTTTGAAGTCCCCACCTCCCAACGCAAAGCCCCCCTGATCTGAGATGACATAGTGATACCAGTCAGTCCACAAATGCCTACCTGCTTCCTTTCATGTACCAGTCACTGTTTTAGGTGCTGGTAATTTAGCTCTGATAAAAACAGACAAAAATCCCCACATTTACAAGGTTTTCATTCTGGTTGGGGTCGAGAAGATAAAAATAAACAAATACAAAAATATAAATAACATGATTTCATGTAGTCATGTGACAGACATAGAGTGGGGACAGCTATTTTAGATTGAGTGATCAGGAAAGGCCTCTCTGATAGAGTGACATTTAAGTTGAGATTTGAATGATGAGAAGGAGGCATTTCTGTGACAATCTGGAGGAAATTGTTTCAAGCAAAAGGAACAGCAAATGTAGGAGCCTTGAGGCAAGAATAATTGCTTCCATCCTAGTAGTTAAGAGGGCAGGTTCTGGATTTAGTCCACTTGGGATTGTTACTGGCTCTGTTATCTTTTCTGTGACCTGAGGCAAATCATCTAACTTCTCTGTGCTTAATTTTTCTTATCTTTAGAATAGGAATACTAATAGAACAGGCATTATAAGTAGTCATGAGGCTTAAATGAAATACTCCATGTAAAATGCTCAGCACAGTGCTTGGCACATAGTAAGTAATAAAAACATGCTATCTCTTATTACTATTAATAACTGATATATTTGACAGGCACTACTTGTGAAAGGGATCAGTAAACATGGAGCCATGCCATCAAGCTGGAAATGGGAGAAAGCGCCAAGAGGCTTAATATGGTTTGGCTCTGTGTCCCCACACAAATCTCATGTGGAATTATAATTGTCAATGTTGAGGGAGGGACCTGGTGGGAGGTAATTTGATCATGGGGTCAGATTTTCCCCTTGCTGTTCTCATAATAGTGAATGAGTTCTCATGAGATCTGGTTGTTAAAAAGTGTATGGCACTTCCCTCTTCACTCTGTCTCCTGCTCCTCCATGTAAAGAAGGTACTTGCTTCCCCTTTGCCCTTCCACTGTAAGTTTCCAAGGCCTCCCCAACCATGTTTCCTGTATAACCTGCAGAACTGTGAGTCAATTAAAACCTCTTTTCTTCATAAATTACCCAGTCTCAGGTAGTTCTCTATAGCAGTGTGAGAATAGACTAATATAAGGTTTGTGCAGTCCATTACACAGGGTCCACCTCCACCTTTCCGCTGGGCCCTCACCCTTTCCTGGGTAAAAGTCTTCAAAGTGGTTATCATCTGGAAAAATCAGGATTTCCCATTTATAACAAAATGATACAGTTATCATGTTCCTCCTGTGCCCCTCAGTCCTGGATCACATGGAACACTGTCCATCATGAGGGGTTTTCTTGCAGTGAGTAGGGAAACTGACATTACGCAGAAGTCTAGCTGTTCCAGTCACCTTGGACTCCAAGGTTCAGGTTACTGCTCAGTTCACATATTGTGTCTTAGAGCCCAAGAGTAAGACACTAATTTTCTGCAGTGCTTCATTCACTTCCCTTGATGACACTCCTGATTTCTTTTTAACTTTGATAAATGAAGAGTTCTACCCTTGCTTGGATGCCAGTGATCTCAACATGATCACCACTGCCTGTTCATGCTCAATTCAAATCTCTGGGACAAGCTATGTGAGGTATCACTATGAAATGGAACCTCTGGGGCCCTACAGTTGTTCATTTCCTGGGGGGTGACAAGTAGAGGTTGCACTTCAGCCAAAGTAAATCTGCTGTAGTATTATTTGGCCTGAGCAATCTTGAATATCTTCTAAATCCTAGTGGAATGGAAGACAGCATAGCATTTGACAGTGGTTTAGCATAGGTGTTCAGAGCATGGGCTCTATAGTCTCACTACCTTAGTTTAAATCTCAGCTCTTCCAATTAGTACCTGTGTGATCTTTGGGTAAATTAGCTATCCTTTCAGGTTCTGAGTTTGCTAACCTATAGAATAGGGGTAAAAAGAGGATTGGGTTCATAATAAGTGCTCAATAAATGTTAGTCATTATTATTTTAATGATCAACATCTATGTGACCTCCTGCACAGATAGTCTGTTCTCTACCTGGATGACATCCTATTTTATTTTCACACCTGCTTTCAAAAATAAAACAAAACAAAAAGCATGGTCTGGCATGTTCATAACTACCTGTAGTGGTATCATCTTGAACCCACAGTAAAAAGTGCAGATTCCAAAGTTCAGAGGTAGAATTCTCAAACTAACTCTTGTCTGACTAATATGCTAACCACCTAGGAGTAGTACCTCCTTAGGCTAATCAAAGATGCCCTTAGAAGCCTGAGGTTCACCAAGTGCTGCTGAACATTTATCCACCATTTTTCTGCCACGATATTGTAAAAGGTAGATTTTTACCTGAGGAGAATGGGATCCTCTAATCTTCCATCATAGCCATGGCCATAAAGACTCTGTTTACCTCTGCTCAGATTCTAGTCTATCCAACTAGGCAATATCCTAGCAAAGGTGATTCCTCCAGCATTATTTTGGGGGAGCCATTCTATCACAGGTGAATCCCAAACACCAGTGCTCACTTCTGTTGTGTCTGAGTCACCAAGACATCATCAATGTTTTTTTTTTTTTTTTTTGAAAACGAAGGCTACTGACCAACAAAGCTCTCTCAGAAGCATGTTGTTACTTCCTCAAGGATCCCAGAACATGATGACAGAATACTCAGATCACTGAGGTCTAGAGCAACTGATACACAGTCGTTGCTGCTTACTTCTGGTTTAACTTCTAGGCACACTATGTAACATGGAATTTTGTGGTTATCAGGACACAGCCACAGCCAGCAGAGGTGATCTGAGTATTCTGTCTCCATGGCCTTGGGTGGAGAGGAATGCCCACATCCTGACATTACTCCAGCTGTCCACCATAGCTCATTCCAAACCTTAAATACAGGGCCTATGGGCAACCTGGCAGCTGATATGATATGCTCCAGTACACTGCAAACTCTGGCACCTGTATCCAGGTCAAAGATAGATCTGGGCAACCCAAAGATTAGTTTCACCTACTCCTGACACCACACTGTTCCTGGGACACCATCTCACTCAAGTTGATTTCCAACCTGGCCTTTGCCATAGCCACAAAATCATCTTTGTGATAGTGCTGGGTGGGTGTTCTAACAAAAAATTGTCATATTAGATCCTGACTCTGACTTCCACTCATAATGCATTCATTTGTTCAAATAAATAAATGCCATGCATTCATTTGTTCAAATAAATGAATGCCATGCATTCATTTGTTCAAATAAATATGTATTAAGTACCTACCATTTCAGTACTGTGGAAACACTGCTGAAAAGGAATGACAATGTCCTGGACCACATGGATGTTATAATCTGGGAATGGGAGGAATAATACATAAATAAATAAATCTGCAAATGTTGATAAATTCCACCAAGTAAATTAATAGGGTAATTTTAAAGACATTAATTAGTAAGAGACAACTCTAGACAAAGTGATCAGGAAAGAGTTCTTTGAGGTAAGATGTACACTATGAAAAGGCACAAGCTATGCAAAAAAAACATTCCAGGCAGAAGGAAGAGCAAGTGCAAAGGTCCAACAGTAGGAAAGGGCCTAGGTTTCAGGAACAGAAAGAAGAGGCAGGATTATGGTGAATGAGTGGGAGACTGATAGGAAATGAAGATGTAAAGTTAGGCAGAGACCACCACAACCTTAATTATCTTACAAGATCCTTAGCCCCTGTGGACTTCCCAGCCATCTGGCCCAGTTTCATCCATCAGTGTACCATCCATCTACAGACTAAGTAAAAGTTTCATCATTCCAATGCCAGAAGAATTTCTCTGTGGCTTTACCGCCTACCAGCCAAATGACTGATCCACCTACTTTACCATGGCAGAAGTTTCCTATGTCATCTCACTGTAATACTGCTTTGGAAACACTTCCTTTCACAGTAACTATAGTCTTAGCCTTCACACTTATTTCACTTCTACCATCACGGACATCCTTGTAATTAGCTTTTGCCCTGCAAGGGGAGCTTCAGGATGCCTAGAAAGTTACCTAGGGCACTTTCTGGTGGGTCAAAGACAAAGGCCAGGCACGGTGGCTCACACTGTAATTCTAACACTTTGGGAGGCTAAGGTGGGAGAATCGCTTGAGCCCAAGAGTTCAAGACCACCCCGGACAACATAGTGAGATCCTGTCTCTCCACAAAAAAATATTTTAAAAATTAGCCAGGTGTGGTGGTGTGTGCTGTAGTCCCAGCTACTCGGGAGGCTGAGGCAGGAAGATCATGTGAGCCCAGGAGTTTGAAGCTGCAGTGAGCCATGATTGCCACTGCACTCCAGCCTGGGTGAAAGAACAAGAACCTGTCTCAAGGAAAAAGAACAGTACAAAGGATAGACCTCCTAGTACTGGGTATGGAGTAGGGCCAAGACAATGGAAAACCTGATATGGAAGACAACTTCTGGGTCTTCTCTGGGCACATATGCACCATGGAAGATCAGGGATCACAGGGATCACTGCTTGAGACTTTTAAGATATCTATCATCAACTCTGCAGGTCTCTGACACCAGCAGCCTTCCTATTCCATGCCTTTTGGCGAATATCCAACCTGTTCTAGACATGTTTACTGCTACACCTGTCCCACTATGATCTAGTCTTCCATTTGGCACTTCAGTGTCCTTCACAGACGGCCTAGAATGAAAACCACTATTACAGAAAGGGAAGGTATCGGGTTCATGTTGATAGTATGATAAGACCTATACCTGGCTTGTTGATAGGGTAACAGCCAAAAGACTGGCCTTGGGAATCTACCTCTGGTCAGCAACAGGCCAGAGTTTATGAGGCAAATACAGGAAAATCCTGGGATCCTCTACCTGTCAGAAGGAGTCTAGAAGGGAATAGTGTCTACTCTGTTATTGTCTATGTTAATGCTTCTAAAAATACCATGACAGGGGTCATGGGCACTGGATAAAAAGCCACTGAAGTCACCTGCATTCTGGCACAGTTGTTACTCCAGGCCTCATTCCCAGCTCATTCGCTCAGGGTACACAACCTCTCTTGCAGATCTCATTCTTTGTCCATCTCCCTCAAATTCATACGTTTACCCCCTCTTTTGGTTTAGACTTATGTGGATTAGCAACTTGATTTTGGACTTTCCTGATGGCTCTGACTAGGAATTTCCTCAGGACAGTGCTCCAAATAACTTCCCCTGAACTGCATTCAGTACAATAATAACAATAAGAAAGAAGAAAAGTAGGAGGAGAAGGAGAGGAAACATTTATTGAGCTGTTACTAGGTATCAGGCGTTGTGCTAAACATTTTATGTTTGTTATCTTATTTACTCCTTGAGAGTTTCTTATAGCTAAAAAATGTGAGGCTCACTAAGGTTAAGTGACTTGCCAAGAACACACTGGTAGACAGAGACACAGATTCCAGTCCAGATTCATTTGACTCCGGAGCCCATGCTCTAAACCATACTCTGTCCTTTCTACATGCCTAGCCAGGCTTGCAGCATAGGAGGGGAATCCGACACATCATGGCCAACTTTAATATGCACCCCCTCTAAATGTGGCCAGTATGATCATACCCAAGGCCATGGGCACTGCATACAAGGCTGCTACTGAGTCCCTAAATGAAGGAAAATTCTTCCAGATTTGGCTCCCTTCCACTTCTGCAAATCTCCTATCTTGGCCCATTTTCTGCCTACCTTTGTATTTTGGGCTCCAGCTTTGATTAAGACTCATTCATGTTTAGTAACCTGGTAATGCTAGAGAATATCATTTCCAGTTACTAGCTGTAGGCTAAACCTTCTTAAAACAGAGATGAGAAGCATTATTGCCCCAGTATCTAGCCTAGGAATATGAGATGACTCTCACACACATGCTCATGGGTACCATAATCTGTCCTGCAGAAACCACTGGAACCAGGGACTTTGTGTAGCTTCCTCCTGGATCCCATTGAGGATGTGGGGCTGTGCTTGTAGTACAGTTTGTCTGCACTATTTCTTCATGTACCTAGAGCATGGCTGCCATCTCCACCATCTGTAAGTTGATGACCTAGGCCTCCAGCTGCCCTGTGAGGGCATAACAATGACAGAAACTCTCTGATGTGCAATCTCATATAAATGTGAATAGTGGGGAGCACATCAAAAGACATGTCCCAATTTTTATCAAGTATGATAAAACTTTTCACGAAACACAAATTAGATCATGCCACTACTCTGCTTAAATCTTTCAATAGCTCATCCTTGTTTACAGGAAATTGTCCAAATGAGTTAGCACAGCTCCCAAGGCCTCTATGACAGTGGCTTTTAAATGTTGTTCACCAGGATCAACAGCAAAACCTACATTTTATTTACTCTCCATCTTTATCCTTGGTCAACAAGGTTTTTGGTGCTAGCAGCCTACAACTTTAAGCTACTTTCTCAAAAAGCCATATTCTTCCCTTTATAATGTCCACCCTTCTTGTGGGCCCTATGCCATCTGTCAATCCTGGGCCCAGATCCCAGGAGTAATTATACTCAGGAAAGCAGACCTGCCTCTGCAGCCAAGGTACCTATCCAGTACCCATATCCATCTCAAAGCCAAAAACCTAGGCCTTCTATCAATACAGGGCAACTGACACTATATAGCTTGACGGTTAAGCACAGAAGTTTTGGGGTCAATTACACCAGAGTTCAAATCCTAGCTCGGTCTCTCATTAGCTGTGTGACACTCTCCCTTATTAGCTGTATGACACTCTCTGCCTCAATTTCCTTCTGTAAAATGGAGCTGATAATAACCATTGTGTCTATCTCATAATGTTGCTATGAGAATTATATGAAACAATGCATATAAATCACTCAGGGTCTTACTAGCTATCTAGCTTGGTTCTCTAATGCTTACAGATAAGGGTGCAGGTGCTGCAGTCAGACAGACCTGGATTCAGATTCTATGTCTTCCATTTGTTACCTGTGTAACTTTTGGCAAACTAACCTCTGAGCCCTTTTCTTTACCCATTAAATCAAGGTACTAATAGAATTGTTGGGGAGATTAATTAAGCATAGAAACATGGTTATCATAGTTTCTGGCACATAATATATGCTCAATAAGTGCCAGCTATTTGCATAATTGTAATAATTACTATTATTACTGTGATGATGATGATGATGATGTGATGGGAGAGTCATCAATTCCTCCACCTCCACCAAAGAAGACACAATGCTCTGCTTAGTTTTTATTTTTTATTGTGGTAAAACACACACAAAACTTTACAAAAGTAACCATTTGAAGGCCTACAATGTGTGGCACTAACTGCACTGACAATGTTGTGCAACCGTACTACCTATTCCCATAATATTTTCATCACCCCAAATAGAAATTACACACATATTAAACAATCATTTCCCATCATCCCTCCTCCAGCCCCTGGCTAATGCTAATCTGTTTTCTGTCTCTGTGGATTTGCTTACTTTAGATATATCATATAAATGAAATTATGAATCATACAATATGTAGCTTTTGTGGGTAGCTTCTTTCACTTAAGATAATATTTTAAAGTGTCATCCAAGTTGTAGCATGGATCAGCACTTCATTCCTTTTCATGGTGAAATAAAGTTTTATTGCATGAATATGCCACAATTCGTTTATCCACTCATCTGCTCGTGGGCATTTGGGTCATTTTCACCTTGTTGCTATGGTGAATAGTGCTTTTATGACCATTTGTGTGCACGTATTTGTTATAGTACCTACTTTCAATTCTTTTGGGTACACACATAGGGATGGAATTGCTCGGTCATATGGTAATTCCATGTTAAACTTACTGAGGAACTGCCAGACTGTTTTCAAGAGTGGTTGCACTATTTTACACTTTCACCAGCAATGAATGAGGATTCCAGTTTTTTATATCCTCACCAACAATTTTTGTTTTCTATTTTATTATATTATAGTCACCTAGTGAGTATGACGTGGTATCTCATTGTGGTTATGATTTTTATGTCCTTAATAACACCATTGAACAACTTTTCATGAGCTTTTTGGCCATTTGCATATCTTCTTCTGAGATATATCTATGCAAATTGTTTGAATCTTTCATTTAATGGGTTGTTTGCCTTTTGTTGTTGAGTTGCTAGAGTTCTTTATATATTCTGGATAGGAGAACTTTATCAGATATATGATTTGCAAATACTTTTTCGTATTCTGTGGTATGTCTTTTCACTCTGTTTACAGTATGCTTTGATGCACAAAAAGTTTTTAATTTTGATAAAGTCCTGTTTATCCATTTTTTCTTTCATTGCTTGTGCTTTTGGTATTATAGCTAAGAAACCATTGCCAAATTCAGGGACATGAAGGATTCATGTCCACTATGTTTTCTAAGAGTTTTGTAGTTGTAGCTCTTATATTTAGGTCTTTGATCCATTTTGAGTTAATTTTTGTATATGGTATAAGATAAAGATCCAGCTTCATTATTTTGCATGTAGATATCTAGTTGTCTCGGTACCATTTGTAAAGAGACTATTCTTTCTGTACTGAATGATCTTGACATCTTTCTAAAAAATCAATTGACCATAGACGGAGGGGTTTATTTCTGGGTGCTCAATTCTATTCCATTGATCTATATGTCTGTCTTTTTGCCAGTACCACTCTGTTTTGATTACTATATCTTTGTAATGAGTTTTGAAGTCAGGAGTGTGAGTTCTCCAACTTTGTACTTTTTTTTAAAGATTTATGGGCTACTTGAGGTTCCTTACAATTTCATATGAATTTGAGAATCAGCTTTTACATTTGTGCAAAAAAAAAGACTGTTGGGGTTTTGATAGGGATTGCGCTGAATCTGTATATCACTTTGGGGAGTACTGCCATCTAACAATATTAAGCCTTCCATTACATGAACACAGAATGTCTTCCATTTATTTAGGTTTTCTTTAATTTTCTACAACAATGTTTTCAGAGTATAAATCTTGCTCTTGGTTAAATTTATTCCTAAGCATTTTATCTTTTTTGATGTTTTTGTAAATAGAATTGTTTTTTAACTTCCTTTTAGATTGTTCATTGTCAATGTATGCAAATTCAATACACACTTGAAGAAAAATATCTCAAGGCTTGGCCTCTTCCACGACTACTTTGATTTAAAAATTGTTGTCTACAATTTAATCTGTGGTAGGAAAGTTAAGAAATGGACAATAGCCTACGAAAATCTCCCAGCTAAACCGAATACACTACCCTGCCCTTTGGCCTTCGTAATATCTAGTCATTCTCCATTAATAAATAACCAGTATTCCACACCACTACCTGGACAGAAGTTTATTGTCTAGCTGGATGACATTCTCAACTATCCAGCCTTCAGACCAACTAGGAGAGGTATTCATTTAAAAGCCATGAGGTCTAACTCTTGAGTCAAGAGTTACTTAGCCAAAGTTCTCCCCTGATGTCAGGGGTCAAGTTACATGTGTTAGCCTTGCTAGACTTGCACTCACTTAAGACAATCTAAGCCATCTAGTCATTCCTTGGAATTTATTGGGTATTAGCAAAGGTTCAATCCTTCCTTCTTCACTGTGACTGCCTAGCTAACCAAAATCATCACTCAGGAGAGAAATGTGTCTGTAAATGTATCTGTATCCTGACCTTTTGTATACACTCTCCTATTCTGACCATTCTTCCCTGAACCTAGACAGACAAAACCAATGCCTTTTTCATTGCAGTGGGAGCCATCCTGTTTCAGAAGAACTTAGTTACTTCCATCTCTATACTTATTTCTCTAGGAAGCTTCTTCTGGAATCAGTGCTGTTTGTCCACCAAGGCCACCTCATATTGTTCTGCTGTCAGACCACTGCAACCTGGAGCATAAAAGGTAAAGTCAAAAAATCACCCTACACCAGATAAGTCATTCTATTTTTTTTTCAGCTTATATTCATGATCACCATGAATATAAGCTGAACCTCCAAGTTTTTGCTTATTTTGGTCGTGTGCTACTTGCTACTCCATTTTGAACTGTGTGCAGTCTAATTCCAGTAGACCGGTGACAACATCCAGCATACAAATCAGATTTTAGAGCAGGATTTCTCAACTGAGGCAGTATTGACATTTGGGCCAGAAAATTATTTTATGTAGAGGCCTGTCATGTGGATTGTAGGACATATACCAGCATCCCTGGCCTTTACCCAGTAGATTCCAGTAGCACTCTTCCCTCCCATTTGAGTCAACCACAAATGCCCCCAGGCATTCCCAAATGTGTCCTGGATTTAAGTGCACTCCTGGTTGAGAACTACTATTTTAGAGGAGTACCTCTTCTGCTACATCTCCTTCCAAAACACAACTGATCTTATCTCAGCACAACGGAGATGCACTAAGAACAACGGAGATGCACTTCCAAAACACATCTCCTTCCAAAACACAGCTGATCTTATCTCAGCACAACTGAGATGCACTAAAAGCACTGCAGTCCATTTCTCAAAACAGCTTCTTTCTCTGCAGCCAGAGTTTCCACTGCTATTCTCCCAAACTCACTGGAGCCAGAAGATCTCTATAGGAACTAGAGGCTACTCCACAAAACTTCACTTTTTAATGTATTGTTAGAAGAAGAATACCAATTCGTACTAAACCACCAGGAAGGACATCTGAATGGACCATAACAGATGGTCCACTTTCATCCACCATTCTCTACTCATTTATTCTACAATCTGGAAGGTTACTACTGGGGACTCTGACGTGGCAGAAGTTGCCAACTCAAAGCTCTTCCAGTTCAAGCAGACCTCCTCTATGCACATCCAACCAGTCTTGCCTTACTGCTAGCATCACAGCAAGAAGTCAACAACCCGAGTTCAAAAACGTGAGTTTATTACGCAAGTGGTGGTGGGTTCAAGGAAAGGTCTAAATATTGACACCCAGGAAGTTGTAAAGGCCCCAGAAACAATCAAACAACCTGAATGATACCCTTGGGGTTGTGCAGTGCACGGCATGCCATAACGGTTTGCAGAGGCACATTTTCATTTCTGGAATCCTCCCAGACACTTTAGAACGTTCCTCTAGGCAAATCTCCAAGGAAAAATGGTTCACTCCACTTGGAGCAGGAGCCTGTAAAGATGGAATGGTGTTCTTTTTTGTTTTCTGGGTTTTTTTGTTTTGTTTTGTTTTTTTGTTTTGACAGAGTCTCGCTCTTTCGCCCAGGCTGGAGCGCAGTGGTGCGATCTTGGCTCACTACAAGCTCCACCTCCCGGTTTCACACCATTCTCCTGCCTCAGCCTCCCAAGTAGCTGGGACTACAGGAGTCCACAACCACGCCCAACTAATTTTTTTTTTTTTTTTGTATTTATAGTAGAGACGGGGTTACACCGTGTTAGTCAGGAATGTCTCGATCTCCTGACCTTGTGATCCGCCTGCCTCGGTCTCCCAAAGTGCTGGGATTACAGGCATGAGCCACCGCGCCTGGCTGGAATGGTGTTCTTTACACATTAGTCCTTTTAACTGCCCCTAGTGTGCCTGTGCCAGAAGCCCTAGTAAGTAACCCAATGCAAGCCAATTCCCCCAAAGTTTTAGCCTGCCTTTCACCTACATCAAATATCACACAATGGCCTTCCTGGTCCTTAGATCTCTGCTCTTACCATTTGGTCATCACACTCCAGCCACAGTGGTCTCCTTTCTGTTCTTGAACATGCCAAGCTCCCTTCTTGCCTGCAGGCCTTTGCACTTGCTGTTCTCTACCAGAGATACTCTTTCCCCACACACTTGGTTTCTAACTCCTATTTATCCATAAGGTCTCAGCTTAAAGACTACTTCCTCAGAGAGCCTAACCCTAACCACACAGTTGAAATCATTATTTCCTCCTGTACCCTTCCTCCAGTATTCTGCCTCTAGCTCCCTGTACTTTTTTCTGTAACACATCATACTCATTCAGGTTTTTTCTTTACTGTCTTTTTCACTAGACTGAACTCCATGAAGGTGGCGATGGTGTTAATTTTGTTCACCATTGATTGTGTCCTCAGTGCCTAGCACAGTGCCTGACACATGATATGCACTCTAAAAATATTTGTCAAATAAATGAATATGTACAAGTTGAAGTGTCTTCCTTGTGAGATATAGATTAAATTATTTTGAACATTTCATTTTGAAAAGATCAGCTGTCTATCTTTACTAAATTTGATTCTAAAACCTTTTCCATGGCTAATTTAATCTAAGATGGTTAAACTTTTTGATGAAACACAAATTGGATAATGCCATTACCTTACTTAAAATCCTTCAATAGCTTGCCATGGCCTACGGGAAAATGTCCAAAAGTATTAGCAGGGCTGACAAAGCCCTCTTTGACAGTGGGTTTCAAACTTTTTTTGGCTGTTACCCACAGTACATAATATATTTCACTTCGCAACCCAGTACTCATCTATACAAATATGTATTTACAGAGCTAAAAATTTTTTTTTTAAAAGTTTACCCTTACTATACTCAATGCATTATATTTTCTATTCTTTTATAGTTCATATCATTTAATAAAATTTTGGCCATGACTCACCAGATTTATTTCACTTGCAATGAGTTCCAAGCTGCAGTTTGAAAAGCACTGCTCTATGATTTGGCCCCCATCTTCAGTCCCTCCAACAATGCTGATGGCCTTCTGGGCCGTTATTCTCACCTTTACTCATATTGCTCCCACTATCTGTAGAACAGTTACTTGTGTTTCAAGACTCAGTTCAACACTTAATAAAGCTGCCTGGCCTCCCTAAGGAGAAGTGATCACTCTCACTTCTGGGCCTGCCCCACTCCACTCATCAGCACCCTGTAACAGCATCCTTTATCAGAGCTCTTAACATGGTATGCTATATGTGGTTTCTTATGTAGTTCCTCTTCAGCACCAGGTGTGGGTATAAATACATTGAGCATCAGAAAGTTCTTAGTCCCTTTGTGCCTAGCAAACTTCTTAAGTAGCTCTTGGAGATCATTAGGCACCTTCATTCTGAATTCCATTTATCAACCCTCACTACACTCTTAATGAACCACTCACGAAAAGGACAGACTTGGTTTGGGTTCCAGTGGAAAAGCTTAATGATTTCCCATACATTGCTACAATGAAAGATGGGCTCCTATAATTTTTCTTCCATATTAAATGTTTACTGTTGGGCTTAGTATTCTTCCCCAGATAGGTAGGAGCTGGAGAGTGAATGTGACAGACCCAAATGATGGTGTCCTGGGGGCCTAGGTTGGATGCTACGATTGGCACAAGTTTGCCAGGTCAGTACCATCCTGACTTTGGACACTCTTTCTTCGTTTGAGTTTCATTATTTCCTTTTGTGATTAAAATTTGTACTTAATTTGCTTTGCTTGACCTTCTGTGCTTCATAATTTGAATTCTCTGCTTTGGCTCATTAATGTTTCTGATTATCTTGGGGTGAGGAAGACAGATGTACTCTGCTTCTCATGACTCCAACCCCAGCACTGGCTCACTTGGCTAACACTCCTAGGCTGGACTTACCTTAGCCACCTGACAGAAGAAGTTCACTAATATAAAAATGGCTAAGACCCAGTCCCTGTCCTCATGAAGCATACAGTTTATAGACTATATTGAGTGGCTAGAACTTTCCTTAATCCAACATATCTGCTTTTAATTAGTCTTACCTAGTTCTAAACTCTTGTCATTCATGGGTTCTGGGCTTCTAGACCTCCAGCTACCTCAGCTTTTTGTTGTAAACTGTGACCACATGTCACCCAGTGTGACCACAGCATCCACCTAGCCAGGCAGTGCAGTTCTCCAGAGATGTCCTTGGAACAGAGAGGAGTGAGCTCCCACTGCACTTCCCTCTGTCTGGGGTCTACACCCTTTCTAAGATATTATAGCCCTCCTTTATAAGGTAGTATAGCATCCTGGCAACCACCAATCTATAGTCTCATAATATTTAAAGAAAACCTATGAATGAGACTCTCTACCTCCCCTTTCCAAATCCTAGTACTTTTTATGAAAAAGGAGAGAATAAAGTTGAGGATGTGCTGAAATGCTGAGAATATCAAAGCAGTAATAATAAAGGATCATGAACTTTGTGCTCAGGCCCAGAGTTTCATAATACCTCAGGGGACTGAGTATTCATAATCCTGAACCTAGAGAGGAGAACATGATCCTCTCTAAATCACAAAGGAAATGAATGAAAGTCAGATTTTTAGATCTTTACAGGTTTAAACTATTTAATGATTCCCTTTGGCATATGCAGTGCCTCAATGATACATCCACACCTTATGAATGGCATCATTCACAAGACTGAAACTGATTTGTTTCTTCAAAAACATACTAACATACTCCCAAGATCTAGTCTCCCTTAATGCGCTGATTTAGACGTTCTAGAGTGACTACAGAAGAGCCACCATACACGGGAGACAATATAGCATAATTACACACACACCATAGACAAATACTAACTTTATGCTGTTGGCTCTTAAATTTGTATCTCCAGCCTGGACCTTTCCTATGAACACCAGACTTATAATTCTGACTTTCTACTTGACTCTTTACTTGGATGTCTAATGAGTATCTCAAATTTAACATATCTATAAATGAACTCCATCTCTACCCCAAAAAACCTTGTCCTCTCATGGACTTCCCAATATCAATTAATGGCAATTCCACGCTTCAAGTTGCTCAACTGAAGAAAACTTGACTCATCCTTGATTCTTCTCTTTCTCACTCCACATTCAGCATGTCAGCAAACCCTTTCTACTTTGCCTTCAAAACATATCCATAGCCCAACTGCTTTTCACCACTGCTACTATTTCCGCTACAGCCTAACCCTCTATCATCTTTTTTTTTTTAAGAAAAAACAGACTTATTGACATACAATCCACATTCCATACAATTTATCTATTCAAAATGAATGGTTTTTAGTACATTCAGAGGTTTGCAACCATCACCAAAATCAGTTGTAGAACATTTTTATCACCCCCAAAAGAAATCCTGCACCTTTAAGTTATTTTTATTGATAGAATAAAATAAAACACGTTTGTAAATGTTTTGGAGTACATGTGATATTCTGGTAAATGTATACAATATGTAAGGATCAAATCAGGATAATTGGGATATTCATCACCTCAAACATTTATCTTTTCTTTATGTTGGGAACATTACAACTCCTTGCTTCTAGGTATTTTGAAATATACAATAAATTGTTGCTAACCATAATTTCCCTATTTTCTATCAAATACTAGAACTTATTTCTGCTTTGTAACTGTACTTGTGTACCCCCTAACCAACTTCTCTTCATCTTCTCCTCCCCATCTCCCTTCCTAGCGTCCAGTAACCACCATCCTATTCTTTACCACCATGAGATACACTTTTTTAACTCCCACAAATAAGTGAGAACATGTAATATCTATCTTTCTGTGCCTGGCTTATTTCACTTAATACAATAACCTCCAGTTCCATCTATGTTGCTACAAATAACAGAATTTCTTTTTTTGGTTGAATAATATTCCATTTTGTATATATACATTTTCTTTATCCACTCATCCATTCATGGACATTTAGGTTGATTTCATATCTTGACTATTGTAAATAGTGCTGCAATAAACATGGAAGTGCAGATACCTCTTCAACATACTGATTTTGTTTCTTTTGAATATATGCCTAGCAGTGGGTTTATTGGATCATATGGTAGTTCCATTTTTAGTTTTTTATAGAAGCTACATACTGTTTTAAATAATAGCTGTGCTACTTTACATTCCCATCAATAGTGTATGAGCATTCCCCTTCCTTTGCATCACCACCAGCATTTGTCGTTTTTTTTGTTTGTTTGTTTTTTTCATAGTAGCCATTCTAACTGGGGTGAGACGATATCTCATTGTGGTTTTGACTTGCATTTCCCTGATGATTTGTGATGTGGACATTTTTTACTATACCTGTTGGCCATTTGTTTGTCTTCTTTTGAGAAATGTCTATTCGGCTCTTTGACCCATCTTTGAATTAGATTATATGGTGCGGTTTTGTTGTTGTTGTTGCTATTGAGTTGTTTGAGTTTCTTGCATATTCTGGTTATGAATTCTTTATTGGATGGATAGTTTGAAATATTTTCTCCCATTCTGTAGGTTGTCTCTCCACTTTATTAATTGTTTCATCTGCTATGCAGAGGCCTTTTAACTTGACATAATCTCATTTGTCTCTTTTTGCTTTTGTCACCTGTGCTTTTGAGGTCTTACCCCAAAATATTTCCCCAGATCAATGTCCTTCTTGTAGCACTTCTCCAGTGTTTTCTTTTAGTATTTTTCATAGTGTCAGGTCTTACATTTAAGTCTTCAATGCACTTTGAGTTGATTTTTGTATATGGTAAAAGATGGGGACCTAGTTTCATTCTCCTGCATATGGATATCCGGTTTTCCTAGCACCATTTATTAAAGAGACGGTTCTTTCCTCAATGTATGTTCTTGACACCTTTGTCAAAAATGAGTTGGCTGTGTGTAGATTTATTTCTGGGTTCTCTTTGCTGTTCCATTGGTTCGTGTATCTGTTTTTATGCCAGTATCATGCAGTTTTGGTTACTATAGCTTTGCAGTATAATTTTCAGTCAGGTAGTGTGATGCCTCCAGCTTTGTTCTTTTTGCTTAAGATTTCTTTAGCTATTTAGGGACTTTTGTGGCTCCATATGAATTTTAGGATTTTTTTTCTATTTCTCCAAAGAATGTCATTGGTATTTTGATAGAGATTGCATTGGATCTATATATTGCTTTGAATAGTGTACACATTTTGACAATAATAATCTTTCCAATTTATGAGCATGGGATATCTTCCCCTTTTTTTGTAGCCTCTTCAATTTCTTTCATCACTGTTTTATAGTTTCCTTTATAAAGATATTTCACTTCTGAAAACCCTGTATCCTTTAGCTATCACCCACCTAGTTGCCCATTCTCTCTACCTCCCCAGTCTAAAACAACTGCTAGTCTACCTTTTGTCTCTGTAGCTTTGCCTTTTCTCGAAAGGTCATATAAATGGAGTTATACAGTATGTGGTCTTGTGACTGGCTTCTTTCATTTAGCAAAGTGCTTTTCAGATACATTGATGTTGTAACATAGATCATTACTTCACTTTCTATGACCAAATATCCATTGCATGTATACATTACATTTTGTTTGTCCATTTTTAGCTGATGAACATTGGGGTTGTTTCCACTTTTGGGCTATTATGAATAACGCTGCTGTGAACATTCACTTACAAGTTTTTATGTGGACATATGTTTTCATTTCTCTTGGGTATATGCTTAGGAGTAGAAGTGCTGGGTCACATATGGTAATTCTTAAGTTTAACCACTTGAGGAACTGCCAGACCCAGCTCCATCATCTTTTGCTTGAATTATTTCAATAGATTCCTAACCATTCTCCCTACTTCTGCCTATGCCTCCCTTTGGCTTATTCTTACTTAGTGATCGGGACAATGCTGTTATAACCTAAGACAGATGTCAAACCTCAGTCTCGCTTAGAGTAAGATATAAAGTCCTAGAAGCTCTGTATGATCTGGTCGTTCAATTACCTCTCTGACTTTATTTCCTTTTACTCTCCCCTGCATTTGCTCCATTGCAATCACAAAGGCTGCTTTCCTAGTCCTCTAGTACACCAAGTCCGCTACCAACTCAGAGATTTTGCACTTGCTTACATACCTTTCTCTTTGACATCTGAATGGCTGCTCCATCTCTTACTTCTGGGTTTTGCTCAAATGTCGCTTGCTTAATGAGATCTTACCTGGCCACCTTATTTTTACTTCCTCCCCTCCAAAAACATTATATTGCCACTTGTCTGCTTTTCTTCCCTTTGGCACTTACAATTATCTTATATACTATATAATATACTTTACTTACTTATGTAGTTTATTGTGTGCCTTCTGCATTAGAGTAAAACTTCTATGAGAGCAGAGATTTTTTATTCGTCTTACTCATGTTCCCTATTGTATGCTCAATACCTAGACCATGTCTTTCTCATCGTATTGTCTCAACAAATACTTGAATGAATAAATGAATGAATTAATGAGCAAGTGAATGAATAGTTATAAGCATGAGCTTTGGAGTCAGATAAACGTAGTTTCAAATCTCAACTTTGTCACTTATTAACAGTGTGACCTTGGGCAATCTTTTCTGAGCTTCAATTTCTTGCATGACTCACAGGGCTGATGTAAGAATTTTAATGAGATAATCTATGTAAAGTCCTTAGTATAGTTCTTGGCACATAGAAAGTGTAAGTAACACAAAAAATAATTAATATACACATATTTTTAAATGCATATTTGAAAACACAGAGGATAAATTCCTAAGTCATGTCCTGGCTGAAGCTAGACATGACATCCTCAGATGTAATGTGGCAAGGCAGGATTCTTGAATGAGCAAATGGATCACAGAGATTGCTGGTGGTAATGAGGTATCACCTTGGAGTCTTGTCCATTTTCCCCCTCTGAATGATCTCTCTCTTCCTTTCTTTTTTTTTTTTTTTTTTTTTTTTTGAGACAGGGTCTCTCTCTGTGGCCTAGGCTAGAGTGCAGTGGTGCAATAATGGCTTGCTGCAGCCTCGACCTTCTAAGCTAAAACGATTCTCACACCTCAGCCTGCCAAGTAGCTGGGATCACAGGCACATGCCACCATGCCTGGCTTTTTTTGTTTCTTTGCTTTTTGTTTTTTGTTTTGTAGAGACAGAGTCTCCCAATGTTGCCCAAGCTGGTCTCAAACTCCTGGGCTCAAGCGATCCTCCCACCGCAGCCTCCCAAAGTGCTAGGATTACAGGTGTGAATCACCATGCCTGGCTTAAGTGATCTCTTTAGGAAGAGATGAGCCTTCCTCTGACTCTAACTATGTTTAAGGCCTATTTACCTCCACTAAAATCCTTGCAACTCTGACCTGACTTATCCATGATTCATGGAGACAGGCACCTCCACTATTGCCATAGTGACCATCCTATCACAAGAGGGTACCTGAAAAAGATCTGCCCAGAAAATGTTGTGAGGCTAAGCTTGCTGGAATCTCATCGGGAGGTAACAGTAACTGACTTTTATACCCAGCAGCAATCTGTAGGGTACAAAAGGAAATTCCAACTGCCCAGACTCAGAAACATTATGATGTGGCATCCAATGGATGGGATGTAGGAGTGGTGATATCTTAGTGCAGGGGCTCTCAAACTTAAGCCTGCATCAGAATACATGGAGGTCTTGTAAAAACATACATTGCCTGGTTCTACTCCTAGAATTTTTATTTCAGTAGGTGCATTAGTCCATTTTCACGCTGCTGATAAAGACATACCCAAGACTGGGCAATTTACAAAAGAAAGAGGTTTATTGGACTTACAGTTCCACATGGCTGGGGAGGCCTCACAATCGTAGTGGAAGGCAAGGAGGAGCAAGTCACATCTTACATGGATGGCAGAAGGAAAAATAGAGAGAGCTTGTGCAGAGAAACCCATTTTTAAAACCAGCAGATCTCGTGAGACCCATTCACTGTCATGAGAACAGCATGGGAAAGTCCTGCCCCCATGATTCGATCATCTCCCACTGGGTCCCTCCCACAACATGTAGGAATTATGAGAGCTACAAGATGAGATTTGGGTGGGGACACAGAGCCAAACCATATCAGTAGGTCTAGGATGGGGCCCAAGAACTCGCATTTCTAACAGGTTTGCAGGTGATACTGATGCTGCTAGGCAGTTGTGGGGGCACACTTTGAGAACTACTGCTATAGTACAACCACATAATCATCCCTGAGCCTAAAAATCTGATTCAGTAGGTCTGGGACCCAGTCCAGGAATCTCCATTTTAAGCGAACAGTTTAAGTCATTCTGATGCAGGTGTTCTATGGACTGAGTACACTTTGTGATGCCTGCTATGGATGCTCAGGCCCTATCTATCTCTGAAGATGCTGATTGAGTACGTTCTGGGGTGGCACCTGAGAATTCATGTGTTCAATAAGCCCCCAAGTGGTTCTGATGCACATTAAAGTTTAAAAGCCATGGTTATTTACTGTCATCAGTTAGCTACACTTCTGAAACAGCTATTACAAACAGCTCCTTACAAGGCACAGCTGGGAGATGTAAAGGGAAGAAGGGATGTCCACATTAGCAAGTGAGAGAAATTCTTTTCCAAATAGGGACCATTGTGCAGGTAGGGGTAAAGGGAGGGGATGGAGAGGGCAGTTAAGTAGCTGTAAGGCTCAAGCAGGGTTTGCAAGGGAGGTCAGCTTTTGGTTGCTTGGGCAAGAGCTGCTCTGACAACAGTATACGCAGGCAGACTCCTCCTTATCCTTCAAGACCCTACTCAGAAGCATCTAATGCCTGGAAGTGACCTAGGAAGCTTTCCTAGGGCCAGTTCAAAGCTGTTCTTTGGACAATTCCTCAAGGAAAAGTCACAAGATTGAGAGGAACTTCAGACATCTTGCACCTAACCTTTCCCTTGTGGAATTATGGATGTGGGACATTGAGTCCCTGAGACAGGATTGGACTTGAGAGAGAATAAAAGCCTACACCAGTGCCAGAGAGGGGATCCTGCACATAATTTAATAACAGCAGCTAGGAACTGTGCTAGGCATTTTATATGCCTTATCTCCTATAATAACCACAATCCCATTAACTAAGCACTATTATTATTATTATTATTGCACCTCATACCTTCCCCTGCACTCTGAGACATATAGAGGCTTTTGCACCTGAGTGTAGGTGTGCACTTGAATAGAAGTTGTTATAAGGGCAGTGAGCTGGATAAAGCAATAGCCGAGTAAACAATATCAGCTCCCTGATTGGTCAGAGCAGTAAATTCCAACCACCTAGCAACCATGTTTGGGGAGGAGGATTGGCGATTATTTCATAACAGGAGACTAGGGAGAAAAGGACAAAAGATGGCTGCTTATCAGATAACTGCACATGTGCAGTAAAGAAGAGAAGAGGTCAGTTACACACAGAAAGGAGGATTTTCTTCTGCCCACAGCCAGGAAAAAGGTAGCCATGCAATTGAGCCTGTGCAATTGGAGCAGAGTTTTGTAAAAAGGATCCTGGGACCCAACCAGCAAGTTAGCAGTGACAAATGTCAGGAGTGGGAGCTTCAACACAGCCAGGGAGTGGCTGGACTGGGATTTGAGCTTAGGTCTATCTGAAACAGAAGACTGCTTTTAATTTTACATTAATGACCTGGGAGGCTAGTTATAAGTACATGTCCCTAGGCCCCAACCACAGAAATTCTGATCCAAAGGGTTTTGAGTGGGGTCCAGAGATCTTCAAATAGCCCCTGTAGGAGATTATGTTACAGCTGGTCCACTGGCCATAATTTGAGACACACTATCTTGGACATCCTAACAGACCAACACCATTCCCAGGCCACAAAACAGTGGTCATTGTCAACATCTTTATAAATATGATCCACATCTTCCCCTGCACCCAGCTGTCTTCAGCTCTAGTCACTACCTTCATCAAAAGAGCTCTGCACCTCAGAGTCTTCAGAACCAAATGCTTTGATCAATTGTCCCATTAACAGCCTTTCCCTTTTAAATACAAGAGTATAAGTGATCACTGATGGCCCATAATTACTGATAGCCCATTAGTATTTCTTGAATGTTGTAATTCACACATGGTAAAAGAAATAATTCAAGAAGTTCAAAAAAGCACAAAATTAACTGTGGAGACTTCTTTCTCACTCCCCGCCCCCACCCCATCCTCTAAAGGAAATCACCATCAACAATACAATATTTTGTGTATCCTTCCGATTTGTTTTATTTATCAACTACTGACTGTGGACATCGTGCTTCAGACCTACCTGTTTGCCATCCACAGGTCAAAAGAGTTAACACCGAATGTGCCCTATATATGTACAAGTCTCT
Source organism: Homo sapiens (assembly GCF_000001405.40). NCBI lineage: Eukaryota > Metazoa > Chordata > Mammalia > Primates > Hominidae > Homo > Homo sapiens. Next base: position 110,855,047 of record NC_000023.11, on the reverse strand, counting down.
TCACATGTATTGTCTCATTTAATCCTCACAACAACTTAATGAATTCAGATAGCATGATTATCGTCATTCTATAGATAAGGAAACAGGCTTAGAGAGGATAATGTGCCCAAATTCACACGGAGAACACATGACAGAGCTAAAACTTAACTTACTCTGTGTCCAGAGCCTATACCTTTAAACAATGAGCTCTATTGCTTTTGGCAGAATATAATAATAACAGCTAACACATATTAAAATTATACTATGTGTCAGGCACTTTCCTAAGTACTTTACCTACATTGCCTAATGTTAACCTGTTGAGTTGGGTACTATTCATATCTCCTTTTAACAGTTAATGAAGCAGAAGCACAGAGAGATTAAATAATTTGCCCAAGATCATACAGCTGGTAACAAGCTGAGCTGGAATATAAAGCTAGGCAGTGTAGCTTCAGTGCCTGCATGCTTACCCACAATGGAGCTGGGCAGTGCGGCTTCAGTTCCTGCACACTTTCCCACAATGCATGTGACCTCCTTAGGCAGAAGGAACACATAAACAAGAGTTTAAACACTTCAGACTTCACAACTGCCTAATTCATGCATGATTGCTCCTGGTGTCCCTTGTCCAGAGCATCCCATGTCAGCAACTTTGACACCCCCTGGATGTTTTCCTGCATCCCCAGACTCCCTCACCCTGAACCTTTGAAGCCAGCTTTCCCTGCTTACACCAGACACACCAGCTGATCCACAATGGCAAGCTACCATGACCCATTGCTCATCAGGATAATTACCCTGCAGACTGTTCTGTTCTTACTTCTGCCTATGGCTTTCTGGCTTTTCAGCCCCTTGATTGACTTCCTGTGCAACCTCTGGACCTTAAACTTGAGTTTCAGGGTGACTCTTTCTAGTAGCCCACCTTTATTTTTCTCTAGTGGAAACTGACTTGGCTGGCCCTCCAGTTTTTGTGGTCCAGCTTGCCTCTCAAGTAGGGATCCCAATTCTTCCTTTAGCCCTGCAGGACCAAGCCTCATCCCCCCACTTCTTTCCTTCTTCCTAGGTGGGTTAGCCTCGGTCTCTGAACCCCATGGGGTAGAGAGCCAAACAGGTTGTCTACAGCTCATTCTTCGCAGCGTGGTCACCCGCTGTTCCCGGAGAAAGGAAAAGGCAGATTTCTCTTGGCAGGTGCTCATCCTGGCAGCTAAGTAAGCCACAGAGAGGCCAAAACTGCTCCTTTGCGGGTGGTGATGCCTCAGGGTGTAGCTGCCAAAGGATCTCTAGCTCTGCCTCTATGCCACCCTCTGGAGAAAAGAGGAAGTGACTCCAGAAAAGTGACATCTAAAGCTGCAGCTGACTCTGGCACTTGGTACAGGAGCCTGAACACAGGGGAGTTAAAAAAATGGGAAGGGTGGCTGCTCTAGCAGCTGGTTGGTTTCCTTTCAGGGTGTTCCGTGGGGTTTCTGATTACCCTCTTCTAAAAACCTTCCAAGAGGGTAGCCCAGGTTGCAATCTGCAGCCTCCTTATCCAGAGGTGCTCTAAGGCAGCTTAACCTGGCCTTCACAGATGGGGTTCATCCACAGCAGGGATCTGAGAATTTGGATTCAGAAAACATATCTTTGTCTTTACTAACCTCTAATTTCAGTTTCCTTAAATTCAGTGTAGCATGTCCTACAATTACGAACATAAGCAACAGCCCACAGTGGTGTCAGCAGTACCTGTGACTTTGTCATCAATGGAAGTCACAGATGGTTGCATATCACATTACAAGAGCTGCACTACAGCATCTTCTAATACTGCTTATTCTCATGACCACTTTAAAATTACAGTAGTAGAGACCTGCCACTAGATCGTGTTACTTAATATGTGATAACTATATCACAAGTTCATTTTTAATATTTTGACAATTCCATTTCAGTGTAATATGTTTCCTTTTTATTCCTATGTATTTTGTTCTAGGCACCTAAAAACGTGATTCTGATAAGGGGTTCTGTTGGCTTCACAGGCTGGCCAAAGGGTTCCATGACACCTAAAAGTCAAGAACCCTAACTCTTAAGAATTCTGTCAAACTTGGTCCTAGAACCTGGGATGGGTATATCTGAGCTGAGGGCCCATGTTAGGAAGGCTTGGTGGAGATGGAGCTGTAGGAGGTGGGGGAGCAGGGGAGCAGGTCAAAGGAACAATGACTGATTGCTAAAACTGCAAGCAGAACAGAATAGAAACTTAGGTATGAGGCTGACCTCACCATTGCCACAGGAGCCCACACTCCCTCTACTTCCCTACCCCTCAGTTAAAAAAAAAATAGGAAGCCAGAACAGCCAGCTCTGTAGCTGGTGGCCTGGCGCAGTGGCTCACACCTGTAATTCCAGCACTTTGGGAGGCCAAGGGAGGCGGATCACCTGAGGTCGGGAGTTCGAGACCAGCCTGACCAACATGGAGAAACCCCATCTCTACTAAAAAAGAAATACATAATTAGCCAGGCGTGGTGGCACATGCCTGTAATTTCAGCTACTCAGAAGGCTGAGGCAGGAGAATCACTTGAACCCGGGAGATGGAGGTTGCAGTGAGCCAAGATGGCACCATTGCACTCCAGCCTACGCAACTAGAGGGAAACTCCATCTCAAAAACAAAAACAAAACAAAACAAAAAACAAAAAAACCTCATTCTCCACTGCACAGCATATACCACAAGATGGCGCAGTTGTATGAGTTGGTGGTCAGGAGGGGACTCTGCCAAACAATATCAGAACTGTATCGTAACAGTAATATAGTCACTATTCAGAATTTTCAGGATTTATTGTCAAGGCCCAATTAGGACCTTCAGAGGCCTTGAAGCACTGAAAAGACTATGGCATTCCCACTCACATGTAATTCAAAAGAAAAGTAAAACTAAACTAAATGATTTTGCTGAAATTCCAGTAATTTATTTCTAGAATTCCTGATTGCAAAATTCTGGATAAGGTCTTTGAAGTTAAACCTTTCCTTAGGCCCTAATTTCCTGGGGCTCTAAGTGGGTGTTTAGTCTGCCTGTCTAGCAAGAAGCCCAGCACTACCTGCTAGTAAAAGGGTAACCAAGCCAGATCCTGCTCTGGACTCCAACAGAGCCCGAGGCCCCACCCTCTGCTGAGTCACAGTGTGTTGGGCACTAGCGAAACCTAGAACATCTGGTAACTACCTCCACCCTCCTGGTAGACGAAGGGGCTTCAGACAGTTCTGTGGGCCCCGCCCCAGCCAGTTCACATGGCTCAAACCAGCCCTCCCATGAGTATATCCCATCCTCTGATTTGGAAAACTAATAACCATTGCAGTATACAAGAGAGTTCACATACAGCATTATGCACATGTTCTGGCCAGATGTAATGTCACCCAGGAACCCTAACTCTCAGCTTCTTCTTGCTCTTTGATCCCTGGCCTCATCTGGAGTGACAAAGCCAAACTCCTACCATCCTCTGGGCATCTGCAGCTTGCACATCTGAGGATTTTGTTAGCAGTTGCCGCCACAACCATTCCTGCATAAATTTATACCAGGCTTCATCAGACCTTCACTTCCCTAGCAGGGACCCAGTACTCTTTGTAAGAAGAAATATCAAGAATTCCAGCTCTGCCAGTGCCCATTCTGTGACCATATGGAACCCTTCATAACTCTGGTAATTCCCAATCAATCACTTGGATGAACCCCCAAGGAACCCAGGGTGGGGTAAAATTTGATTTCCAGGCCTTCAACACCCCGATCAGATTCAGAAGGGTAACCAGAAAATTCAAAAGAAAAGTAAAACTAAACTAAATGATTTTGCTGAAATTCCAGTAATTTATTTCTAGAATTCCTGATTGCAAAATTCTGGATAAGGTCTTTGAAGTTAAACCTTTCCTTAGGCCCTAATTTCCTGTCCTGCATCTGACAGTCCCTGCATCTGACCTGTCCCTGACAGTTCCTGCATCTGTAAACGGCCTGCAGCTTGTAATAGGTCTTGTAATAGGTCTGAATTCTCAGCCTTTGAAGCAGCTGATGAGCAAAAACCCAGTATCAGGGTTTCATTTTTACTGATTCTCTCCTCCATCAAGTCCTTGGTTCAGCCACCACTGGGTCTACTACAACAGTATTAACACGGGTAAATAAGCATATTTAAAACAGAAAGTTCATTGGCAGTTCTTTCTACGTGCCCAGGGCATCTGCATAAAGTCAGACAAAAAAAAAATCACTTCTTACCTGGAGAAGGGATCCCTCTGAACCCTTAAGGATCTGTAGCAATTCCTGCCTTCTGTTGGGCACTACTTTAGTTTTCTACACTTGCAGTCTCACTGCTGCCAAGGGTCTGGAAGCAACAAAACCAAACGATTCATTTGGGATGGAGAATGCACTGGAGAGGGTTCTAGCCTTCTGTGATGCAAACCTGTTTTTAAAAAGGCTGCCTTTAGGAGGGCTGGAGGTGGAAGGGGGATGGCCAGGGTGGGTTCTAGCCCAATCCAGCCAGGCGGCTGCCCTGCCCCGGGTAGGCCACCATTACCCATCAGGAATGGCCAGCCCAGGCCCACAACTTGTTTATGGCCTAGGTGCAATTTACTTCCTTGCAGCTCTGTGTTTAACCTTATCTTAAATTTTTAAAAATACTTTAACAAATACTTTTCATGCTTCTATGTGCCTGGCACCATTCTAGACCCTTTATATGTAATAAATTATTCAATCCTTACAACAACTTCCTGACATGGGTGCTATTTTTATTTCCATTTTGAGGTGAGGAAGCTGAGACACGGAGAGGTAAAGTAACTTTCCCAAGGTGAAACAAGTGATAAGCAGTAGAGTCAGAATTCAGACCTAGGAAGCCTGACTCCACATTCCATGGGCTTAATCACTATGCTATAGCCTATAGCCTGCTTTGCCATGTGATGCCTCTGATAATACCCTTTTAAATTCTGGGCCATAGTCTTACCTTGGGTTTCATTTGTTCCCACCCATTCTAGATAAGTGTCCTGCCCATTGCCACTCAGCCATTAAGACTTTGCCCAAGCAGAGTCCCAGTAGAACTAGTCCTCCCCTCTTCGACCGCGCCAGGTGCAGCCAAGCTCCACAGAGAGGATATAAACCCAGGGAAGAGGTGTTGAGGGGCTGAGGTGAAAGCACTGGCAGTGGGGTTGGAGGAGAAGCAGTAGATACAAAAGAAATTTCAGAGGAAACATCGGCAGGATTGTGAGACATGAGGAAGACAAGGTCAACAATCATCTCTAAGCTTCTGGCTTGGATGGCTGAACAGGTAGATGGTGATGCCACTCACTGAGGTGTGGGCATGGAAGGCAGAGGAGTTTGGTGGGGAAGGTAGTAATGATAACAGCTAGCCTACATTGCACATATACTATGTGTCCAGCACTTTACATATGGTCTCGTGTGTAATTCTCACAATCACCATTTGAGGGAGGAAACAAGCACTATCAGTATTTTCAATTTACAGACGAGAACAATGTGAGGCTCTGAGGTTTGCAGTGACTTCCCCAAGATCACACAGTAAGTAGCAGAGCTGAGATTTGAGCCCAGGTCTGTGTGACTCTACATCTGCACTTTTAACCAGCTGAATGGAAGACATTCAGGCTGTATTCAGACCCCATTTCTTTGCTCCGTTAGTTCAATCCTGGTTGGGGGTCTGTCTTCATGGTTCCAAAGTTTCTGCCTTTCCAGGGCCTTCATTTTACCTTGGGTCCTGACGCTGGCTGCCTACTCGTCAATGACTCCCAACATTTCTTCAGTCTTCAGTACCTGAATACCATCCTTCCCACCAACTTCCCCACCCCAGCTCTCTCACCACCCCTTTCCTTGCATACCTCATCCAGACTGTAAACATAACTGAATCTACAGGTTTTAAGAACCTTCTCCATATCCCACCCACTGTCCAGTCTCCATCCTTGGGTTCTTCCAGGCTAGCCCTGGATGAATATCAAGGCCCTGACTCTATTTCCCCTTGAGAGTTTATGTCTGTACCTGTCTAATTCTATGGTTCTGTATGCATGTGAATATGTATAAGATAGAGACTGGTATACAAAGGAGGTGGGAAGCACTTAATGGAAAAGAGGATGCTAGACGTCCTCAATGTGCTAGACAGTTCCACACAGTGAAGAATGCCCCATATTCTGTCCAAATTTTGAATGCCACCTCCCACCCAGTTATTCATGTAGGTTAAAAAAATCTGTTAATAATTAGCTGTGCCTAGAACAGAACTCTGATTTATACATAAACACAAAGTATTTTTTGCACAGTTTTATTTCAGTATATGCTGAAATTTCCAGGAATACAGCTACCATGTAAATTGAGGGAAAACTGCTCTTTGTTGTGTTCAGAACTCTCCCAAGAGTTGTCTAACATTTTTGAAGATCATATTGCCAACAACAACGCTGATCATGGTAATTGAGTCACTAATGCAATGCCCCTGCATGCGCCTGCATTTGTAGTGTTTGAGTTCATGCTGTTTCTGTACGTAGGTGCAAGCTTCTACCTGTTCCCCTACATCTTATAGCATGGTGTGGCCTCAATCTTTGCAGATGGAAATTCATTATTTATTACCAATAATTTCCTTTTATTTCTCCTTCACACTAGTTGGACCTCTCTCTCTCTTATATATATACACACACACACACACAAATATATAAAATTATGTGTGTGGTAGGTACATTGCTCTATGAGTTTCTCTGTCTCATTTTAGGACAGTAAAGGGGCTGTAGCAAAGTATTTGTCAAAAATTACAAGCACTTACTAAATTGCCTACACTGCTTTCAGTGCTTTACATACCAGTCTCAGTCAATCCTCACAGAACTTCACAGAACCTGAATGAGATGAGTATTATTTGCACTCTTATCTTGCAGATGAAGAGGTGCATAGAGGTTAAGTAATTTGCCCAAGGCCACGCACTTAGTAAGTGATAGACAAGTAATCTGAACTCCAACCTGTTTGACTCCAAATGCAGTACACATTCAGCTGCTTGCAGTGTGGTAGATTACATCTACTGTTTCTTATTCGTGTTAGAACAGGCTCAGGATGATTCCAAGGGCAGTGTATTCCAAAACTATTTGAGGATTCCTACAAAAAGTATAGACACCCCCACCACCTGAATGACTGAAAACACTCATGCATACATTTGGATATGTTTAACACACACACAGCCAATCAATGACCTGAGTCAAATTTAATGGTGTCTTATTCCTTAATTGCTTCTTGTGTCCAATTAGATTGTATAATGCCTGAAAGCAGATCTGTGCCAGCCATATTTTCCTTTTGAAAAAAATAAGGTACATAATCTGATGCTGAATGTTACAATGGGAACAAATAGGTTCCATCTGGACTGTCCTGTGCAATTCCCACCCCATCAGCAACTAGCCACATTAATAGGACTTGGTGGCTAACAAATGATATATTTAGACCTTTATTTCCCTCAATTAACACGATCTATCGAGTGAAATGTACATCGCATAACTACATGTCTTATTCAGAGAAACTAGCCATTCCTCTTTCTCTGTGTAAACGAAAGCTCAGTGGTTTTCTCCAGGCTTCCATGAAGAACTACAGATCTCATTCTCAAGCATATCTAAATTCCATCACTAGATGGCAGTGTTGCCCAAACTTTTAATAGAGTAGTAGGTCAGCTTTGTTTAATGCCATTTTCTTCATGAGTCCTAGATCGAATTAACCATCTTTCCTGCCACCAGAAAAATGTCCAGAAGTTTTCCATGCTGAGATTTCAGGAAAGATAACTTGTCTGTGGCAACTTGTTGACATTTAAAAAATAAGCTTAAACCTGTTCCAGTACAGCTGGGTCGCCTCAGTTTAGTTCAAATACCCCTTGAGTCTATATTGTGTTGAAAACACTGAGCTAGGTGCTGGGGATACACAGATGAAGTTGAAAGGGCCTGACTCTCTTAAGAAAGGCGCAATCTAGTTGGAGAGACTGGCGCACAAACAAAAAGCTCTATAACAATATCATAACACTGTGATAGGGTAAGCATAGGATGGGGCACCCATCTCAGTTTGGGGATTCAGGGATCTACAGCTGGTGACACTAAAAGCTGAATCTTTTCAAAAATTTATTTGTATTTGTATAAATTTAAGGGACACAAGGGCAGTTTTGTTACATCGATATATTAAATAGTGGTGAGGTCTGGGCTTTAATATGTCCATCTAAATGGATCTACCATAAAGATAATAATGATAATAATGTATGTTTTACTCATTATTTTCTCATACCCCACCACCTCCCACCATCCCACCTTTCTTGAGTCTCAAATATCTATCATTCCACACTCCATGTTCATGTGTACCCATTATTTGGCTCCCACTTAGAACTGAGAACATGTGATATTTGACTTTCTATTTCTGAGTTGTTTTACTTAAGATAATGGCCACCAGTTCCATCCATATTGTGGGAAAAGACATGATTTCATTATTTTTTATAGATGAACACTATTCCATTGTGTATATATACCACATTTTCTTTATCCAATCATCCATTTATGGACATTTAGGTTGATTCCAAAGCTTGGTGAATACTTCTGCAATAAGCATAGGAGTGCAGATATCTCTGCTATATACTGATTTCAATTCCTTTGGATATACATTCACTAGTGGGATTGCTGGGTCATATGGTAGTTCTATTTTTAGTTTTTTGAGAAATATCCATACTGTTTTCCACAGAGGGTGAACTAATTTACATTCCCACCAACAGTGTGTAAGCATTCCCTTTTATCCACATCCTTGCCAACATCTTTTTTTTTTTTTGACCTTTTATAATAGCCATTCTGACTGGTGTAAAATGATATCTCATTGTGGTTTTGATTTGCATTTCTCTGATGACTAGTGATGATGACCATTTTTTCATATGCTTTTTGGCCACATGTATGTCTTCTTTTGAGAAGTGTCTGCTCATATCCTTTCCCATTTTTAATGGAGTCATTTGGTTTTCTGTTGTTTTTGTTGAGTTGTATGAGCTCCTTGTAAATTCTAGACATTAGTCTCCTGTCGGTTGCATGGTTTGCAAATATTTTCTCCCATTCGGCAGGTTGTCTGTTCACTCTGTTGATTATTTCCTTTGCTGTGCACAGTTTAAAGTCTTATTTGCTTATTTTTTATTTTTGTTGCTTGTGGTTTTGAGGTCTTAGTCATGAATTCCTCGCCCATACCAATGTACAGAAGACTTTTTTTCCTAGGTTTTCTTCTAGGATTTTTATAGTTTCAGGTCTTACATTCAAGTCTTTAATCCATCTTGAGCTGGTTTTTGTGTATGGTGAGAGACAGAGGTTCAGTTTCATTCTTCTGCATATGGCAATGCAAGTTTCCCAGCACCATTTATTGAAAAGGATGTCCATTGCATTAGCCGACTTCAAATTGTACTGCAAGGCTATAGTAACCCAAATCGCATGGTGCTGGTATAAAAATAGACACACAGATCAAAGGAATAGTATAGAGAACCCGGGAATAAGGCCATATATCTACATATCTTTGACAAAGTAGATAAAAACATACACTGGGGCAAAAGAATCTTTAAGAGTGGACAGGCATTAGCCAGGGAATAAAGTACGAAAGCATATTTCAGGAATGAAACAGACTAAGCAGAAAGGCTTGCAACAGTGTGGTGTGTGCTGGAAAACTAGGTAGAAGATGTGGGGCGTAATGAGAAAACACACTATGAAGTGTGGAGGTAGATAGAAATCAGGTCAAGGGATGCGATAATAATGATACAATCAGGAATCAATATATAAAACCATCTGCTTCTCCCAACTATTTGCTGAGATAAGAGCATCATCACCTTACCTTGAGAAAAAATGATGCCGTTATTTCTCACAACCACATGGTGTAGTTCAAAATAACATTTACCTTTATTACTAAGTACTGGGAACCATGATAAGAGCTTCTTCATGCGTTGCCTTTTTAAATATCAGCAATTACTCTGAGATGAGTATTATTATACTATTATCATCTTTATTTTACAGATAAGGAAACCTAGTTTCAGAGAGGCTAAATAACTTGCTCACAATCACACAGCTAACAAGTGACAGAGCCAGGAATTGAATAGAAGCATGTATGAGATACAAAGTACAGGAGAGAGAGGGAATCACTAATAATACTAGTGGGCATGGGGTTGAGAATGACAAAGTAGACTTTCTGGAGGTAATGCCTAGGCTGGATTTAGTAAAATCGTTAACAATAGTGAAAATACAACATTTTTGAATATGTGCTATGTGCTAAACTCTGTACTGAATATTTTATAAGTATTACTTTGGCTGGGCACAGAGGCTCATGCCTGTTATCCCAGCACTTTGGGAGGCCAAGGTGGGAAAATTGTTTGAGCCCAGGAGGTCAAGGCTGCATGAGGCTTGAGTCCTGTGATCTCACCACTGCACTCCAGCCTGGGCGACAGAGCGAGACCCTGTCCAAAAAACAAAAAAAACAAAAAACAAAAAAAGTATTGAAACAGGAGAAGTTCCCTTATCCCTCTTGCAGGGCGTGCGTTGGGGGTGTGGTTCACTTTCTCAGTGCCCCGCTGCTCAAACCTCTAGGGGGAGCATGCAGATGGGCAGATTGTGGGGCTTTGACCCCAAGGCAGTGTGTAGGGGTGAATATTTACAGCTGAAGCCCCATTGGGTGTTTGTTGCAGTGTGCTCTTTCAGTTTTGTGTGTATGCGGGTTTTTTTGTTTGTTTTTTGTTTTTTGTTTTTTGTTTTTGAGACCGAGTCTCGCTCCGTCGCCCAGGATGGAGTGCAGTGGCACTATCTCTGCTCACTGCAACCTCCACCTCCTGGGTTCAAACTATTCTCCTGCCTCAGCCTCCCGAGTAGCTGGGACTACAGATGCGTACCACCACGCCTGGCTAATTTTTGTATTTTTTGTAGAGACGAGGGTTTCACCATATTGACCAGGCTGGTCTCGAACTCCTGGCCTCAAGTGATCTGCCCGCCTCGACCTCCCAAAGTTCTGGGGTTACAGGCATGAGCCAGTTTTGCCCTCTGTAGGCTGCTTGTGTTTATCAGCTCAATGAGACCCTCTGCCTTATCGCAAGGACAGAGGGCTTTCTGTATGCCAGGTTTCTTGCCTTAGTGTACAGGAAAAATTGGATCACAAGTAGCCTTGGAGGATGAAGGCAAGGTTTTTTATTGAGTGGTTGTAGCTCTCAGCGAGGTGGATGGGGAGGCCAGAAGGAAGATGGAATGGGAAGGTGGTTTTCCCCTGGTCAATGGCCTGCAAGTGTGCTCTTCCTCCAGTGTGTTCTCCTCGACGTCCAGCCGCTTGTGTCTTCTTCTGCTTGTGTGTTCCCCTCAATGTCCAGCCACTTGTGTGCCCTTCCCACTAGGGTCTTCGGGTTTTTATAGGCACAAGATGGGGACATGGCAGGCCAGGGTGGTCTTGGGAAATGCAAATGTTGCATTTTATGCCCAAATGTTAGGCATAAAAACAGAAATGCCTGTCCTCACCTAGGTCCATGGGCACAGGCCCAGGGATAGAGCCCCAGCCATGGACCCTTCCTCCTCTACCCAGCACTTCCCTGCCCACAGGGAAGGGAATCATATCAGTATTACCTCATTTAATCTTTACAACAACCCTATGAGGAAGGAACTATTATTACCCCCATTTTACAGATTAGGACACTCAGGCACAGAGCAGCTAACCAACTCGCCAAAGGTGACATGGCTAGTAATTGACAGAGGCCAGATTTGAATCCAGGTAGTCTGGCACGGGCACCAGGAGGACTTGAGTGGGGGCATTTTAGGCAGAGGAAACAGTAGGAAGTGGGCATGAACCAGCATGAAAAATTGGAAACACACCGAACTTGGAATCACTGGACTGTAAAGTGGGGATAACCAAGAGGTCAGGATTGTGAGGTTGGAACAGTACATAGGAGCCATACTGTGAAGGGCCTCAGATGCCCTGCTCTCAGCTTGGGCTTGACATGTTAAGAGCAAGAGGCGGGAAGGACAGGAGAGTCTTAAGGAAGAACAGACCTAATCCCATTGGTGTGATGACTGTTTGTCCTTCCCCAACTCCCTTAGGTAACAAACTCATGCTGCCACACAGAAATCACACCAAACCTCATTCTTTATCTAAATGTGCATAATTGTACTTCTTGCTGCTGCATTGCCAGATGCTCTCTAAAGACAGTTATACTCTAAGACAATGGTTCTCATGTTGAAATTTCTGGACTGGCAGCATCAGAGCCAGCTGAATACGCAGTTCTTTCAGCCCTACGCAGTACCTACCGAATCAGAAACCCTGGAGGTAGGGCCTGACAATGTGTGCTTTAAAAAGCCTCCGGGGCCAGGTACGGTGGCTCACGCCTGTAATCCCAGCACTTTGGGAAGCAGAGGCTGGCGGATCACGAGGTCAAGAGAGCGAGAGCATCCTAGCCAACATGGTGAAACCCCGTCTCTACTAAAAATACAAAAATTAGCTGGGCGTGGTGGCGCACACCTGTAGTCCCAGCTATTCAGGAGGCTGAGGCAGGAGAATGGCGTGAACCTGTGAGGTGGAGGTTGCAGTGAGCCGAGATCGTGCTACTCTACTCCAGCCTGGCGACAGAGCAAGACTCTGTCAAAAAAAAAAAAAAAAGCCTCCAGATGATTCTGAGGCACATAACACATGAAAACCACTGTTTTCTATTGTTGCTTAAATATTGCATATGCATCTGGTTTATTTCTTCTCTCAACTCCTTGAGGTAAGGAACCATGTCTTCTGTTTTATCATCCTGCATGCCACCCCCAATTCCTGCTCCCTGACATGGATAACTATGCATATCTCAGCTCTGCTACTGTACATAAATCTCTTATTCTTTCTATGCCTCAGTTTAATCATCTGTAAAATGGAAATAATACTACTGACTTCATTCAGGTTTTGTATTAAGAGTTAATGCAAGAAAAGTTATCAGAACAGTTCTTCTTGACTCATATTAAGTGCTCAATTTTATACAGATGCCCCTTGACTTACAATTGTGTTAAATACTAATAAGCCCATCATAAGATGAGGAGTGCCCTGAATGCCTGTCACCTTTGCACTATCATTAAATTGAAAAATCATAGGTTGAACCATCCTAAGTCAGGAACCATGTGTATATTATTAGTTATTTGTACCTAGTGTTCAATGAATAGACAATAATTGATTAATAATTGAGAGTAGATTTAGACAAAGAGGGTAGAGAAAAGGCAGGATGGGAGAGCAGGCCAGAGAAAATGAGAAAAGAAAACCTGTTTTAGATTCAGCTAGCCCTACAGGGCTGTCCCAGCAATCCAGGAGCCTGGCTTTGCAGGGAGTCAGAGAAGGAGAAGGGGGAGAGAGGAAAGAGGCAGAAATAGGCCCATTTATGTCCACAATAGGTAAATCCACAGAAATAGAAGGTAGATTAGTGATTGCTGAGGGGTGGTAGGTGGGAATGGAGTTTGACTGCTAATGGGTATGGGAATTTTGGGGTGAGGGTGATGAAAATGTTGAATTACCTAGTCATGATGATTGCACAACCCTGTGAATATACTCAAAACCACTGAATTATATATTTTAAAAGGATAAATTTTATGCTATATGAATTCTGTCTCAAAGAACAAAAACAAAAACAAAAAAACTGTTTAAAAAACAAATAGGCCTGGTCAATCTGGAAAGAGAAGTCAAGACTTATAGTCTTTTTCTTCCATTAAGCCCCAGGAAACTAGGCACAGAGCAGGTGCGGAATTGAGACCAGGAAAAAAAGACAGAGTCTTGTGGCTGGATTTTGCTCTAATTTATTTGCTTGCCACATAGGGGCAACCAACTCATTTCCTGTGTCATTATTTCTAAAGACATAAAGTCTGACATTTTCATTAAGATCCACCATATCAATGGCATAAAATTAAATTCCAAGAGAGACACAACCTGATTGTAATAAAAGTGCAATCCAAGACTGGCACATAATGGAGAATCTCACAAGCGTGTGTGTCACATGCTTGAGGTCAACATGGGTGAAAATATCAACCTTTTATTTCTAAGTCCTCGGGCAACATAACCTAGCCAAATAGTCCTGGAAGATCGAATTATATACCCTAAGGGCCCAAACCACTTAACTTTCCCTCCAAGCTTTTAGAGTTTCCAAGAAAATCATTTGATTATTATTTCACTGAGTGATAAAAACAGACTTATGCCTTTATAATACAGGGTAAATGAATCAGGACTTGGGGACTTTTCAGGTTTAAATATATGCTCCAGTGTTAATTGTGGGGTAGGGGGCACTTTATTTTATTAAAAATAGTCTAAACATGTCTGCTTTATAGACACTCTGTGCGACAAGATTGCTTATTGCCAAGAGAGTTCTACCAGGAAAAGTCCAAGACAAGAAGCAAAATAAACAAGTACGAATCAATGAGTGCTGGCAAAAGTAATCTAAATAAAGGCAAAAGGGAGGACATGCAGCCTAGAAGAGTCAAGGATGCCATATGCCACAGGCCTAACTTTATTAGACCTTAAATCCTCAACCAAATTAAAGAAATGAATCTATATAGTGCAATGATTGAGCATGCAGATTTTAGAATTAGGCTGCCTGGGTTCAAATATTGACTCTATTCTCCGCTCTTCTCACTTCCCTAAAACATTAGTCTATTATTTCCTTCATAGCACTTTCCACAATCTTTATTTTTATGACCTGACTCCTACTAGATTATAAATTCTATGAATAAGACAAAGTCCCATATAGTAAGTACTCAATAAATATTTGTAGAGTTTAACAGAACCCTTACATTTCTGTGGTTGTAGTACCAATGTAATAAAGTTGTTGACAGGAATCTACATAAAAGTACAGTGCCTGATACCTAGCAAGTGCTCAAATAATGCTACGTATTACAAAGGAGAATTTCTAGATAAGCACCATGCTTGGAACAGGCAACTCAATAGGCTGGAGTCCTTTCTTTAACAATGACATTTCATTTGCTTTTAAAACATAAGCAAACCTAGCAAGAATGTTAATACATAAACTCTGGGTCATGGATAATTTGTGGTTTATATATTATTCTCTGTATTTTTATGTTTCATATTTTTCAAACATGCCTGATGTCCTTGATGTTTTTCCTATAGATAGGCAGAGTATCTGTCCTCTCCTGTTGAATCTTGGAAAGTTCACCTGTAACCCACAGAATGTTGTGGGAGGGACACTGTGTGTCAGTTTTGAGGTCAGGTCAGAAAAGATGATTTCTGTTTCCTCCTTGCTTGCTGGGAACACTTATGCTTGGAGCCCTGAGCCATTATGTAAGAAGTTTGGCCACCCTGAAGCCACTAGACAGTGAGGAAGCCAGTATTGTGAAGAGGCAACACGTAGACAATTGAGTTAGCATTTCTAATCATTGAGAATCCTTCCAGCCTAGGCATCAGAAGTAAGAGTGAACAAGATACTTCAGATGATTTTAGACCCTGGCCATCAATTCATCCCTAGCCTTCAAGTTTCCCAGTAGAGACACCAGACTAGAACAGAGACAGCTCTCCTCATTATGTACTTTCTAAATTCCTGACCTGAGGAATGTATGAGCATAATGAAAAAGTGGTTGTTTTAAGCTGTGAAATTGGGTGGTCATTTATAATAATATGTTTGAAATATTTCAGAATTTAAAAGAAAGATCATTAAAAGGACCAGTCCTCCTCTTATGCTGCCACCCCCAATTCAGCTCTGGGTCACTGGAGCAAAAGCTAGGATGTGTCTCAAGAGTGAGTAGCCACATCACGATGCCATTTGAAGGGCACTAAATCTCCAAAATACATCACCCCCTTCTAAGGTCTGAAATGCTCCCAATCAAGATTTCTTTGAGATATTTTATCATGAGAGCCCACTATTAAGAAATATTTATAAGTAATCCCCAAAAGGCATGGGGGTGGGGGACAAGGAAGGAGATCATTTGACCTGGGCATCTTATTCACTAAGGGCTTTAACTTTCAGCTTCTGACGTTACTACCAGATGAGTTTCCAGATATGCAGAATACAATGACACAACGAAAAGAAGATATTTGTCATATTAAGCTTCTGTCTTATTAATGGAAAAACCAAACTCTGTAAAATATTTAAAGAGGTTTATTCTGAGCCAGTATGAGGGAAGATGGCCCCAGAAACAATTTCAAGAGGTCCTGAGAAAGTATGCATAAGGTGGTTGGGTTACAGACCAGTTTTATACATTTTAGGGGGACAGATGTTACAGTCAAGACATAAATCAACACATGTAAGGTATACACTGGTTCAGCCCAAAAAGGTACAACATCTCAAAGTCAGGGGTTGGGGGAGGAAGTGCCACAGTTCATAGGTGGATTTAAATATTTTCTGATTGGCAATTGGTTGGAAGAGCTAAGCTTTGTCTAAATACTTGAAGTTAGTAGAAAGAAATGATTGAGTTAATATAAGGGAGGTTATGAAGGCCAAGGCTCCTGTCATGTAGATGAAGCCTTGTAGGCAGTAGCCTTCAGAGAGAATAGATGGTGAATATCTCTTTTTGGACTTAAAGAATGTCAGATGCTTAGTTAATCTCATCTCGATCGGGGAAAGGCCTAGAAAGGGAAGGCCTGGTTTCATTAATGAAGATTCTCTATAGATGCAAATTTGTCCCACAAAAGACAGCTTTGCAGGGCTGTTTAAAATATATCAAAGAAATCTATTTTGGGGTAAAATATTTTGATTTCCTTCAGGGCCTGCTATCTATCATGTGATGCCATGCCATAGTCAGCTTTGAATTTGGTATCTTATTATCACAAACAATCTGTTTTGTCAGCTTTATGACCTCTATTTTAATGTTAATGCTAGTCAGTTATGCCCAACCTCCAAAAAGGAGAGGATATAATGAGTTATGTCAGACCTTCCCTCCCATCACAGCCAGGAATTCCATTTTTCAGGTTTCTCTGAGGTTCCCTTGGCCAAGAGGAGGTGGTTCATTCAGCTGGGGGGCTTATGATCTTATTTCTGTTTTACAGTCTCATCAGCAGACCCACTACCTGTCCTGCACTGTGATTTTTTTTTAACCTGGCAATTATCTTGTGACTACTACAATTGTATTGTAGAACATTGCCATCTGTGGTGAAATATTTAAATTAGAATTAAGCTATAGATTATGAGTGACGCACAGTCATCAGCCAAACCCCTAATTGGCAAAATCGTCTCTGATACATCAAAAATCCTGTGACATCATTTAGCTGCAAAAATTCAGAACATTGGAATCAGTCAAAAAATATGTTAATCATTAACTCTTTATGAGAAGATAGAAACAAATTAATGCATTGTCTTTTTAAAATTAAAAGTGTGTTTTTGTTCCACATAAAAATTGAAAACATAGCAATATAGCACAATATGAGAAACATATTTGGTATTTGAAATATATATATATATATATATATATATATATATATATATACACAGAGAGTCTTAATACCTAGAAATGGCCTCTTTGTATCTGGCTTTCTGAGAAGCCCCAGGGGATACTAAAAAGCTGTCATTTTGAAGGGACATTGGGAATGAAGTTTAATAGTGGAGTTTTATACAGAAATTATCTTTGAAATCTTTTCTAACCATGAAGACCAGTGAGTGTTTGACCAGAAAAAGGCCCCTTGGGGGATAATGTGCAGCTCAGGAAGAGGAAGAACTAGAGTCTTGTATCAAATAGTCTTTTCTGCAAGTTTTGCCTAGTACTCCTAGAAAAAAAGGGTCCAGGGGACTGAGACTGACTGGATCAGTCTTTTCTGAATGTGGATGTCTTGATGCAAAATTGAACCCTGTGAATCCAAACAGGGTAGATGGCACAAGTTCCTATCTGATCCCAGGAAAGAGTGTGTGCCACACTGTGGCTCGTCCATTCCTTGCAACACTAAGCCAGCCTCAAAAGCTCCCTAATCCACTAGGCAGCCTGCTGTTGGGGCCCCAGAGACTGCCCAGAGGGTCCTCATCAGACAGCTGCTGCTGCTGCTGCTGCCACCTTGTGTCCTGTGAGGAAAAGCAATTGCTTCCTGAGAGAAGAGCTCCATCTTTCAAAGAGAGAGCTCTCCCTATATGAGGTGGTTTGGTGGTATCCCACCTAACCTTTACCTGGCAATCCTTGCCTAGGGTTTTCCAAGGATTCCTGGGTGGTGGCTGTCTTAGTTTGTTTTCTGGTGCTGTAACAGAATAGCAGCACAGTCAGCTACCATGGACTGAGTAACTTAGAATGAACAGAAATTTATTTGGTTCATTTCTCTCTACTCTTCCCTGTATCTTTTTTTCTTCCTCCCATCTTTTTTCTTTCTTCTGATCTCTTCTCTTTTTTCTCTACTTTACTGTTTTCCCTCTACCTCTTGAGCTCTCCACAGGCCCCTCCTCATTCCTCTTTTTCATCAACCTTTATTTGATCTGGAGTTCTAGGATTATAGGATATGAGTATACATTATAT
The DNA here is from genome assembly GCF_000001405.40 of Homo sapiens. Classification (NCBI taxonomy): domain Eukaryota; kingdom Metazoa; phylum Chordata; class Mammalia; order Primates; family Hominidae; genus Homo; species Homo sapiens. The sequence goes on along the minus strand of NC_000023.11, from coordinate 110,836,705 downwards.
TAAGCAACTTCTTATTGCCAGATCTTGAAATAGGCTTACAATGGGTAAGAGGAAGTGAAAGTTGTAAATCTAAGGATTGTTCCTTGTGAGGCAAGAGAAGAGCAAGAATCCTGCATCCTTACTTCTAGACTTTTCAGGCCCTAGTATAGCAAGCTCAATACTTGCTATATTAGGGGAGACAGAGAGATCACTAGGAGCCCTTTGAAATAGTTTATTATGAAATATTAAAGACATACAAAAGGTATGTATATCTTTTTGTTTAATCATTAGCCAGACTAAGAAAATTGATTATTACCAATGTAGTTGGAGCCCCCATGTGCCTCTCTGATCACAACCCCTCCTTTTACTCCAGAGATTACTTCCATCCTAAATTAGGAAATTGCTATTCCGTGGGTTTCTTTATTCTTTTACTACATATGTATGTAGCAGCAGGAGCCCTTTTAAGGGCTTTGCCAACTCCCTAGTAGCAGACTTGCACCATTTTGCCAGAAGTAACAGAAAGAGGAGGTTTTGATGATTCTTTGGAGGCAGACAGCTTTCAGCTTCATGCACAGCCTAGATCCTGTAGGCTGTCAACAGTTAGCAGTACATAATGTGATGGTTAAGAACCTGGACTCTGCAACCACACTGACTGGCTCTGAATCCCAACACTGCACTGCCTGCCTATGTAACCTTGTAAAGTCTTTAGAATAAACAGTTCCTGGTACACAGTAAGTGCTCCATAAATGGAAACTTTTGATTAGTAGTAATGAAGAGCACTTGCTAGATAATGAAGTGGAAGGCTTCTCACTTTGACATTAACAAAGAGAGGCTTCAGCTAGATAATGAGTGGCCTCTGGGATTCCACATGGGAGGAGCAATTTCATGGATCTGAGTGAAACTGACCCAGAGGAAGAGTAGTTGAGACCCTGCCCTACTCTAATTAGTGCCTTATAAGATGTTTGGATCTTGTAACAGAATTTCCGGAGACTCCAAGTTTTCTCCGAAGAGCACATGCCTGATGAGGGCTTGGAGACTGTGCTATAAAAAATTATGCTGCGACAGTGTCTATGCAATGATAACAAGCTTTCATCTACTATGACCCCCCCCCCACCCCCCGACACATGCATGGAAAAAAAGACCAATCACAAATAACAACAAAAATAGGAACAAACAATGGATTCATCCTAGTTTGTTGCTGTTGACTTTGAGGTTTGATTCTGGGATCCTGGGAGTATGGTGGTGCCACTGATGTACATGGAAGAGTTGATGCAGGGAAGCAATTTAGAATGGAAGAAGAGTAAGTTTAGATACGTTGAGTTGAAAATGATGATGGACTATATAAATGGAAATGCTCTCTAAGCAGCCCTCTAAAGTAAAAGGCAATTGCTCCATTTGCTTATTGAGCAAAACAAATAAAAGGCAATAGTTCTTCAGTTTTATTTTATATCAATTCATCTTGCTAGGGCTCAAGAATCTGCATTTTAATAGTATTTTAAGTGACTTGGCTCCTGGTGGTCTTTGCACAAAGCACACTAGTAAAATCTCTGATACATGGTGTGAGGAAGGGAATTTCATATAGGGAAAATGGTACACTCCCAGGATGATGCAAAGGGAAAGGGGTCAAAGAACAATCTGGCCAGCTCCCCAAATGTTTGCTGAGGGGTAGCCCTGACAAACCAGGCCTTTGGTTGATTAAGTGGAACGAAGCCCTTCCTTCCATTCCAATTCTGTCCTCCCTACCCTGACTGTGTAATAAATCATATCTTTCCTTGCACTGTTATCTTATCATCTTATATTTGTTTATTGGCATCTAGCTTGGGGATATGGAGAGGAATCAGTACTGAGGCATAGGGGAGTATTTAGTGTATTGGCATAGGGCAATTGGGATGGAGATGAAGGTAGGGGCTCTGAGTTTTCCATCGAGGTTTCACAGTACAATTTGAATTGAGCTTGCTACTTTGAGAGACAATAGGGTAGGCCATGAGGCAACAAGACAGACCAGTACTATAGACGTATATTTCTGAGTTATTAGCATATATGATAAATTATACCTCAGCTACACGAAATGATTTGGAAATTATGTTGTTTATTTGTCAGCATAGACAAGTGATCTGGCTAATTCAGCCTGTTCACTAATGACTGCATGAACTCATAATTGCCAGCTAACAATCTCACTGTGGGCTCTTGTAAACACAGTTCCAAGTTTTCAAGTTCCACTTGAAAAAGAGCAAGTGAAAAGTTAAGAGATCCAGATAAAGCAAGCTGTGCTTGAAGAGCCATAGAAATGAAGATTGCTATGAGACTAAAATCAAGGAAACACTTGGCCAAGAGAGGCATAGAATGGGAGAGGACAGCTTGAAGCTGCTTAAATTTCTGGAGGGGCCAAAAAAATCAACTGATTCCTCCTTTTCTCTATAATCCACGAACAGGGGGTTACTCAATGAAACCAATGGCAAATAAACATAAAACAAGTAAAATGGATTATGTTTTCCTGTATGTCACTCCTCTGTGGAAGTCACTACCATGGAAGTCGTAAATGGAAATGTCTGGAACATGCTTTAAAAGTGGATAGGCTAAATTTAGTTCTAATCACATTTGCATCTTTGGCCCAAGTTAAGTATAATTCATTTTCAGGTTTCAAGTTCCAAGCCTATAACTTGGTGAGGCAGGGGAGAGGGGAGCTTCAGGAAAGAATGATGTCTTCTAAGAAGAGCAGTATACAATTAACATGCACTGTGGGGTTTCGTTAGCTGGCTTGCGTTAGTGTACAGGAGTCTGAATCCATTTTGCTCTCACTTCTCTTGGAGCCTTTTTTAGCTTTGCGGAATTCATGATTCACAGAATCACAGTACCATGCACTTCAGAGTTGGAAGCATCCTTAAAGAGGACCTAGTTCAATCCTGTCATTGTTCACATGGGATTCAGAGCCCAGAAATGACTTTCTTAAGGGTCAAACCTAGTTATGTGCATGGACAGAAGTAGAAATATAGTCAAACTAGTTATTTGGTATGGAACAGGTAAAATGCTCAGACGCTTGTCTGAATTGACTAGATCAGTGGTTCTCAACACTGGTTGCAGGAGGGGTATTCAAAATATTTAATAATGGGTACTGTACTGGGTACTGATTAATTAGAATGGAATCTGGCTAAATGCGGAAGCATTGTGCTGGAGGACTCCTTCAGGGCCAGGCATTAACTCTATAGTTACTGATTATGAGAAAGTCTAGGGGTTCTGAGCTGGAGGAGATGAGGTTTCCAGGGCACTTGGGTCTCAGGGCATTTACCAATTCACTTGAAAATATCTCAATATTTTCACAACTTGTATGGCTATACCAGTGCATCCTGACTGAATTATCTTCCTTCTTTGACCTCACACTAGAATCATTGGGAAGCCTTTGAAAAATTAGTGCCTGGGCAAGACAGGGATGCCCTCTCTCACCACTCCTATTCAACATAGTGTTGGAAGTTCTGGCCAGGGAAATCAGGCAGGAGAAGGAAATAGAGGGCATTCAATTAGGAAAAGAGGAAGTCAAATTGTCCCTGTTTGCAGATGACATGATTGTATGTCTAGAAAACCCCATCGTCTCAGCCCAAAATCTCCTTAAGCTGATAAGCAACTTCAGCAAAGTCTCAGGATACAAAATCAATGTGCAAAAATCACAAGCATTCTTATACACCAATAACAGACAGAGAGCCAAATCATGAGTGAACTCCCATTCACAATTGCTTCAAAGAGAATAAAATACCTAGGAATCCAACTTACAAGGGATGTGAAGGACCTCTTCAAGGAGAACTACAAACCACTGCTCAAGGAAATAAAAGAGGATACAAACAAATGGAAGAACATTCCATGCTCATGGGTAGGAAGAATCAATATAGTGAAAATGGCCATACTGCCCAAGGTAATTTATAGATTCAATGCCATCCCCATCAAGCTACCAATGACTTTCTTCACAGAATTGGAAAAAACTACTTTAAAGTTCATATGGAACCAAAAAAGAGCCCGCATCACCAAGTCAATCCTAAGCCAAAAGAACAAAGCTGGAGGCATCACACTACCTGACTTTAAACTATACTACAAGGCTACAGTAACCAAAACAGCATGGTACTGGTACCAAAACAGAGATATAGATCAATGGAACAGAACAGAGCCCTCAGAAATAACGCCGCATATCTACAACTATCTGATCTTTGACAAACCTGACAAAAACAAGCAATGGGGTAAGGATTCCCTATTTAATAAATGGTGCTGGGAAAACTGGCTAGCCATATGTAGAAAGCTGAAACTGGATCCCTTCCTTACACCTTATACAAAATTTAATTCAAGATGGATTAAAGACTTACATGTTAGACGTAAAACCATAAAAACCCTAGAAGAAAACCTAGGCAATACCATTCAGGACATAGGCATGGGCAAGGACTTCATGTCTAAAACACCAAAAGCAATGGCAACGAAAGCCAAACTACACAAATGGGATCTAATTAAACTAAAGAGCTTCTGCACAGCAAAAGAAACTACCATCAGAGTGAACACACAACCTACAGAATGGGAGAAAATTTTTGCAACCTACTCATCTGACAAAGGGCTAATATCCAGAATCTACAATGAACTCAAACAAATTTACAAGAAAAAAACAACCCCATCAAAAAGTGGGCAAAGGATATGAACAGACACTTCTCAAAAGCAGACATTCATGCAGCCAAAAAATACCTGAAAAAATGCTCATCATCATTGGTCATCAGAGAAATGCAAATCAAAACCACAATGAGATACCATCTCAACCGGTTAGAATGGTGATCATTAAAAAGTCAGGAAACAACAGGTGCTGGAGAGGATGTGGAGAAATAGGAACACTTTTACACAGTTGGTGGGATTGTAAACTAGTTCAACCATTGTGGAAGTCAGTGTGGTGATTCCTCAGGGATCTAGAACTAGAAATACCATGTGACCCAGCAATCCCATTACTGGGTATATACCCAAAGGATTATAAATCGTGCTGCTATAAAGACACATGCACACGTATGTTTATTGCGGCACTATTCACAATAGCAAAGACTTGGAACCAACCCAAATGTCCAACAATGATAGACTGGATTAAGAAAATGTGGCACATATACACCATGGAATACTATGCAGCCATAAAAAACGATGAGTTCATGTCCTTTGTAGGGACATGAATGAAGCTGGAAACCATCATTCTCAGCAAACTATCGCAAGGACAGAAAACCAAACACCACATGTTCTCACTCATAGGTGGGAATTGAACAATGAGAACACATGGACACAGGAAAGGGAACATCACACACCGGGGACTGTTGTGGGGTGAGGGGAGGGGGAGGGATAGCATTAGGTGATATACCTAATGCTAAATGACGAGTTAATGGGTGCAGCACACCAACATGGCACATGTATATATATGTAACAAACCTGCACGTTGTGCACATGTACCCTAAAACTTAAAGTATAATAATAATAAAATTAAAAAAAAAATTAGTGCCTGGGTAATTTTAATGTGTGGCCAGGAATGAGAACCATTGGACTAGATATACTGCCATTGTGGAGAGCTATTTCCTTTTGAGTATAGCTCACAGCCATCACTTGGGTGCACCATTAGGAAAAGAACAAGTGATCAAGCCTGCTGGACTTCCTCTAAGGCCATTGGACTTAATCCTGGTTCCTAAAGAAGCATATCATAACTTGTCTGGGAAGGTGTTCATAACACTGCCTGGGCCCCAATATCTATACAAATTAGCTTTGCAATAAACTGAAGTTCTCATATTTAGTCTGGATATAAGGTAGCACAGAAACTCCACACAAGGTCATCTTTAACTCTACAAGCCAGGATGGAAACCTCTGTGTGTCCAATGCAATTGTCTTTGTACTGTGAGCTTGTATCTCTGAAAGTAATGGCCCTAGAAGCTAATCCTTTTTAGTGGGAGCCAGGGAAGGGTTTTAGAACTTGAAATGGAAGGTTTCATCAGATGGAGCAGGTCCCTTGAAGAGATCCAGCAGACAAGCTGACTACATCCCTTATCAGAGGACAGTTTGAAATGAACTTAGTGATGGGGATGGAAGTCATGGTTGTATATGGGGGGTAAGATATAACCTGGAAAACAAAACAGGAGGGGGAAGTTCAGATACTAAATATGAGTGAGCATGGAGAAGTCATTCACAGAAAGAGATGTGGGGAGATCATGGGTACTCCTGAATGAATCAACACAACCATCATTATTCTCTCCAACATTTTTTAACCAAGATTTTCAAACATACAGAAAAGTTGAAAGACTTTCACAGTGAACGTCCATATACCCAACACCTAGATTCTACAATTTACATTTTATTGTGCTTTGCATTATCACAAACTTAATTTCTCTATCCCGCTATCCATTCATCAATCCATATTATTATTTTGATACATGTCAAAGTAAATTGCAGACAGTAATACACTTCTCCCTAAATACTTCAGCATGCATATCATCAACTAAAGTTCAGAATTTGTTTATGGTACTTTTTCTTTTGAAGTTAAATTTACATAAAATTGAGATACATAAATCTTAATTGAACCACCAGTGAGTTATGGCAAATGGATACAAACGTGTAACCAAAACCCCTTTCAAGATGTAAAACATTATCATGACTTCAGAAAGTTTTTCATGCCCTTTTCCATTCAACCCCCACCTTTATCTCTGCCTCAGGCAACCACAGTTTTTTTCACCATGGATTAATTTTGCTTCTTCTAGAAGTTTATATAATGAAATCATACAGTTTATTACACTCTTTTGTGTAATAATTCTTTCATTCAGCATAATTTTTTAAGATCCATCCATGCTATTGCATATATCAATAATTCATTCCTTTTTATTGCTAAGTAGTATTTCACTGTATGCCTATATCACAGTGTTTTATCCATTCACATATTAATGAACACATGAACTATTTCCAGTTCAGAAGTATTATGAATAAAGCTTCCATGAGTATTCATATGTAAGTTTTTGCATGGACAAATGTTTTATCTATTTTGGGCAAATACCTGGAAATAGAATTTTCAGATAATAAGGTTGCTGTATATTCACATTTATAACTAACTGCTGGACATTTTTCCAAAGTCGTTATACCATTTTATACTCCCAGCAAAAAATGTATGCAAGTTCTAGTTGCTCTGCATCCTTTCCAACATTTGGTGTTGTCTGTTTAATTTTAGCTGTTCTTCTGGGTGTCTACTGGTATCACAGTATGATTTTAGTTTGCAGTTCTCTGATATCTAATGATGTTGACTGCATAGTCATGTGCTTATTGGTCATTCACATATCTTTTGTGAAGATTCTGTTTAAACATTTTGCCTGTTTTGATTAGGTTATTTGTCTTTATATATTCTGAATACCATTTCTTTATCTGATATATGCTTTGGGATACTTTCTCTTAGAATGTGGCTTGTCTGTTCATTTTCTTAATGGTGTATTTTGATAAAAAGCTGTTTTTAATTTTGATGATGTTTAATGTATCAATTTTTATTATATAATTATTTCTGTGTCCTAAGAAACTTTTGCCTACTCCTGGTTCATAGAGATATGCTCCTATATTTTCGAGAATTTTTATGGCTTAAGTTTTATCATTAGATATGTAATCCTATGCAAATTAATTTTTGTATGGTGTTATGGTCTGAATATTTATGTTCCCCCCAAATTAATATGTTGAAATTATAATCCACTAGTGATGGTATTCAGTGGAGGGGCCACTGGGAAGTGATAAGGTCATGAGAGTGGGACCCTCATGAATAGGATTCGTTTGTTTCCCTATAAAAGAGGCCTAAAAGAGATTCTTTACTTCTTCCACCATGTGAGGACACAGTGAAAAGATAGCCATCTATGAACCAGAGAGTGGGGCCTTACCAGACACCAAATTTGCCAGTGCCTTGATCTTGGACTTTCCAGCCTCCAGAACTGTAAGGAATAAATTTTGGTTGTTTATAAGCCAATCAGTCTATGGTATTTTGTTATAGCAGCTCAAATGGACTAAGATATGTAGTTTGAGGTAGAGATTAAGTTTCTATTTGTATATCCAGTTTTCCAGCACCATTTGTTGAGGATTCTTTACTTTTCTCATTGAATTGTTTTAGCATCTTTGTCAAAAATCAGATGACTATATAAGTGTGTGTCTATTTGTAGACTCTATATTTTGTTCCATCACCTTATTTGTCAGTCCTTATGCCAATGATATATGGTCTTGATTACAGTAGTTTTACAATAAACATTGAAGTCAAGTATAGGAAATTTTCTGGTATTTCTGGTGAGTTTTTACTGCTAATAAAATTGGTTTTATTTAGTTAAAGTGGTATTCGAAAGATCCAGTTTATTTTATTTGAATTTCAATAGTTTTGGGAGAACAGGTGGTTTTTGGTCACATGGATAAATTCTTTAGTGATGATTTCTGAGATTTTGGTGCACCCATCATCCTAGCAGTGTACACCACACCCAATATGTAGCCTTTTATCCGTCACCCTCCTCCCACCCTTCCCCTTGAGTCCCCGAAGCCCATTATATCATTCTTATGCTTTTGCATCCTCATATCTTAGTTCCCACATACAAGTAAGAACATATGATATTTGGTTTTCCATTCCTGAGATTTTTTTTAAGATTGCTTTGGATATCTAGGTCCTTTGTATTTCCAAATAAATTTTAGAATTAGTTTGTACATTTCTATGAAAGAGCCAGATGGGATTATGTTTGGCATATGGTTATATCCCTAGATCATTTTGGGGAAATGAACATCTTAAGACAAGTCTTTCAAGATACAAATATGGTATTTCCATCCATGTATTTAGAGCTTTAATTTATCTTAATTAAGCTTTGAGCTTTTTCAGTCTAGAGTTCTTGGCACATCTTTTGTTAAATTTATTCCTAAGTAGTTTATGTTTTCTTATGCTATTACAAATGGAATTGATTTCTGAATGTCACTTTCCAATCATTTGCCAGTATAAAAAATGCAGTTGATTTGGTATGCTAACATTGTACTATGTAATTTTGTTAATTCACTTATTAGTTCCAGTAGTTATTTAAAATTCTTTAGGATTTTCTATGTAAGAAATCATGCCATCTGCAAATTTTTCCTTTCTCATATTTATGCCTTTAATTTCATTTGCTTGCTTTGTTGCAAAGGCTAGAATCTCCAAAGCAATGTTGATTAAAAGTGGTTAAAACATGTAGTATTTCACCATTAGGTATGGTGTTAGATGTACATTTTTCATAGATACACTTTATCAGATTGAAGAAGTGTCCTTCTATTCCTAGTTTGCTTAGAATTTTAATCATGAAAAAGTGCTGATTATGTCATGATTCTTCAGCATATTTGGATGTGACTATATGAATTTTCCCTTTGTACTGTTAACATGGTGAATTATATTGATTGATTTTCAAATGTTATGTAAACCTTGAATTCCTAGGATAAACCTTGCTTGGTCCTGCTGTATTATATTGTTTCTATATTGCTAGGATTGTATCTGTTAATACTGTGTTAAGGAGATTTGCACCTGTGTTCTTGAGATACTGGTCTATAAATTTCTTTTAATATATTTGCCATATTTTGGTGTTGGCATTATGTTGTGCTCAAAAAATGAAGTGGAACATGTTTCTTTCTTTTCTAATTTCTGTCTAAATTTGTGTTAAGATTGGCATTGTTTATTCATTACATGTTTGACTTCATTAGTGAAACAATCCTGGCACAGAATTTTTATTCCAGAAAAGTTTTTGATTATAAACTCAATTTCTTTAATAGATATGGTGCTGTTTATAATTGATGAGTTGTATTTTTATGTAATTTGTCTATTTTATCTGCATTATTAAATTTGTTGGCTTGAAGTTCTTCATAATAATCCCTTAATAATATACTTTCATGTTTGCAGATTGTTAATGGTAACGCTACTTTCATTTATTATATTGGTAATTTATATTTTCTAATTTTTTTCCTTGATAAGTCTTACTAGGGGTTTATCAAATTTGTTGATCTTTGTGAAGAATCCATTTTTGGTTTTATTATTTTTCTCTGTTTTTCATTTGTTTTCTATTTAATCAATTTCTGCTCTTTATGATTTCCTTCCTTCTATTTGGGTTTAATTTGTTCTTCTTTTGCTGGATTCTTAGAGTGGAAATTTATATTATTGATTTTGGACCTTTCTTCTTTTCTACTATAATTGTTTAATATAAGCTTCCTTCAATGAATATCTTAAATTGCATCTCATTAATTTTGATAGGTTGTATTTTTATTATCACTCAGTTTCAAATGTTCTCTAATGTCCCTTGTGATTTGATCCATGGATTATTTAGAAATGTGTTACTTAATTTCCAAACATTTTTTGTTTATCCAGATATCTTATTATTAATTTCTAATTCAACCATGGTCAGAAAACAGACTTTGTATAATATCTGCATTAGTTTTCTAGGGCTGCCGTAACAAAATACTACAAAATGAGTGACTTTTAAAAGAGAAGTGTATTGTCTCACAATTCTGGATGCTTGAAGTCCAAAATCAAGATGTAGTTAGAGCCAAGTTCCCTCTGTAACCTGTAGGGGAGAATCCTCCCTTGCCTCTTCCTAGCCTCCGGTGGTTTGCTGGAAATCCTTGGTGGTCCTTTGCTTGCAGCTGCAACACTTCAATATCTGCTTCTATCACCACACAGCATTTTTCTCTCATGTGTTTATGTCTCTGCATTTTTTCTTCTCTTCTTATAAGGACACCACTATCATCTATATGTTATAGCAGTTGGATAAATCAGACCTATATACATGTTAAATTTCACACAATAATGTTATAGTCTTTGCTTTAAACAGTCATATGTGTTTCAAGAAAATTAAGAGGAAAATTGTTTTTATATTTACTAGATATTTACCATTTCTGGTAATCTTCGTTCGTTTCTGAAGATTCTGGTTTTCAATCTGGTATAATTTCCCCTTTAGCCTGATGTATTAGGCCATTCTTGCACTGTTAAAAATAAATGTCTGAGACTAGGTAAATTATAAGAAAAGGGGTTTAACTGGCTCAGGGTTCTACAGACTATACAGGAAGTATAGCGGCAACTGCTTCTGGGGAGGCATCAGGAAGCTTTCAATCATGGCAAAAGGCAAAGAGGGGCACAGGCACATCACATGGCAAAAGCAGGAGCAAGACAGAGATCGTGGAAGGGGGTGAGGCAAGTGCCACACACTTTTAAAGCACCAGATCTCATGTGAACTCTGAGCAAGATCTCACTTATCACCAAGGAGATGACCCAAGCCATTGATGAGGGATCTGACCCCATGATCCAGACATCTCCCACCAGGCCTCACCTGCAACACTGAGGATTACAATTCAACATGAGATTTGGTGGAGACATGCATTCAAACTCTATCACCTGAATAACTCTATCATTTCTTGAAGTACAGATCTGCTGGAGACAATGTCTATTTGTTTTCTTCTATGTAAAACTATTTTTATTTCACTTTCTGTCTTGTTGGATAAGTTCTCTGGATATAAAATTCTAGGTTAAGAGATTTTTCCCCCAAAATATATTATTCCACTGTATCCCATTATATTATTTTTTGTACTCCAGTGTCTTCTAATCCCAACATCTAAATCATTTCTAGATTATCAGAAACATTGTTCCCTGATATAATGTATTATCTTCTCTGGTTGTTTTGGGGTATGTTCAAGATTTTATCTTTGCTTTTCATCAGTTTGACTAGACATGGTTTTCATGGTATATTTTGTTTACTGAGATTCCTGAATCTGTAAATGCATGTCTTTCACCAAATTTGGGATATTTGCACCCATTATTTCTTTAAAAAGTTTTTTTTTTAAAGACTGAAGTTTGCTTCAGTCTCTCTTTCCTTTCCTTTTGGAACTCAAGCTACACATGAGTTAGAACTTTGATACTGCCCCATTTGTCTCTGAAGATTTTTTTCCCTTTTTTGTCAAATTGGATACTTTCTATGGATCTATCTGCAAGTTCACTGGCTCCTTCCATTGTCATCTACACTTTTTTGCCCATTTAGATTTCTTAAAATTTCAGATATTGTATTTTTCAGTTTTAGAATTTTCACCTATTCCCTTTTTATGGTTTCTATTTCTCTGCTGAGATTCCTGGTTTTTACATTCATGGTAAGCATATTTCCTTCATTAAGCATAGTTGTAATAGCTGCTTAAATATCATTGTCTGCTAATTCCAACATGAGTCATTTCAGAGAGGGTCTTTATGAATATTTTTCTTTTGAGAATGGGTCATATTCTCCTGCTGCTTCATACATATACTACATAGTTTTGAGTAGCATCCTGGACTTCATGAATATTGTATTGTGGAAACTCTGGGTAATTCTATATTTCTCTAATGAATGTTAATATTGTTATTTTAGCAGGCAACTACAAACTGACTGATCTAAGGTCAGATCAATTTGTTTACCTTTAGCTGAACTGCTTGGAGTCTTCCCTGCACCTATAAAGTTCAGAGGTCAACCAGAGAGCAGAGAGTTGGGAAGAATTTCTTCAGAGAATTTGTGCTTCCTCTTCTTTGTCACTTTGCTTTCTGATAATTCCTCCTCCCTTCCCAGCAGCCTTGGTGGGCCCAAACTCTATCCTTTTGCTACTCAATCTAGAAAAACCCGCCAGTTTTCTATCAGAGCATTAGCTGTTTCCATGGCACAGATTAGGGCCTACCCCCAGGCAAGAAATTGTGAAAGAGGAGACTTAAACCCTTTGCCATTCTCTTTGCCTGGCTGGTGACTCTCCTCCAGAATCTGCCTGCTTTCTGTTGTTTTCCAGTCTCTTAATTGAGTTGCCTTTCAAATTTTGTCCAGATTTTATATTTTTATCTTCAGGAGGGTTGGTCCAATATGAGTTTACTTAGCCATAACCAAAAGTAGAACCCATCAATTTTTTCAAAAAAAATTCTAATTACCAAAAAAAAACCATGGCTATATTTTCTATTTTCCTTGCTAAAATTTCAAATTATGTAGATGGAGCAAAAGTCCCTCTTGTTCCACTCTATTTAATTATCTTCCCCCAAGGTAGCCGTTAGTAGTTTGGTACACATCCATCCAGATCTTCCTCTATGAAATAAAGTATATATGTCTGCATACTAATATAAAATTTTGGAGTTTCATGTATGTAAATTAGATAGGTGGTATAAAATGGAGGTTAAGATCATAGGTTCTATTGTCAAACTGCTTGAATTCAAATCCACATTGTAGCACTTATGAGCTATGTGACCTTAGTGAATTTCTTCAAAACTTTTGTACCTGTGTTTTTCCATCTGTAAAAGGGGGATAATGATATTGCCAACCACATAGGTAGGGTTATGACAATGGCAATAATTAGTACATATAAAGGACTTGAGACAATGTCTGGCATAAATTAAGCCCTCAATAAATGCTATGATTTATTATTATCCTGTAACTCACTTCCCCCCCAACAATGTTTTGAATATTTTACATATATAAATTTCATTTTTATCCTGCTGCAAAGTATTTCATAATATGGAAGCACCAAGTTTGGCTTTCCCACTACCCTACTGATTAACATCTAGGTTGTTTTTTATTTTTTTTCCTCTTCTGTGAATAAGACCATAAAGAACATCCTGGTACATGCCTCTTTTTGTGCATAGAAGAGCATTCCTCTCAGAATAAATACATAGAAGTAGACTTGCTGGGCCAGAACATAGGTACATTTCAGCTTTGTATGGAATAAAGCAAATGAACAATTGAGTGATAGTCTGATTCTATCAATACTGCTACCCTTGAGAGCAAGGATTCCCAAGGAGATATAGATGTAAGGTAGAAGAGTTTAATAAAATCCTATGTCATACGAAGTATAATTGGTAATATCAGTACATACTCATAGAGTATTGTACTTAAAAGGCATAACAACAAACCCAGTAGTAATAAGCATTTTTAGAACTCAGAAGGTGGTCTTGAAAATGCGGTTCCTGGAGGAGCAAAGATGGCCGAATAGGAACAGCTCCTGTCTACAGCTCCCAGCGTGAGCGACGCATAAGATGGGTGATTTCTGCATTTCCATCTGAGGTACCAGGTTCATCTCACTAGGGAGTGCCAGACAGTGGGCGCAGGTCAGTGGGTGCGCGCACCGTGCACGAGCCGAAGCAGGGCAAGGCATTGCCTCACTTGGGAAGTGCAAGGGGTCAGGGAGTTCCCTTTCCGAGTCAAAGAAAGGGGTGACGGACGCACCTGGAAAATCGGGTCACTCCCACCCGAATACTGTGCTTTTCCAACCAGCTTAAAAAACGGCGCACCAGGAGATTATATCCCGCAACTGGCTCGGAGGGTCCTACGCCCACGGAGTCTCGCTGATTGCTAGCACAGCAGCCTGAGATCAAACTGCAAGGTGGCAGCGAGGCTGGGGGAGGGGCGACCGCCATTGCCCAGGCTTGCTTAGGTAAACAAAGCAGCCAGGAAGCTCCAACTGGGTGGAGCCCACCACAGCTCAAGGAGGCCTGCCTGCCTCTGTAGGCTCCACCTCTGGGGGCAGGGCACAGACAAACAAAAAGACAGCAGTAACCTCTGCAGACTTAAATGTCCCTGTCTGACAGCTTTGAAGAGAGCAGTGGTTCTCCCAGCACGCAGCTGGAGATCTGAGAACGGGCAGACTGCCTCCTCAAGTGGGTCCCTGACCCCTGAGCAGCCTAACTGGGAGGCACCCCCCAGCAGGGGCACACTGACACCTCACAAGGCAGGGTACTCCAACAGACCTGCAGCTGAGGGTCCTGTCTGTTAGAAGGAAAACTAACAAACAGAAAGGACATCCACACCAAAAACCCATCTGTACATCACCATCATCAAAGACCAAAAGTAGATAAAACCACAAAGATGGGGAAAAAACAGAACAGAAAAACTGGAAACTCTAAAAAGCAGAGTGCCTCTCCTCCTCCAAAGGAACGCAGTTCCTCACCAGCAATGGAACAAAGCTGGATGGAGAATGACTTTGACGAGCTGAGAGAAGAAGGCTGCAGATTATCAAATTACTCTGAGCTACGGGAGGACATTCAAACCAAAGGCAAAGAAGTTGAAAACTTTGAAAAAAATTTAGAAGAATGTATAACTAGAATAACCAATACAGAGAAGTGCTTAAAGGAGCTGATGGAGCTGAAAACCAAGGCTCGAGAGCTACGTGAAGAATGCAGAAGCCTCAGGAGCCGATGCGATCAACTGGAAGAAAGGGTATCAGCAATGGAAGATGAAATGAATGAAATGAAGCGAGAAGGGAAGTTTAGAGAAAAAAGAATAAAAAGAAATGAGCAAAGCCTCCAAGAAATATGGGACTATGTGAAAAGACCAAATCTACGTCTGATTGGTGTACCTGAAAATGATGGGGAGGATGCAACCAAGTTGGAAAACACTCTGCAGGATATTATCCAGGAGAACTTCCCCAATCTAGCAAGGCAGGCCAACGTTCAGATTCAGGAAATACAGAGAACGCCACAAAGATACTCCTCGAGAAGAGCAACTCCAAGACACACAATTGTCAGATTCACCAAAGTTGAAATGAAGGAACAAATGTTAAGGGCAGCCAGAGAGAAAGGTCGGGTTACCCTCAAAGGGAAGCCCATCAGACTAACAGCAGATCTCTCAGCAGAAACCCTACAAGCCAGAAGAGAGTGGGGGCCAATATTCAACATTCTTAAAGAAAATAATTTTCAACCCAGAATTTCATATCCAGCCAAACTAAGCTTCATAATTGAAGGAGAAATAAAATACTTTACAGACAAGCAAATGCTGAGAGATTTTGTCACCACCAGGCCTGCCCTAAAAGAGCTCCTGAAGGAAGCACTAAACATGGAAAGGAACAACTGGTACCAGCCACTGCAAAATCATGCCAAAATGTAAAGACCATCGAGACTAGGAAGAAACTGCATCAACTAACCAGCAAAAGAACCAGCTAACATCATAATGACAGGATCAAATTCACACATAACAATATTAACTTTAAATGTAAATGGACTAAATGCTCCAATTAAAAGACACAGACTGGCAAATTGGATAAAGAGTCAAGACCCATCAGTGTGCTGTATTCAGGAAACCCATCTCACATGCAGAGACACACATAGGCTCAAAATAAAAGGATGGAGGAAGATCTACCAAGCAAATGGAAAACAAAAAAAGGCAGGGGTTGCAATCCTAGTCTCTGATAAAACAGACTTTAAACCAACAAAGATCAAAGAGACAAAGAAGGCCATTACATAATGGTAAAGGGATCAATTCAACAAGAAGAGCTAACTATCCTAAATATATATGCACCCAATACAGGAGCACCCATATTCATAAAGCAAGTCCTGAGTGACCTACAAAGAGACTTAGACTCCCACACATTAGTAATGGGAGATTTTAACACCTCACTGTCAACATTAGACAGATCAACGAGACAGAAAGTCAACAAGGATACCCAGGAATTGAACTCAGCTCTGCACCAAGCAGACCTAATAGACATCTACAGAACACTCCACCCCAAATCAACAGAATATACATTTTTTTCAGCACCACACCACATCTATTCCAAAATTGACCACATACTTGGAAGTAAAGCTCTCCTCAGCAAATGTAAAAGAGCAGAGATTATAACAAACTATCTCTCAGACCACAGTGCAATCAAACTAGAACTCAGGATTAAGAATCTCACTCAAAACCGCTCAACTACATGGAAACTGAACAACCTGCTCCTGAATGACTACTGGGTACATAACGAAATGAAGGCAGAAATAAAGATGTTCTTTGAAACCAATGAGAACAAAGACACAGCATACCAGAATCTCTGGGATGCATTCAAAGCAGTGTGTACAGGGAAATTTATAGCACTAAATGCCCACAAGAGAAAGCAGGAAAGATCCAAAATTGACACCCTAACATCACAATTAAAAGAACTAGAAAAGCAAGAGCAAACACTTTCAAAAGCTAGCAGAAGGCAAGAAATAACTAAAATCAGAGCAGAACTGAAGGCAATAGAGACACAAAAAACCCTTCAAAAAATTAATAAATCCAGGAGCTGGTTTTTTGAAAGGATCAACAAAATTGATAGACTGCTAGCAAGACTAATAAAGAAAAAAAGAGAGAAGAATCAAATAGACACAATAAAAATGATAAAGGGGATATCACCACCGATCCCACAGAAATACAAACTACCATCAGAGAATACTACAAACACCTCTACGCAAATAAACTAGAAAATCTAGAAGAAATGGATAAATTCCTCGACACATACACTCTCCCAAGACTAAACCAGGAAGAAGCTGAATCTCTGAATAGACCAATAACAGGCTTTGAAATTGTGGCAATAATCAATAGCTTACCAACCAAACAGAGTCCAGGACCAGATGGATTCACAGCCGAATTCTACCAGAGGTATAAGGAGGAGCTGGTACCATTCCTTCTGAAACTATTCCAATCAATAGAAAAAGAGGGAATCCTCCCTAACTCATTTTATGAGGCCAGCATCATTCTGATACCAAAGCCAGGCAGAGACACAACCAAAAAAGAGAATTTTAGACCAATATCCTTGATGAACATTGATGCAAAAATCCTCAATAAAATACTGGCAAAACGAATCCAGCAGCACATCAAAAAGCTTATCCACCATGATCAAGTGGGCTTCATCCCTGGGATGCAAGGCTGGTTCAATATACACAAATCAATAAATGTAATCCAGCATATAAACAGAACCAAAGACAAAAACCACATGATTATCTCAATAGATGCAGAAAAAGCCTTTGAAAAAATTCAACAACCCTTCATGCTAAAAACTCTCAATAAATTAGGTATTGATGGGACGTATTTCAAAATAATAAGAGCTATCTATGACAAACCCACAGCCAATATCATACTGAATGGGCGAAAACTGGAAGCATTCCCTTTGAAAACTAGCACAAGACAGGGATGCCCTCTCTCACCACTCCTATTCAACATAGTGTTGGAAGTTCTGGCCAGGGCAATTAGGCAGGAGAAGGAAATAAAGGGTATTCAATTAGGAAAAGAGGAAGTCAAATTGTCCCTGTTTGCAGATGACATGATTGTATATCTAGAAAACCCCATTGTCTCAGCCCAAAATCTCCTTAAGCTGATAAGCAACTTCAGCAAAGTCTCAGGATACAAAATCAATGTACAAAAATCACAAGCATTCTTATACACCAACAACAGACAAACAGAGAGCCAAATCATGAGTGAAATCCCATTCACAATTGCTTCAAACAGAATAAAATACCTAGGAATCCAACTTACAAGGGATGTGAAGGACCTCTTCAAGGAGAACTACAAACCACTGCTCAAGGAAATAAAAGAGGATAGAAACAAATGGAAGAACATTCCACGCTCATGGGTAGGAAGGAAGAATCAATATAGTGAAAATGGCCATACTGCCCAAGGTAATTTATAGATTCAACGCCATCCCCATCAAGCTACCAATGACTTTCTTCACAGAATTGGAAAAAACTACTTTAAAGTTCATATGGAACCAAAAAAGAGCCCGCATCACCAAGTCAATCCTAAGCCAAAAGAACAAAGCTGGAGGCATCACTCTACCTGACTTCAAACTACACTACAAGGCTACAGTAACCAAAACAGCATGGTACTGGTACCAAAACAGAGATATAGATCAATGGAACAGAACAGAGCCCTCAGAAATAACGCCGCATATCTACAACTATCTGATCTTTGACAAACCTGACAAAAACAAGCAATGGGGTAAGGATTCCCTATTTAATAAATGGTGCTGGGAAAACTGGCTAGCCATATGTAGAAAGCTGAAACTGGATCCCTTCCTTACACCTTATACAAAAATCAATTCAAGATGGATTAAAGACTTACATGTTAGACCTAAAACCATGAAAACCCTAGAAGAAAACCTAGGCATTACCATTGAGGACATAGGCATGGGCAAGGACTTCATGTCTAAAACACCAAAAGCAATGGCAACAAAAGACAAAATTGACAAATGGGATCTAATTAAACTGAAGAGCTTCTGCACAGCAAAAGAAACTACCATCAGAGTGAAAAGGCAACCTACAAAATGGGAGAAAATTTTTGCAACCTACTCATCTGACAAAGGGCTAATATCCAGAATCTACAATGAACTCAAACAAACTTACAAGAAAAAAACAACCCCATCAAAAAGTGGGCGAAGGACATGAACAGACACTTCTCAAAAGAAGACATTTATGCAGCCAAAAAACACATGAAAAAATGCTCATCATCACTGGCCATCAGAGAAATGCAAATCAAAACCACAATGAGATACCATCTCACACCAGTTAGAATGGCAATCATTAAAAAGTCAGGAAACAACAGGTGCTGGAGAGGATGTGGAGAAATAGGAACACTTTTACACTGTTGGTGGGACTGTAAACTAGTTCAACCATTGTGGAAGTCAGTGTGGCGATTCCTCAGGGATCTAGAACTAGAAATACCATTTGACCCAGCCATCCCATTACTGGGTATATACCCAAAGGACTATAAATCATGCTGCTATAAAGACACATGCACACGTATGTTTATTGTGGCATTATTCACAATAGCAAAGACTTGGAACCAACCCAAATGTCCAACAATGATAGACTGGATTAAGAAAATGTGGCACATATACACCATGGAATACTATGCAGCCATAAAAAACGATGAGTTCATGTCCTTTGTAGGGACATGGATGAAATTGGAAATCATCATTCTCCGTAAACTATCGCAAGAACAAAAAACCAAACACCACATATTCTCACTCATAGGTGGGAATTGAACAATGAGATCACATGGACACAGGAAGGGGAATATCACACTCTGGGGACTGTTGTGGGGTGGGGGGAGGGGGGAGGGATAGCATTGGGAGATATACCTAATGCTAGATGAGGAGTTAGTGGATGCAGTGCACCAGCATGGCACATGTATACATATGTAACTAACATGCACAATGTGCACATGTACCCTAAAACTTAAAGTATAATAAAAATAAATAAATAAATAAATAAATAAATAAATAAATAAAAAAGAAAGAAAATGCGGTTCCTTAGATAAACAGCTGATTAAAGTCCTTTCAGTGGCCTGCAAGGCCTAGCATGATCTGATCCCTACCTTGTCCTTATCCCTCACAACCTTCCCCCATCACTCTCCCCTCCTGCCACACCAATCACCCTATTTAATATTGCAAATCATTCCTTGACTCCAGCACTCTTAATCTGCCTCACACTTCTAATGTTTATCTTTTCCACAGCACTTAGTATCTTCTAACATACCTATATATGTATGTATACATCAATATATCTATCTATCTATCTATCTATCAGCCAAGTATTGTCAAAATAGTTTGCACTAACATACCATCCCAATTCTCAGTGACTTAGAACAACAATCATTTGTTCTCAATCACATATCTCTGGATTGACTGGGAGTTGGCTCCAAGCTGCTATTTGTATCTAATCATCCTCCACTTGTTTCTTATCTTCCTTGGACCAGTAGGCTACCAGGGACATATCTTTCTCAAGCTTATGGTAGAAGCACAAGAAAGCAAGCCCAAACACACAATCACATTTTAAGCTTTTGTAAACATCACCTCTATCAATATTCCATTGGCCAACGCAAGTCTTATGACAAAAACCAACATTAACGGGATAATACAAAATAACACACTCTGTCTCTAATAAGAGAAACTATACAGCCACATGGCAAAGAGTATAGATAGAAGGAAGATGAACATTCAGAGACAAAAATTATATCAACTACATTTATTATTGTTTATTTTCTGTCTTCTTCAATTAGAATATAAATTCTACAAAGAATTGTTTTGTCATTGATATATTCCAATTACCTAAAACAGTACCTGACACCTAACAGGTGCTCAGTAAATATTTCTTGAATTAATATGTGAATGAAGTATTTGTGTAAGAATTAATTGATCCCTCCTCTTTGCTTCCACAGTACATGGTTTAGACTTCTCAGGTGACAGTGCATCAGACCTTGTGTATGATTTCCTCAGGAGACACTGTGTACCTACTAGTGCATCCACATTCTCAGCAGGAAGGGAGAAAGGGAAGAGCCCTCAAGCCTCATCCCCCTACTCTGAAGCCTGAGAAGGCACTGTAGTTTGGGTGGGCATGGCCTGCTGCTCTACCCCATATGCAGTGTTCTGCTTGCAATGACAAGCAAAAAGCAAAGGCCATGACAGGCAGCCTGCTGGGCACTTCTGACTCAAAAATAACAACTATAATCACGATGTGAAATCAAAGGAATAAGAAATGCAGAATTGTTCTTTCTATTCAAGGAAAAATTATCTGTGCCATCTCTCATCCCTGACAAATTCCTGTTAAGCTAGCTGTCACACTGGCAAGGGTCTGGAACAATTTCCTCTAAGATGTTAATGATTGATAATGGCATATTGTTTTACCTCCTTTGCAGTGCCTTCACCCTAAGGATCTAGAAGGTGAGAGAGAAGCCAGATGTGGGCAAACGGCTTTTCTAGTGCTCCCTGAGTCATCTAGCAGAGGGCCTGGTCAATATTAATACTTTTACACACACACACACACACACACACACACACACACACACACATCAATATGCCTAGGTCCTCAACCAGACATTCTGATTTAATTGGTCTGGGCATTACAATTTTAAAAAGCAAAGCTCCCAAAGTAATTATAGCATGCAGCAAAGCTTGAGAACCACTGCACATAGCTCAACACAACTGCCACAAACTAGTAAAGACCTGGGGGATGAGAGCACTAAGAAATTTCTCTCTGCTGGAACTTCCCTAATAAGTGTAAAAACATATTGTTATCTCTCCCATCTTTAAGCCAAAACTTCTTTTTGACTCTACTTCCTCCTCCACCTATATTTTCTTTTTTCCTTTGTAGAAAAACTTATGAATAGAATTGTCTACACTCTCAGCTCCCCATTTCTTTCCTCCTACACTCTCTTGAACCTGCTCTAATAGGATGTTGGCTTCCACCACTCCTCCAGAACTGCTCTTATAAGGTCACTAGCAACACCCATATTGTAAAATCCAAGGATTACTTCCCAGTTCTCATCCTAATTGATCCATCAGCGCTCTTTCGCTGCTGATCACTCCTCCATATAATACTTTCTTCACTTGGTTTCTAGGCTGCTATACTCCTTTGTCGTTTACCTTTATGACCATCCTTCTCAATCTTTTTTGCTGGTTTCTCCTCATCTTCCCAACCACTAAATGTTAGAGTAACCAGGGCTCAGTTCTAGTACCTCTTTTCTTCTTTATCTACATTCATTCCTTAGAGGATCTCATCCTGGGTCTTAATTTTATGTACCATCAATACAGTGGTGACTCCAACTACCTATTTGAAATTCACACTTATATGTCAGGTAGGTATTATAAATTTAACATGTTTAAAACTCTATTCCTGGTCTTCCTCCATTAACCTGCTCCTATTATAGTCTTTTTCATCTCAATAAGTGGCAAATCTTTATTCCTTTTTGCTAAGATCCAAAACCTTGTAGCTATACCTCACATCTGATCTGTTGAAAATTGTCAACTCCACCTTCAAATTTTATTGAAAATTTGACATCTTCTCACCATGCGCACTATGCCACTCTGGCCCGAGTTACCATCTTATCTTGCATGGATTATTACAATGACTTTCTAACTGCTGTTTCTGCTTCTGTCCTGGCCCAACGTAAACCTGTTCTCAACAGAGAAGCAAGGGCAATCCTACTAAACAATCAATCAGATGACACTCCTTTTCTCAAAATCCCCTAACAGTTCACCTTGTCCCTCAGAGTTAAAACCAACATCCTATCCACGACCTACCTTCAAAGCCCTACATGATCTGGCCCTGTTCCCTCTCTGACCTCATCTCCCTCACTCTATCTTCTCCAACCACACTGGTCTCCTTGCTGTTCCTTGACCACACCAGGCACTGTCCTACCTTAGGGCCTTTGCACTTGCTATTTCTTCTTCTTAGAACACTTTAATCCCAGATATCCACATGGCTCACTTCCGTAGCCCCTTCAAATGTCACCTTCTCTGTGAGTTCACCCTATCCCAGAATTGCAAACTCCATCCCCACCCTCATTGTATACACTCCGTCACTGTTTGACCTAACATAGTATATATTACAACGTACCACAGTATATACTTTTCTCATTTACCTTGTCTTTTACCTGTCTCCCCTATTCCCACCCAGATGTATGCTCTGTGAAGGTAGCGATTTTTTTCTCATTCTTTTCTATTTTTTTAACCAATGGTCCCCAGAGTCTATAACAGTGCTTGGCTAAAATGTGGTGCCTGATAAGTATTTGTTGAAAGAATGAAAGAAGAAAAGAAAGTAGAAGATATATTTTTATTGATACAAATTCTTTATATCATTCCTTATTTAATGAACTAGCTCAAAGATAGAATCTCATTCTTTTTTTTTTTTTTTTTTTTGGATCAAGATAGTTATCACAGTGGTTAAAGGCATGAGTGCTGGAGTGTGGCAGTCTCCATTTATAAGCTGTATGACTTTGGGCAAGCCACTTAACTTTCCTGAGCCTCAGTTTCCTAATGGGACATGTGAGACTCAAGTGAGACAACTCAGTAAATGGTCAGCTTCTCTGCAAAATGGGTCAAAGCATGCACTACAAGCATGAAGAAACAAAATAGTAAAATAGTCAAGTTGGCTCAAAAATATTACGACCAGCCAGACACAGTGGCTCACGCATGTAATCCCAGCACTTTGAGAGGCTGAGGTGGGAGGATCACTTGAGGCCAGAAGTTCAAGGCCGAAGGTCAAAGGAAAGCAGACACCTGTGAAGAGGCAAAACCCAAGGGACTCCTGGCTTTATAACAACCCATTATCACCGGAACTAATCAATTCCCCTTAAAACTAACCCAGTCTCACTAGAATGAGAACTCACTCACTACTGTGAGTATGGCACCAAACCATTCTTGAGGGATCTGCCCCCATGACCCAAACACCTCCCGCTAGGCCCTACCTCCCAACACCACCACATTGGGGGTCAAATTTCAACAGGAGTTTTGGTGGGGATAGACTCAAATCATAGCACTGCCCTACTCTCATTCCCACTGACACTCACAAAGAAACTACAGAATCTAATAAATAATGTGCTTTAGGAATTTAAGGGTCTCTAATGTCTAATTTGTTGGTTCTCCCCATTTAACATATAATTTCCTAAATGTCATGTCATATTCTGGATGGAATCCTCGAACACAGAGAAAGAGTATTAGTGGAAAAACTGGTGAAATCTGAATAAAGACTGGAGTTTAGTTAATAGTAATGTACCAATATTAATCTCTTAAATTTGACAAATGTATTCTACTTATATAAGATGTTAACATTAAGGGAAACTGGTTGAAGAGTCCATGGAAACTCTCTGTTATTTGCAACTTTTGCAACATTTCTGTAAATATAAAATTGTTTCAAAATAAATGTTTATTAAAATAAAATTGCAAGGCCATGCACGGCAGCTCATGCCTTGTAATCCCAGCACTTTGGGAGGCTGAGGCAGGTGGATCACTTGAGGTGAGGAGTTTGAGACCAGCCTGGCCAACATGGTGAAACCCTGTCTCTACCAAAAATACAAAAATTAGCGGGGCGTGGTGGTGCACGCCTGTAGTCCCAGCTACTCTGGAGGCTGAGGCAGGGGAATCACTTGAACCCAGGAGGTGGAGGTTGCGGTGAGCTGAGACTGTGTCACTGCACGACAGCCTGGGCCACACAGCAAGACTCAGTCTTAAAGAAAAAATAAAAATTAAAATAAAAAAATTGCAAAGTAACAGCGACTTTGAAATTAACTTGTAGTATATCTCACCTAGAATGTATGCATTTCTTATCACTATCAGCACATTTTTACTTTCCTCTCTACTTTTTATGTAACTCCCATGTTAGTGGGAGTGGGAGTAGTGAAAGAAAAAATACTTTCCCAAAATACTTTTCAACCAATTTCCCCCTTAAAACATCTATCACAGTTGCCAGTAAATGCCTCTCAGAGTGCTAAGCACATGACACCAGTCTGAAAAATAAGCCTTGTATTGACCTTGGAAGAGTAAGAGTTAGGAAGCAGCAGCTGGCTGCCCCTTGGCTAAAGTTAAAACAGTATCCATCACGTACCTCCCCTCCCCCAACCATCTACCTGATCTTTTCCCTAAATCAAGGTTCATAAGCCACAGGCTGGGGAATTAAAAGGAAAGAATATCCTCAAAGCCAGTTCCATATTTAAATACTTTTGTAAGCCATATAAACCACCTCCTTTCCTCTTATAAACATACTTCTCACCCAGGATCTCCAGTAAAATTATTCATTTTCAGCATTTTGCCTCTAAGTGGCACTTGTCAGTATCATGAGGTACTTAATTGTGACAGAGAAAGGAAAATATCTTAGGAAATCTAGATTCAAATTGTGTTGGCACTAATGACAGCATAATTTTAGCAGATTCAATGTTCTTTAGTAAATGGGGAGATAATCTAAAACATGACTAAAGGATGCTAATTATAATATTGAGCCAAAAACCACATTCTTTCCTAAACTTTCTCCACCACACCTATCCTGTTTTCTGAGCAAAACTATCAGGAGACGGGGGAGGAGAAATAGGCTAATTGATATACTGCATTTTTATTACAAAGATGATGCTCCTGCAAAACAAGTCATTTTGGGGATGGTTTTTCAGTACCTGGGTTCAGCAGCAAGGAGCCGTATCTACTTCCTTTTTCCCCTAAGACCACTCCTTTTTACCAATGAATATGCTTGGGGTTTGATTAGGTAAAAGCCTTTGAGTTTGAGGGGGATTATTTTTGGCATATTAAACCAATGTGTGCTTTCATTCCAGGTGTTTCTTGTTACTCCATTATCACTTTCCCATTCAGGCAGCTTCACTGTAAAGCATCCATTGCCTCAGAGTAGGGCCAACAGAGCATAAATAATGGAGGTAACAAACATCGCATGTTCTCACTTATTTGTGGAATCTAAAAATTAAAACAATTGCACTCATGGACATAGAGAGTAGAAGGATGGTTACCAGAGGCTGGGAAGGGTAGTGGGGGGTGGGAGGAAGGTGGGGATCGCTAATTGATACAGAAAAAGTAGAAAGAATGAATAAGACCTGTGTGTTTGATAGCACAACAGGGGGACTATAGTCAACAAAAAACTTCATTGTACATTTTAAAATAGCTTAAAGAGTGTAATTGGATTGTTTGTAACATGAAGGATAAATGCTTGAGGGGATGGATACCCCATTCTCCATGATGTACTTGTTTCGCATTGCATACCTGTATCAAAACATCTCATATACCCCATAGATACACCACGTACCCACAAAAATAAAAATAAAAGAGTCCATTGTTTCCTTTTGAAGTTCAATAGAAACAAAACAAGTATCAATCAATTTGAGCCTAGATGAATAAGCTGTGATATCGTCACAAGACACAATATCATACAGCTGTCAAAATGAGTGATCTAGAGTCACACACAACAATGTTGATGAAGTTAGTGATACGATTTTAGGTCAAAAAATGAAGTCCCCAAAGGTAAGACATGATACCTCTTTAACAGAATTAAATATAAGAAGTAATTTTTAATTTTTAAAAATCATGGCAGTTTTTAAAAATTAAAAATTAGTTTTTATAACACATGGATGCAATAAAATGATATGAAAAAGAAAACAAGAGAATGATGAGCATGGGTTTCAAGATAATTGAGGTGGTGGGTGGTAGGGGAAGGTAGAGATATGATAGGGGGTAGAACACATGATTAGGTGTAGGTTACTGTTAAGGTTCTAATTTTCTAGCTTTTGTTTTGAAAGGGGTCTATTACAACTATTGAAAATAAATAACTAGTTAAAGCAAAAAGAGCCATGCATGGAACAATGATAAGGGTGTATCTTAAAACAAGGATTATGTTTAATTCACTTCTGCGCACCTAAGGATCAATTTTTAAATACTTAATAACAAAAAACTCAAAGCAGAAATCATTATTTAAGAGCAACAGTTTCTTGTTTTTGTTTTTGTTTGAGACAGTGTCTTGCTC
Organism: Homo sapiens; assembly: GCF_000001405.40. Classification (NCBI taxonomy): domain Eukaryota; kingdom Metazoa; phylum Chordata; class Mammalia; order Primates; family Hominidae; genus Homo; species Homo sapiens. The sequence goes on along the minus strand of NC_000023.11, from coordinate 110,809,722 downwards.
TGTCACGCAGGTTGGAGTGCAGTCGCGCCATCACAGCTCACTGCAGCCTTGACTTCCTGGGCTCAAGCAATCCTCCTGCCTCAGCCTCCCAAGCAGCTGAGACTACAAGTGTACATCACCATGCCTGGCTAATTTTTTAATTTTTTGTAGAAGAAAATCAGAGTTATTTTTATATCAAGTATGATGCAAAGGATATTAGCTGCATCTGGTGCATTTGAAGTCCAAAGAAGTCCATATGAGAGTTAGAGTTATAGATTACTGAAGCTAAAAGAAATGTGTATGATTTGCCATGTTTCCCAGGCTGACAGCAGCAGGTTTTGGGTTCCCTTATCCCTTATCCCAAGACTGGCCAGAAACAGTGGACATGGGGAGAAAAGCCTTCCTTACCACCACAACAATATAAAAATATTCCGAATGGGAAAGTCAGAGAGTCAGTGAGGAACCTGGTAGTGTATTGGGTCAGCACAGCGAGCCATGAGCAGAGGTCTTATGTCTGTCACTTCACTGGGAAAAGTTCTGGAGGCAGGAAGAAACATGGACTTCCCAACTAGTTTAGGGAACTCAGAAGGAGACTGATCCTGTGGGACTGGGAAGGACACAGGAGTAGTTACCTACAGCCCAGATTTATGTGGGATCACAAGAAATGTCTACAGATGGGCCCAAGATAAATGGGCCTGATTCAGCTCCATTTAATTTTCTGAAGCTCCAGAGAGACAAGGAGGAAAATCCTGTGTCCTATGTCTTTGAGGGGCATGGAAGTGGCTGAGAGAGACTGGACCTGAGAAGTCCTGTGGTGGCGAATAAAGGACAATGCAACAGTGATCGGCTTGAATCCTCAGCCAAGGATCAGATGAGATGTGCCACATCCAAGCGGATGCCAGCATCCCCAGCCCCTACACCACCCCAATCCCATTCTGAGGAAACTAGGAAATCTCCAGAACTTGGATACAGCTGTGAAGCAAGCAAAGGAGCCTGAAATGACTAGGAATAACTAAGATGGAGGGTCTATTACTGGCCCGAAGGAAGACGTGGTATTCTTACATAACTGAACTTATGGCCTGAGATATGAAACCCCTGAATGAATAAGCTGTCCAACAAAGCCCTTTGGTTATCTGGGAATATAAGGTATGGAGGCAAAGCAGAGAGGTTACCCTTGCCTTTCCCCCATAACTAGCTGTGTGACCTCTGGTAAATCTCTAAGTCTCAGTCTCATTTATATAAAATAAGGGCAATGGCTAGAGCCCAGGTCAAACTCTGACACTGCCAGTAACTCACTGTGTGACCTCAGGCACATCCCCTTTCTTCTTTGGTTCTGTTTCCTCAGTTGTAATACAAGAGAAATAGATGAACTCTACCTATTTCCTTTAAATCCAATAATCTATACCTCTAATTCTTATATGGGCTTCTTTGGACTTCAAATGAACTAGATGCAGTTAATATCCTCTGGGTCACTATGAATATAAAGGTAAATCTTGTTTTCTTCTAAAAATTGTATAGCCAAATTGGGTTTGTAGAGGATCATTTAACCAAATCTGCAGCCTGTCACTCAGATGGCCAAAAACAGCTGAGACGTTAATATTTAACCATGAATAACCAGCAGGACTCCTCTGCAGAGCTAAATACAGTCAATTTTTGTTATTTTTCTAAATATTAGTGGCTCGGCTGTCTCTGCTACGGAACAGTTTCTAGGGTCATGAATATAATCAAACAACCCTCTTCTTCTAATCCAGCCACAAAAGAGAGAAGGTGGGTGCATTTTTTAGTGGTCTGTGTATAATTGTTGGCCCCCTATTTTATTTATATGCTTGTGAAACACCATAGAGATGGGGAAGATGGGAGAATGAAACATGGTGGGCACAAGGCTGGTGAGCTAGAAATCTGTGAATAGAGGAACTAGGGGACTCATTATCAGGGTAGTGTGGATACAAGGAAAATAGTGGTAGTGGGGCACACCAAGACATGTGTAGACACATGGGCTGCAGTCGCAAACACATGGAGATACAGAATAGGTGGGATAGAGAGAGGTTAAGGGCACACATCAAAGATTCAGACAGACATGGGCTTGAGTCCTGGCTTTATCCCTTACTGGCTGTGTGACCTTCCTCAACCTGTAAAAGGTGGGATGACAATAACAGTGCCTATCTCAAAGTATTATTGTGAAGCCTAAATAAAAGAATACATGTAAAAGTCCTTCCCATGCCCAATATACAGTAAATACCTAACAAATGGTAGAGTTCTGATGACTAACAATAAGCTCAATTTCACAGAATCCCAAAGCTAGAAGGAACCCCTGAGATCATTTTACTCAGTCATTTGCTTGCATAGATGAAGAAGCCGAGATTCAGAGAGGTAAATGGACTTGTCTCAGGACACAGAGCTAGCTAATAACAGCACCAATACTAGGATCTGGGTCCCCTGAAGTCTGTTTCTAAGTTCTTTCCACTCCACATCACATACTTTTATATACTTTGGCAGAATTGTAATGATCACATACTCATATACTTTGGCAGAATTGTAATGAGGGTCACTTTAGCCCTTTTGTCCTTCTACCCCTCCTTTCTCCATTCTGGTGACTACTACAAAACCATGAGTGATCCCTATTCAAGTAGATCTCTATCCCTAGGAGCCATCCTATCCTTAGGGAAGATCATAGCAGAGAAGAGTGGCAACAGCTGTTTCCTCAGTAGCCAGAGCTGCCTTCTTCAGTGTACATGCACTTTGTGCCAGGCCTTGTACCCAGGATGTCTGCAACAAGTGCCCACTGCCCTTAGGAATGAGAAAAGATTGTTGTTGTTTCCCTCATGAAAGTCACATGGTGGTGTTTTTTTTTTTTTTTTAATAAATGTCTTCCTCACCACCATCAGCAATGGCAATATCATTTTGTGATGTACTTAGGGTGATATCCAAAATAGTTAACTTCTAGTCTAGCATGGGCAATAACCAACTAGAAAAGATGTCAGAAGGCCCATGGACCAGGGGCTTGAAGGCCTTCTGCCACCCCAGCCAGTAGCCCTTTAGTTATGGATTGTGTGAAGTACCCAAGGGTCCACAGGGAGGGACAGGAGCAATGGAGACTGCAGGGGACACCTGGGGAGGCTTGGGGAAACAGCAAATCACCCAGTAACAAGGAAGTATTTTGATGTTTTAACAATGGTACCACTGCACTGGAGTGTACTGTGAAGTACTCAGTAAACTTGGATGTACTCAGGTAAGGTTTTAGGCCTGGAGCTTACAAAGGAAACTAGCTGGAGCTGGGCCTGGCCCTCTAGAAACTCACATGTTAGACAGCTCTGCCCACACCAAGGTTCTAAGACAACTGGGCAGAAGTGTGAAACCTCTGCTGGCAAGTGAGCAATGTACAGCAACTCATGACTCCCAAGGTTAAGAATGCTTCTTGGCTGCCACTGCCTATGTCTTCAAGGGCTGCAACTGGCAAACAGCTCAGGAGCAGTTAGATACGGTACTTAGTACTTTTACACGAAGTCACATTTTTTTGCAATGGATAGATCTGGTGTTGTTCGGAATAAGAACTGAAGGGAAAGTCTCTGGTCTGTGGGGGACGTCAGACCATCTTTCTTAACCCACACACCATCTTTTTTAACCCAGACAATTTGCCATATAGTCACTTCCCTTTTCCTTGTCTCATGAGGTAAGGTGTTCCAAGAAACCACAGAAGTACCAAATCTCAACAATGACTCTCCAGAGGCATAGTTAGCCAATGTTACTTAGAAAAAAAAAGTAGAGCTTGTCAAATGGGCTGCATAAAGATGACAATTAATTTAAGCAAAATTAATCCGAAGAACTACTATTATGGGATTGGCTGATTATATAGGTAGCTAAGATCCACTAACTACCATTTTCCCTGCTGGACTCAAAAACGACATTTTTGTGATGCATGAATAAGTAGTACGAGCAACACAGGTCTGTCCACAAAAGGAACTCTTCTTTACAAGTACTAAAACTCGGGAGTCAGGACAGTCTCTGGGGGTGTGCACTTTGGCCTGATGGCCACCCTCCTGAATGCTCCTTGCTGTGCTGTGCCACAATTAATCAAGCTTTCTAGGTTTTAGTTAATTTCAGGACCCCAATAAATTGGTTTGTACTGGCATTAGTCCAGCCCTGATAATTTCACAGCCATGTGCTTGGAAACTGCTGCAAGTTTGCACAGGACTTAGCAAGCAGGGAGCTGGGGGGAGAAAGCATAAAAGGAACTCTTGTTTGGCTTAAGTTCCATTAATATTGGAGAGAGCTGAACTCTAAGTGACAGAAAAACATGGTTTAGCACATGGACTTTGTAGCTGGGAATGGGTTTCTCTGTGTTCTTTCAACTCTCCCTCCCCTTCGACTCATGATGGATTTAAAAACAATAAAATTAAATAAACCCAAATCTTTAGTTTGACATTTCTCTTTGTCTGATTGTTCTCAAGTTTTTGTCTCTGATTTCACAAGAGTCCCTTGAGGAATAAGCAGTGGAGCCCATAATCTAGTAAAAGGTTCTTCGGGTTTAGGCATTTTATTTTTAAAGATATGACTCTTTGAGGGTTTTTTTTTTTTTTTCAATTTCAGGGAGCTTTTATGACTTGAGAGGTTACCAGGAAAATTCAAAGACAGCAATACTAGGGGTCTCTAATGAGGATAAAAATTTGAGGCTGCCTGTATAAATTAGCTGCAGTGGAGAATAACTCCAACTACTAAGTCTTGCAGTCTTTTAGAGGCACAGCTCTGTCTCTGGCACTTGGGTTCCAGAAGTTCCTGTAGCCAGAGAAACACAGGTTGGAAAGGGCCAATGAGTTGAGTGAATGGACACTTGGATTAGGATTTTACCATGAAAGACTGCTAGAGCTTGAAGGAATCTACGAGATCATGGAGTTCAGGTCTTACATTTTACAGACGGGGAAACCGAGGCCCACAGGGAGCAGGAGGTTGGGATATGACCCATCCAAGGAAGAGACAGAATTAAAGCCAAGAGTCATAACTCGCAGTTCAAGAATCCTTCCAGATTCTGATGCTGCTTTCCTTGTGGCAAGAACATTATATTTTCTCTAATATGAAAAGGGGAAAAAAGATTTGGACACTTGGTTATAGGGCCAATGTGAGAGTGACTGTTTAGATTTTCAGATTTTCTTGGCAAAACTCCCTGGACGTGCAGATTCTCTGTTAGGTTTTTAAATCATCCAAACACAGAGAAAACTGGAGATGAGTGTTTGACTATGTCTACATGATGCCTAAAGAGACAGTTGATTCAGTCAAAAAATATTATTCATGTTGCTGGTTTGGCAACACAACCAGTTGGTGGACTGAATCTTTTGCTTTTTAACTCCTGAGAGGCAGTGTGAGGTAGAAGAAATAAGCCCCAGACTGGCTGTCAGAAAACCTGGCTTCCAGACTTGGTTGTGCCACTTATCTTCCTCTCTGGGCCTCAGTTTTTTTCTCTGTGAATTAATCAGATTTGGACTAAGCTGTCTCTAAGAAGCTTTAGAGTTTTCACCTTCCAGGTAGTATTCTATGCACAGTCACTTTCCGGTACGGGATAGGACAGGATGATGTCCCTGCCTGTGGTCTTTGCCACATGCATAGGTCATAGCCCTGTAGTTCTAGTGTGAGAAGAGATTTCTGGATGTGATTCACAGCCTATTTCAATATCTCTCTGAACTTGGGTTCTAAATGGGTTCTAAATGGCTTCCTGCTCTCCGCAGTCCCTTCCCTTAGTCTCCTTCCTGTAAGGACAAAAGGAGGACAGTATTCAGTTTACAGGAAGAACTCAGCAGTACTATTAGGGGTCCTGTACTGTGTCTTCTGACCTCCTCAAGCTAGTGCTCACCCTTCATTAGCTCATACTTCCCTCTCAGATTATCCTATGCCCAAAGGCTAGATAATTGGCCTGTGGGATTTTTAAAAAGACATAGAGAACAAGGAAGTAGTGTTGGTCTAAAGACAGGTTCCATGTCAAGTGTTGAAGCTTACTTTTTCTGGTTGATTTCTGACTCATTCTATGAATAAGATCTCCTGGCTCACGCTCCTAACTATTCCATTAACTCGATGAAGCTTTTTTGAGCAAATTCAAGCCAGTAGTGCTCCAGAGCCAGCTCTCACCAGTTTGTGAGAAGTCATTGTGCACAGCTTTTACCAACTTCATGTTAAGTGACAACACATTGTTAGTCTGAAATTGGCCATGTAGGAGATATTTACACAACAGAAGTCGGAAATTGCTACAAATCAGGGTTTTTGTTTTCCTCCCTAAAAAGCCACTTCTCAAATAGTTATCATTGTACATAATGGTTCAAACTCATACATCTCTAGGGGTTATGAAAGTAATGTGAATGACACACTGGGACCTGTCGTGGGGTTGGGGAAGGGGGGAGGGAAAGCATTAGGAGATACACCTAATGTAAGTGATGAGTTAATGGGTGCAGCACACCAACATGGCACATGTGTACATATGTAACAAACCTGCACGTTGTGCACATGTACCCTAGAACCTAAAGTATAATAAAAAAAAAAAAAAAGAAAGTAATGTGAATGAGTAAAACATGCCTGAGGGTAACAAAAGGGACACAATGGGGAGTGGTGGGGACTGTGGCAGTTGGCAAGCACATATGCTGTCTAAAAGCAGCGGCTACTACTCTATTCCAGTCTGTGTTACCATGGAGAGATGTCGGCCCAGTGTTCCTAGTAAATCTATTTTTTTATGAGAAACTGGAATCAAGGTCTTTTATGTAAAATCTCCCAATAATAAAAATTAAAGATTGTTTAGAACCAATTCAAATTTTGAAAAAAAAAATGTGGGCAGGCTCTCTTCAGCCCTTGGGTCAGCAGTTTGTCATCTTTGCTTTATGGAATCTCTGGTTCCTGCTCTTACCCCCTGGGTTATAGCTCTAAAGCTGAGTTGCCGGCATCTTTCCTAATGAGAAACAAATTTTCTTTACTTGAGAACTAAAAGAATAGGCAATGTGGATCTGAGAATATCCAGGTGGCTTCTTATGATTCTACTCTGGCTTGAGTCTTGTTTTCTAGTCCATGTGACATGAAGCTAGAGAAGAGCATACTAGCCCCAAATCTGCATCTAACATTTTATAATAGTCTCCAGGCACCAGGACAATAGCTAGTGCTTGTGCACCTGTGTGCAAGGAGAGAGTAATTTTACATCTTGGCATTAGTTTCTTTACTGTTTCTGTTGAAGGGATGTTGGCACTCTACTCTCCAACTTACTCCCCGCCTTGAAGAATAGGGTGGGAAATTGGGTTAATTATTGGTTTTCTCTTCCTGCTTTTATCCCCACTTTCTTTTAAAGACAGACAAACTGAAGCTTGACTAGCTAATAAAGAACTTTACTGAATGTGCAATAGCTTTCACATTTGGACTAAGTGGATGGAAGCAGGGAGGGGACAGTGAGGATAGAAACAATTATTGCACACCTACTATATTCCAGGCACTCCACATACAGTAGGCCATTGAACTGCCACAGTTACCTTATCATCATCCCCTTTTTACATACTATAAGGAAACAAGCTCAGAAAGGCTATATGACTTTTTGGGATTCTAATTCAAGTATGCTTGATTCCATAGTCTTAGTTGTCTTGGTTCTTTGTGCATCATGTTACTTCCCTGAGGAGACCTAGATGCTGTGGTTAAGACAATTAAACATTGATTTTTATTGCTTCTGCTGAAAAATAATAATAAATCAATCTGCTGCCTAGCTCTGGGAATAAAGGTGAAAAATCTGGGAAGTTCATGGAGGTTCTAGGGAACTGTGGATGCTTTGAGGTCCTATAGTAAGCTATCTAGGCAAATGAAATTTGATAAAGTGAATCAACATTCTATAGGAATACAGCTTCTAGAGAGGCAGTTTCTATTCTACCATATTGCATTTTTCTATGCATAGCATAACACTTGGACATATTATGTCTCCAATTTTTCATGACATCTTTGATTAAAAGTTTTAAACACCTTTGTATAACTGTTTGGAAATGCAGTTAAACTATCTGAAACAAATCTTCAGTCAGAAGTGGTGTATTTTATGCTCTGCCCATATGACCCACTCATGGTGATGATGAAGCACAATATAATTTTGGATCAAGAAATTAACTCCTTTCATCTTTTAGGTAGTTAATATAATCCTGTATACTATGATGAGATTATCTTGATTTTTAAAAATAAATATGTTCCTGAAATTTTCTGTAAGCCAAATCTTGCTTTTACAATGCCCTTTATTATAAATCTGGAGATGTGTTTCTTTGGGAAATGAATCACTTAAAATGCTTCTAAAAATATCTTAAAATCACTTAAAAAAGAAAATTATTTCTATAAGATAATATTCATATATAACACAAAGCACAAATAAAAAATACTTTGCGTTATTTTTGTTTACTACAATAACTGAAAGGCATAAATAGAAAATGACAGCTTAACTTATAAGAATACATTAAAACAAAGAGAATCTGCTCCTTTTAATTCTACCTTCAAGAATCTATAACCTACTCTTGCTATTTACTTATTTGGTTGTCATAAAATTCTAAGAAACAGAATTGTTTTCACTGGTGCTAAGAGACAGTATTGAAGGTTATGCTGTAAAAATAAGCAACACATGACTTTTGCTAAGATTTCATTAGCCAAAGCAAATCAAATGGCAATACTTAATTTCAAAAAGGGAAGAGGAGTAAAATCCTACCATGAGCTCAAAAGGAGGAAAGCTGGAAATATTAGATGAACCATACCAACTCTTTTTTTTTCTTTTTTTTATTTTTTTATTTTTATTATTATACTTTAAGTTCTAGGGTACATGTGCACAACATGCAGGTTTGTTACATATGTATACATGTGCCATGTTGGTGTGCTGCACCCATTAACTCATCATTTACATTAGGTATATATCCTAATGCTATTCCTCCCCCCTCCCCACACCCCACAACAGGCCCCCGTGTGTGATGTTCCCCTTCCTGTGTCCAAATGTTCTCATTGTTCAATTCCCACCTATGAGTGAGAACATACGTTGTTTGGTTTTTTGTCCTTGCTATAGTTTGCTGAGAATGATGGTTTCCAGCTTCATCCATGTCCCTACAAAGGACATGAGCTCATCATTTTTTATGGCTGCATAGTATTCCATGGTGTAAATGTGCCACATTTTCTCAACCCAGTCTATCATTGATGGACATTACTCTTTTTTCTAGCAGTTTTTAGAAATGGCTAGCAGGAAGAAAATACAACAGAGAAAAATTTCAGTAACAAACAAGAACATACACAAATAACAAAAGGGCTCATTAGAATATAGCTGAATAATCCTAAGGGGTCTTTACAGAGAATTGTCAACTTCTATATATTGAATCAAGTATCTGATTAATACAAACTCTAAGTTGGTGGCATCTTTTCTAAAAAGAGGTAAACCTATAGTACAATATACTCATCAATCTTTATGTATTCTGCCATTTTTGAAAGTTAATTTAATAACCTGAGTTTTCTAAGTCCCAGTGGGACAAGAAGCACTAAAAGGCAAAAAGTTTGTGCTATCAGAAAATTATTTTGTATATAATCATTTCATAATACCTCCACTTACATATTTATTTTTTAAATAAGTATGAGTTCTGCAACACATGGCATAGAAGATCAGCACACAACAACTACTTGCATTCATATATACTAGCAATGAGTGCATGGAAACTGAAATTAAAAATACAATAACATTTGCAATTGCTCCAAAGAAAAAGAAATATGTAGATACGAGTCTAACAAAATATGTATAGAAGTCATATGCTGAAAACTACAAAACACTGGTGAATGAAATCAAAGAAGACCTAAATAAATGGAGAGATACTGTGTTCATGGATTGGAATGCTCAACAAATTAAATTTGTCAATTGTCCCCAAATTGATCAATAGGTTTAATGCAATTTCTAGCTAAATTCCAGTAAGATATTTTGTAGACATAGACAAGTTTATTCTAAAGTTTATGTGGAAAGGTACAAGACCTAGAGTAGCTAAAACAACCCTAAAAAAGAGGAATAAAGTGGGAGGACCCACTCTACTTGAAATTCAGGCCTACCATATGTCTACAGTAATCGAGACTGCGTGGTACTGGTGGAGGCATAGACACATAGATCAATGGGATCAAATAGAGAAGCCAGAAATAGATTCACACAATATGACCAACCAATGTTTGATCAAGGTGTAAAAGCAATTCAATGAAAGAAAGATAGCTTTTTCAACAAATGATACTGGAGCAATTGGACAAAAATATATAGGCAAAATATGAACATCAACCTAAACCTTATACCTTTTATAAAAATTAACTCAAAATAGATCATAATTAAATGTAAAACTTTATAACACTTTTAAAACAAAAATATAGAAGAAAATATTCAGGATCTAGAGCTAGGTAAAGGGTTCTTAAACTTAATGCCAAAACATGACCTATATGACAGAAATTTGATACATTGGACATAAAACATTAAAAAATTTTGTTTTGTGGAAGTTCAAGGGAAGAGGATGAAAAGAAAAGCTACAGACTGGGATAAAATATTTGTGATAAGATATACAGGTGTCAAATAAACAATGAAAAGATGGTAGATATCATTAGGTTTTAGGGAAATGCAAGTTAAAACCACAATGAGATATCACTATATACCTACCAGAATGGCTAAAATAAAAAATAATGACAACAAAAAATGCTGGCAAGAATGCAGATAAACTGGATCTCTCACACATTTCTGGTGGGAATATAAAATAGTACAGTTGCTCTAAAAACAGTATGACAGTCCTTACAAAACTAAACATGCATTTACCATACAACCCAGGAACTACATTGTTGGGTATTTATCCCAGAGAAATGAACACTTACGCTTATTCAAATACCTGTAGACAAATGTTCATAGCAGTTGTAACCGAAATCTAGACTCAACCCTCCAATAGATGAATGGTTTAAACAAATTGTGATATATCCCTACCATGGAATACCACTCAGCAATGAAAAGGAACAAACTATTGATACCAGGAACAACTTGAATGGGTCTCCAGAGAATTATATCAGGGTTGGGGGAGAAGAGAGAAGAGACTATCTCAAAAGGTTGCATACCGTATGATTCCACGTAACATTCTTAAATGACAAAATTATAGAGATGTAGGACAATTTAGTTTAGTAGTTGACAGGGAGTAGGGAGAGGAGGAAGGGAAAAGATGGGTGTGACTATTAAAGTGTAATACAGGGTATCCTTGTGGTAATGGCGCTGTTTTATATTTTTACTGTGGTGGTGGTCACATGAATATACACATGCGATAAAATTGCATAGAATTATATACACAGGCAAATGAGTGCATATAAAACTGGTGAAATCAGAGTAAGATGAATGGATTGTACCAATGTCAGTGTCCTGTTGTGACATTGTACTATATTTATGAATGATGTTATCATTGGGGAAAACTAGGTGAAGGGTATTTGAGATCTTTCTGAATTATTTCTTACAACTGCATGTAAATCTACCATTATCTTAAAATAAAACTTTTTAAAAAATGAGTATGAGATTATGCTCTCATCCCTATTTAATAAACAGAGAAAATAAAGCATGAAGGTAATCATCACTTAAGTTTCTATAAGACCTGGTAGGATGTCTAGATTAGGACTCACCCAAATGGGAGTTCTCAATTCAGAAATCAAGATTGGAACTAATACAAAATACAAGGATGACTAACATTTACACTAATGAAAAACCTGTCAGAGAATTCCAGCAGCCCCATATACAGTTGCCTGCAACTGCATAAGAGATCTTAAGCAAGTTCAATAGAATCAACTCAATAGAACCAATTGAGAATAATTGCTTGCTTTAAGCCACTAGGTTTTCGGATGGTTTGTTATGCAGTAATTAGGATTCTACACCAAGCAAGGGAGTGAGTGGTTGTAGCCAAATAGATGAACTTTTAAATCCCAGTGAGTCTATTTATTTTAAATGCTAGAATTTATGTTTGTCTCAGACTATCCCTTGAAACTCATTTTCCAGAATACTCTGTAAGCATGTTGGAAGTAATGATGGGAGTTGGGTAATGCACGCACAAGAGAAATTGAACAACCAGTCCTTGCCCTTGAAGAACTCACAATCTAGTAAGACAAAACATCACTGCATTAAACGGCATGAGAACAGTTATAAGGCAACAAATCAGCAAGTTCAAACCGATATACAACAGCACAAATTGAATGCATGTGGCAGTGTATGGCTACCCAGGCAGCAGGACGGAGCTAGACATTTTGGGCCCTGAAGGCAACATTACAGAAAGGGCCCCCTTTCCTTTGTTAACAGTGAAATAAACATCACCAGCAATGCAGGGGCTAGCTGGATACTATTAACACTTCTGAAAAAGCAAAAGGAGGTAACGTTCAGGGACAATTATTCTTGTTTTAATTTTTCTTTGTTTTCTGTTCCTGATAAGTGGTTTGTTTGTTTGTTTGTTTGTTTTTTTGACAAGCCACAGTTTCTCTGAACATCAATTTCCTCATCTACAGACTGGAGATAACAACCAGAGAGTAGTGGGTTGAAAGTCAGGGAATCTGGATTGGAATCTCAAATTTGTCATTTACTAGCTGTGTGACCTTAGATACATCATCCTCTTCCCCCAATTCAGTTTCCTCTTCTGTGAAATGATGAAGTTAAGCTGAATGGTTCAGAAGTTCCCCACCAACTCTAACACTTGAGACCTCAGGTAGTTCGGTTGGTTTTGAGGGTTTAAAAAGTAATGTTGATGTATGTGAAAACACTCCGTAAGCCATAAAGTACTATACAGATGTTAGGAATATAGATATTTATCTAGTTCATCTAGAAAAAAGCTCTGCGGTTCTTCTCCAAATTTAGGGGCTTAAAATTTTGTCTGTCGAGGCAGCACTTTCCTGGACCCTAGAAGTTTCTGACAATTCTTTGCAACTATCACTTGTTGAATAAACACAAATTTGGAGTAGGCAGGCCCACCAAGGCATCAGCAGTGCTACTGTGATTTCCAGGTTGAGCTCTTGGCCCAACTTAGAAGCTTAGGGACTCATTTAAAAAAAAAATGGTGGGTATAGTGTGTGGCACCAAGTTTTCTTCAAGACACTTAACAGTTAGAACAGGCCCTTTCCATGAGGCTTGGGAGCCCAGTTTGTAAGAGAAAGTGGATTTCTAATCCCTGACCCTACACACACCCATCTCCACCCCGCCTTTAAGGACACCAAACCAAAGCTTTGTCACTCTGTTAGCCACAGTGTGGATATGGGAAACGCCGTGAAATGATAAGCAGCATGCTAGGGCGTGATTTGCGAGGAGGGTTCATTCTGTGTCCAGGGCACCAGCTCAGTACCAGACCAGGTGCACACCTCGGAAAGGCCTTGGTGCCGGAGGAGAGCGGGTGTGGGCTTCCAGGCAGGGGAGTCAGAGGGTAGTCGGTATCTTCAGGGCGTGCGCGAGTGGTGGGGAGCTCCTAGGTGCATCCAGTGCAGAGGGGGAGGAGGGACCGGAGGAGCTGTGCGGTCCCTTTAAGACCCCAACGCTCGCCTAGCCAAAGGAGTGGGGGCTGCAGTGGGGGCGCTGTGTGATGGGAAAGTAGCCGGCTGAGTCTCACACTTTCTCCCGATTTTTAAACTTTCGGGCCGGGGGAGCAGAAATAAAGCCATTGTGCCGGGGTGGAGAAAGTGTGCGTGCTTGCAGCGGCTGCGTGCTTGCGGACTTCCCGCCAGCGCCGAGCGGCCGGCTTCTCGGGCCAAGTGGGGAGCGAGCGGGAGGGCGGGCAGGTGGCCCCGGGCCGCCGCGCCCGCGCCTTGGCTCTGCCCCCGGGAGCCGAGCAAGCCGCTGCTCCCTCGTGGTGTGAGGGCGGTGATGTTTTTCCTCCCACCCACTTTTGAGTTCCCCCTCCCCCCTCGCGCGCACTCTAGCTCTCGCCACAACCTGCCAGCCCCAGACCTCGGACGAGAGCGCCCCGGGGAGCTCGGAGCGCGTGCACGCGTGGCAGACGGAGAAGGCCAGTGCCCAGGTTAGTGAGCAGTGCCCGGCGCCCGCTTCCCTCACCTCCTTTTCCAGCCTTTGCACAGGTGGGTTGCCTTCTCTTGGCCGGAGCCGTCCCTGGAAGTTTCCCCAGGGTGCCCCAAATTCCCCTGCCACCCCAACCTGTTCTGTGCTCCAGCAGTTAGCAACCTGGATGGAGGTGGGGCCCAAGGCTTCTGACCAAAGCAAGTTGGGGGTCTCTGAATTCGAACTCACAGCTCGTCCCTCCCCACTCGGCCTGCATTTCTTTATGCTCTGGCGCTTTGAGAGGTCACTTAGGTACTCCACCCTGAGCTACCCAAGGGACTCTGCAGTCCCCTTAATCACTGCCTGTATTCCTGAGCCTGTTTTCTCATTTTGCTGATGAATACATGGTAAAGTTAATGTAGCAGGGTAGATGGGCGAAAGGCTCCCTATCCTATCCTCTGGCCATCTGCCTCATTTTTTGTCCCTGACTACGGGGGTCAGAATTTGAGACACTAGGCTCTGGAAGCAACGTGGTATATTGCCAGAACATAGGGCCCGGAAAGCCTGCTTTCCAGTCCCTCCCAGCCCTGCCACTAAAGTTATTTGAGTTCTCTGGGTCCCCCCAGTGCCCATTTTGAAGGTGGAGTTGTGTGGAATGAAATGAAATGATAGAAAGGTGTTTTGCAAGCCAAATGCGAGGCATTGTTTGTCAGTCATAAGCAGCAATGAAAGCATTTCCTCCAACAAGAGATACCCTGGGTTAAAACTGCCATTTTCAGTGGCAACACACCACCAGTTAACTGAACTTTTCTTGCTGGGTGGTAGAGTGGGGAGAGGATTTCAGCTGATGGACAAGGGCCTGGGACTCCAGTGTCTTTCTTATTGTTTGTCGGAAAGAAAATTGCTACCCTAGGGGCTGTCCCACAGATGATAGTCAATGTGAGATTACAAGGTCAGTCAAGCCTCTCAGGAGGATTAAAGAGACACTGTGGGGCGTGAAGAACTGGCTGACATGTGTTCATCCCTTAGCCTTCCTGTGGGGATGTCTCTTTGCTTCTGTTCTACCCAGGAGACCTGTTCTGAAAGTGGGCTCCTGACACTTGATGGCCCAGATTGCCTTGCAGTCACAGCTGGGCAAGGAGCAGTTGGTCCCTTTGCTTAACGCAGATGAACAATGTGAATGCTTGTTTCATGGAAGCACCTTAATAAATACCTTTCTTTTGGTACTTGATACATTTCTCTTTCTCTTGTAAAACACAGGAACTCTCCCATCCCACCTCCACTACCTGTGTTAGTTGCAGGGTTTTGTTTTTTTGTTGTTGTTGTTGCTTTCTTGTTGGGTCCTGGATCCCCTGAAGCATGTCAATGGCTACATGTCTAAGTAACCTGTAAAAGAGCCAGTGCAAGTTCAATGGCACAACAGCCTGTGTGAAGCAGACAGAGAGTTAATGCAGAAATAACTCCAGTTAACTGGGTCAAAGTATAATTTGAAAAATTAAGGACAGTTTGGCTCTTTGCAAGAATAAGAGTCGGCTAAGTTCGCTGAGCAATGCTTGCTAGTGTTTACTGCTGCAGTCCCAACACATGTTTTGAACCACCCCCTTCCCTAAAAGAAAAAGCTGAAGAGATAAAGAGAAATTGAACAGTGAGGAGATCTGGGGAGGGAACTCTTCTTGGTTCATATTTCTGCACAGAATACAAAGGCAGGACTTCAGGATCTTGTAAATCAAAAGTGAATATTTATAAAGCGATTCATTTTCTGATGTTCTCCATCACAGCCTGGGAGGCCACACAGATGACAGGAACGCCAAAGGAGATTAATTGCTCTCTAGTTACCAACTTTTTTATTTGCTCATAATATTAGTTGGGACCTAAGAAAGGCAAAAAAATCTATGAGCTGTTTTCTTGCCAACTTGAGTTATGAAGCAATGCTACAGTTCACCGAATCGCCCAACCATTATACAAGAAAAGCAGCCCTGTTGATTCTCGCATGGGGAGACCCTAAAACCATGGTTTCAGAAACACCCGTTGAAATCCATATATGAATGTGATAAATTGGATTTCAGTGGTTAAAAATCTTTCTCTTTTGGAGGCTTGGGGAATAAACTTATTAGAATAGGCTCAGGAAGAACCTCACTGAGGTGGGTAGCTGTGTTAAATTGTTAATGAAAATGATTTGTTTCGAATAAACGTGGTAGCCCTCAAGGGACAGTAACATTCTGAGTGATTGTAAGTGGGCCACAAACTCACAGAGGGGACCAAGACATCAGAACTCAGGTCTTTAGATGGGTAGGAACATGTCCTGAGAGAATTTGGTTCTTTAAGGAGCAGGGAGGAGGTAAAGAAGGAAGGCAGACGGTGCTGCAAATCTTGTTTGATAGCACAGATTACTCTATCATCAGTTCTTCCTTGGTTATGCATTCATAATTGAAACAGTGGATTTTGAATGACCCAGGCAACTTCATAGCATTTAAGTAGGAGCTGTAGCATCTACTTCAGAGCCCAAAGATATTCAACTCTCCAAAATGATCGTTTTGCATTCCTTCAAGTTCTTTATGTGCAATATTTAGGTTGGACTTTCTGGAAAGATCAATGAGTTCATTTCCCATTCAGATTGAATCTGGTGTTTTTAGAACATTTCAATATTTTCAGATCACCCATTGGAGGAATTTTGCAAACTCTAACATCTGTGGAAATGATCCGTGACTAGATGTGAGCTACAGCAAACTTTCTGTGTTCCAAGGTTCAAAAGGTTTAAGATTTCTACCCCTTATACTGGGAATGCCAATCTCATGTTTTGAAGAACTGTAGTTGTTTTAATGGTCTTTTGCATGGTGGTGCAAGGTGAACAAATTATCTATTTAATTTGCCCAATTTCCCCTAAAAATGGCCCATTTAAAATTTCCATTTTACAATGGACTTCTTGGGGGAGGAATATGTTGGAACCATTTTAAGCAGTAAAACTTTTCAGGTGTTTAATTGCATCCATTTGCTAATTACATCTATCTTTTGCAATATTAGTTGCCAAACCAAAGATCCTTGTAGATCTCATAGAGGACACAGGAGAAACTGATCAATTTGTACTTCATTCCAAAAGGATTAAAAGTAGTCTTGAAGCTAAGATTAGTTAACTTTCATTTCAGAAATTGCTTGGTCTCATGCTTGTTACTTTTACCTTGTTTGCTAAAATAACCGTTTTTGCAAGCTAAAGTTTCCCTTTTCTCCCAAAAAAATCTCTTGAGAAATCAACTTTAATTCCCTTAGAAAGGAAGATTTCAAAATTTATTTTCATTTTCCTATAACTTGCCTGTAAGGACTTAGCCTCAGCTTTGGATAGGAATGCACCCTCATTCACTTGAATTTTCACCCACAAGCCTTGCAAGACAGGAGAGGCAAGTCCTTTATCTTGTGCAGGCAGACAATACTTACACTTATGTAAATTCTAGGACATTTTTTTTTTATTCTAGCAGGTTAGAAGCCTGAGCATCAGTGACCTCTATCATTTCCAGAAGATCTGTGTTAAGTCTTTTTTCTGCTTTCTTCCCAACAGCTTGAAGGTTCTGTCACCTTTTGCAGTGGTCCAAATGAGAAAAAAGTGGAAAATGGGAGGCATGAAATACATCTTTTCGTTGTTGTTCTTTCTTTTGCTAGAAGGAGGCAAAACAGAGCAAGTAAAACGTAAGTGTCTTGCATTTGGAAAATAATACACTTTTTATAATTTCTTTGAAAATGTGGCTATAATCTGTAGCAATTATGATTTAGCCCAAATGTGGCCGTGCCATTATTCTAAGAGAAGAAAGTGAATGTTACTGGTTTATGCATGAATTGATAAAAGAATGAGAGCTTTGAATCAGGCCAACTAAATTTGGGGCTGTTTTTCTGATTATCATGTAGTCTTTGTCTCATAGAACATATGACACATTAGCTTATTTTCTCTTCCCTGTTCTAAACTATACAAATCTCATTACATTTTACGTAACTCTAGAAATATCTGACAGATGAGCTGGAATTTTCCCAAATTTCAGACTCTTCAGCAAAGGCTTTCAGTTTATGAAAAATAATGACACAGAAAAGAAAAAAAAAGAAAAAGAAAAGCAGGCTCTGCCTATTCCCTTATGCCGAAAAACGAGGAAGGACGAAACCTTCCTATGAACTGGGCTCAGATGAAAAATGTTTTGAGGAAATTGAGATTCCAGGGACCGTTAGCAAATTGGATGCCATTTATTGAAAAGAACATCCCCGCAAAGCCAGGGAATATTTCTAGAAAGTCAGCGATCCGTGTAATGGGCTAACACATTGGAGAAAGCAGAGAGTGGCAGGAAGTGGGGGCGGGGGGGATAATTAACCCTCCTTGCTGCCACGTTTAGGAGATTTATGAGTAACGGTCGACATATCCGTTCTTGCTGCCTTTGCACAATGTGGGTCTTACCTTCTTTGGGCCACTTGCAGCCATCTCTGAGGTAGATGCTTGCTCTAAATTTGAAGGAAAAGCCTAAGCTCTAGTTCCCCTTTTTGACAGCATCAAAAAAAGCACAAAATGGAATTGGTCCAAGAGGGGCATTCTCTGCTTCACTGAACTTATTCATGAGAAGGAGCTGTGAAAATATTCTTGGTAGGAACTGAAGCAGCATCTGAAGCCCTTCACTTAAACCTTTATCTCTTTTATCACATAAGTTAAATAGATCAGGCAGAAGGCTTGCTGACAAGGAGAACAGTGCCAAGCCTATTCCATCCTTAAGTGTGTTTCTGTCCCACTACAATTTTCATAGTAAGTGTAGTCTTCTTCCTGGGAGAAACAGTGTTTAATAGTGTTTTTGATTATGCTTTTGAGCATGAGCGGTGTATGGTGATATCTAGTATGATTGGGACACAAAAGGAAGTTTAGTGGGGCATGATCTCAGCAAGGAAGCTTGGATCAGCCTCTACTCTTGTATCCCTCAAATTGCTTCCTTCTTCTTCCACTTGAATATAGTTCATCTCAGAATCCTCCTCTTCCAGAAGCCTTCCTTGATTTAAGTGGATGTGACAGAAGCATCCATGCATTCTCAGCTCAGCTCACAATTAGCTGGGCTTAGGGATGAAATATTACTCAATAAGTACAATGTACATTATTTGGGTGATGGTTACACTTAAAGTCCACACTTTATGCGATATATCCATGTAACAAAACTGCACCTGTACCCCTTAAATTTATACAAAAAAATCTTCCTGTCTTAGAGAGAAACTTCCCTTATAGCCTGTTAATGATGACCTCATGGGGAAAGCTTGTAACTCTCAGAAGACCATCTCTTATGGAAAGCCTTTCATATTTATGAAGAATTGAATATTGTCCATGAAACTTAGACAAAGAAAGATGTGACTTAAAAAAATTACAAACCCAAATCTACTACTTTCTAATATTTCCTTGTGCTGATGAATTTGTCCCAAGCCCTTTTGATATTCAATTGGTGCCAAAGTGATTATGTAACAGATGGCCTAGGGCACCAGATCTGGTCCAGTGTTTCAGGCTTATTGTCAGATGATGACGCTAAGGTCATGGTCCTTCCCTTAGTGAGCCACTGAGCATCATTATGTGTGTCCATGCCCAAGCTAACTGTTCTGAAGACATGCAAAATCATCTCTGCTAAAGGGAAAACCTCAAAGCATATGTCCTATATATGCTGTCTTGATATATGCATGCACATACACAAACACACACAATATGCATGCACAGAGATTTATATTGCAGCTCTAACAGTGAGAAGTCAGAAGCAGTGGAAATGTCAGTTCATAGATAAATAGTTACAAAAATGATCCAGGTAATGCAATATAATGCTACTATTAAAAACACTGTTTATTGAAAATTTGGTGGCCCTGGGAAATGCTTGTTAACTTATTTTTAAGTTTCTTAAATTATAAAATTAATATATATGCTTATTATACAAAACAACATGAAAGCATCTGAGCTTCATATGGAACATGTGTCCCTAAACTCTCATTCCACTCTCCTGGGATAACCATTATTAGTGGTTTGCTGTGTGATCTTCCAAACTACTTTCTTTGTTTTATAAAATTATATATACATGCCTGTATGATATTTTATTTTACAAAAATAGGATATTATATACACTTTTCTGTGATTTGCTTTTGCTCAATAATGTGTGTAGGACATCCTTCCATGTCAATACATTGCAATGTAATAGTGCCATATTCTTTCTAATGCTTGCATGGTTTGCAGTTGCATAAGTTTGCATTGGTTTATTTAACCAGTCTATATTTGTAGATATTGAGGTTGTTTCCGGTTTTTGCTATTAAAAGTAAGACATTTATGAACATCTTTAGGCACTTATTCAAGTATTTGTGAGAAATAGTCGAAGTGCATGTTCAGTTTTAATCTTCATAAGTACTGTCAAATTGCCCTTCATATAAGTTGTATTAATTTATGCTCCCACCATCTATGTATGAAAGTCCATTTCTAATTCCTTCACCAAGATTATAATCAATCTTTGTATTTTGGGGCCATTTTAATAGGAGAAATAATCTGTAAGTTTTGCTTGGTATTTTTCTCTTTCTGCAGCATCTTTTCGATTATGTACTAGTTCAATTTTATTTCTTCAGTGAATTGTCTATTTTTAGTTTGGTTGCTTGTGATATTTATTTGTTAAAAACTTACTTATTAACCTTTTATATTTTAAATATTATTTTTGATATGCCACTTGTTTTAATCTTTAAGTTGTATTTTTCCCATATAGAAGTTTTAAAATTTTACGTAGTCAGATCTGTCATTCATTTTCTGTATGGCTTCTGGATTTCTTATTCCTAGGAAGGTCTTTCTCACCCTATATTTTTATATTTTCTTCTACTGCTGCCATAATTTTATGTTTTACCCATAGTTCTCTATTCCATCTGAAATTTATATTCCTGTATGGTATGCAATGGGGAACTAATTTTTTTTAAATCTCCGGATGGTAGGTTTATGAATGTTATTTTTGCTCACTTTTATGCTTCTGTCTATTCCAAAATTTCCACAATTGGCAAGTTTCACTTTTAAAACAGGAGAAAAGCTCTTTTTAAAGTAAAAGTACATCTTATTTCCCATATTTTTACTGTGCAACTCTAGAGACAAGTTGGTATGTGAGTAGATGAAGAAACAGAGGGGTTTTCTAAAATTAAAAAGGAAAGCAACTGGAAAAACTTCAGAAAATGGGTAAGAGTAGGCCTGGGTCATAAACCCTTCACGTCTCTCCTTGTCTGACACCATTTTACCAAAAGAAGGCAAAGTTTTTTATCTTGCAGGGGCTGGTTAGAATATAAGCTTTTAGGTCAAGGAATGTGTTTTGTAGCCTGTTTGCTCTCCTATTTGGGGCATCACAGGGGAATGACGGGGGATGCCATTATGGTCAAAGATGCTCACTCAATTGATTCAGAAATCTGAAGAGGTGTGGAAAAAACGCTTTGTTTGTGGAAAGCTCATCACAAGGAATGGTGAAGATGGGTGCTGCCACTTGCTGGTAGCTAATTAGCCATAGTTACAATTTCTCTTATAAGAGAGAAGACAGGCTCAGGAAACCCGAAAATACTGATAGTGCATTGCAATGGATGAATGAGCCATTTGTTGCTTACATAAAAGTTTGTTACTGTTTAGCATCAGCAAGGTTTGAGTTCTTTAGCTGGGAAAAGGTCCTTGTGTATAACTCCATTATGCTCTGTTGTTAAAGTTGTAGTCAATGAGGCCAGGAAACTCTTTTGAAGTTCAAAGGAGCGTAACATTCACAGCATAATATTCATGCAAATATGGGATAAATGGGCTGAAGAGTTTGCCCATTTGGCAGATCTAACTTAGGTAATGAACTATTGATCAAAGTGAGGTTGAAGAATTGAATTGTTAAGAATATTCAATTATGTATTTCTAATAGACCAGCCTGTGCCAAGTCTGGCAAAGGTTCTGGAGAGAGAAATTGTTCATGTATTTCATGCAGTCCACTCCTGCTTTACAAGGTAGTTAACTGGATCTTCAAGGAGCTAGATTGTCACTTATTTTTCTCCTCAAGAGAAAAGCTTCCAATATTCAGATTTGGCTAAAAGTGGGCCTCTGGACTTCTCAGGAAAGGCAAGCCACCAAAAGATTGAAGGGAAGGAAGAAGATACTTAGAAAGTTTGAAACATGTGAAGCCCACTTAGAACTTCTCTATTGTGAGAGCCAGCCAGGAAGGCATGGGTTTTCCTCCTCCAGATTCTCCCTTGGTCATTTGAGGTGATTATTGAGCAAGCAAATGCGTGGACCTGTTCACATCTTAGAAGTTTAATTAAGTGGAATTAGACGAAAGGAATACCTAAAATTAGATAGCTTAATGCTTTTCAAAGTATATTCTTAATTGTTTTTTATTTTGGTGAGGGGGCAGTAGGTTTTGTCATGGAGGCTCTGTAGTTAGCCTAGATCCAATCCCCAGCTCCTTGACTTACTTATGTACCTTGGGAATGTTACCTAACCTCTCCAGCTTTCGTTTTCTTATCAGTACAGTGGGGGAAATAATAGCATAATGAGCGTGAGCATTGTCATTTGAAGAAGAAACGAGATTGTGTACACCAAGTGCTTTGCATAGTGGCTGGCACATAGTAAGTTTTTCATAAGTAGTTGCTATTAGAGCAACTCTCTTACAAGCCAAAGATATTATCCCCTTAATTTTAAGGTGAGAAACTTGAAACTCAATGAAATCAAGTGACTTTGTACAAGGACAAGCAGCAAGTCCCAGCCAGAGCTAGAACCAAAACCCAGGTCTCCGAATTAAGTGTTCTGTTCACTATACCCATCTGCCTCTTGGAATTCTTTGAGGAAGTCAGTTCATTGTCTTGAATAGAAGCCCAGTCCTTTATACATGGCAGCCACTTAACACATAAGAGATGATCCAAGTAAATGAATAAAAATTTTCTAACCCAAATTCCTAAGAGGGATAGTATACTATTTGGGAGTTAAAAGACTGAGACAAGGACTAAAAATTTTTCAGGAACCTACATTTGCTAAGCCAAAGGAAAGTAGTGAGGAAGGTTAAAAGTATGTGCGTCTATGTCTATGCTTCTTATATTTCCCTGACTTCTCAGTAGGATTGGAATGTCTTCATAGTTTAATGGAAAGAGGACTGTGCTTAAAGTCAAGAGACCTGGTTTCCGGTCAGTCTTCCCTTGTTTGCCGTGTGGTATTGGTTGAATCATTCGTGTTCTATGAAGTAAAGATTCACTACTTACAAATTGAAAAGAATTCTTGCCTTCTGGACTGAAAACTAAAGGAGAATAGTATAGGGGCTGGGGAGGTGGAACAAGGGAAACGAAGGCCCTGGTTTTGTGTACTTGGAGCAAACCACATGGATATTTAATATTGTCACAAGGTAATTGCAAAGAATATTTTATCCATTTAAGATTTATAGCCTGTCTGCTTCTAGAAAGGTTAGATACACATTAGAGATGAAAGAATAGGGGCAAGATAATGTTTTTAAAGATGAAATAAAATAGAGATCATCTGAAGAAAATAGAAGGAATAGATGTTTTTAACATTTGGTTTAGTAGATTATAGCATTTATAATGTAAATCTGGCTTATGCCTCCCAAAAGGATGAAAAGAGAAACTTTGGGTTTGTTGTCAAGAGAAAATTTACAGTTTCATCTACAGAGATTATTCCCACCTCTAACCCACTCAAGCAGTATTGATCCTGGGATGTTTGAATAAGGCACATTCTGGGTAACCTTGGTTTCATAGAAAAAAGAATTGTCTGGCATTTCTTTACTGATGCTTTGTAAAGGAAGAAGGCAAATATTAAATTATAATTCAATAAAGGACTTTCTATAAGCAGTAAGGAAATGCATTCCAGGTACTTTCCCTTTGAATGATCTAAATTGGAGAATAGAACATGGAAATGTTAAATAGATGTTTAATATGTCTACTAGACTGGATTGTCAACTATCAGATGCCCTAAGCAAGCTTTCTATTAACATGATTTGTTTCTGATTTTAAAAATAGATGCTCATTGTTAAACATTCAAAAGGTACATAAAAGTATAGGGAAAACAAAAATGAACAGTAATCACAACGTGTATGGATAACCATAGTTAATTGATATATATATATACTTGTAGTCTTTTTTTCTAAGCTCAGTTATACAAACATATTAGTTTACAAAACTGAAGCACTTTTTAAACAGTATGGATCAGGGTTTGTTTATTTATTTATATAAACTTAGGGGAGACAAGTGCGGTTTTGTTACAAGGATATTCTGCATAGTGGCGAAGTCTGAGCTTTTAGTGTAGCCATCACCCGAATTGTGTACATTGTATCCAATAGGTAATTCCTCATTCCCCATACTTCTTCTACCCTCCCACCTTTCCACATCTCCTGTGTCTGTTTTTCCAAAATGTATGTCCATATATACACATTATTTAGCTTCCACTTGTAAGTGAGAACATGCAGTATTTGGCTTTTTGTTTTTGAGTTGTTTCACTTAAGATCAATTCACAATTGGAGTCTCTAAAATGCACTTGTAGTAAAGACAACATCCCATGTTGTCTGTAAGTGAAAGCTGGGCGGTTTAGACACGAGTTGCAGGATATGCAAATTTGATTCTATTGTGAGAAGTTCAAGAGCTCAACTTTTATTCTCTACCAAAGGGAACAAAAGTATTCCTGATCAAACAGAAAGCCTCCCTTCACAGAGATTTGCACCGCTAAAGTGCTGATAGGAAGAACAGTTTGGTTTTTTGAACAGGCATTTTTATTTTTGCCCAAAGTTCTATGCCATATGACATGGAAGAGATGATATTAGCCTGAAAAAATATTCAGGTCAGGTTTCATCAGCTTAGCAGCCTTTCTGTAAAAGGATCTCCTCATGGCCTCATAGTAGACACTAATGAGAATATCATCAACTCCCAGTTATTTATGCTAATGAAAGATAGAAGGGCACAATAAATTGAAATTTCATGGAAAATCTCCAGTTCTCATCTTAATGGTGTCACCTTGCTTGACTGCCAAACTTCTTTGAATTATGGACCCTTTTCTTTTCGATGGGTTTGCCCACCTGCTAATAGGAAAGTAAAATAACCACAAAACAAGTAGTGAGAGGGCCATGCTGTGGGAGGCCCAGGCAGGTGAATCACGAGGTCAGGAGTTGGAGACCAGCCTGGCCAACATGGTGAAACCCCATCCCTACTAAAAATACAAAAAATTTAGGTGGGCGTAGTGGCGGGTGCCTGTAATCTCAGCTACTCGGGAGGCTGAGGCAGGAGAATCACTTGAACCCAGGAGGCGGAGGTTGCAGTGAGCCGAGATTGTGCCACTGCACTCCAGCCTGGGTGACAGAGCAAGACTCCATCTCAAACAAAAAACACTCAGTATATAATTTTGGGCAGGTGATCCAGCAAGTAGGAAAAAGCTAATTAACTTCTGAATGAAGGAAAAAGCTGCATACACAGGACGGAGAATGTTGCTTCTTCATGACTTTCTTTTTTTCTCTGGCGTCTGCAGGCTGGAAATGAAGTCTTAAAGTCCTGAGAAAACATGAAACAGAGTCTTCAACTCTAGAAACCCAATTGTCAGTGAAATAAGAAACGTTTTCCCCTTAACTACTACATCTTGCCCTTCCTACATTCTGCTTCAAGTTTGATAAATGACAGAAGAGACGTACTTATGCCTTTATTTTTTCTTCACTCTTCTAGTAGCCTTTTAAAGAAAAAAATAATTAAAAAGGAATTTGTTTACTTGATGTGTCCACTCATATAATGAATAGCAGAGATTCATCTTTTTTTCCACTGACCATGTGTTATAATAGAATAAATATTATTGTAATACTGACATGACAATGTGTCTACAGTAATAGCGCTTATCAAAAACAGTTCTTGGGAATGTTTTCTTGATTTTGGACTGGTGATGAAGTTACTGACCTTTGCCTAATCCTGGGAGCTAGTCAGTAATGATTGGCAAAACATTGATGGCATAGTGACACGTATCTGTTGTTGTTTACTTTTTGTCATCATTGTTCCTATTAACAGGGGCCCCTAAAGTAGCAGAGATAGCCACCTCTAATGAGGGCAAGCTGATACATTTGAAAAATAGCTGTGATGTTGCAGGTTGAAGGTCCATCTCACAAGTTAGTTGGAATTCCTTTGGGACCAAATTCTACTCTCAGACACCATTAGTTAGCAGTAAGTCATGCATCTGATTTGTGCTTTTTGTCCAAGATGATATACTGGGATTTTATGTGTTATTGATTATACTGCATAACTCATTAAATTCTCTCCTTGGTAATGTCAACAATTTTTAAAATTTCAAACTTATAAGCATATACTGAAATTGGCTTTATCATAGTTTCTCAAATTTGGTGATTGTCCAATGTGTTCATGGTGAAATTAGTATAATTGTGCTAACCACTCAATATTGGACAACCATGCTCAAACACGTCTTAAAAATTATGGTGTTCCAGCACTTTTGGAGGTGAGGTGGGTGGATCACCTGAGGTTGGGCACAGTGGCAGGTGCCTGTAACCCCAGCTACTCGGGATGCTGAGGCAGGAGAATCCCTTGAACCCAGGAGGCAGAGGTTGCAGTGAGTCAAGATTGTGCCATTGCACTCCAGCCTGGACAACAAGAGCAAATCTCCATCTCAAAAGAAAAAAAAATTATAATGTTTACTTTTTTGATATGCTATAAAAATATCAGTGTCAGTAATTGCAGAAACATTGTTTAATAGCACTAATGGCGTGACCATTCAGCTCCTTGTCTGCCTTCAGTTCCTAAATTTGCTCCTTCCAGGAGTTGTAGGTTTCTGTCTGGGTCATAATTAGCCAAATCCCATGTTGCTGAGATAATAAGACCAATACACTTGATGAAATACCATTATGTTTTCATTTTAGATCAGGTTTCTATCAGCAGTTAGTGTTTGAGTAAGATATTTGCATCCTCAAGAAGCATAGTTTGGAAGACACTGGTACGTGGGATAAATGCCACGTGAACAAATGAGGAAAGTGCTGTTAGGTTTAAAGAGAATGAAAAATAACTTTTAGCTGGGGTAATCTTGTCTTCCCATCAAGATTTCAAAGCCCTTAAAAGCATGAGCACTATTTTATACATTATGTGTTGTCACTGATGTAAATACAAAAATGCAAAATAGTCTCTGCCAGCTGCACTATTTTATATAGTCTTTGTTGAGTATTACTTGACTTCACTACAAACAACATTGATTTTTAAAAGGTGATTAAAGTTGTGTTAAAAAGGTATAGTGGAAAGGTAATTTGAGAAAAGGTTAGTAAAGAATATGTGGAAGCTCTTTACTTTCCAAGTTCTAAAAACAGTGACCTGCACCTTACCAACTACGTAGCAGGAGAGGCAGAATTCTGTAAAGGTTATAGTCTTTGGTTCTAAAGCTACAAGATATAGGTTTGAATTCTATTTCCATACCTTGATTAGTCATGTCAACTTGGGCAAGTTACCAAACCTCTCTGTGCCATTGATTCCTCAGTGGTAAAATGGGGCCAATAATGAGACCTACCTTGTAGGGTTGTTGTAAGAATTTAGTGAATTCAGATATGTACAACCCTTAGAGCAGATCCTGCCTCATAGGAAATGCTCAACAAATATAACTTGTTGTTTTTGTTATTGTTATCACCGTTCTCATCTGGCTCTATATTTTTCTTGCAGTTGGTTCCCTGGCTGCTTTTTACACTTATCATCTACCTCCTAGCCTTTGAGCTAAATTCGGGGCAGAAAATTCAGATGGCTCAGCTTTCAAACTTTGTCTAATAATACTCCTTAGAGGCTGAATTTGGGGGAAAATGTAATCTATTGGCTGAAATCAGTTAGTTGGGTTATCTGTGGTTTTCAAGAATAATGGTGAACTCACATATACTGAAGCGATCCATTTAATAGTGTCAGTGAAATAATCTATCTTAAATATTTTTTAGAGAATAGATAGCAACTTGCCTGAAAGTTATATATTAAGAATACCTTCCTCATCACATCAATATATACTGTCCTTTTGGAAACAGACTTTCCTGCAAGTCAGAATCTTAAACAGTTTGGAAGAGAGTTTTAGAAATGTGCAAATGAACTTGAAACCCACATTTGTATAGCTTGTTTTATTTCAGTGCTTGAGTAGTCTTTTCGGTGGTCTTTATCTTTTATTATCCCCTTTCTTCTTTATCAAGTAAGAAAAGGGTAGGTCATTCAACCATGCAGAACATATAGCTGATAGGAAAACATATTCAGTTTCATATTTTAAATAGGTAAATATTATGTCAACCTCTGATTGAGCTAATCTAAGCAAGAAAAATAATTCAGAATCAAACACATAATATACAGTTATAGCTTACTCTGCAATGTGGATTTAAACCTACAAAGTAACTTTTAGCTTACCTCCATTCAAGTTTTAGTGGCCCCAGACTCATATAAGTATGAATATTTATGCTAACCTAGTAATGCCATTTGAAGGAGCCACCTTGTAGGATTTGCTTCCACATGTATACTCAGATTCTTTCTGAAATGTTGAAATAAGTTGTATATGTGAAATGCAAATCACTTAAGTGTTTGTCAGTGAGACTATACATTTATTGTACAGAAACAGTAACTCTCATCCCACCGAAATGGTAGAGAAAGATGCCTTATTTAGATGTTAGTCTTGGGAAATTCATAATCATCTCTCATCAGTTAAATATACTGGGATTATTAAAATATTTAAAATATTTCTTACCATGTCCTTGAATGTTGTGGAGCAGAAGTTTAATTTGTATCTATACCAAAAAAAAATGTATTGCTAAGATTTGGCTGAAAAACACTAACATTCTGCCTTAAAAGTATGTTCTGTTTTCTTTCAATTAATAAATATTTTGAGCACCTACTTTTAGCTCACAAATAGAGATTAATATAACAATGTTGACGATGATAGTATCATAAAAGGGGAAATAAAAATTGTTACTAAAATGAATATATATTCAACCTTGCCGATAAGAAAAAGAAAGAAATATTGGTTCCATTTTCCCTTACTTAACCAAGTTGCCAAAACTTTAAACAGTCCATTGCTGGGCATTCTCACTCACTGCTAATGGGAAAGTAAATTACTGTGGCTTTTCTGGAAGGTTGTCTGGTAATGTAAATCAAGAATTTGAAAGTACTCAAAACATTTGACCCAAGAAATCTACTTCTAAGATTTTGCATTAAGAAAATACCTAATGTTGCAAACAGAACTTTATATGTAAGGATCTTTGTCATAATTTATTTAATGGAAAGAAATGGAAACAACCTAATATCCCAAGATAGGGGATTGGTTAATAAATTATGGTTCAGCTGTGTATTGGTGTAGAACTATGTAATTAGTCATGAGGTATGGGTAAACTATTTAATGGCACAGGAATGTTCTGATATGTTAATTTATAATGTAGTTTATAAAATGTATATAATATATGCTGTTAATTTTGTAATAAAACCTTAATACACATAACCCATGGAAAAAAAAGATCAGAAAGAGCTTCCAGTTTCCAGTCTGATAAATAGTGATCTTGGAGGTTGTCATTCCTGTTGTCAAAAGAAAAAAAACTGAATGAACTGAAAATCAACAATAGATGCAGTAAGATGGGAAATGGAAATAAAAGGTATACATATTGGGAAGGAAAAAACAGTATTACCTTTGTTCATAGATGACATGTTTTTCTGCATAGAAAATCCCAAGGGATCAACAACAATGACAAACACACTCCTGTTACTAATAAGTGATTATTGCAAGGTTGAAGTATACAAAGTTAATATAAAAGTCAATTGCTTTTCTGTCTACCAGCAATTAACAAGTGGAATTTGAAATAAAAAATACAATATTATTTATATAAGCAGTCATTAAAATGAAACAGGTGTAAATTCAACAAAATATGTACAGTATCTATATGATGAAAGCTATAAAATTCTGATGAAAGAAATAAAAAACTAAGTAGAATGGAGAGATACTCCATGTTTGTGTTTAGGAAAACTCGATATTGTCAAGATATCAGTTTTTCCCAACTTGATGAATAGATGCAATACAATATCAGTAAAATCCCAGCAAGTTATTTTGTGGATGTCAACAAAC
This sequence comes from Homo sapiens, assembly GCF_000001405.40. Taxonomy (NCBI): domain Eukaryota; kingdom Metazoa; phylum Chordata; class Mammalia; order Primates; family Hominidae; genus Homo; species Homo sapiens. The sequence continues at coordinate 110,779,699 of NC_000023.11, read as the reverse complement.
TGACTCTAAAGTGTATATGGTAAGGCAAAACCCAGAACAGCCAACACAATATTAAAGGAGAACAAACTCACTACCCAACTTCAAGACTTACTATTAAGCTATGGTAATCAAAGTTATGAGATATTGGCAAAGTAATAGAAAAATAGATCAAGGGAATGTAATAGAGAGCCCAGAAATAGACCCAAATAAACATCATCAACTGATCTTTAACAAAGTAATTCAATGGAGAAAAAATAGTCTTTTGAATAAATGGGTGCTGGAACAACTGGGCATCCATATCCAAAATGTAAATAAATCTAGACATAGATTTCACACCCTTCACCAACATTTACTCAAAATGGAACACAGACATGAGTGTCAAATGCAAAGCTAAAGAACCCTTAGAGGATAATATAAGAGAAAAATTTAGGTAACCTTGGATTTGGCAATGACTTGCTTTTTTAACTTTTAGTTTAGGTTCAGGGATACATGTGCAGGTTTGTTAATACAGGCAAATGTGTGTCACGGGGGGTTGGTGTACAGATAATTTTGTCCCCAAATACTAAGCATAGTACTCAATAGGTATTTTATCTGATCCTCTCTCTCCTCCCACCTTCATGCCTCGAGTAGGCCCTAGTGTCTGTTGTTATCCTCTTTTTGCCCATTGGTTCTCATTATTTAGCTCTCACTTATAAGTCAGAACATGCAGTATTTGGTTTTGTGTTCCTGCATTAGTTTGCTAAGGATAATGGCCTTCAGCTCCATCCATGTTCTTGCAAAGGACATGACCTCATTCTTTTTTATAGCCGCATAGTATTCCATGGTGTATATGTGCACATTTTATTTATCCAGTCTACTGTTGATGGACATTTAGATTGATTCTGTCTTTTGTATTGTGAATAGTGCTGCAGTGAACATATGCACACATGTGTCTTTATGGTAGAGTGATTTATATTCCTTTGGGTGTATACCCAATAATGGGATTGTTTGGTCAAATGGAAGTTCTGTTTTTAGGTCTTTGAGGAATCACCACACTGCTTTCCACAATGGTTGAACTATTTTACATCCTCTCCAGCAGTGTATAACCTTCCCTTTTCTCCATAACTTGCCAGCATCTGTTATTTTTTGACTTTTTAGTAATAGCCATTCTGATGGGTGTGAGATGATATCTAATGGTGAGTTTGATTTGCATTTCTCTAATGATCAGTGATACTGAGCACATTTTCATGTGCTTGTTGACTACATGCGTGTCTTTTGAAAAGTGTCTATTCATGTCCTTTATCTGCTTTTTAATGAGGTTATTTGTTTTTTGCTTATAAGTTTGTTTAAGTTCCTTACAGATTCTTGATATTAGACCTTCGTCAGATGCATAGTTTGCAAATATTTTCTCCCATTCTGTAGGCTATCTGTTTACTCTGTGGATGCTTTCTTTTGCTGTGCAGAAGCTCTTTAGTTTGATTAGATTCCACTTGCTAATTTTTATTTTTGTTGCAGTTGCTTCTGGCATCTTTGTAATGAAATCTTTGCCAGTTCCTTTTTCTAGAATGGCATTTCCTAGGTTATCTTCCAGGGTTTTTATAGTTTTAGGTTTTACATTTAAGTCTTTAACCCATCTTGAGTTGACTTTTTGTACATGGTTTAAGGAAGGGGTCTAGTTTCAGTCTTCTGCATATGGCGAGCCAGTTATCCTAACACTACGTATTGAATAGGGATTCCTTTCTCCATTGCTTGTTTTTGTTGACTTTGTCGAAGATCAAATGGTCTGTGACATTATTTCTGGGCTTCTTATTCTGTTCTGGGCAATTACTTTTTAGATACAACACCAAAGGTTCTATCCAAGAAAGAAAGAATTGATAAATTTGACTTCATGAAAATTAAAAATTTCTGCTCTGCAAATGACACTGTCAAGAAAATAAAAAGCCACAGACTGGGAAAAATATTTGCAAGAGACATATCTGATAAAGGACTGTTATCCAAAATATACAAAGAACTCTTCAAACTCAACAATAAGAACACAAACAGCTCTATTTAAAAATGGACCAAAGACCTTAGCAGACACCTCACCCAAGAATGTATACAGATGGCAAATAAGCATATGAAAAGATGCTCTACATCATATGTCATCAGGGAAATGCAAATTAAAATAAGAGTGAGATACCACTACACACCTATTATTATAGAATTGCCAAAATCCAGAACACTGACAACACCAAATGCTGGTGAGGATGTGGAGCAACAGGAATTTTCAATCATTGCTGATGAGAATGCAAAATGGTACAGCCACTTTGGATGACTGTTTGGAAGTTTCTTACAAAACTAAACATACTTTTACCGTATGATCCAGCAGTTTCACTCCTTGATATTTAACATCCCAAATTTTAAAATGTATGTCCCACAAAAACCTGCACACAGATGTTTATAACAGTTGTATTTGTAATTACGAAAACTTGGAAGCAGCCAAGATGTCCTTCAGTAGGTGAATGGATGAATAAACTTCGGTAAATGCAGGCAGTAGAATATTATTCATTGCCAAAAAGAAATGAGCTATCAAGCCATGAAGAAACATGGAGGAAATGTAAATGCATATTACTAAGTGAAAGAAGCCAATCTGAAAAGGCTACATACTGTTTGATTCCAACTATATGACATTCTGGAATAGGTAAAACTATGGAGACAATGAAGAGATCGGTGGTTGACAGGGGTTAGGGAAGAGACAGGAATGAATAGGCAGAACACAAAATATTTTTAGGGCAGTAAAATTGCTCTCTTTGATACTATAATAGTGGATACATGTCATTATATATTTGTCCAAACCCACAGAATGTGCAATACCAAGAGTGAACCTTAATGTGAATTTTGGACTTTGAGTGATAATGATGTGTCAGTGTAGATTCATCAGTGGAAACAATTGTACCTCTCTGGCAGGGGATATTGATAACTGGGGACACTATGCATGTGTGGCAGTGGTAACAGGGGGTATATGGGAAATCTCTGTACCTTCCTCCCAATTTTACTGTAAACATAAGACTGCTCTAAAAAATTAAGTATTAATTTAACATATAAAAATACATAAATACTTTAAAGTATTTATATAATACTTTCCCTCCCCCCACAGTTTATGGGTACATCAAATTTCTCTTCAGCAACTGCAAGCAAAGAAAGAAAGGAGTGAAATATTTAAGTTGTTGAAAGAAAAAGGCTACCAATCTGGAATTCTGTATTTAGAGAATTTATTTTTCAAAAATAAATGATAAGTAAAGACTTTCTCAGACAAAAAGTGAGAGAATTTGTCACCAGTAGACCTTCCTTGCAGGAACTTTTAACAAAAATTCTTCATAAAAAGGGCTACCAATCTGGAATTCTGTATTCAGAGAATTTATCTTTCAAAAATAAATGATAAATAAAGACTTTCTCAGACAAAAATTGAGGGAATTTGTCACCAGTAGACCTTCCTTGCAGGAACTATTAACAAAAATTCTTCATAAAGAAGAAAAATGACATAGGTCAGAAACTTGGATCTACATAAAGAAAGGAAGAACATTAGCAAAATAATAAGTGAAGTAAAATATTTTTCTTTTTCTTAATTGACATAATAAAGGACAGTTTGTTCAAAATAAAAATAGCAGTGATATCTTACATGTCTGTAGCTTATGGGAAAGTGGAATGAGTAACAGGTGTAATAAGGAATGGAAGGGAGGGATTGGGAAAATTCTGTTAGAACATATCTGTTCTACACATGCAGTGGTATAGTGTTATCTAAAAGTAAAAGTGGACTTGGATTAATGTAAATGTATATTGTAAACTCTAGGGCAGCCACTAAAAACTTTCTTAAACGAAGTATAATTGATATGCTCAGAGAAGAGAGAAAATGGAATAATATAAAATGTTCAGTTAAAACCAGAGAAGACAGAAAAAGAAAGGAAGACAAAAAAAAAAGTAACAAAAAAACTAGGGCAATGAATAGAAAGTCATTGCAAATACGGTCAATATTAAACTAGCAAATCAATAGTCACTTTAAATGTGAATGGTCTATATAAACCAATTAAAAGACAGAGACTGTCAGGGGATTAAAAATCCCCAAAATCCAACTATGTGTTATCTATAAGAAACCACTTTATTTTAAAAAATATTTCTAATAAGTTCTATTGTGTACATTTAAGGTATACAACATGATGTTATGAGATACATATAAAAATTGTAACTGTACTGAAACAAATTAGTATATTTATTCATCTTACATGGTTATCCATTTTCCCCCACAAGAGCAGTTATAATCATATTAATTGAACAATTTGTCCCTTCAAGTCAAATTCCTCAGTTGTGATGGGTCAGATTCCTCAATTGTGACCAACCATTGCAGGTGAAATTCAAATTTTATTTTTTTAGTGGTTTTATTTTTGAGAAAAATTTTATTTCACCTCTCCCAATGGATAGACATTTATTTCAAGATACACTGCATCCTCTTATTGTCAACACTTCAAACCTACCAGCTACTGACATCTTGAAACAGCATAATTTGTTATCCATGACTCCTGAAAGTTCCTCATGTCACCAACCCTTATATGATACAAATGTAAAGATGGCTATTCGTGGAAATGTGTTCACCACATTGCCAAGTGTCTTGGGTCTCCTTTTGAAAAGAATGTTTTTTCACAAAAGTCAACATTTCCCTGAAAATGCAGCTCCATCTTCTATTGGTATGGTCTGTGGAAGTCACAGAGACTGAAATTTCGGTCCATATTATGGTTGATAACTACAATTTCTGTTGCAAAGTATGCAAGCATTACTTTGAACTGCATCTGATGCAACTTGGTGGTCTAGGCCATTACTTGCAAATTGCCAAGGCCTATTTTGGGAACAATGCTTTCAATTCCCTTTTATTGCATGTATCAGAACAATATCCTGTTAACTAATATGATGGTTCATTTTACTGCATATATGAGAAGAATGTCCTGTTAACCAATATATTTTGACTTTTGGTTTTAGTATGTTTTAGTACAAATATCCAGGGACAAATTCTTCAGTTGAATACATCCAAGAGACAATTTGTTCAATTGATCTGCTATAATCTAATCATTTAGCAAAAATTCTGACTACAATACACTATCATTAGCTATGGTTCTCATGCTGCATATTAGATCTTTAGACTTGTTCATCCTATATATCTGCTGCATTGTATTTTTTGACCTGTATCTCCCATTTCCACACCCCTACACCAATCATAGTCACCACTGTTTTATTCTGTATCTCTGTGAAGTTGACCTTTAAAAAAAAAAAGATACCACATATAAGTGGGATCATGTGATATTTTTCTTTGTGTGTGTGGCTTATTTCACTTATTGTAATGCATACCAAAGAATATTTTCAGCTATACAAAAGGAAGAGATCCTGTCATTGCCATAAGATGGATTGACTTGGAGGACATTATGCTAAATGAAAGAAACCTAGTTTAAATATAAAGACACAGATGGGTTAAAAGTAAAGGAATGGAACAATATATACTGTGCTAGCTCTAATCAAGAGAAAGCTGGAGTTGTTATATTAATTTCAGACAAAGAAGACTTTAGGACAAGGAAAATTATCCGGGAAAAATGGGGGGCATTACATATTAATAAAGGGGTATATTCTCCAAGAAAACATAACAGTCCTTAATGTGTTTGCACTTAACAAAGCATCAAAATATGTGAGGCAAAAACTGATAGAAATGCAAGGAGAAATACAAACTATTAGAGCTGGAGGCTTCTATACCCCTTTATTAGTAATTTATAGATCCATCAGGCAGAAAATCAGTAAGGACATAGTTCAATTTAATCATCAGTCAACTGGATTTAACTGATGTCTGTAGAATACTCCATCCAACAACATGAGAATATACATTCTTCTCAAGATCACATGGAACATTCGCCAAAATAGACCATATTCTGGGTCATAAAACATACCTTAGGAAACACAAAATAATAGAAATCATACTATACTTTTTTTTTTTTTTTTTTTTTTGAGGCAGTCTCACTGTCGCCCAGGGTGGAGTGCAGTGGCGCGATCTCGGCTCACTGCAAGCTCCACCTCCTGGGTTCACACCATTCTCCTGCCTCAGCCTCCCTAGTAGCTGGGACTACAGGCGCCTGCCACCACGCCCAGCTAATTTTTTGTGTTTTTAGTAGAGACGGGATTTCACCGTGTTAGCCAGGATGGTCTAGATCTCCTTAACTCGTGATTCGCCCGCCTCGGCCTCCCAAAGTGCTGGGATTACAGGCGTGAGCCACCGTGCCCGGCCCTACAATATATACTTCTACACCATACTGGAATTAAACTAGAAATCAGTAACAGAAAGCTGTACAATTCCAAACTATTTAGAGATTAAAAACCACACTTCTAAATCGCACATGGGTCAAAGAAGAAGTCTCAAGAGAAATTTTAAAATATTTTGAGCTAAAAGAAAATGGAAATACCACTTATCAAAATTTGCAGGCTGCAGCAAATGCAGTGCTTAGAAGGAAATATATAGCAAGGAATTAATATATTAAAAGTGGAAAGATTTAAACTGAATAATACAGACTACCACCCTGGGAAGCTAGAAAAAGAAGAGTAAATCAAATCCAAACTAATCAATAGAAAATAAATTTTAATGGCTACAAAAATACAGTTAGATAGAATGAATAAGATGTAGTATTTGGTAGCAAAATAGAGTGCTTTTATGGATTGTGACATTGGTCATTTCTAAACTTTTTGCCTAAACCAGAATCACAAAGATATTCTCCTGTTTGTTCTTTTAGAAGTTTTAAAAAATTAGGTTTTAAAGTCTATAACCCATCTTGAGTTTATTTTTATATATAGTATGTGATATGGATTAAGGTTCATTTTAGTTTATGTTTTGTATATTACTATCCAAATATTTAGGCAGCATTTGTTGAAAGTACTATCCCTTTTCCATTGAATTCCCTTTGCACCTTTGTTGAAAATCAATTGACCACATATGTGGGTAGATTTTGAATCTATTTTATTCTGTTGATCTATTTGTCTAACATTTCGCCAACACCACATTGTCTTGAAAACGTCAGTCTGTTGTTGTTCTTTTTGCTTTTGAGACAGAGTCTTGCTCTATCGCTCAGGCTGGAGTGCAGTGGCACAATCTTGGCTCACTGCAACCTCCGCCTCTCAGGTTCAAACGATTCTCGTGCCTCAGCCTCCTGAGTAGCTATGATTACAGGCGTGTGCCGCCATGCCTGGCTAATTTTTGTATTTTTAGTAGAAACAGGGTTTCACCAGGTTGGCCAGGCTAGTCTCGAACTCCTTGCCTCAAGCGATTTGCCTGCCTCAGCCTCCCAACGTGCTGGGATTACAGGCATGAGCCACCACACCCGGCCAAAAAGTGTAATTTTATATTAAGTCTCTGACATGTTTCTTTTGCAAAATTGTTTTGGCTATTCTACTTTCTTTGCCTTTCCATATAAATTTTTCATTAGATTACCAATTTTTATAAAAGATCATGCTGGTAATTCGATTTAGATTGTATGGAATCTATAAATCATATTGGAGAGAACTGATATCTTAACAATTTTGTATCTTTCAATCCATAAATAAAGTGTATCTCTCCATTTTTTAGGCCTTCATTGATTTTTTCATCAGCGTTTTTTAGCTTTCTAAGCGAAGATCTTACACATATTTTGTTAGATTTATACTTCAGTATTTTCAAGTTTTGGGAGAGCTATTGAAAATAGTACACTTTCAATATTCAATTTCTAATTGTTCATTATAAAATATATAAATATGATTTATAAATTCTCTATAGTAACTTTTTAATATATTCTTATAGATTTTCTATGTAGAAAATTATGTCTATTTGTGAATAGAAAGTTTTATTTTTTTACTTTCCAGCATATAGGCCTTTTATTTGTTCTTCTTACCCAATTTCACTGACTAATATCTCCAGGAGTAGTGAAGCAGACATCCTTGTATAATTCCTGATCTTAGGGGTAAAGCAGTCTCTTGCCATTAAGTGTAATATTAGCTATAGGTTTTTTGTAGATGCCCTTTATCAGGTTGAGGAAGTACTCATTCTAGTTTGCAGAGACTGTCTGTCATGAATGGATGTAGAATTTTGTCAAATGATTTTTCTGCATCTGTGGCAATGATTACATGATTTTCCTTCTTTGGTTTGTTGATATGGTGAATTACATTGATTGGATTTTGAATGTTGAACTAGCCTTGAATTTCCAGGATAAGCCCCACTTGCTCATAAAAGTATTATCTTTCTACATATTGTTAGATTTAGTTTGTTAAAATTTTGTTGAGAATTTTTGCATCTATGTTCTTAAGGGATATTTGTCTGTAGTTTCTGTTCTTGTAATATCTTTATCTGGTTTTGGTATCAGTGTAAAGCTTGCATTAAATATTCAGTTGGGAAGTATTCCCTCCTCTTCAGTTTTCTGGAAGGGTTTGGTAGAATGTTTGATAGAATTCACCGGTGGAGCCATCTGATTCTGGAATTTTCTTTGTAAGAAAGTTTTCAACTACAATTTAAATTCCTTTAAAATATATAGGACTATTCAGGTTAGATATCTTTTTTTTTTTTTTTTGAGACAGAGTCTTGCTCTGTTACCCAGGCTGGAGTGCAATGGTGCCATCTCAGCTCACTGCAACCTCTACCTCCCATGTTCAAGTGATTCTCCTGCCTCAGCCTCCCGAGTATGGGATTATAGGCACTCACCACCATGCCTGGCTAATTTTTGTATTTTTAATAGAGACAGGGTTTTACCATGTAGGCCAGGCTGGTCTTGAACTCCTGACCTCAGGTGATCCACCCACTTCGGCCTCCCAAAGTGCTGGGAGTACAGGTGTGAGCCACCACGCCCAGTCTCAGGTTAATTATCTCTTTTTGATTGAGCTTTGGTAATGTGTGTCTTTCAAAGAATTAATCCATTTTATGTTGTTTCAAGAATTAATCATTCTATGTTGTTAAACTAACTGGCATACAGTTATTCACATTGTTCCCTTTTTACCCTTACCCTTTTAATGTCTGTAGTCAATGCAATGAAACCCTCTTTTTTGTCTCTAGTCTTAGTAGTTTTTGTCTTCTCTCTTTTTATCTATAGGGGTTTATCAATTTTATTGATCTTCCTAAAGATCCAGTTTTGATCTCATTGGTTTTTCCTTATTGACTTTCTGTCTTCAATTTCATTGATTTCTGCTCTTTATTATTCTATTTTTTTTCTTATTTTGTCCTACTTTTTCTAGTTTAAGATATTGATTTGAGACTTTTCTCCTTTTCCAATATAGATATTTAGTGATACGAATTTCCTTCTAAGTGCTTTTTTAGCTGAATCCCTAAATGATGTGCTGTGTTTTCATTTAGTACAAAATACTTTCTAATTTCCTATTGATTTCTTCTTCAACCCACAGACTATTTATATGCTACCAGCTTCTTAAAAGTGGTTATCTTCCTGTACTGGGATTATGTATAATGTTTATAAAATAACACTCTATATTTTATAGCACTTTATAATTTACAAAGTGCTTCATTTAATCCTCTAACATCCACTTGAGAAACATAATATTTCACAGATGTTGAAAAGGTTATCAGGGTTTGAGTGACTTACTCAATGTCACACAGAGTAGGTTAGGACTCAAACCTAGATTTTCTGTCTCCCAGTTTATTATTCTGAAGAAATTGTAAAGAAAGGTTTGAAAAATAAATTGGAATTCACCTTGTGGGTATTTGGAAAGATTCATAGAGGTTCTTTGAAGCAATCATTGATATGAGGCATCTCTCTCAGTTTAGTTTTAATTTAGATTTCTGATTACTAGTGAGGTTGAACATCTTTTAATATTTATTCTCTGGTATCGTTTGGCTATGTCTCCACCCAAATCCATCTTGAATTGTAACTCCCACAATTACCACATGTCGTGGGAGAAACCCGGCGGGAGGTCAGTTATGGGGGCGGGTCTTTCTTGCTCTGTTCTAATGATAGTGAATGAGTCTTACAAGATCTGATGGTTTTAAAAAAGGGAGTTTCCCTGCACAAGCTCTCTTCTCTTGAATGCTGCCATGTGAGATGTGCCTTTCACCTTCCACCATGATTGTGAGACCTCCCCAGCCACATAGAACTATAAGTCCAATAAACCTCTTTCTTTTGTAAATTGCCCAGTTGCAGGTATGACTTTATCAGCAGCATGAAAATGGACTAATACGTTGTCTGTTCCAATTTCTTCTTTTCTGACTTGCCTATTTCTGTACTTAGATTGTTTTTCTATTGGATTGGTTGGTCCTAATTGATTTGCATGATTAAAATATTCCAATACTAATATTTTGTTTACTATTTGTTCACAATATCTTCTCTTAGCTTCATGCTTATCTGTCTTTATTACTTCAATTTTGATCGTCAGGAAAATCTGCACTGGACTGAAGAAAATTTGTGTGTTTATTATAAGAGGAGTATTGCTTTATTTTGAGCTAGTATGATGAAAAGTGGGAGATAGAAGAGGATGGGATTAGAAGATAAACCACTTGATTTGGAAATTCAATTTACCAATCATTTGTCAGTTGCTTATGCTTGCATATTGCCTATAATTGCTTATTGCCCACAGTGTACTAGGCCATGTGATGAATAGAGAGTAAAGAATAAATGTTACCTACTTTCAGGGACTCTGATGGAGAAATATATCATGTACAATAAGGCAGTTAACATGGTATGTGCTCAAGTGAACTGTGGTATAAGATAAGCTGTGGCTACCAAAATTTCTGTTCCAGCAAAGGAGAGTGAGTGGTTTGAGTTAGTTGGGAGTTGTATTAGTCAGGGTTCTCTAGAGGGACAGAACTAATAGGATATATGTATACATGAAAGGGAGTTTATTAAGGAGAACTGACTCACACGATCACAAGGTGAAGTCCTGTAATAGGCCGTTTGCAAGTTGAGGAGCAAAGAAGCCATTAGTGGCTCAGTCTGAGCCCCAAAACCTCAAAAGTAGGGAAGCCAACAGTGCAGCCTTCAGTATGTGACTGAAGGCCCGAGAGCCCCTGGCAAACCACTGGTATAAGTCCAAGTGTCCAAAAGCCAAAGAACTTGGAGTCTGATGTTCGAGGGCAGGAAGCATCCAGCATGGAAGAAATATGAAGGCCAGAAGACTCAGCAAGTCAGCTTCTTCCACCTTCTTCTACCTGCTTTTTCTGGCCTTGCTGGCAGCAAATTGGATGGTGCCCATCCAAATTGTGGGTAGGTCTTCCTCTCCCAGTCTACTGACTCAAATGTTAATCTCCTCTGGCCACATCCAAAAACACCCAGAGACACCCAGATACACCCAGATAGGATACACCCAGAAGGATGCTTTGCATCCTTCAATCCAATCAAGTTGACACTTAATATTAACCATCACAGGAGTTGTTTAAGCAAGAATTCTGTAAGTTGAATGGGAGCAGGGACTTTGTATAAAAATTTTAGTTCTTTTCGTCTGCAACACTTAGCATATTGCCTGACAGTGCTCAAATATTTGTTAAATGATTGAGTGATGTTAACATGTGTAGGCAAAGCCAATCATAGAGACCTAACACAATGCATCATCTATCATTCCTATACCACCAACAGCTCTGAGAATGTTCTGATACATCCACATTTCAGACATTAGCTTGCATTTCCAAAGAAAGGGAACACAACCTTTTCAAGAAAAAGAACACATGATATGCTCCCTTTATCATTGTAACGGAGTAGTAGTTAAAATTTTGTATTGCTGACTATGGCCTTATAGTATAGTTTGAAATCAGGTAGCGTGATGCTTCCAGATTTGTTCTTTTTGCTTAGTCCTGCTTTGGCTATGCAGGCTCTTTTTTGGTTCCATATGAATTTTAGAATTGTTTTTTCTAACTCTGTGAAGAATGACTGTGGTATTTTGATGGGGATTGTATTGAATTTGCTGATTGCTTTTGTCAGTATGGTCATTTTCACAATATTAATTCTACCTGTCTATGAACATGGGGTGTGTTTCCATGTGTTTGTGTCATCTATGATGTCTCTCAGCAGTGTTTTTAGTTTTCCTTGTAAAGGTCTTTCTACTCCTTTGTTAGATGTATTCCTAAGTATTTTATTTTATTTTATTTTATTTTATTTTATTTTATTTTATTTTATTTTATTGCATCCTTTGTAAAAGGGGTTGAGTTCTTGATTTGATTCTCCACTTGATTGCTTTTGGTGTATAGAAGAGCTACTGATTTGTGTACATTAATCTTGTATCCAGAAACTTTGCTGAATTCTTTTATCAGTTTTAGGAGCTTTCTGGAAGACTCCTTATGGTTTTCAAGGTAAACGATCATATTGTCAGCAAACTGGGACAGTTTGACTTCCTCTTTACTGATCTGGATGGCCTTTATTTCTTTCTCTTGTCTGATTGCTCTGGCTAGGACTTCCATTACTTTGTTGAAGAGGAGTGGTGAGAGTGGGCATCCTTGTCTTGCTCCAGTTCTCAGAGGGAATGCTTTCAACTTTTCCCCATTCAGTATTATGTTAGCTGTGAGTTTGTCATAGATGGCTTTTATTACATTAAGGTATGTCCTTTGTATGCCGATTTTGCTGAGGGTTTTAATCATAAAGGGATACTGGATTTTATCGAGTGCTTTTTCTGCATCTATTGAGATGATCATGTGATTTTTGTTTTTAATTCTGTTTATGTGGTGTACCACATTTATTGACTTACATATGTTAAACCATCCTTGCATCCCTGGTATGAAACCTACTTGATCGTGGTGGATTGTCTTTTTGATAGGTTGTTGGATTCAGTTAGATAGTATTTTGTTAATGATTTTAGCATCTATGTTCATCAAAGATATTGGTCTGTAGTTTCCTTTTTTGGTTGTGGCCTTTCCTGGTTTTGGTGTTAGGGTGATGCTGGCTTCATAGAATGAATTAAGGAGGGTTCCTTCTTGCTCTGTCTTATGGAGTAGTGTCAAAAGGATTGGTACCAATTCTTCTTTGAATGTCTGGCAGAATTCTGCTGTGAATCCACCTGGTCCTGGACTTTTTTTTGTTGGTAATTTTTAAATTACCATTTCAATCTCTCTGCTTGTTATTGGTTTGTTCAGGGTATCTAATTCTTCTTGATTTAAGCTAGGAGGGTTGTATTTTTCCAGGAATTTATCCATCTCTTCTAGGTTTCCTAGTTTATGTGTGTAAAGGTGTTCATAGTAGTCTTGAATGATCTTTCGTATTTCAGTATTTGAAGATACTCCTGTTTTGTTTCTCAGTGAGGTTATTTGAATTTTCTCTCTTTTCTTGGTTAATCTTGCTAATGGTCTATCGATTTTATTTATCTTTTCAAAGAACCAGCTTTTTGTTTCACTTATCTTTTGTGTCTTTTTTTTGTTTCAATTTCATTTAGTTCTACTCTGATCTTGGTTATTTCCTTTCTTCTGCTGGGTTTGGGTTTGGTTTGTTCTTGTTTCTCTAGTTCCTTGAGGTGTGACCTTAGATTGTCTATTTGTGCTCTTTCAGACTTTTCGATGTAGGTGTTTAGGGTTATGCACTTTCCTCTTAGCACTGCCTTAGCCTTATCCCAGAGATTTTGATAAGGTTCTGTCATTATTATCATTCAGTTTGAAGAATTTTTAAATTTCTATCTTGATTTTGTTTTTCACCCAATGCTCATTCGGGAGCAGGTTATTTAATTTCCATTTATTTGTGTGGTTTTGAAGGTTCCTTTTGGAGTTGATTTCCAGTTTTATTCCACTGTGGTCTGAGAGAGTGCTTGATACAATTTCGATTTTCTTAAATTTATTGAGGCTTGTTTTATGACCTATCATATGGTCTATTTTGCAGAAAGTTCCATGCTCTGTTGAATAGAATGTGTATTCTGTGGTTGTTGGATGAAATATTCTATATATATCTTGTAAGTCCATTTGTTCCAAGGTATAGTTTAAATCCATTGTTTCTTTGTTGACTTTGTGTCTTGATGATCTGTCTAGTGCTGTCAGTGGAATATTGAAGTCCCCTACTATTACTGTGTTGCTGTCTATTTCATTTCTTAGGTCTGTTAGTAATTGTTTTATAAATTTGGGATCATGGTACTGGTATAAAAATAGGCATATAGACCAATGGAACAGAATAGAGAACCCAGAAATAAACCCAAATACTTACAGCCAACTGATCTTCAGCAAAGCAAACAAAAACATAAATGTGGGGGTCCTTTTCAACAAATAGTGCTGGGATAACTGGCAAGCCACATGTAAGAGAATGAAACTGGATCCTCGTCTCTCACCTTATACAAAAATCAACTCAAGATGGATTAAGGACTTAAACCTAAGACCTGAAACTATAAAAACTCTAGAAGATAACATTGGAAAAACCCTTCTAGACATTTACTGGGGAAACATGCCACCAATATTTCAACGTAGGTTCTTTCTATTTTCCATAAATGTCAACCGGCTAAGAAATAAAGAGAAAGAGTACAAAGAGAGGAATTTTACAGCTGGGCCGCTGGGGGTGAAATCACATATCGGTAGGATGGTGATGCCCACCTGAGCCACAAAACCAGCAAGTTTTATTAAGGATTTCAAAAGGGGAGGGGGTGCAAGAACAGGGAGTAGGTCACAAGATCACATGCTTCAAAGGACAAAAAAGAGAACAAAGATCACATGCTTCTGAGGAAACAGGACAAGGGCAAAATCAGAAACTCCTGATAAGGGTCCAACAAAGATCACAACTCAAAGGGCAAAAGCAGAATTACTGATAAGGGTCTATGTTCAGCGGTGCACTTATTGTCTTGATAAACATCTTAAACAACAGAAAACAGGGTTCGAGAGCAGAGAACCAGTGTGACCTCAAATTTCCCAGAGCGGGGTTTTTCCCCACCCTAGTAAGCCTGAGGGTACTGCAGGAGACCAGGGTGCATTTCAGTCCTTATCTCAACCACATAAGACAGACACTCCCAGAGCAGCCATTTATAGACCTCCCCCCAGGAATGCATTCCTTTCCCAGAGTAATCCTTGCTAGGAAAATAATTTAGAGATATCTTCCCTACTTGCATGTCCATTTATAGGCTCTCTGCAAGAAGAAAAATATGGCTCTTTTTGCCTGACCCTACAGGCAGTCAGACATTATGGTCGTCTTCCCTTGTTCCCTAAAATTGCTGTTATTCTGTTCTTTTTCAAGATGCACTGATTTCATATTGTTCAAACCCACATGTTTTACAGTCAATTTGTACAGTTAACACAATTATCATAGTGGCACTGAGGTGATGTACATCCTTAGCTTACGAAGATAACAGGATTAAGAGATCAAAGTAAGACAAGTGTAAGAAATTATGAAAGTATTGTTTGGGAACTGGTTAATGTCCATGAAATCTTCACAATTTATGTTCCTCTGCCACGGCTCCAGCCAGTCCCTCTGTTCGGGGTCCCTGACTTCCCGCAACAGACATTGGCTTAGACAAGGATTTCATGACCAAAAACCCAAAAGCAAATGCAATAAAAACAAAGATAAATAGCTGTGACCTAATTAAACTAAAGAGCTTTTGCATGGCAAAAGGAACAGTCAACAGAG
The DNA here is from genome assembly GCF_000001405.40 of Homo sapiens. NCBI lineage: Eukaryota > Metazoa > Chordata > Mammalia > Primates > Hominidae > Homo > Homo sapiens. The sequence continues at coordinate 110,764,199 of NC_000023.11, read as the reverse complement.
TAAACAAACAACCCACAGAGTGGGAGAAAATCTTCACAATCTATACATCTGACAAAGGACTAATATCCAGAATTTACAATGAACAAATCAGTAAGAAAAAAAAATCCTATCAAAAAGTGGGCCAAGGACATGAATAGACAATTCTCAAAAGAAGATATACAAATGCCCAACAAACATATGAAAAAATGATCAACATCACTAAAGATCAGGGAAATGCAAATCAAAACCAGAATGCAATACCACCTTACTCCTTCAAGAATGACCATAATCAAATGCAATACCACCATACTCCTTCAAGAATGACCATAATCAAAAAACGAAAAAACAGTAGATGTTGGTGTGGATGCAGGGAATGTAAACTAGTACATCCGCTATGGAAAACAGTGTGGAGATTCCTTAAATAATTAAAAGTAGAACTACCATTTGATCCAGAAATCCCAGTGTTGGGTATCTATGCAGAGGAAAAGAAGTCATTATTCGAAAAAGATACTTGCACACGCATGTTTATAGCAGCACAATGCACAATTGCATAATTGTAGAACCAACCCAAATGCCCATCAATCAATGAGTGGATAAAGAAACATATAGATAAATAGATAGATAGATAGAGAGACAGAGACAGAGAGTCAGTATGTGTGTGTATATATATATATATATATATGTTTCTATTGATTATATATATGTGTGTATATATATATGTGTGTGTGTATATATATGAATACTACTCAGCCACAAAAAGGAATGAATTAACAGCATTTGCAATGACCTAGATGAGATTGGAGACTATTATTCTAAGTGAAGTAACTCAGAAATGGAAACCGAACATCGTATGATCTCACTGATATGTGGGAGCTAAGCTATGAGGATGTAAAGGCATAAGAATGATACAGTGGACTTTGGGCACTTGGGGGGAAGAGTGGGAGGGGGACAAGAGATAAAAGACAACAAATATGGTGCAGTGTATACTGCTAGGGTGATGGATGCACCAGGGTCTCACAAATCACCACTAAAGAACTTACTCATGTAACCAAATACCACCTGTACCCCAATAACTTATGGAAAAATAAAATTAAATTTAAAAAGATTTTGTACATCATTGTCAGACAAACCTGGGTTTGAGTTCCATCTCAGCTTCTTACTGGTTATATGACTCTTGATTTTCCTTATCTATAAAATGAGACTAATAATAATATCTACCTTATGGGTCATTGTGGTGAGGATCCAGTGAGCAAAGTATGTATAACACTAATCCCCTAATAGGAATTCTATAAATACTTGCTATGCCACTTCTCTTGATGTATAATAAAATGGATGGAACTTGTGATTGCTTTTGAATTTTGTGACTTGGTTGATGTTTCCTAACAGGCATATTCTCCATCTCCTTCTTCACAGATTCAGAGACATATTGCATGTTTCAAGACAAGAAGTACAGAGTGGGTGAGAGATGGCATCCTTACCTGGAACCTTATGGGTTGGTTTACTGCGTGAACTGCATCTGCTCAGAGGTACAATCTCTCATGACATGTGATTTCCCAGTTTGCTCCTCAGCATGCCGAGAGGCTTTCAGTGCCCAAATGGCCAGGGACCATGGATGATAAAATCCTTAAAGAAAGTAAAGAAGCAGACCGATCGCACTGTCTCACGCCTATAATCCCAGCACTTTGTGAGGCTGAGGCATGTGGATCACTTCAGCCCGGGAGTTCTAGACCAGCATGGGTAACATGGCAAAACCCCATCTCTACAAAAAGTACAAAAATTAGCTGGGCATGGTGGCACATGCCTGTTGTCTCAGCTAGTTGGGAGGCTGAGGTGGGAGGATCACTTGAGCTGGGGACTTCTAGGCTGAAGTGAACCGAGATTATACCACTGCACTCCAGCATGGTTGACAGAACAAGACCCTATCTCATAAAATAAAAGAAGAAAGTAAGAAGACGATTGCAAGAAAAATAAACATTTTCTGTCTTCTGTCCTCTCTTGCTTTTTGGCTTGATTTTCATGGGTTCTCTGAATATTTACTATGGACAGATATTTATGATCTCTTAGCCTAATGATATAGGGCATGGTTAGAGAAGGCAGAAGAGCCTGATAGTGGGAGTGGAGGCAAAAGCTCAATAGAATGTTTAGATTGTAAGACAAAGTAGTTTTTGAAAATTATTTTAAGGCTGACCTTTAGGGAGAATATTAGGACAAATTATAAACTGGTTCATTGGGAGAGTGGATTCTATGTTGTCTCAGCCAATAACTGTAATTAAGACTGAGTTTGTGAAACGTTGGCCTGTACCTCTTAAGGATTAGAGCTCCCTTGGCTTAGCCTTGGCTCTTGTCCAGTCATTTAGAAAGGATTTTGGTTGGCATAAATGCCATCTTTGCAATAGATAAAGCAGGTTGTTCCATCTTCTTCCCATGGTCTTGACCCAGGAGCACAGCTGTGGTCCATCTTTCTCAACAAACCTCTGCCATTATATGTTAGGCTAGAGTTTCTTGTTTGCACTATAGATATTTGTTTGGGGGCTGTCCTGCGCATTGTGGGATGTTAAGCAGTATCCCTGGCCTCTACCCATTAGACAACAAGAGCACCAACCCCAATCCTAATAACCAAAAATGTCTCCAGACATGGCCAAGTTGCCTGGGGAGCAAAAATCACCCCTGGTAGAGAAGTGGTGCACTAGGCTAATTGGAAAGGGAGGCCTTGTACTAGGCATTGAGAATTCTGAACTTACACAAAGAATTTTCAAGACCAGCTTCTTACCTGAGACCTTTTGTAAGGACTGCACCTCTTCCCTCATGCCCAGCTAGAGCAGGAACAATCACTTGCAAGCCTGATCCATTTACCATTTGAACATAATTTTGGGCTGTCAGAATTTTGAGCATGTGGAAACATAATTATCAGGTAACATCAGGCAGTATTAAGAGGCTATGAGGTTCTAGAATAAAGACAGACCAAGTTTCCAGCCCTGCCTCTGCCACTTATGAGCCACTGGACAAGTTACCTGACCTCTGTGATATTCATTCATCTTCCTCTTTTTATAAATGGGATAATGATATTACCATTTCATATGGTTCTGATAAGGATTAAATTTACAAATCCATTTAAATCATTTAAAACAATACTTAGTCTTGGTAAACATTCAAGAAATGTTAACAGCTGTTATTGTCATCATTGTTGTCCTTATCATTGTGGTTATCATCATCATCGTTATTATTATTAATCTATTAGCTCTAGAACAGAATTCAGTATATAGCATTAATGAGGATTCACTTTAGACCTCAGCTGGGAGGTGTGGTTTCTGATGTGCTTCAGTGATCTCAATTCAAGATTATACCACCTGCCTCTGAGGAGTGTGATACCTGAGGAGCTTCTGTGGTGTTGCCAAATGCAACACTCCAAAAAAAATTATTCTAGAAAGTACACAAGAAAAGGAAAAGGTTGGGATAAGGCAATTCCAATTTGGATAAAAGAAGCCCGCCTCTTTAAATGGTTAGGGCATGTATTAAATAGATCATTTGGGGATTGATTAACTGCCTGGGATGGCCTGATTTTGTCGGATTCTTGACGCGACACATTTCGACACGTTGGAGATGGACAGCTAACCATTGGGAGCTGAGGCTTTGATGTCTGCAACGCAGTCAAAATGTTAAAATGATCCCAATGCCAACAGCTCAAGCACAAGGCATTTTCTATTTCTATATCCTCTTCACTACTTTCTTCCCCCACAACAGCCTGACAAATACAAGTAGCCCTTGCTGCAAATGATTTATGGATGGAAAATGTAAATGAAAAATTTATTTCCAGACTATGTCTTTGTTCTAGAAATGGTTGTGAGCTGTCAGAGCGAGGGGTCTTGTAATTGTAAATCAGGCAGGGACCCAGTCGCCCCACCCAGGCATACTACCTAATCAGCTAAATTCCAAACTCTAGCTCGTCCTCAGAAGAATTTTGGCTAAAAAGGAAATGAGAAGAATCACTTGGCCCACTGGGCCAAGGCAGATTTATATGGAATCCAGGATCCACCTGCTAGGGATGCCTCCTTGCCCAGGGCTGGGTAGCAGCTCAGGGGACCCATTGCTCATTGTGTCTTTCATGTTATTGGACAGGTGATTATGAAATCAGAGTAGGTTCTTGGAAAAGACATGCAGCTAGAGCTGGGGAATGGTAGAAATGCCATGGAGCCAGGCCAGAAGAAGCCTCCCACAATTAATGGGAAGCTTTGAAAATTGGAGGAGTGGTGATCTCAGCCTTAGAAAAATATGCCAATAAACTATCAACCAACCCAGCAGAGGTGCTGGTGATGAGAAAAGGAAAGAAAATGTTGAATGCATTCAGCTTCTTGGGAATGCATTATTCACTGCCTGGGTGAGTCCCTGCATGACTGTTTCCCAAACTGGCTTGATCCCAGCGACCTTTGAAAGACATTTATTTTTTCTCATTGCCTTCTCTTTTTCAGAATGGGAATGTGCTTTGCAGCCGAGTCAGATGTCCAAATGTTCATTGCCTTTCTCCTGTGCATATTCCTCATCTGTGCTGCCCTCGCTGCCCAGGTAAAGCAATTTGTCTCTTTCTTTCCTAGCTGTGGTTCTCCATTTCCCTCTTCACCCAACTCAACTCATCTCCATAATTCCCCAGAAGGGAAACTTCCAGACAGATAACAATAGGAACCTTTAGGCAGTCCAAACTGGCCTCTAAATACTTTTTATAGCCCAAATGGGGTACATTCTAGGCTCTAATAAGTTATTGGGTACCCAGTAACAGATTTTTATTGGGCTTTTAATCATTTGAAGGTGGGTGTCAATCGGAGATGGAAATTGTGGCCCAGAGATTTTCTGCTATAAGCAGCCTCTTCCTGCCATGGGCAGCAGGCACCAGGAGAGTTGCAGCATGGCGGCATGTGTCTTATACAATTAGTGCTGGAATTGCATCCGAGCATAGCTTCTAAATTATGAGGGGGCCATTCATAAATCAAAGGAGCTGACCCAGTGAGGTTTATGACAGTATAAAGCTGCCTGCCTGCTGAATAGTCACCTCCTCCAGACTGCAGTTATTATGTACACATTGTTAAGTGTAATTCTAAGGGGCAGCCAGGCAGAGAATTTTTCACACAACTGTTAGGACATCTACTTTCACGATTTGCAGCTACGGTATTTGTCTGAGGCAGGGGCTCCCTCAATGACACTTTGTTCATGTCTGACTGGGGCCCGATTCCCACCCCAAAAGCGTGTGGAGTGATTCAGAGAATGCCTGTGGGCCCAGTGGCAATCCTAGAAAAAGCTACTTGACACTCTTGGGCTTTGTGAAGTAGAAGCCTTATCATCCTGTAAGTTGATTCCATTTCCCTTTAGGGTAGAAATTCTTGAACTAGGGTTCCTGGATGGGCTTTTGAGGGTCAGAGAACCCTTTAAAATTGCTTGCAGTTTTTGGTGTAACTATGTATATTTGTAAATTCCTTTAGAGAACATCCGCAGCTTTATTGTCAGTCCCAAAGGGGTGTACAGGAAGAACCACTACCCCAGCTAAGGTATAGACGGTGCTTTTTAAGTGGTGAGGAACTTCCAGAACTTATAAGAGAGAAACCAAATGTATCCAGGCAAAAATGTTAGGAATAAGGCTGGGAATGGGGTTCAATGAAAACCCAGTCAACTGAAATGTTCCAAGAGTGGAGAATTTTTTTTTAATGGAGAAGAAACACCCAAACTCTTTTTGTCACTACCTTTATAAAATATATTTTCCTGCATCAGTAAATACACCCTAATGAACACAGGTGATTCATTTCCAGATGGCAGAATATCATGCCATATCACAGGTTTTTAAATTCTGAGTGTTGGTGCTGATAGTATATGCTTTGAGATGTCAGAGATTGACTTGGCATATGACCAACCTAAAAGTTGTTGGGTTTTTTTTGGAATAAGTCCCTAAGCCAGGCTTACTGTTTCTGTATGTGTTTATTTGCTTCTTCTTCCTAAACTGGATTGCAAGAATGTGGTATGGGTGGGGGTGGGGGCGCTCTGGTAAATGGGAACAATGTTTCTGATAAAGTTGCCACTCTGGAGAGCTTCTTTGTTTTTTTTTTTTTTGTTTTTTTGTTTTTTGTTTTTTGTTTTTGTTTTTTGGTTAACCTGCCAGGTAGCCTGTCAGACAGCCTTATAAAAGCTTTTTATTCCTCAGAAGTCTCCAAAAGTGGTCTAATGTCATAGGAACTTATCTAAACTTCTGTGTAAAGATTGTTCTTCCCTGGGAAGAAGGTTGAGGCATGACCCAGACCCAGAGCATGGGGCAAAACAACATAGAATAGAATATGGCTGCACCTACCCCAGCTGCCTAACAGGAAGCAAGTATTGAGAAAAAGGGAAAGTATAAGCTAGCAGTTATTTTGAGAGAAAAATAAAGTGTTAAAAGAACTGAGCTCAAAAATTCCAGAGGTGAAAGCGTTGAAAGAAATAAACACCATTATGGTTAAGACTTAAAAAGCTCATTTTATGGTATGGAGGATAGAAATAAACTATTCCTTTTCTTTTCCTTCTTGCTCTTGCAGCTCACTTCTCCATGAGTTCATTTTTCTTCTTGTTAACTATAACCTTTAACAGCTCTTTCTGTGGGTAGTAGTTCTAAAATTCCTTAGTCCTTATATACAAAAAAGTGTATTTATTTTACAACCATTCTTGAATGATAATTTGGCTGGGTATGAAATTATAGGTGCATGTTCATCTCCCCTCAGCACTTTGAAGATATTACTAAATGGTTTGTTGGCTTTATGTTTGTTTATTTGTTTGTGGTTAAGAATTCTGCTATTTGTAGTTCTTTTGCGGGTTCTTCGTTTTTTTTTTCTTCTAGCTTTTAAAACTTTCTTCTTTTCATTGATGCACACAATGAGATGTGTAAGTTTGATTATTCTCTTCAGCCTGCTCAGCACATGATTTTTTCAGCCAAAGGAGTCAAATTTCTCTTCAATTTTTAGTCAGTTTTTTTTTTGAAAATTATCTCTTCACCTTCTTATTTTTTCTCATTCTCAAAATTGTCTTTGGTGTATATTATTGCATCTCATTTAATTTATCCTTTATGTCTCCTAATGTCTCCTTTATTTTTCCCTCCTGATATTCTCCCTAAAATGATATATTACTTCAACTCTGTTCTCCAATTCATGAATTCTTTCCATGCATACTATTTAGGCCATGTGTTGGGTTTTGTTTGTTTCTTTGTTTATTTTCAATAACCTTGTTTCCCCTCAGGTTTTCAAGTTATTTAAAAAGACATCTACATGATGCTAATTTATAACCTGTTATTGTTTTGGGGAATCTTATTCTCTTTTTTACTTCTTTAAAGTATTTAAAAGTTTATTTGAAGTCCATTTCAGATTGTTCAAATATCTAAATATTTTTAGATGTGAATTGTCACCTTTGTTGGGTTTCTTGACAGCTTTTCTTAGTTCTGAATTTTCCTTGGTTTTCTACTTTTTCTTTCAAAGCTCATTATCCATGGGTGTTTTGGGTTTGTTTTGTTTGTTTGTTTTTGTTTTTGTTTTTTCTTACATGAGCCCTTCTTTGTGGGATGGTTGTTGCAGGCTTTATAGTTCACTTTGCTCTAAACCAGGTCATATATTAATGACTCGGTTTGGGCTGCCTCATGCCTGAATGGTCTATTTCTACCTCTGTTTTCTTGTGCACTACTAGTCTCTGATAATGATCATGGACTGATCTACAACTGCCTCATCTACAACTGCCTAACTTGGACAATCAGTGTTTTTTAGGGAACACTGAGTGGGGAGAGCTATGTCAGCCCCTGTTTACATGCGAGTAGTGTGACCCTAGTCCCCAACTTCACATGGGAAGCCACTTGCAAGCTGTAGTTTCTCCTCAGCCATTTGGATCCAAACTATCCATATTCAGTCCCAGCTGCTGATGGACCATATGGCTTTGGCTCCCATTTATTGCTGTACTTTCCTTCTATATTTTATTCCACGAAGAGTTTTTTTGTGTTTCTGAATATAATTTTGCAGTTTTCACGTTTTATTTATTTATTTTTCTAGTTCCACATTTCATCTCTCTTTGTTTTGAAAATAACAGGGAGATTTCTCATGTGTTCTCTTTGCCATATTGAACCAGAATGCAACCAGCTATTCTTTCTTTCTACTGAAGATAAAACAAGAGTAAATAGCTTTAAATCATAGCAGAGAGGAGTGGAGCTTGACAAAAGGAAGAACTTTGAACACCGTGGCTGTTAAATCCTAGAATAAATGACTAAGGATAATTTTAGTCTCTTTACTTAATATTTCTAGAAATAAAAAGGTACCCACCCATCTGAGATAGAGTTGGCACAGTCCTGCTTTGAGACAGGGCAATGGATGTGATGACTCCTCTGTGTTCCTTCCACCCCAGTGATTATTAGGCATGAGGAAACTCATGCCTTCAGGGCCACAGAAATGTTTGGTCAAAGAAAAGGGCTCTGGTTTTCCATCTTAACCCAATGGAAGGCACTGTGATGAAAATGTCCTCATTTAAGAAGAAAATATTTAAAGCCAAGATGATGAATAAGCTCCGTATAAAAAGACGACAAATAAGCAAACTGTATACCCCAGATACTGGCTTTACATACTGTCCTATAGCAGTATTGATTTAGAGAAGCTTTTGCCTAGGTGGTAACAGACTCAGTGGAAGTGTCCTACCTATCATGCTTAGAGCTTAGTTTCCATTGAAGGAGACAGAGGAGCCATCTCATTTCATTTGTTTATGTATTTCCCATGGCTCTTGCTTTCTAAACTCGTTACCCCTAAAATTTCCAAGGAGCCCACCTGTATTTGAAATTGTCTCCTACAGCTCCTGCTAAACCGTGGAAATCAGAGTATGCAGGCAGCTCTTCCAGAAATACCAGAGAGAAATCTATACTGATTCCCACAAAGAGCAAATAAATTTTTTTTCATCAGCACTTGTCCAAGTCTTGGCAGAGGTCAAGTCTTAGTCACATACCACAGTGCTCTACTGGGCCCAAAGAGGCTACATGGAGGCTGGAACATTCTTAATGGAAAAGTCAAGACTGCATAGGACTCATGAACGTCATTAAATTCATCCTGGTCTCTAAGCAAGACTCTGTGGAGTCCCTGATAATTAAGAGATTTTAGTGATTTGAAGGAATTAAATTCCCTATCTTCTCTTTTGGGGGAATGAAGTGGTAATGCTGGAAGGGAAAGTAAAACAACATGACTTATTTTCATAATATGTGTATGTATATATTTCATAATATATATATTTTATTTTATATATATGCACAGAGAGAGAATTTTATCACAAAAAGAAGAATTTTATAGTGATCAGGAGTCTAAATCATGATATTATCTAAGAGGGCTTTTTAAAATGGTCATTCCACTGAGAATTTGCTATTCAGAATTAATAAATTTGGGTTTTCCTGGAGGTATTCCAGCATTCCTGGGTTATTAAAGAGCTCTTATAAAATTGCCAAAATAACTGATTTGATCTGGTTAACAGAGACCTAATCCACAGTGTTTCCTTTTGGCTAGGTGTGAAAAAGTTTGGCACTATGAATGGTTTTAATAGGAATAGTGACAGTGTGGTTTGCCAAGAGAGACACCCCAGTCTTAGATATTCAAGGTAGGTTAGGGAAAAGACCTTACCAGTGTTGCACTATAGTATGTGTTCCCATAAGGAGAATGTGGGAAGCCCTGTGTCATTTCTCTTTCAACAATAGTTGGGTTGTGAGTGAGCTAGCAAACACAGGCATTTCTGCCACAATACAATATGCACATATCTGAAAATCCTCACATTCTACAAAATTGTACACTGAAAAATCACAGGGCTTAAGGAAAAAGTAGCATTAGAGAAAACCACTCAAAACTTAGGCAACTTTGTAACCAGAATATTAACAAAGCAACTATACTAATGAAATACTAACACAGTTTAAAAAGGCATCTTACATTTCTAATAAAATATTACAGTAAATATAGACTTCTAGACTTCACCTTTTAAAATGGTAACATTAGCTTGAAGGAACAGTGTTTAAGGAAGGATTGAAGCTGCTAAGTTATAGAGACAACAGTAAATTGCACAAAGATCACGGAGAATCATGTAATAAGCACTTACAAGACAGAGCATGTGGCCCAACTGAGGCAAGAGGAAGAATGTAGGGCAAATGGCTTCCTGATTTCAGTTGAGTTAGTGTACTTGGCTTTTAGCTGCTGTCACTTGGTAGTGCAAAATATTAATTTGCTGGGTAATCATGTATGAACTAATGCAATTTCTATTTTATACCAACTTCATTCCCTTATTTAGCACTCACATATGAACCACTTGTGTTACACAAATCCACACTATAGCACAGACTGTGTAAGATGAGGTGGGTACATGGCATTTGACTGTAGACAAGTTTAGAGTAAGAGTTGAAAATCACTTGTTTACTCTGAATCTGCTTTTTTTTGTCTTTAATCACTGACCTATCTGCCCTTGTGTTCCCCTTTTCTCCCATCCCATGTATTTATATTAAAAAGGAGTCTAGAGTCTAGGTCTATGACTATGTCTGTCTATATCTGTGACTTCCACAGTTACAGTAATCAAGTAGACAGGCCTTTTGTGTTTCCTCCAGTTTTTTTCTAGGGAAGGTTCAAAAGAGAGATTTATTTATTTATTATTGTGGTAAAAGATGCATAACATAAAATGTATCATTTTAGTGTATAATTCAGTGGCATTAAGAACATTTACAATATTGTACAAGTGGTAAGAACATTTACCACTAATCTAGTTTCTGAAATTTTTCACCACCCCAAAAGGAAACCTATTACACAGTCACTCTCCATTCCCCTTTTCCCCTAGCCCCTGGTAACCATGAATCTACTTCTCTATGGATTTGCCTATTCTGGACATTTCACATAAGTGGAATCATACAATTTGTGGCCTTTTGCATCTAGTTTCATTCACTTAGCATAGTGTTTTCAAGGTTCACCCATGTTGTAGCATGTATCAGTATGACATTTCTTTTTAGGGCTGAATAATCTTCCATTATTATGCATAGACCACTTTCGTTATCCATTCATCTGTTGGTAGTCATTTGGGTTGTTTCCACCTTTTGGCCATTGTGAATAACGCTGCTACGGACATTTATATACAAGTTTTTGTGTGGCATATGTTTTCAATTATTTTGTATATACCTAGGAGTGGAAATTCTGGGTCTTATGGTAATTTTATTTTTAATTTATTGAGGAATCTCTCTTAAATTTTAAGGTTGCCCCATCTTCTTTTAGTTCATTTCTTTGAGTACCTACTGCCAGCCATCCTCATGGTTGCTGCTGATTTGCTGCTTTTGCCACCATCCATATCTGATCTCCATTGCTCTCTTCTCTCTTCTATTCTCTTCTGAATTCTATATTCGTTTGTCTCTTGGATTTTATCAAAACAGATCAATTCCTTTTTAACAGTAACAGCCAATTAGCATATTGTTTTCCCTAGTAAGGTGACTACAATAGCTGTAGTGTGCAAGATGATCAACCAGGAGCCACTCCTTTGCCTGCAAAAGATTGGTATATATATTACACATAATAATTACATATATATATATATGGGTCCAGAGTTATCCAAAAGCCTGAGGATTCTGAAATGTTGGTGTCTGAATAGCAGATATTTTGCTTTATTATTATTATTACTATTTTAGGTTACAGAGGGGCTGCCAAAGGAGATGTTCACTTTTGATCACTAGACCCTCCATGTCCATACTGACTGTTCTCTTAGACCCCTTTAACCATCTTCCATGCCTTATTTCCACTATTTTTCTCATACTGTTGGTCCTTGGACACTTGACACAGTACAAGGGGTTAAAACCTTCTTCAAGAAAGTAGCATTTGCTGGGTGCACTGGCTCACGCCTGTAATCCCAGCACTTTGGGAGGCCGAGGCAGGCAGATCACGAAGTCAAGAGATTGAGACCATCCTGGTCAACATGGTGAAACTCTGTCTCTATTTAAAATACAAAAAAATTAGCTGGGTGTGGTGGTGCATGCCTGTAGTCCCAGCTACTCAGAAGGCTGAGGCAGGAGGATCGCTTGAACCCAGGAGGTGGAGGTTGCAGTGAGACAAGATCGTGCCTACCCTTCCCAGCCTCTAGTAACCACTATTCTACTTTCTGTTTCTATGAGATCAACTTTTTTAGCTTCCACATATGAGTGAGAACACACGGTGTTTATCTTACTGTTCCTGACTTATTTTGCTTAACTTAGTATTTTCAAGTCTCATTCATGTTGCTGTGAATGACAGGATTTCTTTATTTTTTATGGCTGAATAATACTCCATTGTGTATATATACCACATTTTCTTTATCCATTCTTCCGTTGATGGAAACTTACGTTGATTCCATATCTTGCTGTTGTGTGTGGTCCTGCGATAAACATAGGGATGTAGCTATCCCTTTAATACACTGATTTCCCTTTTTTTGGATATATACCCAGTAGTAGGATTGCTGGATCATATAGTAGTTTTATTTGTAGCTTTTTTAAGAAGCCTCCATACTGTTTTCCATAGTAGCTGTACTGATTTACATTCCCACCAACAGCATATGAGTTCCCTTTTCTCCACATCCTCACTAGAATCTATTACATTTTGTCTTTTTGAACATAACCATTCTAACTGGGCTGAGATGATACCTCATTGTGGCTTTGATTTGTATTTTTCTGATGATTAGTGATGTTGAGCATTTTTATATACTTGTTGTCTATTTATATGACAGAGCCTTGATACATTAGTACCCATTATGAATCTACCAGAGAGGTATATGGGATGTAACATTGTCTAAATTTATTCAGCCATAATACCCATTTTTTGGAGGCACTTTGCAGAATTAGGGTTCTTTGTTATGTGCTTCAAGAAGTGTTGTATTTTGCCATTCAATTTCTAGGAGCAATGTATGTTATAGCAATAAGCTATTGGTATATACAGTATCTTAGTTTGGAGAAGTTTGTTAGGGTAGTAGGCAATTTTAGCACAAGACCCTAAACTAGTACTACTCAAATTTTAACATGCTTAAGGATCACCTTGGGAGATTTGATAAAATGCAGACTCCCAGACCCTACACCAAAAATCCTGAATCATTTAGGCTGCAGTGGGTGTCATGCATTTCACACAAGCATCCCAGTTAATTCTGATGCAGTCGGATTGAGGACTGCACTACAGTAATAGGGCCCAGGGGAGATTTTGAGAAAGGAGGTCAAGAGAACTGCCCACAGAAAGCCGTTCTGGGTAAGATCTTGCAGCAGTGGGATCTCCAGAGGGCTGTGGGCAACATGACAACATTGTTTCGCTGATAATGGAGCACATAGACACTCTGGAAACACATTTTCCTTGTGTGACATTTCCCCAGGACTAACCCTGCAGTAACATGTGCACAATGTGCCATCTGGCCTGCCCCTCTGCTTTCCCAGAGCTCCCACCCAAAGGCTGCCTCTTCTGCCATCTTCCACATTCAGAGTCCTTGGCTGTCATGTCCAGAAAGCAAGACCCTCCGTGGGGAGCTTCCCCCTCTACCCCGCCCATTGTTCATGACTTGTTGTTGGCGAGAAATGAATGGCATTTCTCGGAATTAGCCCAGGAATTTCTGCTGATAAACAAATGAAACTCTCAAAGGGAAAAGCAATCAACATAGTTTGAAATAAAATCAGTGTTTTCAGCTTAGTCTGTTTTTAACTTAGTTTGAAATAAGAGTCACATCTAGGGTATTTTAAGGAAAGGATTAGCAAAATGTCCTGTAGTGGGCTTTTCATCTGAGTTGCCAGACTGACCCTTGAACCAGGGCCTGTTTTCTTCTTGAGTAAGCAGAAGAGGCAATTATTACCTTGATTTCCTGTGACCTGTGATTCTGAGACCTGTCCAGCCATCGGATCAGCTTTGCCCAAGCCCACCCCCACTTCCCTGCCAAGTTGCCTGACACCTGAAATTGTCATTACAGCTTAATCTTTTAAATTTAGGCCTTGTCCTGATAAATTCACCAATCTTTGAAGGTAGTAAATTAACTCTTATTAATCATTTTTACTTTCGTCTGAACACAGGATTTAGAAAGCAGATTTTGATTGTAGAAAGAGGAGACAGGTGTTGCGGGGGGAAGATCCCGAGGCCACTAAGCTCAGCTGGGCACCTGAAGAGTTACAAAGGGAGAGGGGCCTGTTGAAGGAAGGGCCTAAGGAGTCAAGCTTTACCTACCCCAAAGTCCTGCAGAACACCAGTAGTATTTAGGATAAGTTCTTTATTTGTAGCAGAGGACACAGTGGTTTCTAGAATGAGTTGCCAGCTCTCAAGTTTTTCACTTTAGTGTTGTTAATTTAAAACCAATATGTTCTCAAAGTAACCAGATATCCTTGCTATCTGTTGCCTAGAGCCAAAGAGTTTTACTTCAGGGTTTTGGACTTAAAATGACTGTAACCCAAAAGGTTTGCCAGATTATTTGCAGCCACTAAGATAAGCAATTGTCTTTATTAGAATGATTTTTGTCTGATTTTTGTGTTTAGAATTTTATACCATCAGCTATTCCCTAAAAGTGATTTTAGGAACTGGCAGACTTAGGGTGTCAGTTATTGAAATCTGTTCCAAAATCCGCCTCCTCACAGGACTCCATTTTTGGCCATCAAAGTAGTCTATTTTATAAATGTCTTGATGTGTTGTCTTTTGTCTTTGCCACATATACTCTAAGACACAGAGACTGGGAAGTGGTTCAGCAAATATATGTATGGCTACTTACAAAGTGTTTTCTAGAGTTATGCTCCCAGAATTGGAGATAGGCTAAGAAATATATGTACTGTATCTCTCAGTAAAGGGCTAAATCAAAGCTGTCTGCAGGAGGGGGAGGAAGAGGGCTGCTTGGATTTTAGTTTAATTGAGAAGACAGAGAAATACGTCAAACTTGGGAGTTGAGGTTATTTTTTGGAACATGAAGATAATGTAAGTGTCCCCACAAGCTCTTTTTCTTTTCTTCAATAAATTCATCCTGTTTTGATTTCTTCACATTCACAAGATTGTGCCCTCAGGGATCTAAGGCCAAATCAGAGTCCACACTCACTATCATACCTTTTATATAATATATTCTTTTATTATTTTAATAGAGAAATGGATATTGAGAAGGAGAGGACAAGGAAATGTGGCATGCTTTCTTCCTTGTTTTCTTTCTTTGTTTCCCTTCTTTCCTTCCCTCATTCCTTCCTTTTTATTTTCATTCTCTTTTTTGTTTAATTTGTGATTATTTTCTTGTGCTAAAAATCCATAACATAAAATTTACCATTTTAACCATTTTTATGTGTACAGTTCAGTAACATTAAGTGCATTCACACTGTTGCACAACCATCTCCACCATCCATCTCCAGAACATTTTCATCTCCCCAAACTGAATCTCTATACCCATTAAACACTAACTCCTCACTTTCTACTTCCTGTCTCTATGAATTTGACTACTCTCAGTACCTCATATGAATGGCATTATGCCGTATTTATCCTTTTGTGATGGGCTTTTTTTGCTTAGCATAATGTCTTTAAGGTTCATCCAGGATGTAGTGTGTCTCTTTTTCAAATGGGGAAGAGAGAGAAGAAATTTGAGAAGAGGCTGGTGGTAGAAATGAGGAAGTGAAGTCAGGAGACAACCAAAGAGTCTTAGAGGAATCTAGCAAATGTTGCTTTTCAGAACACATTTTTTCTGGAAGACTCCAGAGACCACACTGTCTTTGAAAATGACAGGCCTGACAAGCAGTAACTAGTATTACTGCCTGTGTGAAATGCTAGGTTTTGAAAGACGTGTTCCTTATTAATGTTCCCCAGGGAACTTCAGAGAGTGTCATCTATTAGGAGCTGATTACTGGCAAGTTTTGTCATCTGCTTTTGGAGAAATCCATAGGAATAGAACAGTACCCCTGTTTCTCTTTATCTGGAGAAGTACTTTTCCAAAAGGGCCTCTTCTGCGATTGCTTTCTGAGGGAAATTGTGTCTGGAGCCATTCAACATAGCTTTATTAGAAAGATTATTAAAGGATTAGAGTATGAAACCTATGAGGTGATGTTGAAGGAAAACTGTAATTACTGAAACTGGTGAAAGAAAGACAGGGGCCTTCACCAAGTTTCAGAAACATAAATGGGTCTTAGAGGAGGCTGATCAGCTTTCTCCTTCCACTTCCAAAGGGGGAGAAAGAGTAGAAGTGAGCTTCAGTATAAAAAACTTAGGCACAAAAAAGTAGTTCCAGGCATAGATAAGGGAAGCTGAAGTCATTTTACAGTCAATATATTATATTAATAGCTCAGGCTCAATGCTGAGTAAACACAAGACACACATAAATGCACAAACGCATACAATATGATTCCATTAATATCAAGTTCAAAATAGGGAAAAGTAAACTATATTGATTATGGATGTGCATAAATGTGATAAAACTACAATGGAAAGTGAAGAAATGATTATCACAATAGTCAGCATGGTGGTGAGTTGACCTCCATTGGGGGGTGGTGCTTCTGGGGTGTTGGCAATGCACTCTTTCTTGATCCACGTGGTAGTCACATGGGTGTTTGCTTTGAAAGCATCAGTACAACTCTACATTTATGTTGTACGTATGTAAGTTATATTTCCCAGTATAATATAAAGTGGGATTACATTTTCATTTGTTCTTGATGGTTCTGATTGGAGGCAAAAGTACCAGAAGACCTTGCAAGATTACAACCAAGCATAGGATTCTGTATGTGCATATGGCAATTTGGGGGACTGTTATATTTGTCTACTTGTTTGCATTGTTTTGGTCTTCTTGATGTTTGGTTTTGTGTGTGTGTGTGTGTGTGTGTGTGTTTTGTTTTGATTTTTTTTTTTTTGGTTTTTGGTTTTTGGGTCTTTTTGTCACAAAGAATAGCAGTACCAAAACCTAGAGAAAGGTGTGCTCCTTGTCCTCTAAGTGGGCTCTTGGAATTAGTAAGTAGGCATTTGAGGCATTGATTTCTAAGCTGTAGAGTGCACAGTGTATTGGCATCTGGATGAAGCCATCTGGCTCCAGGATTTTATCACTGACCAGAGGGCCAGAGGGCATGTTTGGCTTCCAGGAAGTCAGGCTGGTCAGGAACCCCTTTGGGAAGGAAGAAGGGCTTTGGACCTGTGGAGTATGCCTGCCTTCCCTCAAAGTGAGGTTTTATTGTGTTATCATGGGGGGAGGAAGGCAGGGGGGGCCAATAAAGAGATGGGGCCTCGCTCTGCTGTCCTTCCAGTTCACTGTGGGACATTCACAGAGCTGATTAACCTCTTTGTACCTATTTTCTCAGCTTGTAAAATGAGATGATAATTCCTGCCTTCTCTTAAAGTTTGCATTGACAGTGAACAAGAAAGTTGATATGGGAAATTGCTTTGAAAAGTATAAGGAGGTATATATAATCAAGGCAGTGATCAGCAATGAAAAGAAGGTATTTAAATCCTGGGTCCCCAGATTTCATCTGGGCATATCTCAATATGGGCAAAGCCTGAAACCATAGCATTTTGGTACGTGTTCCTCTAGATCCCAATGATAGCAGCCTCATAACCAGGCATTGACCATGTGTCTCCAGCCTCAGGGAAAAGATGAGGGGAGTCTAAAGGAAACAAGTGACAGGTTTAATGACTGTCAGGCAAAAGGCATTAAATTAATGGCATCACCTCTGCCTTGCCTTTCTATTTCCTTCTGATTAGATTTTCAGAGGTGCCTGTGTGAGTATGCCGCACAATAATGCTGATGTTCTCAAAGCTGAGTGAGCTCTTAACAGAAACATAAGGTAGTGCTGAGAATGCACTCAGAGACAAGGTAAAAATCTCTAGACTGCCTTGAGAAATTGAAGGGGATTTTTCTGGGGGAGGGCTAGAACTGATACCTCCTCCCTCCTAAATCATAAAAAGAGAGAGCAAGATTCACCATTATGTGTTGATTAGGCTGCCTTACTCCTGTTTGGTTCCTACCTTCTGCTAATCCGTGGTCTTGCTAGAGGCTGTCATCTGGCGCCTCTTGCAGGAGCACAGTGTGTCCGTACTGCAGGGGGCCTCTCAGACCACTGGGATCAGGGAAATGAGCCATTGCTGTAGTGTTACTTCCAAACCAGGGAGGATCAGCACACACACACACCCTTTCTGCCCCCACCAACTTCTCCAGGGCTTTAGAAATGTCTGGGAACTGTTTTGTTCGTCACAGTAATGGGAGGATGTCATTGGCATTTAGTGGGCAGCAACAAGAGATGCAAAATGTTCCACAATAAGTAGGAACACAACGCATGGAAGAAGTGTCCCACACAAAATTCCAGTGGTGGCTCTATTGAGAAATACTGGACAGCAGCCTTAGTCAGAGAAGCCTAGTGAAGGGCGTCTCTTCCTAACCAGAAGTTGGTGGTATGAGTCCACACATTCATTAATTCACTCACTCACTCATATTAATTTCACAAACATTTACAGAGTATAAGCTTTGAGACATAGCCCATGTATGGTGCTGAGGTTTCAGAGTTCCTGCCTCGACGAGTTCACAATCTAGTGGAGGAGACACGCATAACAAGATTATTAAAATGTAATGTGATGAGTACTCTGGTAGAAGTGTGGACAAGGGCTGTGCAGGCAGAGAGGGGAGAAGATAGGCACTCTCCAAGAGCCAGGAATCAGGCACAGTCCCAGAGGGGAGTGGACATTTGAGCTGGGTTCTGACAGATGAATGGCACTTTGCCAGATGTAGAAGAGGGAGGTGGGGAGGGCACGTGCAGAGGCATGTGTGGGATCCGTGACTGCAGTTGAGTATGGTCTGTGTAGGAGGGAGGAGGCTGGAAATGTCAGATTGATGGAGGCCCAGTCTCAAAGGACCTTGTACATCCTGTGGGTAGACATTATTTTGCAGAGCCAGCCCACTGCAAAAGTAGGGAGGAGGTGCAGTTTGTCTTTAGTGTTCTTGGATGTCTTTTTGCATCCCCTTTCCTCTCTTGCAGTCCCTCATATCCTCATCTCTCTCCCAGCCACTTACAAAGGCAGCTGATGAGACTCCTTCCAGCAGAAAGGTCAATGCTTAGCTTAACTGTAAGAATTCACTAAGGATAGATTTCTGGATGTCAAAGGGAGAGTCTTTGGGCAGAGAACCTGGAAGAACTGAGCACTATGGAGATAGGGCAGAGGAGCTTTGTTCAGTTTACACACACTTGATGTAAGTGTAAGTGTATGTAAGCGTGTGGGTGAGCATGTATGTTGGAGTGGGTGACATTGTGTGGTATGTATGTGTGTGTGTGTGTGTGTGTGTGTGTGTGTGTGAATGAGAGAGAGGGAGAAATGGGACAATGATAGTTCCTATCTCAAAGGACTGTTGTGAGGATTAACTGAATTAAGGTATCTAAAGGAGTTAGCATAGTGCCCTGCCCATAGTATACCCTCAATAAATGCAAGGTATTGTTGGTATTATTTTAGAATGCAGGGCCAGAATTCAGTCTGGAGAAGGGGGAACATGCTTACTACCAAGATGGAGATGAAGATTTTACACTAAGGCTTAGTGGCTACGTCTGGCTAGTTTCAAATATGTGCCTAGGACACATTCTATCACTGGGATAATATAATTTTTCAGCATGTTGGCTTATCAGAATGTACATGTTCCCAAGTGGAGCCATAGCATTACACTGTATATATTTGGGTACTTTCTCCATCTCTACTCATGGAACACATGGCAGGTAGAAAGCTGTTGTTTTACAAATGACGTGGACCTGTCTTGAGGCCCAGATCAGCTGATCTGTCCTCATGTATAGCAACATAAAATAGAAGAACCACAGCACTAGGGCCAGAGCCAGGGAGATGCATTAGAAAGGAATTAACTTGGGAGGATCTGAATTAGGGAACAAAAGTACTAGCCAGAGAAGGAAGGAAGAAGCAAAAAGGGGGAAAAAAATCACTAAAAGGACAGGATACATAAGATCATCCAGCTGCCCCCAAACTGAACTTACAATGTTTTCTGTGTTCTCTTTGGAAGAGGAGTTGGCTTGTCCAGAATTCAATGGAAACTTGTTGATTGACACTGAATTGGGCACAAGTTCAATGTGAGTGCGCCTGCAGCTATTTATTTGATTTTTTAAAAATGCACCCTTTGCAGTAAGACTGTTTAGTTTCTACTGGCGCCCTGGGGCAGTGAGTTTAGATTGTTAAAATAGCAGCCATTAACACTCTCTGTGTTATGACACTGTCCTTCCTACCCCACTTTAGAGGAATCAGGCATGAGGTTGTTTGACAAAAGTTTAATTCTCCTCTCCCCACCAAAAGAAACTGAGATTCCTCCTCTGAGTCAGAGGCACGTTTGCCCAGCCCTAACCCTGAAAACCTCCAAGTCTGCCTACCCGCCTCACCACCATCCCCACAAACACACACACGTGACTCTCATGTACATCTGGAACACACACACTTTCACATACACTCTCACAGGCTCACACCCACACCCATCCCACAAGCTAGAGGAACCCTAGGGAGCCCTTGTGCTTGTCTTGCTGTTCTTTTGTTTTGCTTTCCTGTATTTGCTTTGTTTTGATTTGAAATCAGTCTTTGGGATTACATTGGATAATTTTTTCATGTTATTAATAGTGCTGTGCAGGGAGCATGTAAGGACTTCCTCCTCAGTCCTGGCCATGCTTGCTTCCCCAAATACAATGCTGACTCTCATTGATCAATCAAACTGATCTTTGTCAGACTTTGCATACAATACCTCATGGGCAAATAGCTCAGGGAGCTCTAAAAGATGCCTGAATTCTGGGATTATCTAGATTATTCATGAGTCTGCTTAAAAGGAAATTTTTTAAGGCAGGACTGGATAGCTATGGCTTTCCCAAAGGCCCTGGGGAAAAATCAAAGGAGCAGAGACAATGTGGAAAGTGTGGAACTGCTCAGCTCCCAGAGCAAGGCAATAATCTGACCAAACACTAAGCCCCCACCCAAAGTCAGCATTGGTCAGGCTGAACAGCCATCATGAGCACAAGCCTAGGAGGCATGGAAGGGAAGTTCTGTGTTCTCTGGACATCTGTGATACATGTTGTCTATACCAGCACTGTCCAATAGAACTTTTTGCAATGATGGAAACATTCTATATCTGCACTTTCCAATGTGGCAGCCATTAGTATAGGTGGCTGTTGAACATTTGAAATGTGACTGGTGTGAGACTGAGAAGCTGCATTTTAAATTGGATTTAATGTTAATCGGTTTAAATATGAATAGACATATGTGACTAGTGGTTACTGTGGTGTATGGCACAGCTTTATCCCATTCGCTGGATACTTCTGTGCGGCAGTGAATTTAATTTTGTACCTCCTCTCTGTTCAGTGTCTTGCAACTACATCATAAACTTTTTGAGGGCAGGAATCATATATTGTACAACTACAGAAAGTTATACCTTGAAAAGATATTTTTTTTCAGCTGCCTCTCCCCATATTTGACAAATAGGGAGACTGCGAAAGACTCTGTAACTTTCTTGAAGTGACAGCACTCATTAGTAACATTACCTGAGCCTGGAACCCAGGTCTCCTTGCCTCCCGGACTGTGCTTCTACCACATCTCCCTTGCAGACAAGTTTTCGAAAGAGGAAGAGTTTTCTTCCTCTCCACTTTCTTCACTGTTTATATCTGAGATTCAGCCCCTGATACTTGGAAATAATTTGGATCTCAAGTCTACATTTATCTCCTCATCTGCCAAGGCACAAAATAGGCTCTGGACAAATGTCTGTGGGGTGAAAATTCTCTGAGGTCTTTCTGTTGTCTGTTATCTTCTATATTTTTAAAGAAAATCTTTTTCTGCCTCAGTGTGTTTGAGACAACCATTACTTATGCTGTTTCAGCCCAGGGAGATGGGGCCTCTGTAGATGTGGCCCTGGCCTGTGCAGGTGCTCAGGTATACATTAGAGAAGCCTGTGCAACAGCCTGGCAGGCTGATAAAAAAGCTGTAGCAGTTTGGGACCTGGGCCCCTCTGTCTTCTAAATTCTCTAGACTTGATGGTAGACAAGGATGCCATCAGACATAGCGCCCTCCCTTCACCACATTTTCATAGTAACCTAGAACTAAAGATGCTTCAGGGAGGAGTCTAGGGCCATATCTTACTGGTTACTTTAGAAAGTAAGAGAAAATACCCAGTAGAAACTAACCTCAGAATCACCTGCTAAAAGAAAGAATAATTCAACTTGTAGGTCCAAGTAAAGTATCCTTTCATCTCTCTTCTCCTTTCTCTGTTTTCCACCCCAGGCCTTTGCCCTCAACCCAGAGCCAACCTATGGTAACACAGCAATAGCTGAATTGAAGCAAAACCTGTTAACAGTCACCAAAGGCTGAGTTTCGGCCAAGCAGATAGCTCCTCCAGGCAGCCCTTCAAAAGCCAGGCAGAGGCAAGGGGGTAAATAGCCTGTGGCCTATCTGCAGTAGAATGGCCAGATGGTTTGCTGGTGCCACCAAATGAAGGAGTGATCTGGTACTAAGATAGAAGGCTTCCAGGGACCCTCCCAGCCCTAAAAATCTTAAGCCCAAGTGTAGTCATCAGATGCCAAGGACACTGGAGAAAGTCTTTGGAGCATGTAGAACACCAAGCCAATTGGAGTGCCTGCTAGGACAGCACAGGATTCCTAGAATTCCGGCCACACCATATACACCCCCACCCCCAGAGGGCAGCCAGTGGCCACAGCAGAGGCCTTACCCAGCAGGCTGAGACCCTCATCAGACCCTCCAAGAGCCTACTTCCTTACTTAGGGCCTGCCTGCTTGCACTGTGCTGAGTTCAGGGAGGTGGACAAACTGTACCTCCCACTTTAGCCTAAGAATCTGACTTGCCATGGACTCTCCAGGCAGTGAATCATTTTGAGCAAGCACTTAAGCAACTTTCCACTGAGTCATTCTGAGGACTGTCAGGTTTGCTAATCCTGATATATACTGTGTATACCCTTTGTTCAGATCCTATACCCATCCTGATATTGGAGGAGAGGGGTTATAAACAACAGAACTTTAAGGATGTGCTCATTAGAAGTCATTTGTATTA
The DNA here is from genome assembly GCF_000001405.40 of Homo sapiens. Lineage (NCBI taxonomy): Eukaryota > Metazoa > Chordata > Mammalia > Primates > Hominidae > Homo > Homo sapiens. The sequence continues at coordinate 110,741,226 of NC_000023.11, read as the reverse complement.
GGGTTCCCTTTGCCCTACTGACTCTAACAGGGCCTGAAGCACTAAGAGAAATCCTGCTGGTACCAACTTTTGATTTGTGTATGCTTTTGGTTACATAGCTATCAAGAGTATGTACTCTTTACCTGGAGTGGCAGTGCACATTGGATTTCTTTTCCAGACCCTCCATGGATCTGTTTTCCTTTGGCTTCTTCTAGACTAGGGGCCAGCATTTCTTTTTTTCTGTAAAGGGCCAAATAGTATATATGCTAGCATTAGCAGGCCTTGAAGTCTCTGCTGTAGCAACTCTTGCATTGTAATGTGAAAGCAGTCATAGGCAGTATGTAAATAAATGGGCATGAATATGTTCCAATAAAACTTTATTTACAAAAACAAGTTGCAGGTCATATCTGGCCTATAACCCCTGTTCTAGACACAATAGGCTAAGTCAAATTAGTAGCTGAGACTTAGTTTCAGCTGCTAGAGTGCTTAAGCATATCACATTGGGGAAAAAATCACTCTTATCCTCCATTCTTTTGGGGAAGAGAGGTAGAAATTGCAGGAATATTTTCATCTTTCCCATTTTGAATATCAAAGCCCATTCCTCATCAAATATTACATACTCCATAGTAATCAGAATTGGCTAAAGTATGATGCAGTAGCAACCTACAAAGTTCAGGACTTAAAACAACAAAGATTTATTTCTTACTCATACTACCTCTTTGTCTTAGGTTGGTGCCTGTCATTATCACCAACAGACTCTGGCTGACAGTGCCGCACCATCGGGAATTTAGTTCCAGCACTATGGGAAGGGAATATAACACACTGTGGTCTGGCTGTTTAAGACTTTTGGCCAGGAGTGATACAGATTACTTCTGCTCATCTGGCATTGGCCAGAGCAAGTCACACTACCATGACTTGACTTCTACAGGACAGGGAAATGCAATACTACCATGTGCCTGGAAGGAGGAGAATTTGAATATTGATGGAAAGCCCTAATGACAATCACACACTCTAAGAACTCCTTTTCAGTTTCTTCTTCATGTCATTCCTTGCCTACCTTTAGGTTATCTGGCCTAGTTGTATCTTTTGTCCAACCCTACCTGGCCTTCCTCAGACATGCTGGTCATTGACATTGATACATGGGGGAGGGACAACTTAGGGACTAAAGCATTGGGACAGTAATTATTCCCTAAAATGCTGTGTAGACCAGCATGAACATGAAGTCAGGCCTCAGAGCCAGGTCTTACATGCCGTTGGATCCAAGGGTTGATTGCCATTGGGCAGCAAGCCTGAGAAAAATTGGACCTCCCATAACTCTGGTTTTGATTTCACTTTAGTTTACTTTTAATGAGAATTTGAATCAGAGAGGAAGTTCTAAGCATATTGACTTTAGGCAGTGCCTTCCCTTAGTGCTATGGAGAGCAGTTATCAAGAGGGAAGAGGAATATGGAATGTGAAAGGTAGAAAGTATAGGTGATATTAATGCAGTATTATGGGCTAAAGTGAAACATATGGCCCATGATTTTAGAAGAAGGAATATATCTGCAAAGACAAAATAATTAGTTGGGATAAGCCCATTGCTCTAACAATCCCCAAATCTTAGTGACTAAAGACAATGAATGTGGGAGTGGAGGGGCCTATGGAGAGGGAGGGCTTTTGCTCCATGCAGTCATTCAGGGACCCAGGCCCCTTTCACTCTAGTGGTCTTTCTTTCCTCTAGAGTCTCACAGTTCATCACTGGAGCCTCTGGTATGTGGTCCTTAGTTTAGGGAAAAGAAAGCAAGGAGAGTTTTGCAGGACGTTTTATAGGTCAGTCTTCTAAGGCATGTTTATCATTTCTTCCCACATTCAATTGACTGGAACTCATTCACATGGCTCCACCTAACTGCAGGCGAGACTATGGAATGTAGTGTAGCTGGGTGCCAGGAGTGGAGGATGGAGATGGGTTTAATGAGCACACAACATTGTGTATTCCGCTGCATACTTGTCTTGAGCAAGGGTGATTTTTTGTAGGAAGGGTTCAGTCTGACTGAGTCTTAACTGAAGTCTTCATCAACATACTCTCAATATTGAAATGTTTTCCCCTTACAGAGCACTGTCGGCCTTGGTTGAACAGAAGACTAGTCCTGACTGCAGAGGCCTTAGATAAATGCAATTTTGCCAGTCCTTACATTTTACTTCATAATTCACATGGCCTCTGGACAGATATGTAAGAGCACTTGCATTCTCATTGGTACAGGTTTGGGATATGTATCCTGGGGCAGGAACGTGAAATAGATGACATTCAATGGTATCGTGAGCAATGATCCTAGGAAATTCATTCTGAATCCTAAACTGGGCGTAAACCATTCTTAAAAAGTAAAAGGAAACCATTAAAATTGGAACTACATAACTAATCTTTGTTCCATTTTTGGCCTGGCTACCAGGGCATTCAGAGTCCTTTAACACACTCACATAGAATACATAGAATAATTATGTTAATCCTATTCATTGTTTTTTTTTTTTTTTGAAGGAGTCTCACTCTGTCACCCAGGCTGGAGTGTAGTGGCGCAGTGTCGGCTCACTACAAGCTCCACCTCCCGGGTTCACGCCATTCTCCTGCCTCAGCCTCCCACGTAGCTGGGACTACAGGCGCCCGCCACCACGCCGAGCTAATTTTTTGTATTTTTAGGAGAGATGGGGTTTCACCGTGTTAGCCAGGATGGTCTCGATCTCTTGACCTTGTGATCCACCCGCCTCAGCCTCCCAAAGTGCTGGGATTACAGGTGTGGTATTTCTTATAGCTACTTCTCGGTTCAGGTGTTTTCTATTTTCAATTACTTCATGATATATGTTGTTTGTTGAGAACAGGAGAAAAAAATAAGGCATGGCTTCTTCTTGTTTTATTTAGGCTCGGTTTGAAGACTGGCATTTGTGAAAAAGATTTTTCTGTGTCTATCGTGACTTCCTGAGCAGTTGGTTTTATATGGTGTAGTTTTGGAGATGAACTTCAGCTGAAAGAAAGGCTCAACTCTAAGTTTGATGTGAGCCAAAGGAGTGCATCACCTCTTCAAGGACAGCTAGATCTTTGCTGTCTAATCTAAAGCTGTTCACCAGAATGGAGAAAGCACTTTTATGTTCCTTTTCTCCCTAGCTATATTTCAAACATTTAGGGATTAGATGATTTGTATCTATTATTTTTTCTAGTCCAGAGCTTCGCAAACACTTTGGGGCCAGATAATTCTTTGTCATATCGTCTATCCTGTGCATTGTGGGATGTTTAGCAGCTTCTCTGACCTCTACCCACTAGATGCCAGAGTACCCTTCTCAACTCGTGACAACCAAAAATGTCTCCAGACATTGCCAAATGTCCCCTGGGGAAAAGTTGGCCCCAGTTGAGAACTACTGTAGTTGTAAATTTTTTTTTAATTGGGGGTAGATACCCTCACTTTCCCAGAATCCTGTTCTGTATTTGACATTTCTTGCAGAGATGGGAGTTGGAAACAAAGGTTATGGATGTCAGGGAGCTCAGTTCTAAGATTGCCTGCATTTATACCTCCCTGGGGTGTGGACTCAGGCCATATGGAACAAATATGACATATGTTTGTCCAGTACGGGCAGTAAAAAGGCTTCTCAATACTCATTAACCTTTGAGAAGCTGACTTGTTTCTACAGCATTATTGAAGGTTCTGAATAAGATGAACTCTTAGAATCTGAATCACTGGGAATCTTCCTGAAGTGCAGATGATGTTTCAGTAGGTCTGGAGTGTGGGTGTGAGATTCTGCATTTCTAACTAGCTCTCAGGTGGTATTAATGCTGCTGGTTCCCATACCACACTTTGAGTAGAGGGTTGGTGGTCTCTGGAGAAGAGGAGCTGGCTAACTAGACACTATTTTTAGGTTCTGCAGAAGGAATTGTTCTTTCCAAGATTATTCCATTGGCCCAGTAAGTAGTGAAGTAATCTGCAGTTCTTAAACATTCCCTCCTTCTCCTCTCAAGAAGGTACAACCCACAGTGATAGTCTCCCTGCTCTCTCTTTCATTCTCTGCAGCCATTTAAGGCTAATATGAGGTAAGCTAGTCAAGTACTTCCTTTTGATTAGCTACCTTATATTTTTTGGACCTTCTGTGTGTCCGTGTGTAAGAGAGAGAGTAGTTTCCTTTCCAGAGGAAATAGTGGGGATAACTTCGGAAAAGCCATTACAGTGTCAGAAATAGGTGGCTATTTTATCCTAGCTGGAGTTTCAGATAATGGAAAATCCATCTCTAGAACAATGTAGTATAGCTCCACTTCTGGGATCACTTCTGGTTGGCCACTTCCTAGCCTTTGTTTCCTCATCTATAATTGTAGATAATAGCAATAATCACCTTAGAGGGTGGACATAGGGAGAAAAGAACTAATGAATATCAACCTGAAGCCCTGAGCACAGAACCAGCTCAGTGTAAGCATGAGCCAGTAAATATTAGTTCCTAATCTTATTGGTGTGGTTATTGTCATTATTGGAACTGGGATCCTCAGACTCTTTTTGCCTCTAAATTGTTTGCATATATTGTACTCCTATCAGTGACATCTTTCATCATGTGCAGTGATTCTCAATCAGGGATGAGGTGGTATGTGGAGTTTGAAACCACTCCCACCAGACACCATGGTCTCCTTGTTCCTCTTTTGAGGGTTATTGGTCTAAGCAATGACTGAATCTCATATTGTTTTTCCAGCCTTGGTAAGTCCAAAGATGATAATATACCTTATTTATTTGTTTGATCTCTGACCCCTATCATCACTTTTCACTCTAATCACTTTAATATGAGCATCTGGCTGCCAAAAGAAGCCCAGTTTCAAACTGGAAATTTTTATTAATATTTGACATATTTTTACTTTTCACACCTTTCTTTCCTAAGGAATTGTCACCATCCCATGGCAATCAATGGTGGAGTTCTTTAGAATCCAGATTTCCTAACACCTTCCCTTTCCTTTCTGTGTATTGTGTAGTCTTAACTAAATAACTCTCCCCACATCAGGAATTTTGGTCTGGGTTCTTAAAGAATTTCCTAGGAGAAGCAAAATGATACTTTGTCTTTTCCTCTAGTAGTTCCATGACATGGCAGATGAGCTGCCTCCTTGGTCGTCAGGAAGAGGTAGACTGGATTTTCCTAACAGCGTTCCCACTGCTCCAGCAGCCTGGAGCCTTGTGTGCCACCACTTTCCTTGCACCCTCTGCCAGTGGCCTCCAGGGACCACTTTCTGAAGCCAGCTGCTAACAGTTTTCCAAACAAAATAATATGTGCATTGGGGGATAACTTTTCTCAATTAATCTTCAAGTACCAAATGCCTCTTTTCTTCCTTTATGCCTAATGTGATAGCAATGGGCTCTTTCAGTCACCTCCTGACATATCCTGTCCCCGAGCTCATTATCTCTTTTCCAGTCATCTCAGAATAGTTTTTCAAAAATGTAAATCTCATCAAATCATTTCACTACTTAAATAACTTCCCTGGCTTCTCATCATATACAGGAAAAATACCACCCCCTGGACTTGACTTCTTTGTGTCTCCAGGTGCCTGATGTCATTGGGCTGTTGTTGCAAGTGGTTCTGGTTATTAGCACTATACAGTATTTCACAGGGGAGCATTTTCTCTTGATTTATAGGGCTTGCTAATGAAAGAAAAGATACTGGAGATGCTATCAGCCATCTAGGAGTAACGTGTTAGGTCTTAGCTGAAGGTTGAGTGTGACTGAAGTTGGGAGTGCGGTTCTGGATTCAGCAGATAATAGTGTCCATGAGATGGCGAATATCCAGATCCTCAAAATATCTAGGTTTTGATGTGGTGCAGGGCAGTGCTTTCCAAGGAGTGTTTCTGGGGCATTCATAGTTGTTACCTAGGTGAAAAAAAGAGTCTGGTGGATAAGTAAAGTCAGAGAAAATGCTGAGTTATCATTAAACAGGTTTCTTTACTATGGGACTTGTGAGATCCTTTTAACATATTGAAAGGGACACTGAATGTTGAATGTGGATCTTTTCCCAACTTTATTTAAGCACAGAATTTTGTTTTCACAGAGCATCTTGTGGACTAGTAGTGCTCTGCAGAGCAGACTTGGGAAATGCTGGTGTAGGCAATACAAAGGAATGCTTGACTGAACTCCCCACTGTCTCATCCAGATGCCTCACATTGTTTCTGTAAATGCTGCTTGAGGGTAATGACTAATTTGTCCATTTCAAAGGGTCATTGACCTTCAAAAAAAAATCTAGTTCTCAAAGGATTAGAACTAACCAAGTAATAGTAGAACTCATTCTTAATTTATTCAGGGAGAAGAGGAAGGCAGTGAGTGACAACATTACCACATAACCTGTTATTAACAATGAGGCATCGTGAAGAATCATTGATTTAACATTACACCTCCTGGTAATTAGAGGTTTTTAAAACCCATAGTACAGTAGCAAAGGAATAATACAAATCTATCAGATTCACCATGGAAGGGATTCTTTTTGTTGGGCTACATAATCCAAGTTCACATGAAGATTTGAGGTTGAGGAATTAGCCTCTGAAAACAGAGGGATTTGTGTTTTATCTTCCGCAATTATTAGACTGGATTTTAGTGGGCTTCTCTAGCCCTCACGTTTTGCTGCTCTAGGTAAAATGAAGAGACCTAAATTTGAATCTTTGCTTTGGCACTAAATAGCAGTGTCCCCTTGGCATCTCTGGGCCTCATTTCCACCTGTCAAAAGAGAAGGCCATTTCCAGTTTCCTCTTGGAGATAGAACCCTAGGAGGCTTATGTAATGAGATTGGAATGGTCCATGAGCTGAATAATGGAGCTGATGATAAAGCTGTTCAGTAAAGTGGAAGAAGAAATTTTGACAGGAAAGAACATAGAGGTTGCCTCTGAAGACTGGATTATGAGAAACTTCCACAAGTAAGTACTCTCAGCACACAGAAAGCTGAAAACAAGTGTGCATAACCTTAGAGCCACAGAATCTGGACAGAGTTGTTTGCAGAGATCTCATACTGCTGAAGTGAAATCCTCAGCCCCCCTGCTTTGTATGGCAATAGAGAGGGTACTTCTTTTGGGTCATGAAATCCTGAGAATCTGATTGAACCCACAGACCCTTTTCCCAGAAGAAATCGATTCTGTAACTCACTTCTGAATCACTTTTGAAAATCATACTTATTTCTCTCCAGCTATCTGCCCTTAAATGAAGAATCACCTTGCCTCTAGATATGCATATTTATATGTTAATGAAATTAATACCAGACTCTTAAAATTAGCATGTATCACTATTTGAATATTTGTTCCTTCTTGCCATGCTCTGTTCCTTTTTTTTTTTTTTTTTTTTTTTTTTGAGACAGAGTTTTGCTCTTGTTGCCCAGGCTGTGCGATCTACAGCACAGGCTGTGCACTGCAGCAGTGCAATCTCGGCTCAATGCAACCTCCGCCTCCTGGGCTCAACCAATGATCCTGCCTTAGCCTCCTGACTAGCTGGGATTACAGGCACCTGCCACTACACCAGGCTAATTTTTATATTTTTAGTAGAGACAGGGTTTCACCATGTTGGCCAGGCTGGTCTCGAACTCCTGACCTCAGGTGATCCACCCACCTCAGCCTCCCAAAGTGCTGGGATTACAGTCATGAGCCACTGCGCCCAGCCAGCATGCTGTGTTCTAATGCTAGAGCCAGCAGGAGATAGAGAAGTAGAAGGCATAGACCCTGTCTCCTTTGCACTTATTGATCACTTAAAAAGCGGCACACTTTATATTAGGTGCTAGATGGTAGGATGCAAACAGGCAGACCATGAGAGTTGCTGCAGAAAATCAGAGTGTGTTTGATGGGCCCTGGGGGCTGGATATGAGTAAGCAAAGAGTAGTCTGTGGGGGCAGTTGGGGCTAGCATGAGTCAGGGCAGAATTGGCCAATCAGAGGTAGAGCATTCTTTAGCCAAGTGGCACATCCTCAGGGGATACATCTTTGACATGAACTTCATGACCCTGGCTGGGCCATGCTGTGGTGTGGGTCCGTACATGGAACTCCAGTCTTTGGGGTGTGCTTACTCACAAGCAGTTGACTGACACTGCAAGACTAGAGTTGCTACCTATAAGGCAGCACATCACAAGCTGAAGGGACTTTTCTAACTTCTATGGGATGTAGTAACTCTGGACACTGGACCATCAAAGCAGACAAAATTATACATCTCTTTTTGCCTTCAGGTAGAATGCATTTGGTAAGCAGGGAGATAATCATAATCAGTTGACTTTGTTGTATGTTGCTTCTTTACTCCCTGAATCTTTTTGAAAAACATAATCATTTTTGTTCTTTATAATATATCCCTGTGAAAGAGAAGCAGGTGAAATGATTACCTCTGACACACACATACACATATCCACACAGAAAGTTCTTTAGAAACTGAAGCCTAGAGATGCAAAGTGATAGCAGTTCCATCACACAGCAAACAAATAGTACAACTTAGCTAAGAATACATGGGCCCTCCCCCTGCCCCCCAAAAAACCCCCAAATCTATGCCATTTGCAAGCACTCTTTGCTTCACAGAGACATGGCCCTTTCTTGCACACTCTCTCCTCAAGCCATCCTTCCTAGCCATCTGTCTGACAAGACGGCATATTCAGGCAGGGTCAGCTACTGACTGACAGCAGCTGAAACACTGACGGAAGTGGGATGAAAAACAGCCTGCAGATGGGGTCCGGATGAGGAGGGGGAGAGCTGGGATTAGACTAGGATGTGAGCTTTCAGCGCCCTCTTCCACTCTCTTCTCGCCAGCTGGAGCAGCAGATGACTGTTTCCTCTCACTCGGCACCTTCTTGGTTGGGACAGAGTGTTGTGTCTGTCTGTTTAGCTGCAGAGTGATCTGTTGAATCTGCTACAAGAATTTCCTGGCCTGGGACCTCACTGGGGGTTGGGCCAAGGGTAGAAGTAGGGAGGCCACTAGTCTTGTTGAAGGTGTGGTCCCACAGAGTCTCCTGGAAGCTTTCAAGCAGGAAAATCTTCCCCCCATCACCCCCTCCTTTAGCTGAGCTGTCTGGCTGACCCACTCCATCTCCCAAAGTGGATACACCACGGCTGGGGACACTAGGCAAAATTATGACTTGAGATTGACTCCCTCTACCCATTTGTGATTCTCCCTTTCTTTTTAATTTACCTTTCTCTTCTTCAACTGCCTATCACCTACAAAACACCTTCATTTTTTTCAGGCCCGCTCCGCTCTGATACCCAGTCTTTGTGTTTGTATTGTATAACGTTTGGAGGTTATTTTTTTTTTTTGGTAACGCTTTATTGAGGTATACATACCTCATACTGAGGTTTACATACTGTAAAATTCACCCTTTTATGTTGTAAAGTTGGTTTTAGTATATTTACAAGATGTTGCATCCATCACCACTATCTAACTCCAGAATATTTTCGTCATCTCTAAAAGAATCCCATACCTACTAGTAGTCACTCCCATTCTCCCCTTCCCCCAGCTCCTGGCATCCAGTGTTCTTCTTTCTCTCTCTATGGATTTGCCTATTTTGGACATTTAATGTAAATGGAATTATACAGTATGTGGTGTTTTGTCACTGGCCTTTTTTTTCACTTAGCAGAATTTTTCAAGTTTCATCCATTATAGCAATAATATTACATTTTATGGATATACCATATTTTGTTCATCCATTCATCTACTGATGGACATTTGCATTGTTTCCATCTTTTAACTATTATGAATAATGCTGCTATAAACTTTCATATACACATATCTGTTTCAGTTCCTTCTTTCAATTTTTTTGTGTATATACCTGGGAGTGGAATTGGTGGCTTATATTGGTAACTCTATGCTCAACTTTTTGAGAGACTGCTAGATTATCTTCCAAAGCAGCTGTACTATTATTATTTTTTTTTACATTCTCACCAGCACTGTATAAGGGTTCCAATTTCTCCACCTACTTGCTAACCCTTGTTATTATTGTCTTTTTTATTATAGCCATCCTAGTGGATGTGAAATGGTATCTCATTGTAGGATTCCCCCCAATAGCGCCTTTCTCTTTACTGGGGAATAGTTCCAGTCTTGTGTATTCATCACTGTGAAGATATTAAACCTCTGGGAAAGATAGGGCCCTTCTCTAACTAATGATTGAATCTGGGGGCATATCAGGCATTCTGGCAGGGTGGAGAGGAAGAGAGTTTAGGGACATGGTGAACTTGCCACCTTTGGAAGCTCTACCATCGCAGAAGCAATCTGCTCTATTGATTGCTTTCCCTTCCCACAAAGAGACCATCAAGTGCAGAAGTAATCAAGTGAAGTTTTCTTGAAAAGGCAAGACAAGAGCTGGGCAACGAAGGGTGGGAGGCCAAAGGATGTATGAAGGGGGAAATGGAGAGGCTTCCTAAACTAAAAAATATTAAATCCTTTCTGAAAAGCACCTTCAGTAGTGACCTAAAACAAAGATGAAAGTCAAACCAATCAACAATTACTTTTGTTTAGCAATTCTGGAAAACATGTTGCAGGAGAGGACACTGGAAATGATGGTTAAAATACGGTGGGAGCCATGGCAGTTCAAGCCTGTAATCCTAGCACCTCAGGAGGCTGAGGCAAGAAGATCAGTTGATCCCAGGACTTTGAGGCTGCAGTGAGCCATGATCACACCACTGCACTCCAGCCTGGGCAACAGAGTGAGACCCCAACTCTAAAAATAATAATAATAAAATAAAATACAATGGGAGTGTTGGCCAAGGAGTTCACTTTTTCTCTCTATTCCATGCCCTTTAGGACTACTCATAATCACAAATACATTTGTGACCCTTCTGAGCGTAAATCCACCTGTCTGGGGTGCTCAATAAGTCCAAAGTAGAGTCTATGTGCTTGGTAAATGGCTCTGGCTAGAAAGCAACTGCTTGGCTAAATCACACCTGACGGTCTTCCCACTGAGATGGGAAAATGGGGCAGATAGTGTTTGCCCAGGAGCTGGGGCATAAAAGGATTCTTAGTGGATGTGATGGCTCAGAAGTGAATCTCTAGTTACCACTTGGGATCTGACAGTTTTTGAGAAGTTCTACAGGGCTGTGAAAGACTGCACAGGGGTAAAAACAAACCTTGTCATTACATTACAGGTGTTGAGAATTTCTAAAATTTACAGTATATAATACTGATTGAAAAGTAAATGTCACTGCTACTTTGGAGTTCAGCATAAGCCTTATACAGAGGCAGGGTCTGCCAGTGTGGTAAGAGGATGGCCACTGTAAGGGTTAAGTAGCCCCACATCTCTTTCCCTACCAGCCTGCTTTCTGCCCTCCAGAAACCCTATCATTTATAGCTAGTAGTAAAAGAACAACAATTGCATTTATTGGGCATTAATATGTTCCTGGTACTATGCTGAACAGATTATGTCTTACCTTGTTTGATCATCCCAACAACCTATGGGGTAGGTACCATTATCATCCCAATTTTATAGATGGAGAAACTGAGACTCAGAGATGCTAAGAATTTGCTCAGCTAATAAGCAATAATTAGCAATGGAGCTTTAATTTGAATCCAAATGGGACACTCTGAAGTAAGGCTTCTCCTCTCCCTAGGACAGGTCTTGGAAGCTGCATTTTTAGCAAGTTCCCTCATTCAGGTCTTAAGTTCTAGAAAGTTTCACACTCTTTACCCGGTGCTCTACAGCCTCATTATGAATAAAACATCAAAGGCCTATGTTACAATATAATTATCTAGAAAAGGACCCTGTTTTAAAACATTATCTACCATTTTCATTTCAGTATGAATTACTTAACGGGATTAGTATTAAGGCCTGCCAGCATGACCTCAATGTGATGGGCCACAGGAGAGTTAAGTTCTTATGGGGGAGGAGAGTTTGGGGAAAATCTAGAAATCGTTGGACTCTACCCGAGGAAAGCAGATCTAGTTAAGTCATCACATCAAGAGGCCCAGGGGAAAAAGAAGTGATGGCAGTTGAAGTGCTGAAAAAAAAAAAGAAATCTAAAGGTAGGCATCATTGATTCAACTGATGGGCCCATTTGAAGCAGTACCTCTGATCTCAGGGAGCATCCCAAGGAAAATGTCGTCTGAATCCACATAGCCTCAGAATATGAGCATTGTTACTTTTTGGAGGTGGGGGGAGGCTGCAGACACCCACTCTTCTTTGTTTTTGTTTTTGTTTTGAGATAGAGATTTGCTCTTGTTGCCCAGGCTGGAGTGCAGTGGCGCAAGCTCAGCTCACTGCAACTTCCACCTCCCAGGTTCAAGCGATTCTCCTGCCTCAGCCTCCAGAGTAGCTGGGATAACAGGCTCCCGCCACCACGCCTGGCTAATTTTTTGTAGAAACGGGGTTTCACCATGTTGACTAGGCTGGACTTGGACTCCTGACCTCAGGTGATCCACTGCCGTCGCCTCCCAAAGTGCTGGGATTAGAGGTGTGAGCCACTGTGCCCAGCCCACTGTTTTTGATACATTCATCCTGCAAGATGTGTTGCATCCTGGATGTATGCTCTTACTTTGCCTGACTGAGATGCAGCTAGCTCCCAGCTGCTCCTCCCTCCATTACAGCAGTGCTCTGGTAGAAGGCCATGGGTGATTTCCCACTAGCAACCTTATTTGTCTATGTTCCTTCCATTTGGGCCAAGGACTAAAAGCCAGCTCAGATTTACACAATTACTTTAACATTGTTTAAGAAAGCAATGTAACAACCTCCACTTTGCCCAGATGGACGGGCTCAATGATGTCGGTGGAGAGAACCCATTATTGGAATAAGACTGGGAACACAAAGTCATAGCTAGGATCTCTCCCACTAGTAGGAATACAGCCGGGCTTCTGATGACCAGCTTTGTAGGATTGATTTTCTATGGTTGGAATGGACCCAAAATGTTCACCTAGTCTAGTCTACGGCCTTCAAGTAGAAGTTTTTTCAAACGTAGTCTTCAAATTTAATGAGGAATACATTTATATCATTCAAGAATATGAATGCATATGTATATGTACATGTATATATGATTATATATCTAGGTATACATATAAAAGAATGCAATAGAATATCTTATTCACCCCGTCCCACACTCACCCAATTCTTATCTTCTCCCTACAACATGTAGTTCCCCCCCATAACTTTTAGTGGTTATATATCTTTCCAGATTTTTATGAAAATGTAAGCAAATATGAATATATATATATATTTTAAAAATATTTTTTCATTTACATAAAAGGTAGTCTATTGTGCACATCATTTTACCCCTTGTTTTCATCATTTAATAATATATCTTTCTGTATTAGTGCACAGAGAACTTATTCTTTTATAGAACTACATAATATTTTGTTATAATAATGAGCCATCATTTATTTAACCAGATTTCTATCAATGGACATAGAAGTTGTTTCCATATTCAGCCATTACAAACAATGCTGCAATGAATAATTTTTATATGTTTCACACATGTGCAAGTATATCTGTAGAATGAATTCTTAAAAATAGGATTGTTGGGTCAAATATATATGTATTTTTAAATGAACAGATATTGCTAAATTGCCCTTCATCATGTTTTAATCAAGTCTTCACAGACTTACCAAGAGAGTGTTTTATTCAAACTTTTGGATTTTTCTAAATCTGCTAAGAAAAATGGTATTTCATTGCAGTTTTAATTTATATTTCTCTAATGAATGAGGTTGATTTTTTCATGTCTAAGGGCCACTTGTAGTTCCATTTCTGTCAACTGTCTATTTATATCCTTTTTCCATTTTTACCATTGGGTTATGAATCTGTTTCTTGTCAATTTATAGAAGCTCTTTATATATTAGGGACAAATAGGATTTTAATCCCCAAACAGCAAATATGTGAAGAGATTCTATTCCAGTGTTTTACAGTGTCTTATGGCAGCAAACTCTTTCTTCAAATGAAATTTAAAAAAGCTAATAAAAACACATTTCACTAACAAAGTAAGAGGTATTCTGTTGAAGTAGAAATGGGGAAGGGATTTTTTTTTTCACATCCCTCAAGTACCTCTGAAGAATCCTAAAGCAGCACAGAACCTAGTTTGAAAATAATTTCCCTACATGCCTAGTTGGCCTGTGGTTCCAGTTTCTAATAACTCTTTCAGCAAGGAATCTTTTTTAGTATCTAACCTGAATCCTTATTGATGCAGTTGATACTCCTCCCCACTTAACATTGGCAATTTGTGATTATTTGACCTCTCTTCCATTATGAACCTTTATGTGTTATTTAAATACATTATCATTTAACACCTTTTTGTGCCTTCCCCTCCAATGAAAGCAGGATTTTACTTGAAGTCAGGGGAATGTCCTATTTATCTTTGTAGCTTTAAGGTAACATAATGCCAGGTATTGTCAATGTATAGTCAAGGATCTATTAGTGCCAGGTATAGTCAAAGACCTCCACAAGTGCTTGTTGAATGAATAAGAAAACAAGAGAGAAATAGTGTTTTGACTCATGTCTCCATAGCACCTACCATACACATCAGTGCAAAGCAAATGCCTTTCAGTTAGTTATCATCTATGGAAATTGGGAAAATTCCTTCATATTCTTCAACTTTACTGCTTTCCTCTCTGTGACCTCTTTCTAGAGCAAGATCATCTACCATTTATTGTGAATGTTATGTACCAGATACCTTTGGGCTTTTTAAAATTAATTATCGCTGAACCTCACAGCCACGTAAAGTAGAAGGCATACTCAAGCCTTCCTAAGATCACAGAACCAAGACATGCCAAAGCTGGTGTCTTAGTCTGTTTGAACTGGTATAACAAAACACCACAAACTGAGTAGCTTATAAACAACAGAAATTTATTTCTCACAGTTCTGGAAGGTGGAAATCCAAGATCAAGGTACCATCAGATTTGTTCTCTGGTGAGGGCTTGGCTTCTGGTTCAGTGATGATACCTTCTCCCTGTGAGCCTATATAGTAGAAGGGGCGAACAAGCTCCCACAGGCCTCTTCTATTAAAAGCACTAATCTCATTCATGAGGATGTTGCCCTTATAACTTAATCACCTCCCAAAGGCCCCATCTCCTAAAAGCCATCACCTTGGGGGTTACGATTTCAACATATGAATTTCAGAGGCACACAAATATTCAGATCATAGCAGCTGGGACCCCAGAGACCAATGTTTGCAGACCCCAGAGACCAGGCTCAGTTATCTTCTCTTGCATCACTGTGAGATACGCACATAGAAACAGCATCCTATTCTAGGGGTTTCTTTCAAGGCCTTTTTGTCATTCTCTCTTCCCATATATTTCTGAGACTTGGGGTAAAGCCCTTTAGATGATGTAGTTTTACTTTGTTGGATGTGTATGTCTCTCTGTGTGTCATGGGCAATTAAAGGGACTATAACCTCTTCTTTCTAGTCTTTACCTTCATTTCCATGTCCCTTCTCCAGCCACCTCCCAATAGCCTGCAAATGTTCTAGGACTCTATCAGTAGAATGACAGAGAACCAAAGAAATGCTAGCATCAGGCTCAGCCATCAGAAGAAAAGTAGGAACCAAAGTAATGGCAGCAATGGCAAAAGAAAAGATGGCTTGGCGTCAAGGAGATTAGCAACTGATCTCTGAAAGCTCTGGGGAGGTTTGTATTTATAACACTGGGAGCAGATTTGTCTCCTGACATACAAGCTGCTTTTCTGACTATCCAAGAACTGTCCTACTATGGAAATGATCATTTTATAGGGTGGGGAGAGTGGGGAAGAGAGCAGTCAGCATGAGGACTTGGTTCCAGAGTGTGGGAAGAAGGGTAACACCAGGAGAGGAGGGAAGGCGTACAAAAAGAAGTGAAGTGGAACCACAGGCTTCTTGGTAAAATTTGCCAGTTGCTCTGAAGGACAAAAAAAAAAAGGCCTGTGGCAGTTATTCAGACTGAGGTGTTAGTTAGTGACAAGGTGTAAGTGTACCCTCTCATATAATTCTTGGGATTACAAAATCTGATTGCAAAAGGTAGCCATTTAACCTAGAGGAATGGACTTCCAATAGTGGCATTTTAAGCATCAGTGTGAGAAAAGGTGGTAAGAGACATTTGGGATAAGGGGGTATTTTCTGAGCATCCCGGAAATCATAGTTCTGCTTACATATGAGATCATCCCTCACTTGGGGAGAAGAAACCTCCTCTTTCCCAACACATCTGTGGTCACATGACTTAGTGCTTGTCTGCTCACCCTACAATGGTTTTTTCTCCAGTCCTCCTCTTAGTGCTAGGTGGGAATTTGACTGGAAACAGAAGAGATGGGGGAGGTTAGAAGCCACGCAGCCTGGTCATTCCTATTGTAGCATTCCCTGAGGGGCCCTGTAGCCAGCTTTGCTTTGAACTGATTTTCTGCTAGTTTTCAGTCAGGAACACTGAATGTGTTCCAAGGATATTTGTTTACTAGCCCAGCCACCTTGGAAAATCTGGGAGAGGAGAAGGTAAAATATGAGGTGGTTTTTCTTCCTTCTGCAGTTAGGAAGCATGCTGTGTTGGCCCTCTAAAGATGCAAGGGGAGATTTGAGTCCATATCGCATTCCTAGAAATATTGAAGCTTAAAGAGGTAAAGTGCCTTGTACAAGATTGTGGGGAGTCAGTACCATTGAGTTGGGATTGTGACTCAGTGATCCTGCTCTGAAGCTTTAACACCCATTCTGTGAAGAGCACAAATTTGAAAGCAGGAAAGCTATATTTCTGAGTTGGCTCTCTTGTTAAACAGCTGTGTGACATGGGACAAATCTTTTGGAGTACTAGTAGCCTCATTTTCAGTAATTCGCCCCCCACCCCCGAGATACACACCATTAAGGGTGTTGCAAGAATGAAATAAGAATGAGATGTTAAGAATTTTATTGCATAAAACTAGCCTTAAGCATGACCATAATTGGTTTCTTTTTCTTTGATTCTACTGTGTCTTCCTCTCTTTCTCTTTCTCCCTATCTCCTGTTGAGTAGAATAATAGACTCCAGTGCCAGGTTACTCAGAAGACTATTGCAAGGAAGATTCTCAAGATCATTCTTCCACTGGAAAATCTCACCCTGCAGTTGCCTTGCCATTGATTCCTTGGTAGAAGGCCCGGTTCAAAAATCAAGCCACATTCTTTTGAGGCAAAATAATTCCAAACTTCTTTTTTGTTGTTGTTGTTTGTTTGGTATTCCAAACATCTGCCAGCTCCCATAAGAGCCGTGACAAATATTATTTTGTAGGTCACTGTAGATTTCCTTCACCACAAAATGCTGAGATTTGGAATAATTAGAGCCCAGGGGGCAAATGGGCCTGCTTCTGTCCTTTCTCTGATGGGTTTCACTCATGTCTGCCAGCTGCAGCTGTCTGATTGTATACGCTTGTGGGCAGGGGCAGGGCCTCTTAGCCCAGACAGAGTTAATTAGTATGAGTTAAACTCTTTCTAGGAGCTAAGGCTGTCTTTATAAGGCAAAAGTAAGGAACTTTCTTTATATCCTCTAAAGGGTCATTAATAAGTAGTTAACACCCTGAGAGTGAATTACTCAGAAATTGATGTTAGATCGACTTATATAGCAAAGTATAGAATTGAGTTAGTTACCCAAATCGCTGAAGCCAAAAGAAGTGCATTGTCTGTTTTCTGGGTATTTTAGGCCACAACATTAGGGACAGCATAGCCTTCATGTTCTAGTGGTTTGGGTTTTGGTTTTTAATTAAATGGTCCCTTCCTTATTATAGGTTTGAAGTGATTGGCACTTTTTTTGATAGTGGTTATGAGGGAAGGTTCTAGAATCAGTCAGACATCAAGTTATATCTTAGTGCTGCCACTTGCAAGTTGTGTCACCTTGGGCAAGTCAATCTCTTAAGCCTTAGTTTCTTCATCTGCAAAATGGGCATAATCATGTCTACATCAGAACATTATTAGTAAGAGCCAATGAGATTATGTATGTAAAAGCACTCATTCCTGCCTGGCACATAGCTAGGGCTTGATAAATGGTATCTATTCGTGTATTATTATTATTATTATGGATGTTATTATTGTTAGCCTTATCATTTTCACTACATACTGAGAATAATTTCATTCTTTTTGCTTGTTTGTTTGTTTGTCTGTTTGTTTGTTTTTTGAGATGGAGTCTCGCTCTGTCGCCCAGGCTGGAGTGCAGTGGCGTGATCACGGCTCACTGCAAGCTCTGTCTCCCGAGTTCACGCCATTCTCCTGCCTCAGCCTCCCGATTAGCTGGGACTGCAGGCACTCGCCACCATGCCTGGCTAATTTTTTGTATTTTTTAGTAGAGACGGGGTTTCACTGTGTTAGCCAGGATGGTCTCAATCTCCTGACCTCGTGATCCGCCCGCCTCGGCCTCCCAAAGTGCTGGGATTACAGGCATGAGCCACCGCGCCTGGCCCATTCTGTTTTTTTTTAAACAGTTGTATTGAGGTATAACTTACCCACCACAAAATAGACTCATATTCATTACAGTTTTGACTGATGGAAAAGAAAGGATGGTTCAACTCTCTAAGCCTCTCCCTAATGAAACACACAGCTCCCCTGATTTCTCTCCTTCCACTGTCTTATGGCAGGCACTTTCCAAGCTCTGGTTGTATCTTTTGTTGGTTTCAATTCCTTTTTTCACCACTCACTAGCTTTGTGACTTCAAATAATTCACATAACCTCAGCAATCCTATTTCCCTCAAATGAAAATGAAGGTAAGAATTTACCCTACTTGATTCACAGGGTTGTTATGAAGCTCCATTGTAATAATATATGTGAAATCTCTTTGTAAATGGTCTGCTGGGTTACTATAATTCACAAATATGAGTTTCAATAATATTCAAATGTCATATTGTGTGCTTCAGACATTAGATGCCTTGAGAGATCCAGATTGTGGCTGGAGTTATTTAGAGAATGCTTCGTGGAGGAAAGGCGGCATAAGCTGAACCTTCAAGATCAGATAGGACCTCAATGGGTGGAAAAGAGTCAGGGAGTGGGCAGTCTCGGTGGAGGGATTAAAAAAAAGCAAAACCACAGAGGCTGGAACAAACAGATAAGCACAAAAGTGATTTAAAATGTAGGCGGTGGCCGGGCGCCATGGCTCACGCCTGTAATCCCAGCACTTTGGGAAGATGGGGCAGGCGGATCAATTGAGGTCAGGAGTTTGAGAGCAGCCTGGTCAACATGGTGAAACCCCATCTCTACTTAAAAAAAAAAAATAGCCAGGCGTGGTGGCAGGCGCCTGTAGTCCCAGCTACTTGGGAGGCTGAGGCACGAGAATTGCTTGAACCCAGGAGGCAGAGGTTGCAGTGAGCAGAGCTCGCACCATGCACTCCAGCCTGGGCAACAGAGTGAGACTCAGTCTCTAAATAAATAAATGTGGGAGGGAATAAAGTTACCAGGGCAGTATAATAGATGGGTCCCCTTCTGAAGCAACTGGGGGAAAAGATTAAATGAGATAGCATGGACTCCTTCCTTTCAGGAAAGATAATATCTTATTCATCTAGGAATATTAGCTCCATCTAGGCAGGGACCTTGTCCATGTTCTCTGATCCCTCTCTAACACATATTACAATTCCTGGCACATAGTAGGTGCTCAGTAAATGGTCAACAAATAAAAGAATGGATGGATGGATGGATGGACGGATGGATGGATGGATGGATGGATAGATCATAATGTCAGCTGCTGTACTTGTCTGGCTGTTTTAACATTATTCAAAATCATTGGTCACTGGAGCGGGGACTGTCTTAAAACTCCCTCTATGTAGTACAGCCCCGTCTGCTGTTGGGATTTATGAAATTCTTGTCAATGATGCCAATACTCAGTGTGGTTTTTCTCCACCCTGTTCTAGAAGACTCCTTACCCCCAGTGAACAATAAGGTGACCAGCAAGTCTTGCGAGTACAATGGGACAACTTACCAACATGGAGAGCTGTTCGTAGCTGAAGGGCTCTTTCAGAATCGGCAACCCAATCAATGCACCCAGTGCAGCTGTTCGGTAAGACCCTACATCTTAACATTCCTGCTAGGCCCTACTCAAATACAAGAGCTTCCTCTGTACTTGTACTTTCATTTGTGCCTGCACTGTAAGGTGTTTGAATAAAACATGACTTGCATTAAATCATAAGCCTCCTTGACAATCCAAACTCCCTGATCTTCACCCACCCTGAACAACTCTGTTGAAGGGCTCAGGCCCAATCATATCCCAGTCTTAAAGCTGTAGGACTGCTTAAATGGGCAAAGGTGAGCTGTTTGTGTTGATCGGCGCTCCTTTTCATAATAATTATACCACCAAAGCCTCCATCTGAAGGACTCACAATTATTTGAAGCTTTGGGAATGCTATGGGTGGAAAAGTCACTTTGACTATCTAGGGCCACTCACTCCAATTAACAAGAAAATGAGTTGTCTGTTAGTTCCCATATCTGAAGTATTTTACTAACCAGTTAATTCCTAGTGCCCTGCAATGAGAAAACTCTCTATAAATGCTTGGTCATGATGACTACCAGGACATTACTTGTCAGAAGAACTGCATTTACTTTACAAACAACGTATACTAATTACATCTTATCTAATATGCAGTCCGGAGAATATAATCAATAGAACTAGAAAATGGAGTAAAATGAGTGTTTAAACTGAAGCAGGAAGGAATGAAGTTAGATGTAGTAACAACTTTTCTGCCTGCAAGTGGCATTAAGCACTGGATTGTCAAGGGAAGCTATAGAATCTCTTCCCTTTAGGACTTTTAGTAAGAATATAGTATCTCAGTAGTTTAGGAGAATTTTCGTGTGGCCTTGCTTTCTTAATGGCCTTCCAGGAATCATTCTAGCCCCAAAAGAATGTGCTTCTAAGAACTAAGAACAAGGTTTAAGGAATAACATTTGAAAGATAGAAATTTAGGAAATCAGGATTATTGCAAAGACAGATGTAACCAGCAAGTAAATTTTATCCTCTCCCTTGCCTTGTGCTAGACTGAGCTGTGGCCATCAGATCATCTTGTATAGTTTTGTATTACCCCAGAGAGCTTGTTCCTTTGGTTTGGAAGGGAGAGTCTAGTGAATATTACAAATGGAAGCTATGAAATAAATCTTCATTCCTTTAAACCCCCAATCCAGCTGGGGGACCAAGGGTACCATGAACAGAGAAGAAAGAAACAAGACTATAATTCATGGTTCAGAGGCTCATGGCATCCCTGACAGACTACTTTGTACCACCTTAGACCATGATGCTCGACTAGGATTGCTAACTTTTCTGTGGCTTAGTCTCTGGCATGGAGGAATTGTAGGAGAAAAAAAATAATGCGTAATAAAATGTAGGAAGTACCGAGAACTGACGATGGGAGAGCTGGGGGGAAGGACATGCCGTGTTTTGAGTCCCTGCTCTATTTCAGGTATTAAGTGAAGCCTTTACACTTATCCTAGATGCTTCTAATCTTAATTCTGTTTCTCCTTGGCAGGAGGGAAACGTGTATTGTGGTCTCAAGACTTGCCCCAAATTAACCTGTGCCTTCCCAGTCTCTGTTCCAGATTCCTGCTGCCGGGTATGCAGAGGTAGGTGTGTTATATCCCAAGACCCCTGGGTGCTGCTATCCTGTGTAGTAGAATTTAGAAAGGAGGAAAATACCTGTCTAATGTCCTAGGGAAAGGTAATTTTTATGGTAGCCTTAGTTTTTAAAGGTGGTTTAATTAACAAAGGGAAAAATAAATAAAGCATTGATTTTAAAGGCCACAGCCTTTAAAAAAAAAAAAAAAACTACAGGATGGAGTGCTGTGCTTCAGGGGAGGATGGGAAAGAGTCATCAAATGTGAAAGTGAATATATTTATTTCTCCATCCTTAATCCCTTCTAGCTTGGCCCTTAAATTATTGTATCATAAAACACAGACTATTTTCATTCATAGCCTTAGAAGGAAGAATGGACCTTGCAAGGAATTGATGTGGCCATTTTGAAGACTGTGCAGGGCAAATTTAGGTATACTTTTTAAACCCCATAATAAGATGGTGACAAACTCAATAAAAGCAAAACAGAAAGCATTTTCTCAAATTATATTCAAAATTGAATTGTCTTCTCACATTAGTCTTTTTTTCTTTAGGTTTTATTTTTTTTATAATGGCACCAGTTTTTTCGCTAGGTTCCTGGGATCAAGTGTAATCCCCTTTAATTTCTCCTTTGTTACCTCTTCTCAGATTACCAAATCTTTCAGCAGTTATCTGTATCTCTCCCTTTTCCCACTTTCCCACTGGCAATATCCTTATTTTGTCCTTTTTCCTTCTATCCAGTCAACATATTTTTTGACCATCTACTGTATGCTCAGCATTGTGCTAGAATTGGGGTATTTATATTGATAAATACAGTAGATATATAGGGTGGTGCTAGACCATATGGCATCTTTATGTGAGTTACAAAAAGGATTCCCTTACATAAGATACTTTATTGCCATTTTTCAGAAAATCCCAGGGAAAGCACCTTTGTAGCTGTGGCATCCTTTTGCAGCACACAACCTACACAACAATATATATAGCATACATAGCAGCCAAGATATGTTCTTTGCTCTTATGGAACTCACCAGAAAAGACAAATAATAAGCAAACGTGGAAATACAGATAATGCAAGTACTATGCAGAAAATAAACATAGGACTGAGATTAAAAATAAGTAGTTTATTTAGGTTGAGTTGTCAGGAAGGCCTCTCTGAGAAGGTGACATTTAAGCTGAGACCTGAAAGATAAAAAGAAGTCACCCATGCAAAGATCCCAAAGAAGAACATTCTAAGTAGAGAGAAAAGAAAGTTCAAAGGCCCCAGGCAGGGAAGAGCTTAAAGCATTCAAAGAGCCTAAGGACCAGTGTAGCTGAAATGTAGTGATTGTGGTTGAAACTGACATGGGATGAGGCTGAAGAGGTAACTAGGAATTAGACCATGCAGGATTCTGAAGGCCATGGGAAGGATTTTGGATTTCCATTTTTAATACATTGGGAAGCTATTGGAAGGTTGTGAGAAAGAGTATGAAGTGATCCAATTAACATATTAAAAGATCTCACTGGCTATTATTTCCAGACTAGACTGGAGGGAGGCAATAATGCAAGTGGAGAGACTAGCAAGATGGTTAGGGTAGTACTCTTTCCAGTGTGAGAAAAAGGGTGCTTGGACTGAGAACACAGTAGTGGTTCAGAGTGGAGCCTTTGGAGCCAAACTGCCTTGGTTCTAATCCCAGCCTTGCTACTTTGTAGTTGAATGACCTTATTCAACCTTTCTACCAATCTTTAAAGTGAGGATAATGTTAGCTCCTACCTTCAAGATGTTTGTGAGATTTCAATGAGATAATATAAGAGAAGGACCTGGCACAGTGTCTTGTATATACTGAGGACCCAATAATTAAAAGTGGACAAATTTGAAATACATTTGGAGCCGTGGTTCTCAACTATGGGTGCATATTGGAATTACCTTGGTAGATTTATACCAGATCAGAAGGAGGAGGATGTGATTCCAATATGCAGCTAAGGTTGTGAACCACTGAGTTAGAGGAAAAAAATTATAGGATTTGCTGGTGGGGGATGTGTAGGTGACTTCTATACATTACTGCCATTTTAATCTTCCAAAAAGCAATCCATCACCGTGTTACACCCCTGTTCAAAAATTTTTATGCCAACATGTATTTGGACTTACTATATGTCAGTCCCAGTTCTAACTAAGCATTTTACAGATATGAACTCACTTAATCTCATGACAACCCTATGTGAGGAGTACTATTGTTCTCCCTGTTTTATGGATGAGGAAACTGAGGCAGAGAGCGGTTAAGAATCTTATCCAAGGTCAGGTAGCTAGTGAGTTGAGGAGCTAAGATTTGAATCCTGGCAGCCTGGCTCCATATTTCAGGCTCTAACCACAGTGTTCTGCCACTGAAAGGGATGACTCCCTGTCGCCACTCAAATACATGTCAACCCCCGACTCTGATAGTGAAGGCCTTTCATGGTCTAACCTCAAGTTACCTTTATAGGTCAATATTCTTCCATTCATGCACCTCAGGGCCCACTGCATTGTTCCTGTGCTCTCTTACCTTTTTACCTTTGCTCAGTCCTCTTCCTGTCAGTGTTTCTCACACTTTAGTGTGCTTCAGAATTGCTCAGAGAACTTGTTGAAGTTCAGATTCCTGGATCACACCTGCAGAGATTCTGATTTAGTGGCCTTGGAGTGGGACCCAGGAATCTGCATTTAAGCAGACCCCATCGTTCATTCTGATGCAGAATGGTGGTCTGTGGACTGTCACTTTGAGAAACCATTCCTGAGACCATGTAGATAACCTGGAACCAAGGATTTGTTTTAAAAAATCTGAGTTTAGTGCACTTAAATTGAGCACATTAAAATTCTGAAACCTGAGTGAACCAGTGGAAAAGCAACCAATTTCAGTTCCTGATTGGTTAAAGCATCTAAGTCCGACCATATGGCAACCAATTTGAGATGAATGAGTGGTGGCCATTTCATGATAAGGAACTGGGATGAAAAGGAGACAAAAGGGCTGTCTAAGTAACAACTGCACATGTACAGGTTGGATGGAGAAAATGTTTCCTCTTTCTGGAAAATTCTTTTTCTCCATCCCTGCCTGTGGAAGTCCTGCTAGTCCTTCAAGACCTAGCACAAATGCAGCTTCCTCAGATTCTATTGCAGGCCGTCCTCAGGTCGCATTTTGATAAGTAGTAGTTGGAAGGCCTTTCTTTTCTGCCTTCCCACTTCCATCCCTAATTTCTCCACCCATAAATCCTGCTTATCCTTCAAAATCCAGCCTAATTGCCACTTCTTCCATGAAATGTTTTTAAATCCTGCAAACTAGAAGTAAACCTGTCTCTACTCTAGGACTCCTCAGCACTTAACCTGTGCTTCTTCTGGAGCATTTATCACCTTGTCAACTTCTGTTTTTTATTATTTGTGCCCATGTATTATCATCCCTATTAATGCATAAGCTCTTCAAGACAGATACTCTTTTTCATTTATCTTTATTTCTCCCACTGTGCCAGGCAGAGTAGGTGCTCTTTAAATGAATGCACACTAGATTGGAATGATTACTAGAAATTTAGTCAGGATTTGAATTAGGTGCTACCAAAAAAGAATATGGTTGTTGTGCATTTTTCCCCCTGAATTACTGATTGACTGTGGTAGATGGTGTTGACTATACATTGATTCCTCGTCAATAGGAAATTACTTGGTCTCATTCCTGATCTCCAAGTTGTTTTCTTCCCCTATACCACTTTAGGAAACTACAGTTAACATTGCTTTTTGGAAGGACTGAGCTTGTTTGGACTACCAGTGTATGCTCATCCCTTTTAATATGCTATTTGCATCAGCCCTCATAAGTCAATATGGATTTAGTTACAGCCTAATTTGATTTATGCTTTGGTAAGGCCCTGGATCTTTCCATACATGTTTCTCACAATGTGTGTGTGTATATGTCTGTACTACAGTGTAGCTGTTACATTTCAGTCAAGAAAGATGGATATTTTGTTCCTCACCTCCTTTCTTGTCTTGGCCCCAACTTAATTTCAGTGTGGCTCAAAAGAAAGTCCATACTGAGCAGAGGTGTACATGTGGTTGCTAATATAACCAGTTGGTCACTATAATCCAGCTGTTAGGCTGATATTATTCCCTTTGGGGAAAAGGATATGTGAAATCTAAACTGGAAAACAATTGATAATAGAAAGGAAAGGCAACAGTGAAAAGACATGTCACTGCAACCTAGGGGCAATACGGTATAATGCAAAGGACAGAGGCTCTGAAGCCAGAAGGTCATAGATTTGACATTGCAGGGCTACCACCTACGAGTGCTGTTATCTTGGACAAACTATTTAACCACTCAAAACCTTGGTTTTCTCAGGTGTAAAAATGGAGATTATGCTTACTACGTATGAAATGGGTTGTGTAGATTAACTGAGATGGCGTAGAGTGCTAGGAGATGGCCTAATACAGAGTTATTGGTTTATAAGTAACAATTACTATATTTTATATAGTAATTACTATATTTATTACCCCCGAGTTAAGTATCATTGCACCTTCTCCTCTATCTTTGATAGTTTTGCCTTTTTAAAATGTAATCTCCATAGACAGAACTTTAGTTCTAGTTCTTCTTGTGGTAACAGATCCTGGAACTAGCTATTTTATGTACTGTTCTATCGTTACAATTTAAATTTCTTTTCTTTTTTATGTCCTCAGAAGCAACAGATAAAAGCTAGTTATTACTGGCCATGTATTGTCCCTTTATATACTTGATAATTCATTAAGTTCTTTCTTTGCAACCTCTCATCCAGCCTAAATGCACAATTTTCTTTCATCTTCCTTTATAAAGACTAAATCCTACACTTTTGTAAAAATTGTTGTTCTTTCATTGCCTCCAGTTTCTTTGCATCTTTCAGCTGTATATAATGTGGTTGAAACTCCTTTGAAGTTCTAACTTTTGAAGCACCTAGTTATTTTTTCCCATGGAAATGACGTTTTTACAATACTGTATCTTATATAAGCGTATTACTCATACAGCAGGGAACCCAGAAACCTCTCCCCTATGCTGGCCACCCTGACTGCAGGCCAAATACTGAAGAAGAAATAATCTTTTGACTGCTGAACTTGCAAACCTTCATATAAAGGGCATTGAAATAGCCTCTCTGCACTGTCCCCAAACACTAATGTGTGTCTTTCTTCCTGGGTCAGACAGCAATCCTAGACGCGGATTGAATCTCAGACCTAGCCTTCATTGGCTAGACGTGTCTTTGAGGCTGGGACAGTCAAGGAGAGCGTTGGCAGAATGTGTGTCATTGCTAGCACTTCAGCAAACCTCATTAGGACTGGAAGCATAGTGCAAACAGCCACTGGAACCTTAAGGGAAATTTTATCAGAAGAAAAAATCTCTTCAGATCCTGTGTTAGTTTGCTAAGGATGATAGCCTCCAACTCCATCTATCTTCCTGCAAAAGACATGCTCTCATTCATTTTTATGGCTGCATAGTATTCCATGGTGTATATATACCACATTTTCTTTATCCAGTCTGTCATTGATGGGCATTTAGGTTGATTCTGTGTCTTCAGAATTGTGAATACTGCTGCAATGAACATTTGCGTGCATGTGTCTTTTTTTTTCCCCAAATACTGCATGTTCTCACTTATAAGTGGGAGCTAAATGATGAGAACTTACGAACACAAAGAAGGAAGTAACAGACACTGGGGTCTTCTTGAGGATGGAGGGTGAGAGGAGGGAGAGAAGCAGGAAAGAATCTGTACAACAAACCCTCATGACAGGAGTTTACCTATGTAACAGACTTTCATAGGTATCCTCAAACCTAAAATAAAAGTTTTTTTTTTTTTAAATCTCTTCAGAGATTATACTACTGCCACATTCTGGGAAGGCAGGCTTCAAACCCAAACCCACACCCAGCTTCCCTCCACCATTGATCATTTCCACTTCCTGTCCCCTGCTCATCTTGCCAAAACAACAGGGAAGGCTATGTACTTGGACTCTAGACAAGGGAAAGGTATTTGGGGTAGGTATTAACTGTATTGAAAGCCAAGTATGCATTTAGTAAATGGTGTCTAAATGTAGCACGTACAATGTGCCAGACAATGTTCTAAGCACTTATGTGTGGAATAGCTCATTTGATCCTGGCAAAAATAGTAGCAACTATTTATATCCCCATTCTACAGATGCGGAAGCTAAGGCAGAAAAGTTGAGTGATTTGTCCAAGGACAAATGGTAGTAAGTGGCAGAGCTAGAATTTTAACCTGGTCAGTCTGGCTTCAGAGTTTCAAGCTCTTAACTTCTATACTACCTGTTGGGACCCATTCATAGGAGTATGACAAGGATATCTCCTAGTACAGGGGAGTAAAGGGGAAGACGGGACATGCATGGCACATTGTTGTGTGCAGATACTCCTAAGAGAGTATCTTACCACACTGCCCATGTTTTCCCATCAAGGCCTTAACTTACCCTTCTCTCACTCTAGGCTTAAAGTGTCTTGAGTGTAAATGTCTACTTTCTTTCATTCAGCAAACATTGTTAAGCAATCACTAAGAGCCTGGCACTGCACCAGTGCTAGAGATACAATGGTGAACAAAAATGGACATGGAACCTGCCTTCATGGAGTTTTAGTAGGGAAGATAGACACCACGTCATGATATAAGTAATTATAAAATTGCAACTGTGCCACATGCCACAAAGGAAAGTTGTTATAAAAGCCAATAATTGAGAGGGGTTGACCTAGTCAGGGAGGTGAAGGAAGACTTCTGAGACTGTCTCTCCAGCCTCAACTCGCACCACATCCCTCCTTGTTCTCTGCACTCCAGGGTGAGGAAAGATTGGCTCAAAAATTAGGGAGATAACTGGTGGCAGTCATACACTCCTGGGATCCCCAACTTCTGATCCCACCATGAATCCAGTCCCTCCCCAGGCTGTAGGGGTCTATAATGTTCTTTCTACATTATACATGCTACATAATACCCTAATCTAGGAATTTTCTTTTACTCTTCTTTCTTTTGGCTGTTTCCTGTTTTTCAGAGACAGGGTCTCACTCTGTCATCCAGGCTGTAGTGCACTGGCACAATTATAGCTCACTGCAGCCTCAAACTACAAGCTACCCTTCTGTCTCAGCCTCCTGAGTAGCTGGGACTACAGGCGTGCACCACCGTGCCCAACCAATTTTTTTTTTTTTTTAGAGACATGGTCTCGCTATGTTGCCCAGGTTGGTCTCAAACTCCTGGTCACAAATGATTCTCCTGCCTCGGCCTCCCAAAGTGCTGGGATTACAGACATGAGCCCAGCCTAGGAATTTTCTTTTTGAGAAACTACTTGATCATGCTACCATTTCTTACCATATTATCCAATCTGAATTTTTCAGCTTGTTTTTAAAGACCCTCTGTGAAACAGTCTGATCCTTCCTTAACCTACTTTCCAGCCTCATTTCTCTGACACCAACACACACATCTCCTTTAGGCTGGCTGGCTGATCTCTTTGTTCTGTTACATGCTATGTTTCTTCCTACCTTCCCTCCTGTTATGTGCTTCACTTAAACTGTTATTTTTCACAAGCTTGGAATAGCCCCCGCTCCTCTTCTACCTATTCGCATCCTACTCATCTTTCAAGGGTCCAGTTGAAGTTGCACCTCTTCTAATAGTTTTGCCCAATCACTCTAGTTCTCATTGATCTTCTTTGACCACCTTCAGGACTTAATCTGGTTCAAAAATAAGCATTCAGAAATATATTCTTGCACTGTTATTGCTTTGTGTCTTCCTGTTTCCCCTGGCATAACATAATATTAATCATATATCATGCTGACTGGTTTATTTAATACAAAAAGAGCCACAGTCACAAAAAGCTCTTGACAGCATTCCAAGTACAGATGCAGTAGGGAGGCAGGAGAAATGGTGGAACTTACAATTTGCTCAACCCAAGCCCGTTCATCCAACATATCTCAAATGAGCCCAGGGAGAAAATGGAAGTCACTTTTTATGAAATTTTGATATTTCTGCTAACTCCTTCAAGGTAAATGAAACTGGAAGCAATTGTTTAAAAGTATATTAGTCAGTGTTCAAGATAAGTGCCATTTTACCTAAGACACTTGATTTCTCTTTCCGAAAGAGCAGCAAAATTGCACCTCAGATCCCATCTCAGCTAGAATCCGGGATCTTCAGGGAAGTGGTATGTGAGATACTTCATTGATTTTAAACATCATAAAAATTGACCAGTTTTTCAAAGTTTTCAAAATCAAAGAAAACTGAAGAAAATAACAGCAAATCCAAATATAGATTCTCACAAATTAGTCTCAAGTTGTTTATGTTTTGGCCCACATTTTCTGCAGAAACACCACCATCTCCTGGTCATGATGATAGGAAAGAAACATTGTTAATGAGAAACACTACTTTAAAAAATGAAAATTCATCTTGTATAACTGAAACCTTATGCCTGTTGATTAGCAGCTCCCCACTTCCCCCTCCAAGGTGAACAAGTTCTAAAGATCTGCAGTACAACATTGTGTGTGTATAGTTAACCATATAGTATTGTATACTTAAGTTTGTTAAAAGGGTAAATCTCGTTAAGTGTCCTTACCACAATAAAATAAAAAAAATTAAAATTAACTCAGTAATTTTTGAGTTTATACATTCTCACCTAAACTTCAAAATACAGTCCGCCCTCTATATTCACTGGTTGCACATCCATGGATTCAACCAACTGCAGATAGAAAATAATTTTTAAAAACACGTTAAAAGTAACAGTACAACAATCTAAAAATTACAAATTTTAGAAACCAATATAGTAAAATGACTATTTACATAGCATTTACATTGTATTAAGTTTTATAAGTAATCTAGAGATTATTTAAAGTATATGGGAGTATGTGTGTAAGTTATATGCAAACACTATGCCATTTTTTATCAGGGACTTGAGCATCTGTGGATTTTGGCATCTGTGGGGGGTCGTGGAACCAATTCCGCATAGATACTGAGGGACGACTGTGTATTGATATACTCTGATATTTTCATAGCTATAGAAGAGTCTCGCTGTCATTAATAATACCTTTTCAAAAGTGAATCATTTATGTTCATGTGTATGGGACCATTTTAGAGATTTGCCATCCTCACCTACCTCTCCTCATCTAAATCCCAACTGGATCTCCTTCCATGGAAATGTTCCAGATTGTTTTTGCTTTCTCTCCATCTCTTGTGCTCAAAATTCATCCCCACGTACTTGCTGACTGTCCCAGGACCCCGTCCCTCTAAGGTCATCATGTTCCTTCTTGGCATGTTTCTTACGTCTAGAATATTTCTTCTTGAATAGAAAGTCATTCAGACAGTGGATGGGACAGCGTTGACTTTCACATTGAGTTTAACAAATTAATAGCACTGATTCCTAATCGGCCATCTGGGTTGTCCTGTCAGGGTCAGTAATACCCCATTCTGTTTCTGGGATTGGAGGACTTTTTTGTGTGTATATGAATCTGTTTCTATAATAAAAATAAGGAATTCCCAGTGAAGCATTTCAGAGCAATTATTTCTTCATGGGTGGTTAAAGCCACTCTTTCTTCAACCTTATTCTTTCTAACTCCTTCAAGGAATTCCATAGCTGCCCAGAAACACCATTGGATGTGCCCATTACTCACATTATAATAGTCTTTATGAGCTTAGACTCCAACAATTTATAGAAATCAACCTGGTTTGTTGACTGACAGTGCAAACAGAGGTAAAAGATACATGAGAAGGAAGAGCAGTGTATACAACTGACTGCTTTTCATTTTCAGGTTGACCAGACAGTCAGCATGGGTAGGTCATTGAGTTTCTCCTCTCTGTCCTGCTTTTTATTTTCAGTTCATGGATGTGGTAGCACAGAACTCTACTTTATTTGGATACTTGGATTTTTTTTTTTAAGACAGAGTCTCTGTTGCCCAGGCTGGAGTGCAGTGGCATGACCTCAGCTCACTGCAACCTCTGCCTCCTGGGTTCAAGTGATCCTCCCGCCTCAGCCTCCCAAGTAGCTCAGACTACAGGCGCTCACCACATCTGGCTAACTTTTGTATTTTTAGTAGAGACGGGGTTTCCCGATGTTGTCTAGGCTGGTCTCAAACTCCTTACCTCAGATGATCTACCCGCCTCAGCCTCCCAAAGTGCTGAGATTACAGGCATGAGTCACCGCGCTCAGTGGGCACTTGGATTTTTAAGACTTCACTTTATAACTTTGTAAATTGTACTCCTACCAATGAAGCAGATATCTTTCCTGTCAAGCCTCATTTTTAGCCAAGAGAGAAAAGAGATTTTAATTAAGATGCAAACTCTTTTTTAAAAAATTGGAAATAGAGGACTAGCATAATTATGAGAAATTCTAAGCCAGTTTAGAAGGTGTGAGCCGAAGAAATCTCTCTAGCCATTTTTAAAAATATCTCCAGGACCCTGTCTTCCAATGATTTAGAGATGAAATGATTCCTTTTCAATGTGCAGGCATGCAGTTATCTTTGCTAGGCTTTGTTTGCTTGTTTGTTTGTTTGTTTGTTTGATCCAAGCCCTTTTCTTTGTTAAATACACAGCACACTTGTGGGAGTCCCTTAAGCCGGGTATTCCCCCATGTGTAAGCTACCCTTGAGGAGAAGGAGGAAAAAGAAGTGGAGGCAAAGAATGGGAAGAAAGGGGATTAGGAATAGCAGCTAACATTTAGCTGACACAGTGTGCCAAGCACAATTCTAAATGCTTTGCATATACTAATTCATTTAATCTTCACAACCCTATAAGGTAGGCATTATTGTCTCCATTTTAGCAATAAGGAAACTGAGGCACAGAGAAGTTAATTCATTTGCCCAAAGTCACATAAGTAGGAAGGAGCAGAGCCAGAATTTGAATCCAAACTGTTTGGCTCCAATCTGTTCTCTTAGCCATTATATTATACTGCCTCTCAACTTGGGGAAGCAAAGCAAATTTGGGAACTCTTATTTCTGAGGCTACCGGGAGGAACAGACTGTGTGATGACCATCTTTCCAGGGGCCAGATATGGTAACAATCCAGCAGATGCATTGGGACTGCTCTGAGAAGCAAAGATTCTGTTTCTCACCATAAACTTGGATCTGTTTAGCCACATCTCCATTGAAAGAGCAGAGTGTGGATGGTGGGTACCATCCAGCTCGTAGTTTCTGTATTCACTCTCTTCTGATTTCCTCCTGGAAACGCATGCATTCTCACAATGCACTTTTTAAAAAGTAAGTATTTATGATTTTTCTGGACAAATAATTTTGTACTCTTCTTCAGATTTGGCTTGCTACTGTTGGCAGGAATTCCCCCCGTTGTGTGTGTTTTGGTATTTCTCAAGGAGCTATTTTGTTAAAAATACTAAGATCTTATATTGACAGCCCAAACAATAAAGTACTTCATTTGACAAAGAAGTATTTTTTAAGAAAATAACTGTCTGATCCTTTTTATGGCTGTATAGTATTCCATGGTGTATATGTGTCACATTTTCTTTATCCCATCTATCATTGATGGGCATTTGGGTTGGTTCCAAGTCTTGCTATTGTGAATGGTGCTGCAATAAACATACCGGTGCATGTGTCTTTATAGTAGCATGATTTATAATCCTTTGGGTATATACTCAGTAATGGGATTGCTAGGTCAAATGGTATTTCTGGTTCTAGATCCTTGAGAAATCACCGCACTGTCTTCCACAATGGTTGAACTAATTTACACTCCCACCAAGAGTGTAAAAGTGTTCCAATTTCTCATCCTTTCCAGCATCTGTTGTTTCCTGACTTTTTAAGGATCACCATTCTAACTGGCATGAGATGGTATCTCATTGTGGTTTTGATTTGCACTTCTCTAATGACCAGTGATGATGAGCTCTTTTTCATATGTTTGTGGGCCATATAAATGTCTTCTTTTGAGAAGTGTCTGTTCATATCCTTTGCTCACTTTTTGATGGGGTTGGTTTTTTTTTCTTGTAAATTTGTTTAAGTTCTTTGTAGGTTCTGGATATTAGCTCTTTGTCAGATAGATAGATTGCACAAATTTTCTCCCATTCTGTAGGTTGCCTGTGCACTCTGATGATAGTTTCTTTTGCTGTGAAGAAGCTCGTTAGTTTAATTAGATCCCATTTGTCTAGTTTGGCTTTTGTTGCCATTGCTTTTGGTGTTTTAGTCATGGAGTCTTTGCCCATGCCTATGCCCTGAATGGTGTTGCCTAGGTTTTCTTCTAGGGTTTTTATGGTTTTAGGTCTTACGTTTAAGCCTTTAATCCATCTTGAGTTAATTCTTGCATGAGGTGTAAGGAAGGGGTCCAGTTTCATTTTTCTGCATATGGCTAGCCAGGTTTTCCCAACACCATTTATTAAATAGGGAATCTTTTCCTCCATTGCTTGTTTTTCTCAGGTTTGTCAAAGATCAGATGGTTACAGATAAGTGGCATTATTTCTGAGGCCTCTGTTCTGTTCCATTGGTCTATATATCTGTTTTGGTACCAGTACCATGCTGTTTTGGTTACTGTAGCCTTGTAGTATAGTTTGAAGTCAGATAGTGTGATGCCTCCAGCTTTGTTCCTTTTGCTTAGGATTGTCCTGGCTATATGGGCTCTTTTTTGGTTCCATTTGAAATTTAAAGTAGTTTTTTCTAATTTTGTGCTTTATAAAACTTGCAGATTTCTTGTATTGTTGTATATCATCATTGGAAGCTCAAATGCCTATCAGTGGAGAATCCTTATACTAGTTTCCTTTTAAAGCTTCTCTCAAATTTCAGCACACTTGCTCCCTCCCAGCAGAATTTATAGAATTAGATGTTTGGCAGAGGCTCCCTAAAGTCATCTGCTTCTACTCACTTCTTCATCTCTAGCTTCGGTATGGAGCACTGGCATTAAAGTGCTCCCCCATGGAACCCAGCTCATGGTAAGGAGAGACTTCACAATGGGTTTATTCCTCCCTGCTCTCTTCCACTTTGCCCTGATTCTGCTCATTTCAACTTCTGCCTCAAAAAATACAGAGAACATTTCCCCTGTCTCAGGGATTTGTCTCATGTCCCTTTGCCTTATGATTAGAGTGACTATGTAATTTACTATCTCAACCGAGGCACATTTTGAAAGCAAGAGCTGCAATCTTAATAATTATGCCTGCCAGAAAAACAGGCAATAAAACTGAGTTGTCTGAGATAAATCTGCTCTATGGCTACCCTATTTATGATGTATGGTTCAAAAGTGGCCACATGCTGGCATAGTTTTGCTCTCTGAGGCTTATCTTCATGGGTATCTCGGAATCTCATTGTACACTTAGTCCTTTTGAGAGGACAGTTTACCTCTCTGACCTGCTCAAGCCACCAGAGATTAATGGAAGCCACAGGAGTTATAAACAGTCTGAATTTCAGCCTAGCTTTTGGCCATTTTTCAAATACTTGTTCTCCCTTTCTCCCACTACTAGAAAGCCAACCCATTACAGCTTCATAGGGTACCACTCAGAGAGAGTATGACTGAGGTTTGAATAAACAATACATGTGGCTTTTAGGGTTAAATGAATATTGTTTGACATACAGTACACTACACTTGTTTTTATTTCAGTTCAAAAAATTGGTTAAAATTATATCTTGTTGCTTCTCAAAATTAATTAGAATCCATCTGAATCCATTAGAATCTCTGTTTTTTGTTTTGTTTTGTTTTTTACAAAAAGACTTGGCTGAATGAAAAAGCCTCCATCTCATTCAGATAATCTTTCCAGTGATCAGACAAAAAGAGCAAAGAAACAGGTTTTTTAGGGTATTGGTGCCTACTTTTTTTCAAAGTATGATATCTAAGGTTGCAAATGGACATACCTATTTTCAGCTATCCAGACAGACTGTACCCAGGTCTAGAGAACCACTTATAGCCTTATAAAATGTCAACATCTAAGAAGATAATTCCAGTTTAATTATGGGTTAAATTAAATAGAATAATTCAAATGTTAAAACGTTTAGCAGCTACTTAATAGACTTAATAGAACATTGAAGTTTAGAGAATGCAATTTTGATGACTTTGAAAGCTCAGAGGCACCAGAAATGCTAACAGTTCCTAGTATTTATATATTTAATGTATATAATTTATAATGTACATAGTATATCTTATATATAAATATAGTGTATATATACATATATGTGTGTATTTATATACAGGTTAAATATCCCTTGTCCAAAATGCTTGGGACTGGAAGTATTTCAGATTTCCGATGTTTTTGGATTTTGGAATATTTGCATTGTACTTACCAGTTGAGCATCTCTAATCCAAAAACCCCAAATCCAAAAATGCTCCAGTGAGAATTTCCTTTGAGCATCATCAGCACTCAAAAACTTCTGGAGCATTTTAGACTAGGAATACTAAAACCTGTATGATATATATAACATACAGTTTTAGTATGATATAGATGATATATATATATATATCATACAGTTTTAGTATGATATAGATGATATATATATGTAATACAGGTTTAGTATTCCCCCATTACTTGTTTTTGTCAGGTTTGTCAAAGATCAGATGGTATATATATGTGTCTGTGTGTATATATATATGTGTGTGTGTATATATATATATGTGTATATATATGTGTGTATATATATATGTGTGTGTGTATATATATATATATATATATATAGTCTCCATTACTTTTTAATGAAGTGCTGAAATTTAGGTATGCATTCTTGTCTGCAAATGCTCATCAAATACACATCACGACACACTCATCTGATTTGTGTTACAGGGTATTAGTATTCTTCTCCTATGCCTGATAGTGACTTGCCTCCTTGATTTTCCATCTTACCTCTCTGCTCATTTGTAAGAGGCGCTATGTGCTTCTATAATGCTTTGAGATTCTGACTGGACTATAAGTATTTAATGACACTCTTTAATTAAAATCCTTTTAAAAACTCTAGGGTATAAATTAAATAAACTGAACTTTTCAGAAGGCCAGCTAAGTAAACATTTTATGTCAATACCAATCATTAAATCTACATTTTAAAAGGACATTTGATGAAGAGAACTAGTCTATCATTTTTCTTTTGCAACTTGTTTTCTCCCTTTTGACTACTTAAATTAGGCTTGAAACCACATTATATAGCTTTTACATTTTGTTTTGCCATTTGCTGGTAAATCTTTACTGGTTTCTATTCGTCTCTCTAGTCCCATATTTTATTTGGCCCAGACCCACTACTGCCCACTGAAACAAGGGGGACAAGTAAATCTAAGCTCATCCCTGCTCAATCACTGTCCCCAGCTCTCCAGATTTGCAACCCAAGAGTTGTCAGATACTGATTTCCCCTTTGCCTTCCTTCCCCATCATCAAATCTTCCTTCAG
The DNA here is from genome assembly GCF_000001405.40 of Homo sapiens. Taxonomy (NCBI): domain Eukaryota; kingdom Metazoa; phylum Chordata; class Mammalia; order Primates; family Hominidae; genus Homo; species Homo sapiens. Next base: position 110,704,582 of record NC_000023.11, on the reverse strand, counting down.
GGTCTTATCAGTTTCTTTTCATCTGTAGGAGTCTCATTCAATCCTTCTTGTGTGTTATTGCACAGATGCTCATGGCCTATTACATATTACTATAGCAGCTTCCTGTATGGCCTCCTGCATTCGAGTTACTCCCCAACTAGTCTATACCCCATTGCCAGAATAGGCTTCCACAAATATCAGTTTTATCATAGGAACCCCTACAGAAAAATTGGCAACATAATCAAATGTGAATTCTTCAGCCTTTTACAAAATTTTATATTTTTTTGAATTTTTACTGTTTACTTTTTACAATTTAATTATTTTCTTAAAATTGTGTGGGTACATAATAGGCATATATATTTATGAGGTACATGATATGTTTTGATACAGGCATGCAATATGAAATGAACACATCATGGAGAATAGGGTATCGATCCCCTCAAGCATTTATCTTTTAAGTTACAAATGATCCAATTACACTCTTTAAGTTATTTTAAAATGTACAAGTAAGTTATTATTGACTATAGTCACCCTATTGTGCTATCAAATAGTAGCACATTATTTACTACCCCTATTTACCTCAACAACACACCCCACTGTCATTCTCCCTCCCTCCTTCGCTCTCCCTCTCCTCCCTTTCTCTCTACAAGTTCAATTACCAGCGTAATTTCTCTTGTTTTCATATCTGAAGTTTCTACTCAAGCCACACCTTGCTTGCTGTCTCCAGTATGTGACTTGCTGTTTACAAAGCTCTGGTCCTTTGCCAATGTCACTCCCTTTGGTTGAGGTACTCTCTGCCCTTATCACTGTCGGTTTATGCTGTGCAGTATCTACTTCTAAAAATGTGACTTAATGGTTCTTTCAGGAAGCTTTCTACGATTACATCTGACTGCTCACTCATCCCATTCAGTGTCTCCTAAGCATGTGTATTTCATTTGTATTTGCTTTTTTTGTGTGTTTTTAGGCTGTTTCCTATATTGATTTCCCATCACCTCCAACCTGGGTGTAAATATCCTGAGGGCAAGAGCCCAGCCTGATTTTCTCCTCTTTCTGCTGTAGTATCAGGCTCTTCACCCAAGAAGTGTTCAAAGCATGTTAACTGACTCTTGGGCATAATTTTCTAGTTATAAACATAGTTGAAATCATCTTTGTTTTACAGTAGTCAGTCAGGGTTTCCACAGAGTTCAGCTTGCAGTCTACAATCTTTACTCAGACATGGAATAAAACAGGCAGAAAAGAGTATATATACTATTGACCAAGCACTTAATTCTGTATGTTTTACTGCAGTTCAATTCAATACATATATTGAGCACCTGATGTGTACGCAGCAATATGCTAAGTGCTCCAGCCTGGTTATTCACAAACTCCTGCATCCATCAGAATCCCCTGGAAGGCTTGTCAAAACCCAGGATCACCAGCCCCCATCCTGAGTTTCTGACTTAGTAGGTATGGGTTGGGATCTGAAATTTGGCATTTCTAACAAGTTTCCAGGTAATGCTGATACTGCTAGTCCAGGAAGCACATTTTGAGAAGCAGTGGTCTAGGAGATACAGAGGTGGTCTAAGACATAATCTCTCATTCCAAGGAATTTACAGACTCTCTAGGGAGACAAGGAAGGCCCAGAAAACATTTAACAGTAATAAATATTGTACAGTGTTTTAGTATTTATTGATTCGACAAATATTGAATAAGTACTATGTGCCCAGCACTGCCCCAGATGCTGGAGTTACATCAGTAAACACAATAGACAAAAATCCCTGCTGTCATGGGGGGATTCTAATATGGGAAAGCAGACAATAAACAAAATAAATAAAATATAAGAAATATAAGATAGTAATAACTGCTAAGGAGAAAAAGCAAAGAGCAGGCATAAATATCAGATGGGGGTTGGAACTATAGATAGGGTGGTCAGAGAAGGCCTCCCAGTTCCATCATTTGACAAGTATTTATTGAGCGACTACTATGTATCAGGCACTGTTATAGATGATGGTGATATAGTAACACAGGTAATGAACCCTTTTCTTATGGAATGGACATACCTATTTGGGAGCCAGGTAACCTAGAGTTTTGGTGTTAATTCTCACAAACTCATTATTAGACTCTGAATGGCTACTTCCCCTCTCAGCCATGGTTTCTTCATCTGTTAAATGGAGCAGTTGGACAAAGTTATGCTTGACGTCCTCTATACTTCTAAAACTTCAGGATGCTTAGTCTTTTAGGCAATCAGAAATATGTAAGAGTGTTTGAAGAAGACTTTGCAGAGGAGAGAAAACTTAAATGGTTTTCACAGGCATGGGGGAGCTATGGGGTGTGGGAGATGGAAGGTAATTTCAGAAGAAGAATAACATGAGCTACAGCACGGAAGCAACAATGGGAGTCCAGTATTCAGTGAAGAGCAAGTAGCTCAAAGGGTTCCCATTGAAGAGTAGCTGAGATCATTGGGTAGGCAGTAGGGGGTGATTGTAGAGAGTCTTGGTTGGGAACCCACTGAGGGTTTTGATCAGGGAATGACACGATTATACAATCAAAGTGGTGTTTTACTGTTTTATGAAGATTAACCTAGCAAATAGTTAAATCCTCAAAATTCATTATTTTTCATCAGATAATATTTGAATTATGAAGATTTACAGTCATACTCTGTTATAAGTCACTGCCTGATTCTAATATTGCTATCAAACTAATTTTTAGGTCGTTTTCAAGCCCTTAAAAGCCTATGATACTACCTAATTTCCCCTAACACTACTACTACATGCTTGAACTGGTAACATGTTACTCTTTTTGTGTGTGTGTGTGACAGGGTCTGGCTCTGTTGCCCAGGCTGGAATGCAGTAGCATCATCTCGGCTCACTGCAACCTCCACCTGCCAAGCTCAAGCAGTTCTTCTACCTCAGCCTCCCAAGTAGCTGGGACTACAGGTGCACACCACCATGCCCAGCTAGTTTTCGTATTTTCTGTAGAGACAGGGTCTCCCTGTGTTGCCCAGGCTGGTCTCAAACTCCTGAGCTCAAGTGATCTGCCTACTTCGGCCTCCCAGAGTGCTGGGATTAAAGGCATGACCCACTGCACCCGGCGTGTTACTCTTATGAAGGCTTGAGAGAGTAATCAGAATAGAAAATTCTTAGTACTTACACTTTTTTGTGTTTCTGGTTATCTTATAAAATATATGTTGAATATTAGGTTTATCTTCAGCCATATATATAATTTAAATAGTACTCATTTCAAGTGATGCAAACATCTCTAAGACAAGGCTCTTCCCATTCGCTTGCTTGGTCAGAGGTAACACAAGGGCAATATTCTTGGAAATGATCCTCTTGTTTTTTAATCAGTTGAGGTATATCCACAGCTCTTGTGTGTTTGTTGCTCTAGAGGCTGAAAGTAGAATATTCTTCCTATAAGCAGTTACTTTAGAAGATAATGATAAGGAGTTCTCTGTCCAAAGAGTGGGTCATGTAGACCTAGAGAAAGGTGTGTCATAAGAAATTATGACAGATCAAATCCTCAAAACTCATTATTTTAATGGTAGTTTAAACAGAAGTGAATTATGACCTGCAAAACACTTAACTGTCACGAAGTAAAATGAGCAAAAGTGACAGTGATGGTTAAATTAGGTGGAAAGTGATTATTTTCCTTTTATTTTCCAAATTCTGCATAATGTTGCTAGGACATCTATTTAGAAAGTGGCAACTTTCTTCAGAGTTGTTTTGAAAAATGAGGCACACCCAGAGAAATCTTTCACAGCCGCTTTTTGAAGGACAGCCACAAAAGCAAAAACACTTCAAGAACTTTGGGATCATAGTACCAAAAATGTTGCTGGGTCACAAGGGTGATAACTTTCCCTTTTATGAATGTATGATTTTCTCCTTATTTCTTTTTAATAAACAGGAGATGGAGAACTGTCATGGGAACATTCTGATGGTGATATCTTCCGGCAACCTGCCAACAGAGAAGCAGTAAGTGTGAATAGCTCAAATAATTCAACACTCCACAGCATCAGGCCAAGCTTTCCTCTCCTCGTGGCTACTATTCTAGCAAATCCAAAAAAAAGGCCCGATTTCTAACACCATTTTTCTTCCCTTTTCTCAAAGTTTTTAATGTCATCACCAACTGGAAACCATTTAAGTACACTGTAAAATTGGTAACTGGAGGCAGGAAATGTGCACAAAGAAACCATAGCCCCAGCCCTTTGTCTAGGTCAGAAGTTGGTACTCTTTCAGGATGACTTGCCAAGTCTTTATGTGTTCTCTAAGGAAGCTAGGTCACTCCTATCCTCAACAGTGAGGACCTTCTGTAGGGTTGTAGGATACAACCATCTTTTTGGTGGGATTTGGTAGGTACTTCAGACATGTCCACATAAACTCTTTCCCAAGCCTTAGGCTCTCAGTCATACAGTTGGAAAAGAGGAAAGGTAGCAGTCTGGATTCTCCTCTCTTCAGCCTGGTGATGTCTCCCTTCTGTTCTCTGCACTAATCTCAGAATAAGCCTCACAAGTAGGCATCTGTCTATGTAAGTAATAGCATCTTTTGTTCTTTTGTATTTTGAAGGAATTTATAAAATAGCATTCCTCTCTAAAAATATATGTCTAAGAAGCTTTACACTACAAATTTCTTAAAATCTGAAAAGGAGATGTTCCGATTCAAAGAATCTATCATACAAAATGCACAGTGGTGACCATTGCACATAAATAGGTGTTCATCACATCCTTGTACAAAAAAAGTATGCAAGGACATTCACTGCGTTGTTGTTTTCATAAAAACAAAACAAATGGAGACAACCTAAATGTCTACTAGGGACTTGGTGTGTACATCCAATTAATGGGACACTGTGCAGTTGTTAAAAGAATACGGTACATCTAAATGTAGTAAAGTGAATTGAGCTCCAAGATATGTTAAGTAACAAAACAAGGTGCAGAATGAAATTGTACACTATCACTTCTTTATGTAAAAATTGTATGTGCATGTATATAAATGCATATAAACCAATCTGGAAGGTCACATACCAACATGTCAGGTGTGCTAATCTTAAAGGAGTAGAAGTGGGCAGGAGGAAAGGTAGATTTTGACTTTTTACTTTATATTTTCTGTATAATTTGATGTTTTCCTATAAGCATCAATTAGTTTTGTAATAAAATATATTTGATTTTCTAAAACCCTAGAAAAATCTCAGCAAGGATTGAATATGAGGCAGGAGTCCAGGGAATTACAGGGCAAGCCTGAGGATATTGAGCATGTGAGGAAGATGTTGATAGGGGATGCAGTAGAATGACTCATACAAACATCACAGTGCTGCTGAGGCTGGGCTTCCTGGTCATCACATGGGCCACTTCTAACTTGCATGCTCCCAGCTTGCCAACACCCAACCCAAAGCTTCAGCAGTGAGATGGAACCATTTCTATTTGTCTTACTCTCTATCAGTATTATTTTCTGAACACTGCTGTTTCTGAATAGTTGCAGAAGAATTGGGGAAAGGGGTTTGGAGAACAGTACTCTGGACATCTCAAAAAATCAGCATCCTGCAAGAGAGGGTAGGCTTCCCTGTTTGCTGGTTAATATAAACCCTGAGGAAAGATTTTCTCCACCCAACTCTATCTGCTTTATAGTAAGTGAGATTCCTTCCAGAGCCTGACAGGAGATGATGTCAGTCTCAGTTTTCTGTGTTGTCTGTTCCTCTTTTTCTCAGCCCCTATTTTTTATTGTGGTAGGTAGTTGAGAGTGGCTGAATTAGTGGCTGTCAACCAGATGTCATTCTAAACCAAATTTAGAGTTTAGTCACCTTAAGCTATGTGACTTATTCCCTGAGAGGCCCCCACACTAAGCACTATGGCCACCTTAGCAGTCTTGCTGGTAATGCCATGAATTAGCCTTTCTTCTTGACTTCATTTTACACTGCCCTCAATTCCAGCCCTTATCTTTCAGCTTCATTGACAGGCCTAGTGATAGGCCTGGACTTAATCCAGTACTTCCTGTAGCAAAAAAGGTCGGGTACAGAATGTGGGCCCTTGAAATAGTTATTGATTTTCAAAGGAGTTCAAGACCTATCTTTAGAAACAAACATTTGTGCCTGGTAGACCAAAATGGCCATATGGTTTCACTTTATTATAAATAAATATTTCCCTTTGTTCTAAAAGGGATAGATATTGTGGGATATGATTTGAATAATAAATAGCATCTGTAGTAATGGAAAAATATATACCTGGCACATAGTAGTCACCCAATAAATAAACATTGAATGAATGGGTGTGGGAGGTGGCGTAAAATGTGTGTGATGGTGGAGTGGGGAGGGGGTTCCTCATTAATTTTAATGCACAGGAATTTGTCTCAAATCAGAGATAAACTCTTCAAATTTGTTGTTTGCTCTTGACCAGCCTAAAATGAGAAAATAGGAGAATCCCTTCTGAATATCCTTTGCAGGCCCAACTTCCTCAGGGCAAGAAGAAAAGGCAGCCCTAACAACAGATTTCTTATCCAGGAGACTGTCCTTTTCGTAAACTGTTCCTATTTACCGGGAACCAGCAAAACCTCTGTTCAACAGAAATACAGCTGACTGGTTTCTTTTGCCAGGTGGTCTGAAAACCATCGGCTTAGCAAGTTTTATGAAGTGCACAGGAAGAGGAACCAGTGGTTCAAATATGACTCCTTTGTAAAAACCTGAAACAGTTTTTGTTTGATTTCTAAGTTGTAATTTCTCATGAATTGGTCCTCGTGCCATTGGTGGGGAGTGTGTCTGCGTGTGTGTGTGTGTGTGTGTGTGTGTGTGTGTGTGTGTGTGTGTGTGTGTGTGTGTGTGTGTGTGGAGTGGTGTGGTATGTGGGGAGGAAGAAGTAGGTGCAGACTAGAAAGCCAAAACATGAAAGCATGCATAATTTTGTTTTGGACAACAGCCAAGCCCTGATTTTTGCCCCCTGTAGATTACGTTGAAATTTACCATTAAAAAAAGTGAAAGCGTTTGGGATAGAAACGACATGAAACAGATAAAAATCCATGTCTCATTTGTACTGTCAGAACAATGGTTTGGGAAGGAAATTGGCCTAAGTGTCTTCCAGCCAGAGATAGTCCTAGGTTGGTAGTGATTAAGATACAATGTTTTAATGGCTGTATGGATTAGAATATATTCTGAAGCCGCTTTTTAAATTAAACTTTTTTTATTTTGAGATAACTATAGATTCACTTGCAGTTGTAGCAGAAAATACAGAGAGATCCCATATTCCCTTTGCCCAGTTTCCCCAAATGGTAACATCTTGAAAATCTATAGTACAGTATCACAAACATGAGGGCCCTTTCTGGACCCTGATGTTTTCTTGTCTACACCAATAAAACTCTTATATTTTAGACTTTAGAACATGAAATTCTTGGGGGTCCTCTACAATAGTGGGGATTTTTCAACACTGGAAAAGAACTGTTTTAGAGCCACCTCTAAAGCCTGAAATATTTTTCAGTCTTTCAAGTAAGTAAATCAAAAAATACCAAAATACTGAGCAAAATAAAAGATCATAGCTATATGGTCATTTCTAACTGGTTTTGACCCGCTCTCTCAAGCAGGCTAGTTGCAGCTAATTTTTAAGATAAGCTCCAATTTCACTTACAACTTCAGGGCGTTAATAACCTTTTTCTCCTTTGCTCTGAGTTACAAGGTCAGAATGGCCCCTCATAAGTCTCTTTCATTTGTTTAGGGGAGGAACTCTAAAAGAACCATTACCCTTAAATCAAAATCACACACCACCACCACCCACTCCAGCCCCCAAACAGAAAATCCTTTATGTCAGTGATTCCCAACCTTGGCTTCAAACCAGAGTCTCTTGGGGAGTATATAAAATCCTAATGCCCAGGCCTTCCCCCAAACCACTTACATAAGGATACCTCAGAGCGGGACCCAGGTATGAGTATTTTTTACAGCTCACCGGGTGATTTTAGTGTATAGCCAAAGTGGAGTATGTGGTATATGTGGTTGTGAACATTGTAGCTGAATGAACTTTTGTATCTGAAAGAACTTCTCTTTGCACCAGCTTTTAGTCAAATGGTTATAGACCACTGAGTTTGATTGGACATTCTTTCTTCCACTTTCTCCTTCTTCTCCTTCTCTTCCTCCTTCTATTCATCTTCCCCCTACTCCTACACTCCTACCATCTCCAAAAACTCAATCTTCATTATCACCATGAGTAAACTGCCTCTCCTCCTTGGCCTCAGTTTCTCTGTCTGTAAAACAAAAGACTTCAACAAGATTAGGTTCTGGGGGACTGACTGGTCTACAATAGGGCCTGTGATCAAAATTCTTGAGGATTTTGTTTTTTCATCATGATCATTTTCCTACCATTATTATATGTCCCAGGTCTGAGACGTTGGTGCTAAAGAATGGCTTTTCATTTTGTGTTCACCATCATGAGTCAGAGAACTTCTCGTACTTGCAGCTTATCCTGGGTCAACAACCTTCCCTCTCTAATTCTATCCCAGTCCAACTGCTTCTTTTTAGGATCAGTGGGACACCAACCAGCCAAACTGTCCTCTATGTGTTCCTTTGGCAAAACTTTGCCAAACTTCAAAAAGGACAGAGCAACCTATAATGGCCTTTGTGGAATGTGAGTGATTATGGCAGAAAAGGACATATGAGCCATTGTGGGAATGAGAAATATTTGAACTGAGAATCCTATCCATGTGCATGAAAACAAACTGATGCAAATTTTTATTTGTGTGAATTTTGATAGCAATGCACCAACATAGGCTCTTCTTAGATAGAATAACATTGTCTTTCAAAAGGCTAAAAAAGGTCCTCTTACTTCAGCTCCTGTTTACTCTCCCTTTCCCCTACCAGTGGCCCCTTCCTGCCAAGAGGGCAATAATACTTCCCAAAGTGAAATTTGCAACATGCCTGTCTGTGGCCCATAACTTTAAACAGTGTTTTATGGGATATGGTCAGGGGACCCCATAACTATCTTCCCAAGGTTCCTCACTATTTCTGTCACTGAATATAAAGACCTTCCTTTTCAATTGCCTGTGAAAGAGTTTTTTAATGGGTTCCCCCTCCTTCACCCCTAACAATTGCCTATAAAATACAATTAATCTTACTTGGCTTTAAGCCTTAAGGTTCCATTCTTCATTCATTTCATCTTCTTGTACCCCCAGCCTACTTTAGCTCCTGGGAGAGGGGTGGGTAGCACAATAGTCTGGTCATCACGTGTGTTGAACCCTTGCTGAAAGATTACTTGTATGACAAGACTCTAAGCTTTTCTTAGGTACCAGAGTTTTGTTCACTCAACAAGTATTTGATGAACACCTTCTAGATGCCTGACACTAAAATCTAGGCACTGGAGATATAGCAGTGAACAAAAAGTCCTTGATTTCGTAGAGCTTACATGCCAATACTGTCATGTACTATCAATTCTTCTACCTATAAAATACCTAGGGTATTTGTACTGCATTGTATGATCTTATGCCATTACCTGTCTTTAGAGTCTAAGTACATCTTATCAAGACTATACTCGAATCTCATCTTTTCCTCCTATCCAGTTCACCCTATGCATGATCAGGATTCAATGCTTTGAAACAGTTCTGATTACATTATTTCTCTAACTTTAAAAAAAAAAATCCCTCAAAGCCTTCTATGCCCTCACCTCTATTGCTTACCAAATAAAGTCTTCACCCCTTAGCCTGTCATTTAAAGTCTTCCATGATCTGGCTTCAACCCACTTTTGGAATGTTATTCTGCAACTGTTCCCTTTTATGGACTCGATGTTCTCTTCTTCACCTTCTCAACTTGTAAACCTCTGCCTGGACTATTCCACTTAACTTCTGCCTGTAAAAAAGTCTACCCATCCTTCGTGGCCCAGGTCACAAGCCCTCCCCAACTAGAAGCTCTCTCTTTCTCCTTCTGATTTGCACAGGACTGCTTACTTCTTCTGCAGCCTCTATTCACATTCTGCCTTGCGTGCAGACTACTGTCTTAACTCTTAAACTGAAATGTGAGAGTCTTGGCAGCAGGAAGGACGCTTTAGCCTTTTTGGCTCTTTTCTCCCTGAGAAGTTTGCCTGTAAATCTAGTCCTATCTTTTAGAAGAAGAGAGATAAACCTTGGCAAGTTGTCATTAAAAAAAAATTTTAATGAAAAAAATGTCAGCTGCTTGTACATGACCACATCCCTATTTCTATTGGTGTAGGTAAGCATGCAGCTGAAATCAGAGCTCACCACTATAAATCAAAATTATTGAATGACTTCTAGTATATAACTTAATCTCTGTGATCTCATTGGTGGCTTTTGGACTAAATTTGTTCTTGTTATTTTACAGAGACATTCTTACCACCGCTCTCACTATGATCCTCCACCAAGCCGACAGGCTGGAGGTCTGTCCCGCTTTCCTGGGGCCAGAAGTCACCGGGGAGCTCTTATGGATTCCCAGCAAGCATCAGGAACCATTGTGCAAATTGTCATCAATAACAAACACAAGCATGGACAAGGTAAGGGGCATCCTTCTTTTGTATACTTCCACAACAAGGCTTCAGCAGCCCTGGTCTTTGCAGGGCTGGAGCTGGGAAAGGACCCTTTCTCCCAGGAATAGCCCATATTCACTTGTGGCTCACTTAGCATCAAGTCTGTGGGTATAGTCAGGTGACTCCAGGAGACTCTTTGGACTTCCTTAAATGCAGCCAAAAGAGCATAGTCCGGTCCCTTTTGTAAACAGCCTCTTGTATTTTCTCAATTATCCCTGGGGATTGTAGGTCATTTGGGAAAATTTCTTGGGTCTTTAACAGAATGAGTGATTGTCTGTGTTTTAGTAGGGGACCCAACATTCAAAGGTACTCAGTGCCAAACATCACTGAAGCTCTTATCTATACCTTAGAAATAGCAATTCTCACACCTCAATGCACCCCAGATTACCCTGGGGCTCTCGTTAAAGATACATATTCCTAGCCCCACACTCAGATTCTGGTTAAATGTGTAGCATATGAGACTATCCTTAGAAACGAGTAATCCAGGTGCAGTGGCTCATGCCTCACAGCACTTTGGGAGGTCGAGGCAGGAGGATCACTCGAGGCCAGGGGTTCAAACCAGGCTGGGCAACATAATAAGACTCTACAAAAAAAAATTTAATGAAAAAATATTAGCCAAGTATGGTAGTGAGTGCCTGTAGTCCTAGCTACTTGGGAGGCTAAGACAGGAGGATCACTTGAGCCCAGGAGTTCAGGGTTACAGTGAGCTATGATTGTGCCATTACACTCCATCCTGGGGGACAAAGTAAGACCCTATCTCTAAATTAAAAATTTTAAAAAGGAAAAAGAGTAATCCAGTGAGAAATCCCAAAACCACCTGGCTGAGCACCAGGAAGACTGATCAGGTTAAGACTGACATGCTGTCCACTTAGTTGATCAACTGGCTACAGCAGGCACCCATAGACTTCCATAGCTTCCAATGTCTTCTTACACAGCATTTTCTGGCCTCCACCCGCCCCCTGCCCCCACCCCCACACACACCAGTAGCAGGAGTCAGGGAGGAGAAACTCAATCAAACAATTGACTGCTTCTTACTTTTTTAGGCCTCCTGTCAACCAGCTCGTTGGAGCAAGGGCTCAGCTGTTTCCTTTTATGAAACCACAAACATGTTTTGTTTCGTTTAAAGGGAAAACAAATCAAAAGCAGTTTTCTGAATGGGTTAAAAGTAATAAATTATTAAACCAAATGATTGAATAACATGGGTGAAAAACAATCCGTTACAAAGAACTCCTACCATAAATCTCAACAAAGCTAGTCAAGCCAAAGCTAGTTGATCACATCTGTTACTAGTTAGATGTATATTTCAGATTACAGATAAAAAAATTAAATTGCTTTTGAAATTTGCAGGCTTAAAAAAACATTCGAAATAAAACCATTAATGGAAAATGGTGATGTAGTAGAAGAATTGGAAATACTTACTATCGATCTGTGTTTGATTTGTATTTTATTATTTTTAAGTTCCAAGGATTTCTGATAAAAGCTTATGAAATCAGGAAGAAAGGTAAAGATAGCTTGATTTTCAATTCTAAATTGCCTCCAATAGATTCCATTTGCTGTGAAAGTATTTCAAAGCCTTTTAAAAGTGTAGGGAAATGGATTTTGAAAATCCTAAATCCCATAATTTCCACAAGGTCTCTTTAATTTCAGGGCAGAGGCTCATCCCTTGATTTTCTCCATGTCCTACAAAAACCCCAGCTGGTTTACATTTATTCATTTGCCCCCACTGATTTGGATGCAACAGTTCTGTTCTGACCTTTCTAATATAGCTCACTGAGGAATCACTTGTCCCCACCCCCAACTCCCAAGCTGGATGATTCAAAATCATCTCGATAATTTTTGGGGTAAGGAGAGGGCTATGTTTCCCTGTCCAGAATTAACTTCACCCCATTCCACTGCAGAGTCTCATCCAGTCTAGACTATTCCTTTAGTCCAAATGTTCAGGGGAGATGGAGCCTAGCTATATAACACTGGGAATCCTGCCTGCCCTGCTCATCATGGATCGTTCTTTTCCTTACATCTCTTGCTAATAATGTGGTCCTCTGATATATCTACTTGGCTCCTTGTTAGCATCAAATAAGAGAAATGATAGGAATCCACCATTTTGAACTTGAATCCAGCCTAAATTTTCTTGAAGCATACTGTGTGTCCACTTGATCACATTGTCTAGAAGGGAACGTTACTGTTTGGGGAGAAAAAAAAAAAAAGAGGTAAGGGCAGGAGAGTGAACAGCACATCTGGCCTGTCTTGTGTGATCCTGTCCACAGCCCTGACCTCACAGTTGAGGTGTCAGCTCTCCATTTTGTCTCATTGTAACATTGTGAGCCACTCCAGTTTAGGTTATTGGAAATCTTTACGTGGGTTGACCAGTTAGAGTGTCCAGTATTCTAGCAGCTCTTGCAAAGGACAGGAAAAGGCAGCTAACATTATTCTTATTTCTTAATGTGACTCAGTGGACTTGATGAGAAAGAACTAGCCCAGTGATTCATCCTTCTGAGGCCATTGTCTTGCAGCCAAATCAGCCAATTCCTAGAAATGCATCAAGTGGGACTATTTCTCCCCAACAGCCCAGCCTGAAGTGATACAACCCACCCTAGAGATGTTGTTGATTGGGATGCCAACAGGTTTCCCTGGGTGTGATGAGGTGATGGGAATAATAAGAAACACACCCAGTCCTAGTCATGACTTGAAATCTCCACAATGTCTCAGCACTCTCAAAAAGGGAGATAACTCATCCTCGGACTTCCCCATCTGCAGCCTTGTGCAGTTATCTTGGAGCCTAGCTCCATGCCTTATAGTAGGAGCCAGATATATTTGGTGTTGATTTGCATAGAAAGATACTCCTGTGGCCCCTTCCCTTTATAGGCCCCTCAGCCTGCATCCTAGATGCTTGCTCCTTTTTTGGGTGGGTCTGGGGAGGGAACAGGGTCTCACTCTGTCACCCAGGCTGGGGTGTAATGGCGCCATCACGGCTTACTGCAGCCTCGACTTCCCGGGCCCAAGTGATCCTCCCACCTCAGCCTCCCAAGTAGCTAGGACTACAGGCATGCACTACCACACCTGGCGACTTTCGTATTATTATTTTTGTAGAGACTGGGGTCTCCCTTTGTTTGCCAGCTGGTCTTGAACTCTTGGGCTCAAAGGATCTTCCTGCCTCGGCCTCCCAAAGTGTTGGGATTACAGGCAGGAGCCACCACACCCAGCCAGATGCTTGCTCTTTTAAGGTCCTTCAGAAGACATGGGGCCAATGACTTAACTTCCCACTTAACAAATGTCAGACTGCCAAAGGATATCTGTGAAGCAAGCAGTGATCAGCTGTAGCCAAATATCTATAGCCAGTATGAGGTGGGAGACTGAGGAAATTGCCTGAAATTAGAGGCATAAAAGGCTATCCCTTCACAAGTTACCCAGGAGGGCTTGGTCCTTTCCCTCTCAATCTTGACTTATCACTTTCCTTCCTACACCAAACAGTGCCGAACACCATTAAGCTCCATACTTATATATGTTGGTGGATCAGACAGACTCATAGCATTTGACATTCTGAATGGATTTGCTTCAGGATCCGGAAGAAACTGTCCCTTTGGGAAGAGCAGTAATTTTTGCATCTAGCCTCCATGGAAAGCAAATCTCCCAAGGAAATTTTCATGCCTGGAAGCACATCCACTTGAGGCATACAAATTTTCTATAGAACTGAAAATATTAACATTACATTCTACTAGAGATAGAACTCTGCTTTCATGCATTCATTTATTCTCATATATATATATGAGAATATATATATATGTGGCTGGGCGCAGTGGCTCGCGCCTGTAATCCAAGCACTTTGGGAGGCCGAGGCAGGCGGATCACGAGGTCAGGAGATCGAGACCATCCTGGCTAACACAGTGAAACCCCGTCTCTACTAAAAATCCAAAAAAAAGTTAGCCGGGCGTGGTGGCGGGCACCTGTAGTCCCAGCTACTCTGGAGGCTGAGGCAGGAGAATGGCGTGAACTTGGGAGGCGGAGCTTGCAGTGAGCCGAGATAGCGCCACTGCACTCCAGTCTGGGCGACAGAGCGAGACTCCATCTCAAAAAAAAAATATATATATATATAGATATATATAGATATACAGATATATAGATATATATAGATATATAGATATATATAGATATATAGATATATATAGATATATAGATATATATAGATATATAGATATATATAGATATATAGATATATATAGATATATAGATATATATAGATATATAGATATATAGATATATATAGATATATAGATATATATAGATATATAGATATATATAGATATATAGATATATAGATATATATAGATATATAGATGTATAGATATATATAGATATATAGATATATATAGATATATAGATATATAGATATATATAGATATATAGATATATATAGATATATATATAGATATATAGATATATAGATATATAGATATATAGATATATAGATATATAGATGATATATAGATATATATAGATATATAGATATATAGATATATAGATATATAGATATATATAGATATATAGATATATAGATATATAGATATATATAGATATATAGATATATAGAGATATAGAGATATATAGATAGATATATAGAGATATAGATATATAGATATATAGAGATATAGATATATAGATATATAGATATATATAGATATATAGATATATATAGATATATAGATATATAGATATATATAGATATATAGATATATATAGGCTGGGTGCGGTGGCTCATGCCTGTAATCTCAGCACTTTAGGAGGCTGAGGCAAGTGGATCTCTTGAGTCTTAGAGTTTCAGACCAGCCTGGGCAACATAGGGAGACCCCATCTCTACAAAAATTAAAAAAAAAAAAAAAAGCACGGCATGGTGGTGCATGTTAGTCCCAGCTACTCGGGTGGCTGATGTAGAAGGATTGCCTGAGCCCGGGAAGTCAAGGCTACAGTGAGCCACAATCACACCACTGCAACCTGGGTGACAGAGCAAGATCCGGTCTTAAAATATATATATATATATATATATATATATATATATATATATACATATATATATTTATGGACTGCCTACTATGTCTGAGGCCATTTATAAGCATCCAGAAGCTGCTGCTGAAGAATCTGGAGAAGCTCCTGAGAGTAGAATATGGCCCAAGCTGTTTTTTGGTCACAGATACTACTCGGTAAACATAGCCCCATGGCTATGACAAGAACAAAGGATGCTTGATATGTTAAGTAGTTCAGGGCTTGGGTTCTGAATATAGGGTTCCATTTTAGCTCCTTAGCTTTTAATTGCTAATTCTGCATTCTCTTTCAGTGTGTGTTTCCAATGGAAAGACCTATTCTCATGGCGAGTCCTGGCACCCAAACCTCCGGGCATTTGGCATTGTGGAGTGTGTGCTATGTACTTGTAATGTCACCAAGCAAGAGTGTAAGAAAATCCACTGCCCCAATCGATACCCCTGCAAGTATCCTCAAAAAATAGACGGAAAATGCTGCAAGGTGTGTCCAGGTAAAAAAGCAAAAGGTGCGTTGGTTGGAGGCCCTGCTTTTGGTTGACTGAGATTCTCACCTAGTCTTTCTAAACTTTCTTTAGGCATCAGAAACATAACCTTTCATATAATTGTAATGATAATATTTCTAATAATAATGAATTTCATTCTCTCTTCTCTTGAAAGACTGAAAAGGCAGTTGCTTGGAAGAAATTTACTACCCAGAAATATGCTTGTGTCTACCACACCTCTCATGTATCCCTGAGTGTTGAACTTACCTATGCTTTTCTAAATAGTAGAGAATTTAGGCTATCATGATGATAAGGAAGAATAGTAGCAGCTTTCATTTATATCACTATTAAACCCATCAAAGTACAATCACATCCATTGCCCTTTTAAGACAGGACGAGAGGCAGGTGAGTTATAGTGGAAGGAGACCAGGTTCTGATCCAAGCCTAAGATGTTGAGTGATCTTGGAAATGTGCCATATCCATTCTGAGCCTCATCAGCCTTATCTGTACAATTGAAAGTTTAGAAAAATTATCTCTAAGCTCCCTTCTAACACTATAATCCTATAATTATATTATTATTTATTTTTTAAAGATAAGAAAATTGAAGTACAAAAATCAAAGGACTTGCCCAGATTCATTCAACTAATCAATCATAAAACCAAGGCCTATAACCCAAGTCACTTCCAGCCCATCGTTTTTTCTATGCCAGTAGAAAATATTGACTGATAAAAAAGACAAGTTAATTATTTAAATGGTAGTTTTTAAAACATGAGCTAAATAAAAATATAGTCCCTAATATTGGGGTTGACAGAATATAGGATGGGTAATCAAGCATTCTATCTCTGTCTTGCCACAGGTTTCCTGTGTGATCTATAACAAGTCACTTCACCCCTCTGAGCTTCAGTTTCCTTCTTTGCAGAATGAGAGGGTTAGAGTAGATTTTTTGGGGGGCCCTTACAGCTCCAACATTCGAAGAGTCGATGATTTAGTCAATCCCAGGCACATGAATTTATCATTTCTTATGCTTCTGCAAAGCATTTTTATAAACACAGATGAAAATTCAAACATTTTAAAAAGTAGGTAGAGAGCTAAATTATATACTTCTTCAACTTAGTCCCTCATGACTAGTAGGCAAACATGCCCTGAATCAATGTGTATTTATTGAGCATTTTCCTGCAGGCCAGTGGTACTCAAACTTGTCTGAACATTAGAACCCCTTGGCGAGCTTCTACATATACCTGTGTCCCATCCCCAGAGACTATAATTTAATTGATTTGAGGTGTGGCCTGGGCTGTGGCATTTTTAAAAGATCCCCAGGTGAACATTGTGTGCAGAAAAGTTTGAGAACTACTGCTGTAGGCCCAGGGTCATTTATGGTCTTGCTACTCAAAGTGTGGTTTATGGACTGGCAACAGCTAGGAGCTGGTTAAAAATGTTGACTCTCAGGCCCCCACTCAAGACCTACTGCATCATAATCTGCATTTTAACAAGAACCTCAGGTGATTCTAATGCACATTACAGCTTGAGAAGCACTGATTTATGACACAAAATCTTCCTCAATGTAACAACCCCCATCTTCCAGAGTACACAGGGGGCAGCGTGTGGACAGGAAGGACAGGAGCTATTTGATAAGGTGTAGAGAACTGGGGCATTGAAATTTATGAGAAAATGTATTTATTACGAATACAGAGAGAACACATTCTTTTTATTTTTTTTTTTATTTTTTGTTTTTTTGAGACAGAGTCTAGCTCTGTCGCCCAGGCTGGAGTGCAGTGGCATGATCTCGGCTCACTGCAACCTTGCAACCTCCACCTCCCGGTTCAAGTTATTCTCCCGCCTCAGCCTCCCGAGTAGCTGGGACTATAGGCACGCACCACCACACCCAGCTATTCAAACTCCTGAGCTCAAGTGACCCACTCGCCTCAGCCTCCCAAAGTGCTGGGATTACAAGCGTGAGCCACTGTATCCGGCCAATGGAGAGAGCACATTCTAAGGATGATATGGACATCCGGGCCACCCAGCAACAATGACCTATTATGACTTCCAAGTCTGTGGTCTCACTGGATCCTCAAACCTTTTAGTATCACATAGTGGTAGTTTCATGAACACAATTTTCTCTTCTGTCAGGGGTCTAACACTTAATAGTTTAAAAAGTAATGCAACAAGATAATTTCAGACAAAAACTAATATTTACACAAATTACCCATGATAACATAAACCCTCTCATTGTATAATATTCCAATTTGAATCTCAGGCCTTCAGACCAAGTCTTATTTCATTGTGTGCTTAAAATTTTATTGATGCAGATGATTCAATTAAAAAATTAAATAATCAAAAAGCTGTGAGAACAAGACAAACAACAGTCATTGCTTTTAAAACAATTGTCCTCTCAGGTTGGTAATGTTTATTAAAACATTTGGTGGCCGGGTGCAGTGACTCACACCTGTAATACCAGCATTTTGGGTGGCCAAGGCAGGAAGATCTCTTGAGCCCAGGAGTTTGAGACCAGCCTGGGCAATGTGATGAGACCTCCATCTCTACAAAAATAAAAGAAAATTAGCCAGGTATGGTGGCACGTACCTCCTGTAGTCCCAGCTACTTGGGAGGCTGAGGGCTGAAGTGAGAGGATCATTGCCTGGGAGCAATGGCTGCAGCGAGCCACGATCACACCAGTACTTTCCAGCCTGGAACAGAGCGAGACCCTATCTCAAAAAAAAAAAAAAAAAAAAAATTGGCTAAAAAATTCCACTTCTAGGAATCCTAAGAAAGTAACCACAGACATGCACAAAGATATACAAATAAGAATTTTTGCTGCAATGCTGTTTACAATACTGAAAAATTGGAAATAATCTGAAAGTTCACGAATATGGGAATGATTAAACAAATTATGGTGTATCTGTACCGTGGAATATTAATATAGCCATTAAAACTCATTATAGACCAAGATTGAATGGCAGAGAAAGATGTTTGCAATGTATTTGTTAAGTAAAAATAGCAAGCTAAAGAACAATATGTATATTATGATCCAACTTTTTGTGTTAAAAAAGAAAGCGTTGACCAGGTGCGGTGGCCCATGCTTGTAATCCCAGCACTTTGGGAGTCCGAGGCGGACAGATTGCTTGAGCCCAGGAGTTCAAGACCAGCCTGGACAACATGGCAAAACCATGTCTCTACCAAAAATACAAAAATTAGCCAGGTGTGGTGGCATGTGCCCATAGTCCCAACTACTCCTACTTGGGAGGCTGAGGTGGGAGGATGGGTTGAGCCCGGGAGGTGGAGGTTGCAGTGAGCCAAGATCGCGCCATTGCACTCTGGCCTGGGCAACAGCCAGACCCTGTCTCAAAAAAAGAAAGAAAGAAAGTGTTTATATATGCTAAGACAAAAAAAAGAAACAAAAAGACTGGAGGAGCATACGGCAAAATGTTAACAGTGACCATTTTCTTGTGACTGAATTATGGGTAACTCTTATTTTCTTATTTATTTATTTGTATTTTCCAAATTTTCTATAGTAAATATGTGTTACTTTTGTATTTAGAAAACATAATAAAATTTATCATGTAAAAAACTGCCCTCCAGTATCCCAGTTGGCAGTATATTGAAGTCTGAATGATTAAACCGATTTTTCTGGAAGAGCTGCTTTTCCCACTTTCCCACTCTGCTCAAGTTTGTGGAGATAGACGATTGATTGAGCAACATGGAAGAAGAGAATTTCTGTCTCATTCTGTGTATCTGCCTCTCAGTGAGCCAGACATGGGTGTCTGCATGTTGAATCACTCCTTAGTCACATTGCCTGAGAGTCAATAGCCACATAGCCAAGGGCACCTGCTCCAGGTACTCTGCAACTGCAGAGCATCAGGAGGCATGCACTTGCTCATGCATTCAATCTGGAAATTTGTTTTAAGTACCTACTGTGTGCAAGACACGGTTACATGCACTGAGGACAGAGATGTGAACAAGACAAAGGCTACTTGCCAGCATGCTCTTTACATTCTAGCAGAAAAGAAAGACAGTGAACCCAAATCAATAAGGTAATTTTAGATTGTGATGAGTGCTGTGAAGAAAAACCAAACAGGATCAAGAGAGAGTGAATGGGGCAGGAAGCACTTTTAAAGGAGTAGTCAGGGAAGGCTTCTCTAAAGATATTTGAATAGAGTCCTGAATGACGTGAAGGGGTGAGAAATGGGATGATCATGACATTACTGGCCTCTTAAAAAATGACACATGACACAGAAGAAAAGGAACAAGGCAGTGAGGAGAGAAGTAGATGGAAGGAAGAAAGAATGGTAAATTCAGTTATGTTGAAAAGGGAAAAGAGATAAATAAAATTCACTGATAATCCAGCCAAAAGTTTCATTGTAACAAGTGATTGCAGCCTCCTACAATAACAAACTAGGACCAATATTAAAGATGTGAGTTTCATCTCTCTCTTCCCTTTGCTCTGGTAGAGGCTGACCTTGCTTTGCATATCAATGGCCACCTACAGGGTTGGGTAAGATGTCCACTTCCTGAAGATTCCCCAACTCACTTCTCACACTGTCGTGCCAAACTCCTATTAACCTCAGTAGGGAAGGCACCAGATTTAAGAGGCCGAAGAAAAGATCCAGAGCCAGCAAACAAGACATGGGGTTTTATTAGGGGCTGACATACAGGGGAGAGAGTCCAGTGGAGGTGGGCTGGACAGGAGAACCACCTTACATATAGAAACAGTCCAGTGGCAGCAGGTTGGGCAGGAAAACTGCAACCACTTGCAAACATCATGCAGTTTATATAGCATTTTCACTGAACACTCTCCCCTTAACGACCTGGCAACCTTCATCTAACCCAAAACTCAAGGCCTCTATCCCCTGTGCAGCCCCAGGGATGAGCCTGGGGTTCAGATGGTCCTCACAGACAAGGAAATAATCTCCCAGTTGGCCACGCCTGGATTCCCAAGCTCAGAACACACATTCAGATACGTCTGCCATACAGGGTCATTCTAAGGGTACACTTAAGTTATTGCTATCATGAGCATTTACTGTACATACAACCACAATACCATCCCAATACCTTGAATTTCCATAATTACATACTCCTTTTAGGTTATGGCATTAAAAGTCCCTATTAAGACTTAAAAGTTGTCCCAGCTGGAATAATACTTCTCCTTCATTACCACTTCTGCAAGGAATTCTGGAAGGCTCAGGATGGGAACATTCTCTTGGGCTGTGGAAATGGCCAGAAATGACATCAAGCACATTGTCTTCCCCAAAAGAAAATGAGAGTAGGTGAACTATAGTGATCAGAAAGCACCTTGAAGTGCAGAGTGTGAAAAACGGCGGATGTTGCTAAGTAGGTAGTTCTAAAGACAAACTTTGCTTTTCTTAGCATTTTCAAGTACCAGCCAGAGTTAAGTCAATAATGAGTTTTGTTGTTTGTAGATCCCTTCGGTCAAGTAAATTAAGCTCTTGTAGGGAAGGAGGTAGTGGTGCAAGATGACTCTTCAGGCTACTGGAAGAACTTTTAGCATATTACAGGTACTGCCAGTGCCATCATGGATTTCATGTCAGCTATAGCTGTAGCCAATATTAAGCTGGTGAGCAAAGTTTGAGAAATGAATTTGGCTGTCATTCTAAAGGTGATAATTGAATACACAGAAGTCTCTGTACACTCAGTGACCTCTTCCCTCTCTCCAACCCATTTAAAAAGTGCTAGCACGTGGCCCTTAATTACCTATCACCAAAAAGACTGGCCCACCAAGTAAATAAATAGCTAAAAAGAAGGACAAAAGGAGGAAAACAAAAAGCTTGATTCCACAATAATCCACAAATTGAGTAATTCAGTCTGGAATCAAGAGAAGACTATGGTTTTGTCCTTACAATGCCAAATGGTGGTGGGGGTGGGAAAGCTAATCAGGTTACCAAGAGACATACAATAGCAATTTGATTACAACTTCTAGTCCAAATGTGTCTGATTGGCTAACAGTGAGTCTCCCTAATTAGAGTCACAGATCCAAAGCACTCAACACTCAGTGGTTTCATCCTCAACAATTCAGATATTCTTACAGATGGCTTCTGTTGTTCTGATTTGAGTGTATGCTTTAAGTACGCAGTTCAAGAGAGTACTGATTACAAGGCCAGCAAGCAAACTTAACTCACTGATAACCAACAAGAAGAAACTTTTTAAAACAGGGGACTGAGGAAAGAGGAGGGAGGGTGGAGTGAAATGTAGAGCTTGTGCCTTTATGCCTGCGAGCTGAAATTCAACAGTTTAGTTTACACATTAAATGATCCATCGCTGAGGGACTTGACCAATTTTTTGTGTCTCCCAACCATTCATTTGGCATAGCATACATATGGCTAATCTGACATCTAGATTTTGGCACTGGTGCTGATCCGGTATTATTGTTCCCCTTACAAACAAATCAAAGAGCATTCAGAAATGTCAAGCCAATTTGGATGGATCCTTTGGGCAAGTATATGCACATAAATGAGTGTCATGAATGTTTTCTAAGTATACCAAAATGATGTCAGGGGATGTTAACCAAGGCCCTTTTTCAGCCCATTCCCTGGGCCTCTCCTGGCAACACTGAGCTGGACAGAGCATGATCCTGACCCTGTATGGAAATTCCTATGTTCTCTTAAGTGCCTAGGAGATTTGTACCTGGCTACATTTTTCCTCATGAAAGTCCACTTCTCAGTGACAGTAGTAGGGGTCTAGTGTTCCGAAGAACTATGGATTCTGTCAACACATGGACTTCAATCAAAGTTACGTGCTCCTTTGTGATTTGTGGCTTAATCTGTGGCTTGTTGCAGTGGCAGCCTAAGCTGGGCTAATGAAGTATGGGTGGAATTTCTGTCTCTCGAAGAATGTTCTTGTTAATTGTCCACTTTTGATAAGTGTGAGATGTTATGAACAATGAGATACATAAATGCAGAAGTTCACTTCTAGCTTTAGAAAACCATGACAAAATTCTACTTGCTTCCTGATTCCAGAAGAACTTCCAGGCCAAAGCTTTGACAATAAAGGCTACTTCTGCGGGGAAGAAACGATGCCTGTGTATGAGTCTGTATTCATGGAGGATGGGGAGACAACCAGAAAAATAGCACTGGAGACTGAGAGACCACCTCAGGTAGAGGTCCACGTTTGGACTATTCGAAAGGGTGAGCAAGACAACATTAATTTCTCATCTTTGTAAGGGGGCACAGAAAAGGATGAGAGGACTCACTTTAATTTTGCTTCAACCTGTTCCCTCATTTGGATTAAAAGTTCTTTTTGATTGCTTAGAAACTGACATATCTAACACTATTGTCATTATGGCCTTTCAAATTTAACGATGGCCTGTGCTAAAGATCAAGTACTGACCCTTGGGTTTCCAAAGCTGCCTATTTCACACCACCAAAAGCTGGAGAAGCGGTTCTCAACCCTGGCTGCCCATCAGAATCATCAGGGAGAGTTTTGGTTTCCTTTAAATACCAAATATCTGGGCCCTACCCCCAGAGATTCTGATTAGTTGGTCTGGAGTGGGGCATGGGCATCAGTGTTTGTTCATAATGCTTCTCAGGTGATTGTAATATGTAGCCAGGATTACAAACTGTCAAACTGTAGTCTGTCATTCTTTCCAGAATAAAGCTCAACAACCATGAAAACCCATTCATTCAGGGCAAAGCTAAGTCCCTAATATCACGATGTGTCTTCTGGGGTAAAACAAATTTAAAACATCATCCCTGCCCTCAAGAAGGTTATAGTCTTACTGGAGAAACCCCAGTCACAATGTTCAATTCCTTTTCTGATTACTCACAGTGACTACCACAGCAAGCCACATTCTGTTCATTGTGATCCTACAGCTCTTCTAACTTTTTGTAGGCTCAAGACTAGTGCTTATTTAGTGTGGTCAAGGTTCCTCACAATCCAAGTGGATAAGTGAGATTTCAGCTGGAAAATATACACATCTTTTTGCTATTGGCTCTCACATAAGGCTCAAGAGTACTCGAACTTCTGTATGCATCACCATTACACAGGGAGCTGGTTTTAAATGCAGATACCTGGCCCCATCCCAGAGATAGGAATTCAGTAGACCTTGGGTAGAGTCCAAACATTTGAGTGTTTAACAAATAGCCAGATGATTCTAATGCAGGTGGCACTTGGACCATGCTTTGAAAAAGACTGCTCAGTATTTATGAGGCTTTTTTTCTCTCCCTTTAGACAACAGCCTTTATCTAAAGAATGCATTTCTCCCTAAAAAAAAGATGCTTGAACATGTATATATTCACTCATGCTTATTTTTGGTCTATGCCTTGGAGTGTTGATTTGCCATCTTTAACTCCCTAGCTCATCCATAACAGGACACCTAGGACTAGGCACTGGTTTGTTGCGTTTCCCCAGCAGTGGGCCCACTATTCGTCATCCCACATCTTTCGCCTCTCAGAGGTGTGCAGATGAATTTCAACTTGCTAATGTAGCGTCTAAATATCCTCTTGTTCACAGTTCTGGGTTATCAAGGTCTATGCTTGGTGGACACAGAAAAAGAGGCTTAATCTACTTCGCCCATTTAAGTGGGCTGGTAATATGTTGCTCCTTCAGTATAAGGCAGTTGTCAGTTGTCTACCTGTTATTGTGATAAAAGCTATTCAGGCAAGGTTGAGACTGTGGAGAGCACTCTATTTTAACTCTCCCCATTTATGAATAAGGAAGGCTAAAGGATCTGTGAATATTTCCCAAAGGAAAATATGCTTTTCAGTGAGTTCAAGAACAAGGGTGGCTTCTCCATTTACAAAACCAACCTGCCTGCAATCCCACTGCAGGCTCTCAGTGCTTAGCCAGGAGGGCAGCCCAGCGGTTTGGCATGGACACAGTCTATCCAGGTTGGGGGCAAGTGCAGAATTTCTAATACTGCCTATGGCTGCAGAAGCTCCAGTAAGCACTTATGCTAGATTCCATGTGGCTTTCCCTAGGAGAGAGTCCCATGGTCAGCAGCACTATCTCCCTTATCTCCATCCACTGGAGAAGCCGAGGGGAAGCCAGTAAGCCAAGGAAACAAATGGAGTCAATTATAACCCTTGAGCCATCCAAGTTCCTGGTTAAGCACATTACACAGCCCAACTCGATACTCTTAAGCCCTAGTAATGAAATGATATGCTGAGCCTGAGCAGAAAAAAAGGAGTTGATGGTTCCAGATTGAGTGCCTGACCATTTGCTCCACTTTTTGCTTGGCCCTAGGCATTCTCCAGCACTTCCATATTGAGAAGATCTCCAAGAGGATGTTTGAGGAGCTTCCTCACTTCAAGCTGGTGACCAGAACAACCCTGAGTAAGTAGTACTTCTCTTGACTGCTCCCTGAAAAACACATTCAGTTTTCAATTTAGCATAGCCACAGCTAAAGTCCCTCCGCAATCTCAGTGAACATTAGCACTGCTCAGTATCAACACTAAAGGATGTTCCATCTCTCTTCTGGGTGACTTAGCAGTGAATGGGGTGTCTGAATGTAATCTGAAGAGCTTGGACATGGTGAATACAAACCCAGATGTAGTCTGAGCATAGGATACCTCAGGTCAAGGCTTCCTGAATGTCTTTAATGAAACTGCTAAGCACAGAGTCTCAAGAGGGTTGGAGAAAGCTCATAAGATTCCAGGTCTGGTATATTTATGGAGACTTCACATCTGGAAGGGTGTATCCTCTGGTGGTGGGTATGAGAGGCAAAGAGAAATTAAAGGCATATCAATTCCTGTGTTATATGAAAGCACTTTTACTCCTGGGGAACTGCCCCTGGGTGGTCATGTTTCCTTAAAAGCATTCAGGCACTCAAAAACACTTGCAGCTCTCCCACTTTCCACACTAGATGGAGCCTAGGGACTAAGATACTTCTAGGCATTGGGGCGGGTGTTGAGCACTTCTAATGGGATAAAAGGCACACAGTTTCTATCCACAGGGAATTATAATGGATGAGACAGAACATGAAAATGACTTCAGTATGAATTAGTATAGTTCTGAGGAGTTAAATATCAAAGTGCTCAGGGGAATCTGCAAAGAACAATGAGATGAGAGCCAGGTGGGCTTAGTCGGGGAAGGCTTCGGGGAGGAGGTGTGTTTTGAAAGAGAAGGGTATGACTGGGCAATGGGTCAGGAAATCAGTCCAGGAAAAGAGTGCAGCCTAAGAGAAGACTCAGACAGGAGCAAACAGGAAATGTGGGTAGGGGAGAGGAATGATCACAAAGGCCACAGAAGGTGCACTAAAAGATTAGAAGATTTGGAGGTAGAAAGTAGTCATAGGGCCTGAAAAAAAGCCAGTAAAATGTTCAAATGTAAGGCAAGTAGCATCTGTAGTTGCTGCAAATAGCATAGAGATATCAACATGGTGCTTTGGAAAGATGTCTTTCGGCTATCAGATGCATATATTACATTAAGCACACACTTTGACGAAGCCAGATTATGAAGTGCCCAATTTATCATGCTAGGACATTGGACTTGATCTCCAGGCCAGAGAATGCCAGTGGAGGTTTTTAAGCAAGTGAATGGTGCATTCAGATCTGCTTTATTTATTTTTTTATTTTTTTAGAAAGAGGTCCTCGCTGTGTGGAGTGAAAGGTGGACCCTTATTAAGAGAAGTGGGATAGTCTGAATTAGGAACTAATTATACTATATTAAATCAATGAGACGGGAGGAGACGTCACTGTGAGAAACATTTCTGAGGTTAAATCAACAAGATCAGCATCAAAGAGAGAAACGAGTTTGGAATGGGTCCGATATTAATAACTCGACTGGGTGAATAGTAATACCATTCACCAACAGGGAAACTGTGAAGAATAAGCAGGTATTGGTGAAAAAGAGTTTCACTTGGAACATGTTTAAATTAATATGCTTAAGAGCCATCTGAGCAGAGTTAGGGTCCAATAGGCAGCTAGAAAAAGAGCCAAGGCAGTCAGTTGCTTGTCTTTGGCAGGACTCATAGAAAATAACAGGACAGTATGAGAATTCAAATGGAAAAGTTGGGAGTCCTTACATGTGAGTAAGAAAGGAGGCAGAGTGTAAGATCCTAGGATCAATTATGGGACTTCTGAAGTTACATGTTTTAGTT
This sequence comes from Homo sapiens, assembly GCF_000001405.40. Classification (NCBI taxonomy): domain Eukaryota; kingdom Metazoa; phylum Chordata; class Mammalia; order Primates; family Hominidae; genus Homo; species Homo sapiens. Next base: position 110,677,570 of record NC_000023.11, on the reverse strand, counting down.
CATACTGTGAACAAGGCTTTGTTCTAGGTTCCAGGGGACTTAAAAGATGATTTAGATATACTCTGTGCCCATGGCAGGATTTGGGGTATATAATGGAGTAGAAGGTATGTGCCTCAAACTGTGTGTAGCTGAAAGAAGTTGGTATGATCCTACAGGGTCACCTAGGAGCAAAGAAGAACAAACCCAACTCTTTTATATAATGTGCCTAGCAGAGCCCAGCACATTATAGGGCTTCAGTAATAGCTGGTTCCTTGCCCAAATCCTCTTCTTGTTTTTTTGTTTTTCCTTCTATCTTCCCATTGAGTCATAGAGAATGGGGAAAAGGGAGAAATCCAAGGGAGAAAGGAGCAGAGAAATCAGGCCCATAGGGAAGGTGGGTCATTATTCTCTTGTGGCTAAGGAAAAGAAAAAGAGGTTCAAGACAGGTTTGGGCTTAAGAGGAGTTGGCTTAACTTGGACTAGGAGTTCTCCAGGTTGCAGTACCATGAGCACAGGAATAAAAAGAAGACAAAACACAGTATCCAGGGTGGGCAGAGACAACAGGGGATGGAAGGGCTACAGCCAAGTTTACTCTGCGTGGAAAGGGATTCCATGGGGTATATGAGAATGGATGAGGAACCATGGGAAGGGATTTAGGGTGCTAAGGGGGTATAAGGACAGCATGTGGACGTAGGAGAAAGCAACGTCGAGAAGTTTTTAACAAAAGATAGCAGGAATAGAGGAAAGAGTGATATATAATCAAATAGTAATCAAGTAACCCAAACCAATATTTGGGGACCCTAAGGGTAAGCAAAGCCCCAGTAATACAGTAGGTGCCGTTTTCCAAAGTGCCTTTTTGACCTGGTGCCAAGTAAGCTGCCTAAATAGCTAACAAGCAGATATTGAAGCATTTTGTAAATGCTAAATATACTGTAAAAATTCCAAGAATAACACTTAGGTTTTGCTCTTGAGGAGGGGCAGTTCTATATTATTCTTGGGATTCTTACAAATGCTATGTGTTGAAATGAAAACTTCATTTCCCATTTTCCATATCTGCTACTAGAAAAGTGTTTTGGGGCCATTTTTTGAAACCAAGTGATATTTGTATTCCAAATTCCCTGGTAGGTCCATGAGTAAGTGGGTAAGCATGGGGTATATTGGTTCTATTCCTAATTTGCTCTGCTTTCCTCTTACACACTCCCGGCCACTTTGCGTTTGTTTGCCTTTTAGGCCAGTGGAAGATCTTCACCGAAGGAGAAGCTCAGATCAGCCAGATGTGTTCAAGTCGTGTATGCAGAACAGAGCTTGAAGATTTAGTCAAGGTTTTGTACCTGGAGAGATCTGAAAAGGGCCACTGTTAGGCAAGACAGACAGTATTGGATAGGGTAAAGCAAGAAAACTCAAGCTGCAGCTGGACTGCAGGCTTATTTTGCTTAAGTCAACAGTGCCCTAAAACTCCAAACTCAAATGCAGTCAATTATTCACGCCATGCACAGCATAATTTGCTCCTTTGTGTGGAGTGGTGTGTCAGCCCTTGAACATCTCCTCCAAAGAGACTAGAAGAGTCTTAAATTATATGTGGGAGGAGGAGGGATAGAACATCACAACACTGCTCTAGTTTCTTGGAGAATCACATTTCTTTACAGGTTAAAGACAAACAAGACCCCAGGGTTTTTATCTAGAAAGTTATTCAAGTGAAAGAAAGAGAAGGGAATTGCTTAGTAGGAGTTCTGCAGTATAGAACAATTACTTGTATGAAATTATACCTTTGAATTTTAGAATGTCATGTGTTCTTTTAAAAAAATTAGCTCCCCATCCTCCCTCCTCACTCCCTCCCTCCCTCCTTCTCTCTCTCTCTCTCTCTCCCTCCCTCTCTCACAGACACACACACACACACACACACACACACACACACGCACGTCCACACTCACATTAAACGAAAGCTTTATTTGAAGCAAAGCTAGCCAAGATTCTACGTTACTTTTCCCTTGACTGGATCCCAAGTAGCTTGGAAGTTTTTGTGCCCAGGAGAGTAAATAACTGTGAACAAGAGGCTCTGCCCTTAGGTCTTTGTGGCTGTTTAAGTCACCAACAATAGAGTCAGGGTAAAGAATAAAAACACTTTCATAGCCTCATTCATTCACTTAGAAGTGGTAATAATTTTTCCCTAATGATACCACTTTTCTTTTCCCCCTGTACCTATGGGACTTCCAGAAAGAAGTTAAATTGAGTAAAATCATCAGAAACTGAATCCATGTAAGAAAAAATAATTGTTGAAGAAAGAAGTTGATAGAATTCAAAAAGGCCATCTTTTTGCTTTCACATCAATAAAATTTACCAAGTAATAGATCAGTACTCACTAATATTTTTGAGACCATAGTTGTCTGGTCAGAAAAATTATATTAAATTAGTAAATTCTAGAAGCTCTTTAAAAGGGAAGTTTTCCTTCTTCTCCAATTATAGGAGTTGATTTTTACTTTGCAAAGTGGCTCGGTCCTCATGAGCATCTGCATGTTGACTCTTCAGTTAAGAAAATTGTTGTTCATTTAGGGAGGTGGATATTCTGATGAAGATCTTTATCCTAAACCTTCCTACTATCCTTGTCTTATTCATCAAGCAGATATTTTAGTCAAGAATTCCAGAGAAGGCTGCTCCTAAAATGTCTACTTGCAGCCCAATACCAGAGCATAAACTATCCATTCTGGGGTCTGGCTTTAGAAATCATCTTTGTGGGAAGACCTAATTCTTCACAGCAAGGATCTCAGGCATGCCTTCTAGATTTGTTCCCTCTGAGGGGCAGGAATGAACTGTAGAAATGTTTTAAGGACCCAGAAACCCCATATGTCTCATTCCATGACTATAGGTGAGAGAATTCTTTCCTAAGAGGGTTTGATACCAATAGGGGAAAATGTAAAATGTTCAGTCTTTATGACAACCTGGCATAAAGGAGTCAATTCTTATGAAAGAGACACAAGGGCCTTATGGCCAGGGTTTCTTGGGACAAGACTCTCACCAGCACATCACACACGTTCTCCTTGGAAGAGAGAAGCAGTACATCCCGGTTGAGAGGTCACAAAGCATTAGTTTGTGTGTGTGTGTGTGTGTGTGTGTGTGTGTGTGTGTGTGTGTGTGTGGTAAAGGGGGGAAGGTGTTATGCGGCTGCTCCCTCCGTCCCAGAGGTGGCAGTGATTCCATAATGTGGAGACTAGTAACTAGATCCTAAGGCAAAGAGGTGTTTCTCCTTCTGGATGATTCATCCCAAAGCCTTCCCACCCAGGTGTTCTCTGAAAGCTTAGCCTTAAGAGAACACGCAGAGAGTTTCCCTAGATATACTCCTGCCTCCAGGTGCTGGGACACACCTTTGCAAAATGCTGTGGGAAGCAGGAGCTGGGGAGCTGTGTTAAGTCAAAGTAGAAACCCTCCAGTGTTTGGTGTTGTGTAGAGAATAGGACATAGGGTAAAGAGGCCAAGCTGCCTGTAGTTAGTAGAGAAGAATGGATGTGGTTCTTCTTGTGTATTTATTTGTATCATAAACACTTGGAACAACAAAGACCATAAGCATCATTTAGCAGTTGTAGCCATTTTCTAGTTAACTCATGTAAACAAGTAAGAGTAACATAACAGTATTACCCTTTCACTGTTCTCACAGGACATGTACCTAATTATGGTACTTATTTATGTAGTCACTGTATTTCTGGATTTTTAAATTAATAAAAAAGTTAATTTTGAAAAATCATCTGTAGTCTTGTTGCATAAGTAATTGACTCTCTGGTCAGTGCTGACCTTGGACAGGGTAACAAGTCATGGATGGGTGCGGTGGTTTCACAATAACCTTGACATTCTTATACTATAGCATGGTGGTTAAGAGTGTGAACTTTGCAGTCAGACTATTTAGATTTTTAAGCCCAGCTCTGTACTTACCAGCCGTATTTGTCAGTCTTTCCAACTATAAAATGGAATAACAGTGATATTATTTCCCTTTGCCTGCAATCTTGCAGTGAGTTTTAATTTAGTCATTGCATATAAAGTGATTAGAATAGTGTCTGGCGCATAGTAAGTATTCATTTATGACCATGGACATTCATGGATGTCGTGGCACTGAAAATGGCTATTGTTTTCTGACCTCCCTTTAGGTCAAGATACTTAAGAGATTGGGTACAGAAGGCCATTGGGTACAGAAGGTTTCAATGTGGCCTCAATTTTGGTCTGCTGCTCACATTATTTTTTTACAGGCATTTGTATAGGGATCAGAGTAAGAGTTTTGTCACATATGTTGATCCAAACCAAATTCCCTCAAGCACCCAATACTAGCTAAATTTGTGCTATCACAGAAGCCAAAATATGAGAGTGCTTCAAGAGAGTAGTCAAACGTGTCATGTCCTGCTGAGATGTCAAATAATATAGAGACAGAAAAGTATACATTGGTGTTAGCAACACAGAAGAAAAGTGTTGGTGTAGTGATTGGAACAGAAACCACATGGGAGTGGACTGTAAGAAGTGTGTGGGGAGATGAGGAATTGGAGACAGCAGCTAAAGACAACTGTTTAGAAAAGTTCTACTGCAGAGTCTGGAGAGATATGGTGAAGGAAGGAGCTGGAGAAGGATATGAGGTCAAAGGAAAGCCATTTTGTCTTAAAGGTGGGAGCTCTTTGGCCATATCTGAATATTGGGTGGGGGGCAGGGTCCTATAGAAAGGATTGAAAATATTGAGGAAAAAGAGATTATCCTGTCATGTGAGATGCATAAGAAGCCATGCCTCCATGCTGCACCCCTGGAACTCACAACAATTCTTGACCCACACCCTGGATGGAATTTTGGCCTCTGGTTGCCAACACTCATGCTGAGCTACGCGTAGTCCCTCTTTACACCCAGCACACTTTCTTCTGGAACTTTGGGCTATAGATCCCAGTATTGCTCCACCTCCATTGAGGAAACTGCAAATAACTCAAACCAGAGAGCTTGGCCCTCTTTCTCTGCTTAGCCACATCAGAATTTCACCCAGTCCTGTCAATTTGGTCTCCTAGATGTAGAAAATGTTTACAGGTTTTTCTTCCCTATAGTCTCCACTTATCTGCCCCCACTGTGATTCCCAGGAAGCACTGACAAGTCCTGTCTGTTACCACATGTTACCACCCTTTCATTCCTTTCTTGCTTTGACCCTTGAAGAAGATCAGAATATGACACCCCAAAATGTGACACTTTGGCAGAAGGATTATTTTGACCTGCAGGAAATTGAGAACCAACAGATGTAGAAACAGTTCTCTGCCTTCCCCTTATCTGCCTAAAAGCAGGGGGATGAATTTCCCTTTGAGAAAGGTGCTCCCCTAATATGGTTTGGGTTTGTGTCCCCACCCAAATCTCATGTCGAATTGTAATCCCCAATGTTGGAGGAGGGGCCTGGTGGGAAATGATTGGATCTTGGGGACAGATTTCCTCCTTGCTGTTCTTGTGATAGTGAATGACTTCTCATGATATCTGGTTGTTTAAAAGTGTGTAGCCCCCCCCCCCTCCTCTGTCTGTTCCTCCTGCTGTGGTCATGGAAGAGATGCCTGCTTCTCTTTTGCCTTCTACCATGATTGTAAGTTTCCTGAGACCTCCCCAGAAGCCATCATGCTTTCTGTACAGCCTGTGGAACCATATGCCAATTAAACCTCTTTTTTTGAATATAAATTACCTAGTTTCATGTATATCTTTATGGCAGTGCAAGAATGGACTAATACACCCCCATTCATACCAGGGAGAGAAGAGTGACTCTAATCATTGAAGATTGGAAGTCAACAACAAGAAGAGTTTGCAGAAACAGACTGCTATGGTTTGGATATGGTTTGGCCTCACCAAGTCTCATGTTGAAATTTGATCCCCAGTGTTGGAAGTGGGACCTAATGGGAGGTGTTTGGGTGATGGAACAGATGACTCATAAATGGCTTGGTGCTGTCCTTGTGGTAATGAGTGAGTTCTCACTCTTGGTTCCTTCGAGAACTGGTAGTTAAAAAGCCTGGCCTCTCCTCCTCTGTCTCTTGCTTCCTGTTTCACCATGTAATCTGCACACGCCAGCTTCCCTTCTTCCACCATGAGTGGAAGCTACTGGAAGCCCTCACCAGAAACGGTTGCTGGTGCCATGTTTTTTGTACAGCCTGCATAACCATGAACCAAATCAACCTCTTTTCTTTATAAATTACCCAACCTTAGGTATTCCTTTATAGCAACACAGACTAAGACACCAACCTTACCAAACTAGCCCTTACCCTCCATTAGTTCCCCTGTATATTTTCTAGTCACTTTCCTACATTTTATCCTCCCTTGAATCCCAAACCTTTCCTTTGTTAAAAGGATGTAAAGGCCCCAAGTGTAACCACTTGAGTTTCACTTCCTTTTTATGAATTTCTGTACATGTAAATATTAACAAAAATTGTGTGCCTTCCCTTCTATTAATCTGTGTTTTGTTAGTTTAATCCACAGGCTCCTAGTTACTGAACCTAAGAGAGTAGAGGAAAAGTTTTTCCTCCCCAACACCTACTTCCATGATGGGCTCTGCTAGAAAAAAAAAAAAAAAGTCCATTGACTGCCTGTATGGCTACACATATCACCACTGCTGCCAACTGTGCTATTCCTGGTAGGGGCTCTTTCTGCTGGTCTAGAGATGCCACCACAGTGGTGATGCTCTGGAATCCTCAGCGTTCCCAAATGGCACCAGATCCTGTGCACAAGTAGAGAGAGTACCCTCTTTCCTCCCAACCTGTGATGTTACACTTTATCACCTTACATGAAACCAGTTAACAAATAGTTCTTGAGTGTGTATTGTGTGCACCAAAGCAGGGTCTTCCTGTGTCCCAGAGTCTCACAGTTTTTTGTGCAAACAAGTCATTCAGATTCTACTTTTATCCCTTTTATCAGGGCTCGCTTGCCAGTATGCAGAGTCTGTGCTGAGTACAAGCCTCCAAGACAGACATATTACTGTTTTCCAAATTCCTCTTCTTTTGTGGGTACATGTACTGCTTCCATTCCCCTCTGAAATCCTCACATAATTTGACATCAAGGGGCCCACCCCACCAGCCTAGCAAACATGCCCAGACACCTTTGAAAGCTCCACATGGGAGAGGTAGCTTCTTGAATGCAGAGCTCCACCTACAGAACACTGTCCCCCAAATATTTCATATGCGTGTACAACTTTGTGCCTTTGTATATGCTCTTTCCACCACTACAGTGTTCTTTCTTCTTCTGTGACTGGCAAACTTCTACTCATCCTTCAAACATCACTGCCCCTGTGGAACCTTGCCTGCTCACCTCCTGGTTTGCCACCATGTTCCCTTTCTCCTTATATACTGTATCTTCCAACCATGGCAGGCAACTCCGGGATCCTGGAACTTACCACATTCTCAGGACTTCTGAGCCTTCATATACAGCTCCCTTTGCCTGGAATGTTTATTCCCTGATGTCTCTACTTAACAAACACCTACTAATTGTTAAAAGCTCATATTGCTCAGCTCTGAAAACTTGTCCACCTCCTTCAGGCAGGTTAGTTAGTTCTTCCCTACCCCATGCTTCCAGGAAATAATCACCAAAGTATTTTTCCTGTGCCAACCACTATAGTAATCAATTGACATTCATGTTTTTTCATTTAATCCTCACCATAGCCCTGTGTGGGAAGTATCATTATTGACCCTATTTTAGACTTGAGAACATTGAAGGCATTCACCTTTTACATGCCATTATATGTAAAAACATGAAATGTTTGCTCAGTCATGGTCTCCATGATTAGATTGGAAGGCTCTGAGAAGTTAGGGACCCAATGTCCAGCACGTCCAGACATTCAGTAAATATTTGCCAAGTGAAGAGTCCATCTGGTGAGATTCTTTCTCCATTTGGGAGAGCAAGCAGTTCAGGGAATACATAAATATGCAGAGGCTAGGCAGATTTTCAGGACATTTTCTCTGTACCCTACTCCAAAGAAAACTAATAAAACCTGTGTTAATAAGTACAAATGAAAAAAAGGTCTTATTTGCTTTGTAAACTGATTTGCCATAAGATGTCTTTCAAAATAAATGATAAATATTAGATTTATACATCGATTTTTCTAAATGCTTAAAGCAAAATGTCCTTGCATGTGTGGCATAGGCTTCACAGTAATACTAAGCTGTGAAGGATTTTTGCTAAGACTTCAATATTGTGGATAAGTAATATCTATATTTCTACATATGCTATCTATAATATATAATATTTATAATAGCTATAATATATATTACAGGCTGGACATGTTAGCTTATGCCTGTAAGGGAAACATAGTGGGACACCCATCTCTACCAAAAATTTAAAAAATAGCTGAGCATGGTGCACATGCCTATAGTCCCAGCTACTCAGAAGACTGAAGCAGAAGGATCACTTGAACCCAGGAGTTCAAGGCTGCAGTTATCTATGATCATGCCGATCATGCCACTGCACTCCAACCTGGGTGACAGAGCAAGCTCCTGTTTCATATATATATATATATATATATATATATATATATATATAAATATATATATAAATATATATATATATAAAACAATACTTATATATCTTTATATCTTTCTCTCTGTGTGTATGAATACTTACGCTCCAACGTGGTGTGTATGGAGCCTTCACAAAATGGCCCACACAAGAGACCCAATGCCTGACTTCAAGTTAATGTAGACAGAAGGAATTCTAAATTGCCTCCCAGTATAAGCAGTCCCCAATGTAAGAATAACATATTGGCCAAAAGTTTAGAATTCAGTATGCATTTTCTTATTGAAATATCATTCTATTTGATCCTCAGATTCCCAGGCCAGTCCACACAAGTCTCTTGAACCCTGAATGTAGCCAAGTTATATATAGTACTAATTAGTACCCGCTTAAGCTCCATCCTGGGGGCAGGGGCAGGTGGTGAGGAGAGGAGTGAGCAGGGAGTTTCCTCTCACTTTTCTGGATGGGATGGATGGGAGGGAGGCAAGGCACAGGTCCTAGGCAAAACCTCAAAGAAGACAAAGTTTGTACTTGACAGCTTCCTCTCTCCATGTCATCATGCACTCTCTGGATTCTCAGTGCCCTCATTCCTCCCTTCAGATCCAGCTATCCCACCTGCCTTGTTCCACAAAGAACCTCAGGCTCCGCCATTAACCACCTCACACAACAATCAAAACCTAAATCCCTCCAGGGCAGCTGTCTGGCATTAGGAAGGAAGCAACTTAAGTGAAATAAATGATAATTGCTTAACCCTCAGATACCTTTTCACTTTTAAATACTTTATTATTCTTTATTACCCTCAAAATGCATTCCCCAATTACAAAAATAAAGGCAGAGGGCTAAAGTGAGTGAAAACCTTCTGGCAGTGGAAGCAATAGAAGGGAGTTTTGGGAATGAGAGGGATGAGATTTTGGGTGATGATAGAAGTAGGCAGCACCAACTAAATAGGCCATACCTGTCCTTCCTAAGCATCTGTAATGTAATCCAGGCCTTCTCCCCTTACAAAGAGTGCTAATGTTATTCCTGCTCTTCCGACTTTCTCTTTCTTTCACTTCTGAACCTGCTACTTCTCTAAAATGCCAGGGGTTTGGGTTTATTGTGAGATGTAGCAGCTTGCATGGCAGCCAGAGGCCCTGGTGAGGAGGAAGGGGCTGATGGTCTACACGTGTTCCTGAAAACTGTCTGTGCCATTGTCCTCTGGCATTCACGTGGGCGTTGCCATAGGAGGGAGCAGCTCAGAGAGGAATTCTGAAGCTCTGGAATGCATCCGCATAGGGAGCCCTCTTCCTCAAGAGGTAAGTGGGGGAGGGGAAGGAAACGCTGCAGAAGGGCATTGGCCCTTTTCAGTCCTTCAATAAACCTGTTTACCTCTGTTCAACTTATCACCAAAATTAATAACAAAATAACTTTGGGGTCAAAACTATTGAGAGGTTCACTCCAATCAGGGAATCAGGAGAAGACAGAGTTAATACACGCAAACAATTCGTATTTCTTGTTTCCTACATCTCTTAATCTTCGTTCCCTCATCTGTAAAATAAGGATAAGAATAATCTCTATCCCATAGGTTTCTTGTCAGGCTTAAATGAGTTAATAAAGTGTTCATGAGAGTGACTGATGTATAAATGCACAGTAAATGCCTTTTAAAAAAATTAGACCAGGTGTGATAGCTTATGCTTGTAATCCCAGCAATTTGGGAGGCCAAGGCAGGAAAATCACTTAGAGACCAGCCTGGGCAACATAGCAAAACCCCATCTCTAAAAAAGTTAAAAATAAATTAGCTGTGTATGGTGGCACATGTCTGTAGTCCCAGCTACTTGGAGGCTGAGGCAGGAGGATCACTTGAGCCCAGAAGTTCAAGGCTGCAGTGATCATGCCCACTGCACTCCAGCCTGAAGGACGGAACAAGACGCTGTCTCTAAAAAAATAATAATAAATAAAAATAAATTTAAAAAACTAGGTGAACACTTTGTTCATGATCTCTAGTAGTTAAAAGAAAAAGGAAAGCAGTCTCAGGCTGGGTTAACTTCAATCAGACAGTGGAACTTAAGCACGTCTTTGAAGGAAGTGCCAACCTGAGATGGCCAACTAGGAGAAGCCTTTTGGGGGGTCCTGGTATAAAACAGAAGAGGAGACTGTCCCTGCAGAGCTTCAGCCAAAACTTAGTAAGAAGAAGAACCTGACTTTAGTGCCAAAGAGAGGAGGAAAAATCTACACACTAGAAATTGGGAGTTGTGGCTGTTGCATTTAGTTTTACTCACATGACTACAAGGTGGGAAAACTGGTTAACCACACTTTTTTTCCAAAAAAAAAAAATGATCTTGGGGTTGTTTTTGACCATAATTTCAATAAAAACCCACAATATAACACGTGACATGGTTATTTCCAATGTTCATTTACTCATAGGCTATAATAACAGAAGGGCTTTCATTCATTCATCAGCTATTTACGGACCACATACAGTGGGCCAAGCACAACACTTGCTTCTGGGGTTCCAATGGTGAACAAGATAGATGCAGTATCTGCCCACATGGAGGTTACAGTCTACTAAGGAATACAGACACTAGACAAGTTATAACACGTGTGATGGGTAGTATGAAAGGGCGAGTCCAAGGTGCTGTGACTAAGTCATGGGGACTTGTCCTCATCATGGAGAGACAAGGAAGACCTTCCAGAGGAAATGACACTGAAGGTGAGACTTAAAGAAGAGTTAGGAGATGGGGTTCCATACCATATTTTGTTTGAAAACAGTGTTTCACTGCCTTAAAAGAGTTAGAACACCATTGGACTAAAGCGTTGATTCTTCAGGTAACTTCTGTTATAACATAGGTGCCCCTGGTAGAGACAGCTGGTAACCCCTATAAATATTTCCCTATAAATAAATTCCACCAAGGAAAATAAAAAGCACAGCCTTAGGGGGTTAGAGCACAAGACAGGAACATTTTGATAGAGGGAAGGGATATAAATCTGAAGTATTACCTGAAAAGTCAGGCTTAAATATGGCTCTCCAAGGGGAGATGAGGGAATCACTTAGGTGCTGGGGTGGGGGCAGTGGTATACCAAAGTGAGAAGTATTTTATCAATGACTGTTTAGAATTGCCAGCATGTGGTTATAATAAAAGTCTGACCAACTTTAGTCAGTTTTAATATTGTTTTTAAATTATTCATAAACAATGCACCTGCTTATTGACTGAACCCTGTTGGAGCACTCTCCACCACCCCCCACCACCACCCTGCATGCCACTAGATGGCAGTCACACAGAAGTTGGAGAAAGGCAAACACTAGTAGTATTCAGCCCAGTTTTCCGGAGCCCTTTGCTCTGCAATTCTAAGAAAATCAGCTCTCTGGAGTACCTCTTGGGATATGGCCTCTTCTCAAACAGCTGAAGTCATTATTGTACACTTGCCGTGTTTGTGCAGGGGAAAGTAGCCACTTATGGCCCTGAACTCATGTCAGGCAGAGGGGAGAATTTAGGCAACTATCTGGTTGTCAGGCAACCAAAAACCCCTTCTGCAAGGACTAACTGATTGTTTTCTCAAATGTCCCTTTTGCTTTGGTTAGTGGAGACCTAGTCTGAGTATGATTACTCTCCTGGATCTGAAACAAAGGCATAATCACATGGGGTAGGATTGGAAAGGACCAGATATTAACCCCAAGCCACAGACAAGGGGATGTCTGGAGCAAGACAACAGGCTTGAGAATGCTCTGATGCAATGCAGTGGGTAAGGAGGAGGGTGTTTGGGTGAAAGGAAAAGGTCAGTTTGCATTTGAAGTCAAAACTGTGGCCTATGGGATGCCCTGAAGTTTCGGAAACTGAGGACAAGCTCCAAGAATATTGAGACATTCTGGCAAGTTTGGAGAGGGAACCCCTCCAGAAAAACACAGACAATTCGAGCTGATTGAATGGCTTTGGATACAAAATGGGACTCTGTGTTGGATGAGAGGGGAAAGTTTGTCAGCAAGTATAGGCGAAGGAGGTTCTGGGACAGAGCAAAAGGAAGGGAGGACCTCAAAAGTAAAGGAATTCTAAACGTCTTTTCAAGATTGTAGTCTGCTAAAGTTTTGGGGTAGATATGACTATCTCCTTGTCCTCCCAACAAACTAAGAAGTAGACAAATTTGGTCTTGGCCACATATTTTGCTGTCCCCTCCTACCTTTTAGCTCCCATCTCTGGTGCTCAGCGCCCTCTTTTTTCCCTTGGAGTGTTTTCCAACATTGGTAGAAGTTGGAGAACATTTGGGGTTTGGCTCTTTGGAGTGGTACTAACCAAGCAATAATTCATCTATCAAAGTTTGACTACTATTATAAGTATAAAAACTGTCGAATTCCTGAAGCACACATGGCACCCAAAAGACTAATTCTAACCCACTAGACCTGCTTGGAGCCATTGCTGATCCCCACTCTGCTTTTAGGATGAAAGTGTTCAATGCCCTACCCTGAAGCAAGCTGATTAATTCAGGCTAATGTGTTAATGACTGCTAATACGTTGATGCCCTACTAAATGAAACATTTGTACCCTATGAAGAAAGGTCTTTGTTTAATTTAGTGGTTCCTAAACATTTTGGGTCCATATAACTTATTTTATCAATCAAAACTATCTGATTATCCCATGACAGTAGTTGCACTCCTAGTGTCTGCTGATTGAGAAAATATATAATGAAAAAGGTTACTATATAATAAAAAAGTTACATATGCAGAAGATTTTTTTCCTTTATTAATCACAACAGTACCCATGTATGATTGAGAAATAGTAGCAAACGTGTGTAAGATATATTTAATCAAAATAAAAGCCTCGTTCACAAGCTGATTTGCAGGTTTCTCACATAACTCCTTGGCTCCCCAGAGTGTTGTGGCCCCAGATTAAGAACCACTGTCTGAACGAGAACAAAAATGATTGAAGCAGAAACTTTAAATCTCTTTTAAAGCTTCATACTGAAGATACTTTAATGTCAGGAGGGTAGGATAGAGCCTCTCCCCAGTACCTCACAGATGTATTTTCTGTAGGAGGTCTGGGCAGGGCTAGTTAATAGCTAACAAAATAAAAATAAAGTAATGTTCCTGTTTCAGGGAGCCACCCTAAGTGCTCATGTGAATAACTTCCACAGAGACCAATGAAGCTGGTGGAACATTCAGGGTTTAACTTTTGGAAGTAGAGATTGCCAAACAATAGGCCATTCATTAAAGTTTGGCTACCATCACAAATACAAAAGAATCAATTTCCCCAAACAGGGCTAATGGAGAAAACCCACACAACTCTGTGAATATACAAAAACCCGCTTAATTGAACACTTTGAAGGGGTAAATTGTATGACATATGAATTATGCTCAATAAAAGTGTTATTTTAAAAACAAAATGAGTATCATCAGGAGCACTTAGTTCAACACACTTGCCAATATTAAGTTCCCCATATCTGAGCACCTTGTACCTCCAATATCCAGGGCCTGTGAATTTAGGCTATCCTCAGCTCCGCAGAAGGTTGACTCTTACTGATATTGTCTATCTGCCTTTGTATATTCTGAGAGGAGATGATGATGATGAAAAACATCAGATAGTAAAGGAGAGTGGAGGGGTTAAAACACCAACACTGAAATCAGTCAGCCTGGTTCCCTGTCCTTGCTGTGTGACTTTGGGTATGTCAATGCATCTCTGTGAGCTTCATATTTTAAATCAATGTGTTTTATCACATTGCTTGCTCCTGCCTCCTGACATTGCTTTATATAGAAGTGTTTTCTTTCATCTCTGAATATTTGAATATTTTCTAGATATCTTTGTTATTGAATTTTAATTTATTCTATGAATATCATTGAATGATTTCTATTCCTTTAAATGTCTTCTTTTTTGCTACTTTATCTATATCTATATAGTTTTCATTTTAGATTCAGGGGTACATATGCAGGTCCCACAATATGCCCTCTCTTGGGTATATGTGTTCCATATACACTTGGAAAGAATGCATATTCTCCTGTTGTTGGGTGAAGTTTTTTACAAATGAAAGTTAGGTCAAGTGGTTGATAGTGCTGTTTTGGTTTTCTGTATTTTTTTTTATTTTTATATTTTATTTATTTATTTATTTTATTATACTTTAAGTCCTAGGGTACATGTGCACAACATGCAGGTTTGTTACATAGGTATACATGTGCCATGTTGGTTTGCTGCACCCATCAACTCATCATTTACATTAGGCATTTCTCCTAATGCCATCCCTCCCCCAGCCCCCCACCACCTGACAGGCCCTGGTGTGTGATGATTCCTGCCCTGTGTCCATGTGTTCTCGTTGTTCAACTCCCACCTATGAGTGAGAACATGTGGTGTTTGGTTTTCTGTCCTTGTGATAGTTTGCTTCGAATGATAGTTTCCAGCTTCATCCATGTCCCTGCAAAGGACATGAACTCATCCTTTTTATGGCTGCATAGTATTCCATGGTGTATATGTGCCACATTTTCTTAATCCAGTCTATCATTGATGGACATTTGGGTTGGTTCCAAGTCTTTGCTATTGTGAATAGTGCCACAATAAACATATGTGTGCATGTGTCTTTATAGTAGCATGATTTATAATCCTTTGGGTATATACTCAGTAATGGGATTGCTGGGTCAAATGGTATTTCTAGTTCTAGATCCTTGAGGAATCACCACACTGTCTTCCACAATGGTTGAACTAATTTACACTCCCACCAACAGTGTAAAAGTGTTCCTATTTCTCCACATCCTTTCCAGCATCTGTTGTTTCCTGACTTTTTAATGATTGCCATTCTAACTGGCATGAGATGGTATTTCATTGTGGTTTTGATTTGCATTTCTCAGACGACCAGTGATGATGAGGGTTTTTTTCATATGTTTGTTGGCTGCATAAATGTCTTCTTTTGAGAAGTGTCTGTTCATATCCTTCACCCACTTTTTGATGGGGTTGTTTATTTTTTTCTTGTAAATTTGTTTAAGTTCTTTGTAGATTCTGGATATTAGCCCTTTGTCAGACGGGTAGATTGCAAAGATTTTCTCCCGTTCTGTAGGTTACCTGTTCACTCTGATGGTAGTTTCTTTAACTGTGCAGAAGCCCTTTAGTTTAATTAGATCTCATTTGTCTATTTTGGCTTTTGTTGATGTTGTTTTTGGTGTTTTAGTCATGAAGTCTTTGCCCATGCCTATGTCCTGAATGGTGTTGCCTAGGTTTTCTTCTAGGGTTTTTATAGTGTTGGGTCTTACATTTAAGTCTTTAATCCATCTTGAGTTAGTTTTTGTATATGATGTAAGGAAGGGATCCAGTTTCAGCTTTCTACATATGGCTAGCCAGTTTTCCCAGCACCATTTATTAAATAGGGAATCATTTTCCCATTTCCTGTTTTTGTCAGGTTTGTCAAAGATCAGATGGTTGTAGATGTGTGGTGGTATTTCTGAGGCCTCTGTTCTATTCCACTGGTCTATATATCTGTTTTGATACTAGTACCATTCTGTTTTGGTTACTGTAGCCTTGTAGTATACGTTGAAGTCAGGTAGCATGATGCCTCCAGCTTTGTCCTTTTTGCTTAGGATTGTCTTGGCTTTGCAGGCTCTTTTTTGGTTCTATATGAACTTTAAAGCAGTTTTATCCAATTCTGTGAAGAAAGTCAGGGGTAGATTGATGGGGATAGCATTGAATCAATAATTTACCTTGGGCAGTATGGCCATTTTCAACATATAGATTCTTCCTATCCAAGAGCATGGAATGTTCTACCATTTATTTATGTCCTCTTTTATTTCCTTGAGCAGTGGTTTGTAGTTCTCCTTGAAGAGGTCCTTCATATCCCCTGTTAGTTGGATTCCTAGGTATTTTATTCTCTTTGTAGTAATTGTGAATGGGAGTTCACTCATGATTTTGTTCTCTGTTTGTCTGGTATTGGTGTATAGGAATGCTTGTGATTTTTGCACATTGATTTTGTATCCTGAGACTTTGCTGAAGTTGCTTATCAGTTTAAGGAGATTTTGGGCTGAGATGATGAAGTTTTCTAAATATACAATTATGTCATCTGCAAACAGAGACAGTTTGACTTCCTCATTTCCTAATTGAATACCCTTTATTTCTTTCTCCTGCCTGATTGCCCCAGCCAGAACTCCCAACACTATGTTGAATAGGAGTGGTGAGAGAGGGCATCCTTGTCTTATGCCAGTTTTCAAAGAGAATGCTTCCAGTTTTTGCCCATTCAGTATGATATTGGCTGAGGGTTTGTCATAAATAGCTCTTATTATTTTGAGCTACGTTCCATCAATACCTAGTTTATTGAGAGTTTTTAGCATGAAAGCCTGTTGAATTTTGTCAAAGGCCTTTTCTGCATCTATTGAGATAATCATGTGGGTTTTGTCATTGGCTCTGTTTATGTGATGGATTACGTTTACTGATTTGTGTGTGTTGAACCAGCCTTTCATCCCAGGGATGGAGCTGACTTGATCATGTTGGATAAGCTTTTTGATGTGCTACTGGATTCAGTTTGCCAGTATTTTATTGAGGATTTTCGCATCAAAGTTCATCAAGGATATTGGCCTAAAATTCTCTTTTTTTGTTGTGTCTCTACCAGGCTTTGGTATCAGGATGGTTCTAGCCTCATAAAATGAGTTAGGGAGGATTCCCTCTTTTTGTATTGATTGAAATATTTTCAGAAGGAATAGTACCAGCTCCTCTTCGTACCTCTGGTAGAATTCGGCTGTGAATCCATCTGGTCCTGGACTATTGTTGTTGGTAGGCTATTACTTATTGCCTCAATTTCAGAGCCTGTTATTGGTCTATTCAGGGATTCAACTTCTTCCTGGTTTAGTCTTGGGAGGGTGTATTTGTCCAGAAATTTATCAATTTCTTCTAGATTTTCTAGTTTATTTGCATAGAGGTGTTCATAGTATTCGCTGATGATAGTTTGCATTTCTGTGGGTTTGGTGGTGAGATCCCCTTTATCATTTTTTATTGCGTCTATTTGATTCTTCTCTGCTTTCTTCTTTATTAGTCTAGCTAGTGGTCTATCAATTTTTTTGATCTTTTCAAAAAACCAGCTCCTGGATTCATTGATTTTTTGAAGGGTTTTTTGCGTCTCTTATTTCCTTCAGTTCTGCTCTGATCTTAGTTATTTCTTGCCTTCTGCTCACTTTTGAATTTGTTTGCTCTTGCTTCTCTAATTCTTTTAGTTTGGATGTTAGGGAGTTGATTTTAGATCTTTCCTGCTTTCTCTTGTGGGCATTTAGTGCTATAAATTTCCCTCTACACACTGCTTTAAATGTGTCCCAGAGATTCTGGTGCATTGTGTCTTTGTTCTCATTGGTTTCAAAGAACATCTTTAATTCTGCCTTCATTTTGTTATTTACCCAGTAGTCATTCAGGAGCAGGTTGTTCAGTTTCCATGTAGTTGTGCAGTTTTGAGTGTGTTTCTTAATCCTGAGTTCTAATTTGATTGTACTGTGGTCTGAGAGACAGTTTGTTGTAATTTCTGTTCTTTTACATTTGCTGAGGAGTGTTTTACTACAAATTACGTGGTCAATTTTAGAATAAGTGCAATGTGGTGCTGAGAAGAATGTATATTCTGTTGATTTGGTGTGGAGAGTTCTGTAGATGTCTGTTAGGTCTACTTGGTGCAGAGCTGAGATCAATTCCTGGATATCCTTGTCAACCATCTGTCTCATTGATCTGTCTAATATTCACAGTGGAGTGTTAAAGTCTCCCATTATTATTGTGTGGGAGTCTAAGTCTCTTTGTAGGACTCTAAGGACTTGCTTTATGAATCTGGGTGCTCCTGTATTGGGTGCATATATATTTAGGATAGTTAGCTCTTCTTGTTTAATTGATCTCTTTACCATTATGTAATGGCCTTCTTTGTCTCTTTTGATCTTTGTTGGTTTAAAGTCTGTTTTATCAGAGACCAGGATTGCAACCCCTGAGTTTTTTCTTTCCATTTGCTTGGTGAATATTCCTCCATCCCTTTATTTTGAGCCTATGTGCATCTTTGCATGTGAGATAGGTCTCCTGAATACAGCACACCAATGGGTCTTGACTCATTATCCAGTTTGCCAGTCTGTGTCTTTTAATTGGGGCATTTAGCCCATTTACATTTAAGGTTAATATTGTTATGTTTGAATTTGATCCTGTCATTATGATGTTTGCCGGCTGTTTTGCCCATTAGTTGATGCAGTTTCTTTATAGGGTCAATGTTCTGTACCATTTGGCATGTTTTTGCAGTGGCTGGTACCTGTTGTTCCTTTCCATGTTTAGTGCTTCCTTCAGGAGCTCTTGTAAGGCAAGCCTGGTGGTGACAAAATCTCTCAGCATTTGCTTATCTGTAAAGGATTTTATTTCCCCTTCACTTATGAAGCTTAGTTTGGCTGGATATGAGATTCTGGGTTGAAAATTCTTTTCTTTAAGAATGTTGAATTTGGCCCCCATTCTCTTCTGGCTTGTAGAGTTTCTGCCAAGAGTTCCGCTGTTAGTCTGATGGGCTTCCCTTTGTGGGTAACCTGACCTTTCTTTCTGGCTGCCCTTAACATTTTTTCCTTCATTTCAACCTTGGTGAATCTGACAATTATGTGTCTTGGGGTTGCTCTTCTCGAGGAGTATCTTTGTGGTGTTCTCTGTATTTCCTGAATTTGAATGTTGGCTTGCCTTGCTAGTTTAGGGAAGCTCTCTTGGATAATATCTTGAAGAGTGTTTTCTAACTTGGTTCCATTCTCCTCATCACTTTCCAGTACACCAATCAAACGTATATTTGATCTTTTCACATAGTCGCATATTTCTTGGAGGCTTTGTTCATTTCCTTTCACTCTTTTTTCTCTAATCTTGTCTTCTTGCTTTATTTCATTAGTTTGATCTTCAATCACTGATATCCTTTCTTCCACTTGATCGAATCAGCTAGTGAAGCTTGTGCATGCATCACGAAGTTCTCGTGCTGTGGTTTTCAGCTCCATCAGGTCATTTAAGGTCTTCTCTGCACTGTTCATTCTAGTTAGCCATTCGTCTAACTTTTTTCAAGATTTTAGCTTCCTTGTGATGGGTTAGAACATGCTCCTTTAGCTCAGTGAAGTTTGTTATTACCGACCTTCTGAAGCCTACTTCTGTCAACTTGTCAAACACATTCTCCAGCCAGTTGTGTTCCCTTGGTGGCGAGGAGCTGCAATCCTTTGGAGGAGAAGAGGTGCTCGGTTTTTTGGAATTTTCAGCTTTTCTCCTCTGGTTTCTCCCCATCTTTGTGGTTTTATCTACCTTTGGTCTTTGATGTTGTTGACCTACAGATGGGATTTTGGTGTGGATGTCCTTTTGTTGATGTTGATGCTATTCCTTTCTGTTTGTTACTTTTCCTTCTAACAGTCAGACCCCTCAGCTGCAGGTCTGTTGGAGTTTGCTGGAGGTCCACTCCAGACCCTATTTGCCTGGGTAACACCAGCAGAGGCTGCAGAACAGCATATATTGCTGCCTAATCCTTCCTCCGGAAGCTTCATCCCAGAGGGGCACCCGCTTGTTTGAGGTGTCTGTCAGCCCCTACTGGGAGGTGTTTCCCAGTCAGGCTACATGGGGGTCAGGGACCCACTTGAGGAGGCAGTCTATCCATTCTCAGAGCTCAAATGCAGTGGTGAGAGAACCACTGCTCTCTTCAGAGCTGTCAGACAGGGACGTTTAAGTCTGCAGAAGCTGTCTGCTGCCTTTTGTTCTACTATGCATTGCCCCCAGAAGTGGAATCTATAGAGCCAGTAGGCCTTGCTGAGCTGTGGTGGGCTCTGCCAAGTTTGTGCTTCCAGGTCTCTTTGTTTACACTGTAAGCTACTCAAGCCTCAGCAATGGTGGACACCCCTCCCCCCACTAATCTGCAGCATTGCAGATCGATCTCAGACTGCTGTGCTAGCAGTGAGCAACGTGTGGGCGTGGGACTCGCCGAGCCAGGCACACAAGGGTATCTCCTGCTCTGCCAGTTGCTAAGACTGCAGAAAAAGCACAATAATTGGTCAGGAGTGTACCGTTCTCCAGGTACAGTCTATCACAGCTTCCCTTGGCTGGGAAAGGGATATTTCCAGACCCCTTGCACTTCCTGGGTGAGACCACGCCCTGCCCTGCTTCAGCTTGCCCTCTGTGGGCTGCACCCACTGTCCAACCACTCCCAATGAGATAAACCAGGTACCTCAGTTGGAAATGCAGGAATCACCCGTCTTCGGCATCAGTCTCGCTGGGAACTGCAGACTGGAACTGTTCCTATTCGGCCATCTTGGAAATGCCCTCCAGTCTTCTGTATCTTTAATGACATTCAGTATACTTGTTCTATCAGTTACTGAGAGAGGAATATTGAAGTTTCCAAAAATAATTGTCTATTTATCTTTATTTCTATCAATTTTTGCTCAAGTATTTAAACTTCTGTGTTAGATGCATACATATTTTAAATTGTTATATCTTCAGGGAGAATTGACCCCTTTATAATTACAGAATGTCTCTCAGTATCTCTAATAATATTCCTTGATCTGAAGTCTACTTTATCTGGTATCAATATTCCAGATTTTTTTTAAATTTTAAGTTCTGGGATACATGTGCAGGATGTACAGGATGTGCCTGTTTGTTACACAGGTAAACATGTGCCATGGTGTTTTGCTGCACAGATCATCCAATTACCTAGATATTAAGCCCAGCATCCATTAGCTACTTTTCCTGATGCTCCACCTCCCCCTGTCCCCCTAACAGGCCCCAGTGTGTGTTGTTCCTCTCCTGTGTCCATGTGTTCTCATTGTTCAGCTCCCACTTATAAATGATAACATGCAGTGTTTGTTTTTCTGTTCCTGCGTTAGTTTGCTGAGGATAATGGCTTCCAGCTCCATCCAAGTCCCTGCAAAACTCATGATCATGTTCCTTTCTATGGCTGCATAGTATTCATAGTATTCCATGGTGTATATGTACCACATTTTCTTTATCCAGTCTATCACTGATGGGCATTTGGGTTGAATCCATGTCTTTGCTGTTGTGAATAGTGTTACAATGAGCATATGCATGCATCTATCTTTAAAATAGAATGATTTAAATTCCTCTGGGTATATACCCAGTAATGAGATTGCTGAGTCAAATGGTACTTCTTGTTCTAAATCTTTGAGGAATCACCAACTGTCTGCTACAATGGTTAAACTAATTTACACTCTCGCCAATAATGTAAAAGTGTCCCTATTTCTCTGCAATCTCACCAGCATCTGTTGTTTCTTGACCTTTTAATAATCGCCATTCTGACTGGTGTGAGATGGTATCTCATTGTGGTTTTGATTTGCGTTTCTTTAATGATGAATGATGTTGAGCTTTTTTTCATATTTTTTTTGGCTGCATAAGTGTCTTATTTTGAGAAGTGTCTGTTCATGTCTACTTTTTAATGGGGTTGTTTTTTTTCTTGTAAATTTGCTTAAGTTCCTTGTAGATTCTGGGTATTAGACCTTTGCCAGATGGATAGATTGCACTATCCACTATGCACAGATGCCAGATGGATAGATTGCACAACCCACTACGTAGGTTGTCTGTTCACTCTGATGATAGTTTCTTTTGCTGTGCTCTTTAGTTTAATTAAATCCCATTTGTCGATTTTTGCTTTTGTTGCAATTGCTTTTGGCGATTTTGTCATGAAATATTTGCCCATACATACGTCCTCAATGGTATTGCCTAGATTTTCTTCTAGGTTTTTTATAGTTTTGAGTTTGACATTTAAGTCTTTATTCCATCTTGAGTTAATTTTTGTGTATGGTGTAAGGAAGGGTCTAGTTTCAATTTTCTGCATAAGGCTAACCAGTTCTCCCAGCACCATTTATTAAATAGGGAATCTCTTCCCCATTGCTTGTTTTTGTCAGGTTTGTCAAAGATCAGATGTTTGTAGATGTGCAGTCTTATTTCTGAGTTCTCCATTCTATTCCATTGGTCTATGTCTCTGTTTTTGTACCAGTACCATGCTGTTTTGGTTACTGTAGCCCTGTAGTATAGTTTGAAGTCAGGTAGTGTGATGCCTTCAGGTCTGTTCTTTTTGCTTAGGATTGTCTTGGCTATACGAGCTCTTTTTTAGTTCCATATGAATTTTAAAATAGTTTTTTTCTAATTATGTGCAAAATGTCAATGGTAGTTTCATGGGAATAGCATTGAATCTATAAATTACTTTGGACTGTATGGCCATTTTCACGATATTGATTCTTCCTATCAATGTGCATGAAATGTTTTTCCATTTGTTTGTGTCCTATCTGATTTCCTTGAGGTGTGGTTTGTAGTTCTTCTTGAAGAGGTTCTTCACATCCCTCATTAGCTGTATTCCTAGGTATTGTATTATCTTTGTAGCAATTGTGAATGAGAGTTCATTCATAATTTGGCTCTCTGCTTGTCTATTGTTAGTGTATAGGAATGCTTGTTGTTTCTGCACATTGATTTTGTACCCTGAGACTTTACTGCAGTTGTTTATCAGCTTAAGAAGCTTTTGGGCTGAAGCAATGGGGTTTTCTAGATATAGGATCATGTCATCTGCAAACAAAGACAATTTGACTCCCTCACTTCCTATTTGAATATGCTTTATTTCTTTCCCTTGCCTGATTGCCCTGGCCAGAACTTCCAATACTATGTTGAATAAGTGTAGTAAGAGAGGACATCCTTGTCTTGTGCAGGTCTTCAAGGGGAATGCTTCCAGCTTTTGCACATTCAGCATATTAGCTGTGGGTTTGTCATATATGGCTCTTATTATTTTCAGGTATCTTCCTTCAATACCTAGTTTATTGAGAGTTTTTAACATGAAGGGATGTTGAACTTTATCAAAGGCCTTTTCTGCATATATTGAGATAACCATATGTTTTTTGTCATTGGTTCTGTTTATGTGATGGATTATGTTTATTGATTTGCATATGTTGAACCAGACTTGCATCTCAGGGATGAAGCCAACTTGATTGTGGTGGATAAGCTTTTTGTTGTGTTTCTGGATTCAGTTTGCCAGTATTTTATTGAGAATTTTTGCATCAATGTTCATCAGGCATATTGACCTAAAGTTTTCTTTTTTTGTTGTATCTCTGCCAGGTTTTGGTATCAGGATGATGCTGGCCTCATAAAATGAGTTAGGGGGGAGTCCCTTCTTTTTAATTGTTTGGAATAGTTTCAGAAGAAATGGTACCAGGTCCTCTTTGAAACTTCCAGATTTATTTTGTTTAGTGTTTACATGTATATGATCTTCCATCCTTTTACTTTTTAACCTGTGTTTTTATATTAAACTGGGTTTCATATAGACAGCACATAGTTGACTCTTGTGTTTCTTTGCATTCTGAAAATCTCCTTTTTTGACAAATAGAAATTGTATATATTTATGGTGCACAATGTGATTGTTTTGGTATGTGTGTGTATACACTATGAAATGGTTAAATCAAGCTAATTTAGATATTCAGCTCACATACTTATCTTTTTTTGTGGTGAGGATATTTAAGATCTACTCTCTTAACAATTTTCAAGTGTACAATACATTATTCACTGGAGTTACCACTCTGTACAATGGATCTCCAGAACTTATTCACCCTGTCTAATTGAAACACTGTACTCTTTGATTTAGATTCCACATATAAATGAGATCATACAGTATTTGTCTTTCTGTGCCTACTTTATTTTACTTAGCCTAATATTTTCCAGGTTCATCCATGTATTCACAAATGATAGGCTTTCTTTCTTTTTTTAAAGGCTGAATAGTTTTCCACCGTGTGTATATACGTGTGTGTATTACATTTTCTTTACCTATTCATCTGCCAATGGACACTTAGATTGCTTCCAAATTTTGACTATGGTAAACAATTCTGCAATGAACATGGGAGTACAGATATCTCCTCGACATACTGATTTCCTTTCTTTTGGATATATGCCCAAAAGTGAGATTGCTGGATCATATGGTAGATTTATTTTTTAGGAATCTCTGTAATGTTCTCCATAGTGAATATGCTAATTTACATTCCCACCAACAGTGTGTAAGGGTTCCCTTTTCTCCACTTCCTCACCAGCAATTGTTATCTTTTGTCATTTTGATAAAAGCAGGTGTGAGGTGATATCTCATTGTGGTTTTCATTTGTATTTCCTGATGATTAGTGATGCTGAGCATTTTTTATACACCTGTTGGCCATTTGTATGTCTTCTTTTGAGAAATGTCTACTCAATTATCATTCTTTAATCGGGTGATTTTTCTTGCTGCTAAGTTGTTTGAGTTTTTTTATATATTTTGGATATTAACCTCTTATCCAATATATGCAAATATTTTCTCCCATTCTGTTGGCTGTCTCTTTGCTCTCTTGACTGTCTCCTTGGCTATGCAGAAGCATTTTAGTTTGATGCAGTGCCATTTGTATATTTTTGCTTTTTTTGCCTGTGCTTTTGGTGTGATAGCCAAGAAATCATTGCCCAAATTAATGTCAAGAAACTTTTCACCTGTATTTTCTTCTAGTAGTTTTACAGCATCAGGTCTTATGTCTAAATCTTTAATCCATTTTGAGTTGATTTTTGTGTGTGGTCTTAGATAAAAGTCCAATTTCTTTTTCTTTCTTTCTTTCTTTTTTTTTTTTTTTTGCATGTGGATATTTAGTTTTTCCAACACCAATTGTTGAAGGTACTATTCTTTTCTCATTGCATATTATTGGTACCTTTGTCAAAAATCAGTTGGATGTAAAATGTATGGACTAATTTCTGTGCTCTCTATTCTATTTCATTGGTCTGTATGTCTGTTTTTATGTCAGTACCATGCTGTTTTGATTACTATAGCTTTGAAGTAGATTTTGAGAACAAGTAGTGTGATGCCTCCAGCTTTGTTCTCTTTGCTCAAGATTGCTTGGATATTTTGGCTCTTTTGTGGTTCCACACAAACTTTAGGATTGTTTTTTCTATTTCTGTGGAAAATGCCTTTGGTATTTTGATAGAGATTATTTTGAATCTGTAAGTCACTTTCAGTAATATGGACATTTTAACAATATTAATTCTTCCAATTCATGAACACAAATATTTTTCCATCTATTTGTCTTCTTCAGTTTCTTTCATCAATTTTTTATAGTTTCCAGGGTACAGATATTTCACTTTCTTGGTTCTCTGTCTTTTGATAAGTGTGTTTTGCACCACTTACATTAAATGCAATTAGTAATATGGAAGAATTTAAGTCCATGATTTTATTATTTTCTGTGGTTGTTCCTCTGTTTCTACTCTCTTGCTTTCTTTTGTAATCATTTGAATATTTTTCAGTATTCCATTTTAATTTGTCCATTGGACTTTTAATAAATATATTTGTATATTTTTAGTAATTCCTGTAGATATTAAAATATACACAGTTAACTTTCCAAAATTTTAATTGTAAAATTAATATTTTATCATTTCAAGTGTACTATAGAAATCTTTCCACTGTATGGATCCCCTTACACTCTCTCTGTATGTTGTAGTCATTACATATATATACAGACGAACTTTGTTTTATTGTGCTTCACATTATTGCAGTTCACAGATAATGTGTTTTTTACAAATTGAAGATCTGTGGAAACCCTGTATTAACAAGTATATCGATGCCCATTTTTCCAACAACATGTGCTCACTTTGTGTGCCACATTTTTATAATTCTCACAATATTTCAAACCTTTTCTTTCTTACATCTATTATGGTGATCAGTGATCACTGATATTTGATGTTACTATTGTAATTGTTTTGGGGCACCACAAACCATGCCCATATAAGATGGAAAACTTAATCGAGAAATGCTGTGTGTGTTCTGACTGCTACACTTACCAACTTTCCTCCCATCTCTCTCCCTCTCTCCTCAGGCCTTCCTATTTCCTGAGGCACAGCAATATTGAAATTAGGCCAATTAATAAACCCACAATGGTCTCTAAGTGTTCAAGTAAAAGGAAGAGTCACATATCTCTCACTTTAAGTCAAAAGCTAGAAAAGATTAAGCTTAGTGAGGAAGGTATGCCAAAAGCTGAGATAGGTCATAAGTTGGGCCTCTTGAGCAAAACAATTAGCCAAGTTGTATGCAAAGAAAAAGTTCTCGAAGGAAATTAAAAGTGCTACTTCAGTGAGCATATAAATGATAAGAAATTAAAATAGCCTTATTGCTGATACAGAGAAAGTTTCACTTGTCTGGATAAAAGATCAGACCCAGCTAAGACATTCTCTTAAACCAAATCCTATTCCAGAGTAAGGCCCTAACTCTCTTCAATTCTATGAAGGCTGAGAGAGGTGAAGAAGCTGCAGAAGAAAAGTTTGAAGTTAGCAGAGGTTGGTTCATGGGGTTTAAGGAAAGAAGCCAACTCTACAACGTAAAAATGTAAGATGAAGCAGCAAGTGCTAATGCAGAAGCTGTAGCAAGCTATCCACAATATCTATTAATAGCTAAAGAAAAACTCTACTGCGCATAGGCCTAGGCAAAGAAATTATGATGAAGACCCGAAAAGCAAATACGACAAAACAAAAATAGACAAATGGGATTTAATTAAACTAAAATGTTTCTGTACAACAAAAGAAACAATTTACCGAGTGAACAGACAACCTACATAATGGAAGAAAATATTTGCAAATTATACCTCTGGCAAAGGACTAATATCCAGAATATACAAGGAACTCAAACAACTCAACAAGAAAAAAACAACCCCATTACAAAATGGGCACATTACATGAATAGACATTTCTTAAAAGAAGAAATACAAGCAGCCAAAAACACATAAAAAATGTTCAACATCACTAATCATCAGAAAAATTCACATTAAAACCACACTTAGATATTATCTTACATCATCATATTGTCTATTATTAAAAAGTCAAAAAACAATGGATGGTGGTATAGATGCGAGAAAAGGGAAAGGTTAGAGACTTGGAGGGAATGTAAATTAGTTCAACTTCTATGGAAAACAGGGTAGATATATCTCAAAGAACTAAAAATAGGACTATTCAAGCCAACAATTCGACTACTGGGTTCTTTTCCTTTCCCAAAGGAAAATAAATCATTACAGTAAAAATTTATCTGCACTTGTACTTTTATTGCCACACTATACACAATAGCAAAGTCATGGAACCAGCCTAAGTGTCCATCAATGGTTGATTGGATAAAGAAAATTTAGTATATATACCCCATGGAATATTATGCAGCCATAAGAAGGAATGAAATCATGTCCTTTGCAGCAACATGGATGGAGCTGGAGGCCATTATCCTAAGTGAACTAACTCAGAAAAAGAAAATCAAATATCACATATTCTTACTTATAAGTGGGAGCTAGACAATGGGAACACATGGGCATAAAGATGGAAATAGTAGACACAGGGGACTCCAAAACAGGGTAGGGTGGGAGAGGAATGAGGGTTAAAAAATTACCTATTGGGTACAATGTTCAATATTTGGTTTATGGGTCCACTAGAAGCCAAATCCCCACCACTATGTAAGATACTATGTAATGTGCCCATGTAACAAACATGCACATGTGCTTCTGAATCTAAAGCAAATTTTAAAATAAAAGACCTGACTAAGATTATTGATTAGGATAGTTACACACAACAAATTTTCAATATAGACAGTACAGACTTATATCAGAAGAAGATGCCATCTAGGACTTTCATAGCTGGAAAGAAAAAGTCAATGAATGCCTGGTTTCAATGCTTCAAAGGACAGGAAGATTCTCTTGTTAGGGGCTAATGCAACTTGTTACTTTAAGTTAAAGCCAGTGCTTATTTAACCATTCCAAAAATTGTAGTACAGGCAGAGTATATTTAAGAATTATGCTAAATATACTCTGCCCATACTCTACCAATGGAAGGGCAAAGCCTGAATGACAGCACGTCTGTTTACAATGTGGTTTATTGAATATTTTAAGCCCACTTCTGAGACCTACTGCTGAGAGAAAAGGATTCCTTTCAAAATGTTACTGCTCATTGGCAATACACCTGACCATTCAAGAGTTCTGATGAAGATTTATGAGGAGATTAATGTTGTTTTCATGCCTGCTAATGCAATATCTATTCTTCAGCCCATGGATCATGGAGTCATTTCTACTTTCAAGTATTATTATTTAAGGAATACATTTTGTGAGCCTCTAGCTTCCATTGATAGTGATTACTCTGATGGATCTGAGCAAAGTACATCTAAAACCTTCTGGAAATAAATCTCCATTCTAGATGCCATTAAGAACATTTGTGATTCATGGGAGGAGGTCAAAATATAAACATTAATAGCAGTTTGGAAGAAGTTGATTCCAACCCTCATGGATGACTTTGAGGGGTTCAAGGCTTCAGTGGAGGAAGTCACCACAGATGTGGTGAAAATAGCAAGAGAACCTGAATTAGAAATGGAGCCTGAAGATATGTTTGAATTGCTATAATCTCATAAAACTGAATGAATGACGAGTTGCTTCTTATGGATGAGCAGAGTGTGGTTTCTTGAGACGGAGTCTACTCCTGGTGAAGATGCTGTGAATATTGCTGGAATGTGGATTTAGAATATTATATAAACTTAATTGATAAAGCAGCAGCAGGGCTTGAGAGAATTGACTCCAATTTTGGAAGAAGTTCTACTGTGGGTAAAATGCTACAAAACAGCATTACACTCACAAAGAAATCTTTTGTGAAAGAGTCCATTGATGCAGCAAATTTCATTGTTGTCATGGCCATAGTCACCCCAGCCTTAATCAACCACCACCCTGATCAGTTAGCAGCCATCAGCATTGAGGGAAGACCCTCCATCAGCAAAAAGCAAATGACTTGGTGAGGGCTCAGGTGATTGTTAGCATTTTTTAACAATAAAGTATTTTTAAATGAAGGTATGTTTTAGGCATAATTATATTGCACACTTAATAGACTACAGTATAATAGAAAAGTAACTTTTATATATGCTGGGAAACAAAACAATTTGTGATATTTGCTTCATTGAAGTGGTGTGGAACTGAACCTACAATATTTCTGAGATATGTCTGTATTACATTTACATACATCAAAAACCCCATCCGACAGTGTTATAATTTTTGTTTTCAAACATTATAAGAGATTTTTAAAACTAAAGAGAAGAATAATAGTTATATTTACCCACATAGGTACCATTTCTCTTGTTCTTCCTTCATCCTTGAAAATTCAAGTTTATTCTGGTATTATTTTCTATTCTCTTCAAGATATTATCTTTGGTTTTTAGAAATATGACTATGATGTATCTATGCATGATTTTCTTTCTATTTATCCTACTTCAGGTTCACTGAGTTTCTGGAATCCTTCACCAAATTTGTTGTATTTTTGGCCATTATATCTTCAAACGTATTTTTTCCACTCATTCTATTCTCTCCTGGGACTCCAGTTACATTTGTGTTAGGCCTTAAGGTAGTGTCCTATGGGTCCCTAAGACTATAGGTTTTTTCCCATCTTATTTCTCTCTTTGCATCACACTGGATAATTTTTATTACACAATCTTCAAGTTTACTAGTTCTTTCCTCTGTCATTTGCTTTCTGCTATTAAGCTTATGCAGTGAATTTGTATTTCTTATGTAGTGTTTTTCAGTTTTAAATTTCCATTTTGCTCTCTTCAAAAAAATGTTTATTTCCCTGCTGATATATGCTATTATTTCATTGGTTACAAGCATATTTTTGTCACTTAATTGAGCACAGTTGTAATTGCTGCTTTATATTCCTTGTCAACTGTCTTAGCCCAACTCGGCTGCTATAACAAAATACCAAAACTGGGTAGCTTATACACAACAGAAATTTATTTCTCACAAGTCTGAAGGCTAGATAGTCCAAGGGGAAGTTGCCAGCAGATTCAGTGTCTGGTGAAGGCCTGTTTTCTGATTCATAGAAAGCATCTTTTAGCTGTGTCCTCAAATGGTGGAAGGAATGAACAAGCTCTCTGAGGTCTCTTTCATAGGAGAACTAATCCTATTGACAAGGGCTCTACCCTCATATCATGACCTTATTACCTGCCAAAAGCCCCACTTCCACATACCAACACATTGGGGATCAAGTTTCAACCTGCTGTCAATTTGGAAGAGACACAAACATTCAGTCTAGAGCATCCACTAATTCCAACATCATGATATCTCTTGGCTGGTTTCAATGGTTGTCTTTTTTTCTTGAAACACGATCATATTTTCCTGGTTCTTCATACGTCAAGCAATTTTGTATTACAGC
Organism: Homo sapiens; assembly: GCF_000001405.40. NCBI lineage: Eukaryota > Metazoa > Chordata > Mammalia > Primates > Hominidae > Homo > Homo sapiens. The sequence continues at coordinate 110,647,016 of NC_000023.11, read as the reverse complement.
TTGGACATTATGAATGCTAGGTTTTAGAGGCTCTGAGATTCTCATGCATTCTCTTAAAGAATATTGATATTTTTGTTTTAGCAGTAAATTAACATGATTGGACTGAAGCTGCCAATTCTAATTATTTAGCCCGGCTGCTTTGCATCTGTCCCACATATACATGGTTCAGGGGTAAGTAATGGACTTGAGAGGAATTTGATGGCCCCATCTCTGAGTCTGTCTTTTCTGGAATTATCCTCTCACTTTCCAGTGGCTGTGGTTGTCCAGAGCTCTGTCTTCTGGTTCTTCAGTTCAGAAAGACTACTGGCTATCTGTCAGAGTGTTAATCGATTCCCACAATCCAAACATTGGCCTACCCTCAGGCTAAAAGGAGTAAAACATGGGAAACTCTCTCCCTCACTTCTTTTTTTTCATGTCCATGGTTTTTGCTCACTCAGCAGTCCTTTGTGTCATTATTTATTGTATTTTCTTCAGAGCAGTTGATGGCAAACTTTTTCTATAAAGGGCCAGATAATAAATATTTTTAAGCTTTGTGGACCATACAGTCTGTCATAACTACCCAATTCTGCCACTATAACATGAGAGCAGAAATGCATATATAAATGAATGGGTGTGGCTGTATTCCAATAAAGCCTTATTTACAAAGACAAGTGACAAGCAAATTTGGCCTGTGGTCCATGGTTTGCCAAACCTTACTCTGTTATTTTCAAGAGGGTTGAATCTGATAGAAGCTTACTTGGCTGTACCAGTAGTTGACTAATTCATTTTAGGATACTTACACATTAATTGGCTACATAGAAATAAATTAAAATTAATCCAGTTTAAAGTAGGAGAAATAGAAAAAGGTACATAAGGGGTGGAGCCAAGACAGCCAAATAGGAACAGCTCCAGTCTACAGCTCCCAGTGTGAGCGACGCAGAAGATGAATGACTTCTGCATTTCCAACTGAGGTACTGGGTGCATCTCACTAGGGATTGTCAGACAGTGGGTGCAGGACAGTGGGTGCAGTGCACTGAGCCTGAGCCGAAGCAGGGCGAGGTATCACCTCACCCAGGAAGTGCAAGGGGTCAGGGAATTCTCTTTCCTAGCTAAGGAAAGGGGTGACAGATGGCACCTGGAAAATCGGGTCACTCCCACCCTAATAGTGTGCTTTTCTGACAATCTTAGCAAATGGCACATGAGGAGATTATATCCCACACCTGGTTTGGTGGGTCCTATGCCCATGGACCCTCACTCATTGCTAGCACAGCAGTCTGAGATTAAACTGCAAGGCGGCAGTGAGGCTGGGGGAGGGGCACCTGCCATTGCCCAGGCTTGAGTAGGTAAACAAAGTGGCTGGGAAGCTCGAACTGGGTGGAGCCCACCGCAGCTCAAGGAGGCCTGCCTGCCTCTGTAGACTCCACCTCTGGGGGCAGGGCATAGCCAAACAAAAGGCAGCAGAAACCTCTGCAGACCTAAATGTCCCTGTCTGACAGCTTTGAAGAGAGTAGTGGTTCTGCCAGCACACAACTTTAGATCTCAGAATAGACAGACTGCCTCCTCAAGTGGGCCCCTGACCCCCGAGTAGCCTAACTGGGAGGCACAGCCCAGTATGGGCAGACTGACACCTCACATGGCGGGGTACTCCTCTGAGACAAAACTTCCAGAGGAACAATCAGGCAGCAACATTTGCTGTTCAACAATATCCACTGTTCTGCAGCCTCTGCTGCTGATACCAAGGCAAACAAGGTCTGGATTGGACCTCTGGCAAACTCCAACACACCTGCAGCTGAGGGTCCTGACTGTTAGAAGGAAAACTAACAAACAGAAAGGACATCCACACCAAAACCGCATCTGTAAGTCACCATCATCAAAGACCAAAGGTAGATAAGACCACAAAGATGGGGAAAAAACAGAGCAGAAAAGCTGAAAATTATATAAATCAGAGCACCTCTCCCCTTCCAAAGGAACGCAGCTCCTCACCAGCAAAGGAACAAATCTGGACAGAGAATGACTTTGATGAGTTGAGAGAAGTCTTCAGATGATCAAACTTCTCCGAGCTAAAGGAGCAAGTTCAAACCCGTGGCAAAGAAGTTAAAAACCTTGAAAAAAGATTAGACGAATGGCTAACTAGAATAACCAATGCAGAGAAGTCCTTAAAGGACCTGATGGAGCTGAAAACCATGGCACGAGAACTACATGATGAATGCACAAGCCTCAGTAGCCGATTCGATCAACTGGAAGAAAGGGTATCAGTGACGGAAGATGAAATGAATGAAATGAAGTGAGAAGAGAACTTTAGAGAAAAAAGAATAAAAAGAAATGAACAAAGCCTCCAAGAAATATGAGACTATGTGAAAAGACAAAATCTACGTCTGATTGCTACACCTGAAAGTGACGGGGAGAATGGAACCAAGTTGGAAAACACTCTTCAGGATATTATCCAGGAGAACGTCCCCAATCTAGCAAGGCAGGCCAGCATTCAAATTCAGGAAATGCAGAGGACGCCACAAAGATACTCCTCGAGAAGAGCAACTCCAAGACACATAATTGTCAGATTCACCAAAGTTGAAATGAAAGAAAAAATGTTAAGGGCAACCAGAGAGAAAGGTCACGTTACCCACAAAGGGAAGCCCATCAGACTAACAGCGGATCTCTCGGCAGAAACTCCACAAGCCAGAAGAGAGTGGGGGCCAATATTCAACATTCTTAAAGAAAAGAATTTTCAACACAGAATTTCATATCCAGCCAAATGAAGCTTCATAAGTGAAGGAGAAATAAAATCCTTTACAGACAAGCAAATGCTGAGAGATTTTGTCACCACCAGGCCTGCCCTAAAAGAGCTCCTGAAGGAAGCACTACACATGGAAAGGAACAACTGGTACCAGCCACTGCAAAAACATGCCAAATTGTAAAGACCATCGAGGCTAGGAAGAAACTGCATCAACTAACGAGCAAAATAACCAACAAACATCATAATGACAGGATCAAATTCACACATAACAATATTAACCTTAAATGTAAATGGGCCAAATGCTCCAATTAAAAGACACAGACTGGCAAATTGGATAAAGAGTCAAGACCCATCAGTGTGCTGTATTTAGGAAACCCATCTCACGTGCACAGACACACATAGGCTCAAGATAAAGGGATGGAGGAAGATCTATCAAGCAAATGGAAAACAAAAAAAAAGGCAGGGGTTGCAATCCTAGTCTCTGATAAAACAGACTTTAAACCAACAAAGATCAAAAGAGACAAAGAAGGCCATTACATAATGGTAAAGGGATCAATTCAACAAGAAGAGCTAACTATCCTAAATATATGCACCCAATACAGGAGCACCCAGATTCATAAAGCAAGTCCTGAGTGACCTACAAAGAGACTTAGACTCCCACACAATAATAATGGGAGACTTTAACACCCCACTGTCAACATTAGACAGATCAACGAGACAGAAAGTTAACAAGGATATCCAGGAATTGAACTCAGCTCTGCACCAAGCGGACCTAATAGACATCTACAGAACTCTCCACCCCAAATCAAGAGAATATACATTTTTTTCAGCACCACATCACACCTATTCCAAAATTGATGACATAGTTGGAAGTAACGCACTCCTCAGCAAATGTAAAAGAACAGAAGTTGTAACAAACTGTCTCTCAGACCACAGTGCAATCAAACTAGAACTCAGGATTAATAATCTCACTCAAAACCACTCAACTACATGGAAACTGAACAACCTGCTCCTGAATGACTACTGGGTACATAACGAAATGAAGGCAGAAATAAAGATGTTCTTTGAAACCAACAAGAACAAAGACACAACATACCAGAATCTCTGGGACACATTCAAAGCAGTGTGTAGAGGGAAATTTATAGCACTAAATGCCCATAAGAGAAAGCAGGAAAGATCTAAAGTTGACACCCTAACAATACAGTTAAAAGAACTAGAGAAGCAAGAGCAAACAAATTCAAAAGCTAGCAGAAGGTAAGAAATAACTAAGATCAGAGGAGAACCGAAGGAAATAGAGACACAAAAAACCCTTCAAAAAATCAATGAATCCAGGAGCTGGTTTTTTGAAAGATCAAAAAAATTGATAGACCGCTAGCAAGACTAATAAAGAAGAAAAGAGAGAAGAATCAAATAGATGCAATGAAAAATGATAAAGGGGATATCACCACCGATCCCACAGAAATACAAACTACCATCAGGGAATACTATAAACCCCCCTATGCAAATAAACTAGAAAATCTGGAAGAAATGGATAAATTCCTCGACACATACACTCTCCCAAGACTAAACCAGGAAGAAGTTGAATCTCTGAATAGACCAATAACAGGCTCTCAAATTGAGGCAATAATTAACAGCTTACCAACCAAGAAAAGTCCAGGACCAGACGGATTCACAGCTGAATTCTACCAGAGGTACAAGGAGGAGCTGGTACCATTCCTTCTGAAACTATTCCAATCAATAGAAAAAGAGGGAATCCTCCCTAACTCATTTTATGAGGCCAGCATCATCCTGATACCAAAGCCTGGCAGAGACACAACAAAAAAAGAGAATTTTAGACCAATGTCCCTGATGAACACCGATGCAAAAATCCTCAATAAAATACTGGCAAACCAAATCCAGCAGCACATCAAAAAGCTTATCCAACATGATCAAGTGGGCTTCATCCCTGGGTTGCAAGTCTGGTTCAACATACCCAAATCAATAAATGTAATCCAGCAAATGAACAGAACCAATGACAAAAACCACATGATTATCTCAAAAGATGCACAGAAGGCCTTTGACAAAATTCAACAGCACTTCATGCTAAAAACTCTCGATAAATTAGATATTGATGGGACGTATCTCAAAATAATAAGAGCTATTTATGACAAACCCACAGCCAATATCATACTGAATGGGCAAAAACTGGAAGCATTCTCTTTGAAAACTGGCACAAGACAGGGATGCCCTCTCTCACCACTCCTATTCAACATAGTGTTGGAAGTTCTGGCCAGGGCAATCAGGCAGGAGAAGGAAATAAAGGGTATTCAATTAGGAAAAGAGGAAGTCAAATTGTCCCTGTTTGCAGATGACATGATTGTATATCTAGAAAACCCCATCGTCTCAGCCCAAAATCTCCTTAAGCTGATAAGCAACTTCAGCAAAGTCTCAGGATACAAAATCAATGTGCAAAAATCGCAAGCATTCTTATACACCAACAACAGACAAACAGAGAACCAAATCATGAGTGAACTCCCATTCACAATTACTTCAAAGAGAATAAAATACCTAGGAATCCAGCTTACAAGGGACGTGAAGGACCTCTTCAAGGAGAAGTACAAACCATTGCTCAATGAAATAAAAGAGGATACAAACAAATGGAAGAACATTCTGTGCTCATGGGTAGGAAGAATCAATATCATGAAAATGGCCATACTGCCTAAGGTAATTTATAGATTCAATACCATCCCCATCAAGCTACCAATGACTTTCTTCACAGAATTGGAAAAAACTACTTTAAATTTCACATGGAACCAAAAAAGAGCCCACATTGCCAAGTCAATCCTAAGCCAAAAGAACAAAGCTGGAGGCATCACGCTACCTGACTTCAAACTATACTACAAGGCTACAGTAACCAAAACAGCATGGTACTGGTACCAAAACAGATATATGGAACAGACCAGTGGAACAGAACACAGCCCTCAGAAATAATGCCACATATCTACAACCCTCTGATCTTTGACAAACCTGACAAAAACAAGAAATGGGGATAGGATTCCCTATTTAACAAATGGTGCTGGGAAAACTGGCTAGCCATATGTAGAAAGCTGAAACTAGATCCCTTCCTTATCCCTTATACAAAAATTAATTCATGATGGATTAAAGACTTAAATGTTAGACCTAAAACCATGAAAACCCTAGAAGAAAACCTAGGCAATACCATTCAGGACATAGGCATGGGCAAGGACTTCATGTCTAAAACACCAAAAGCAATGGCAACAAAAGCCAAAATTGACAAATGGGATCTAATTAAACTAAAGAGCTTCTGCACAGCAAAAGAAACTACCATCAGAGTGAACAGGCAACCTATGGAATGGGAGAAAATTTTTGCAATCTACTCATCTGACAAAGGGCTAATATCCAGAATCTACAATGAACTCAAACAAATTTACAAGAGAAAAACAAAAAAAACCCCATCAACAAGTGGGCAAAGGATATGAGCAGACACTTCTCAAAAGAAGACATTTATGCAGCCAAAAGACACATGAAGAAATGCTCATCATCACTGGCCATCAGAGAAATGCAAATCAAAACCACAATGAGATACCATCTCACACCAGTTAGAATGGCGATGGTTAAAAAATCAGGAAACAACAGGTGCTATAGAGGATGTGGAGAAATAGGAACACTTTTACACTTTTGGTGGGACTGTAAACTAGTTCAACCATTGTGGAAGACAGTGTGGCGATTCCTCAGGGATCTACAACTAGAAATACCATTTCACCCAGCCATCCCATTACTGGGTATATACCCAAAGGATTATAAAACATGCTGCTATAAAGACACATGCACACATATGTTTATTGCAGCACTACTCACAATAGCAAAGACTTGGAACCAACCCAATTGTCCAACAATGGTAGACTAGATTAAGAAAATGTGGCACATATACACCATGGAATACTATGCAGCCATAAAAAATGATGAGTTCATGTCCTTTGTAGGGACATGGATGAAGCTGGAAACCATCATTCTCAGCAAACTATAGCAAGGACAAAAAACCAAACACCGCATGTTCCCACTCATAGGTGGGAATTGAACAATGAGAACACTTGGACACAGGAAGGGGAACATCACACACTGGGGCCTGTTGTGGGGTGTGGGGAGAGGGGAGAGATAGCATTAGGAGATATACCTAATGTTAAATGATGAGTTAATGGGTGCAGCACACCAACATGGCCACATATATATATGTAACAAACCTGCACGTTTTGCACATGTACCCTAAAACTTAAAGTATAATAAAAAATAAAAAATAAAATAAAATAAAATGCCCTAAAAAAATAAAATAAAATGCTTCTCATTTTGGGTTTGTTATTTCTCACTACTAAATTCAGGTTATGCCAGAATACTATATAAGCAATGTTGTGTTCATCTTGGGATATCACATATGAAGGCACAAAATATTCATCTTGTCCTCATTGGTGATATTAATTTTGATCTTCTGTTCAAGAGGTTACCTGGTTTCTCCCTTACAAATTTACTACTTTTTCCTTAGTTATTAGTATGCAATCTGTGGAGAGACACCTTAAAGCTGTGTAAACATTTAGCTGCTTATCATGTTGGGTGCTTTGTATCCTTCCTGTCTCAGCCTAAATGTCACCTCCTCAAAGATATCTTCCTTGACCATCTCTAAAATGGGCCTCCTTCTTTTGCTTTCAATTGCAACCCTGTCCAATTTCTTCACAGCACTCACCCTAATTTGTGATGACATATCTATTTGTGCATTTGTTATGTCTGTAGCATATTTCCACTGGACTGTAAGCTTGATAAAGGTGGGGGTCAGATCTATTTTGTCTACTGTTTCCTCTCTAGCACCTAACGCAATGCCTGGAACACAATAGATGCTCAATAAATATATGTTGAATGAATGGATAAATGAATAAGAAGAATGCGTGTGTGGTATGGAAAGGATTTGCTAAACACCTGAGGACCCCACTGGTGCTGTCCTTTTGGTGAGAAATCCTCTTATTAATCTTCATTAACTTTGCAATCCATGTTCTATTTTTTTCTTCTTTCTGGAAGGGAAGGTGCCATGATCAGGTGTGACCTACCATACATGGCTTTTAAACTTCACTTTCCTGCTGAGTTATCCATTATGTGGTAGAAAGGGCTAAAACCACTCTGGCAGGCTTTATAATTCAATAAATGCATAATCACGCAAGTGTGCCAGTAGCCACTGGCAGGAAGCTGATTGATTGGCAGGCTAGACTCCATGACAGTTGTCTTCTGAAAGAAATTTCTACAGCTCCCTGGAGATGATTCTGCAAAGGACCCCTCTGGATAATCGGGTTGGTTATTTCCCTCATATTAAAAAAAAATAAAGAAACAAAACACTACCCAATCCCACGTGCAGATTAAGAAAGAAGTGGTTCTAGGAAGAAGTATAAAGTAGGCCAAATCTATTATTGGAATTTTTTTCTTTGGGCAGATTTCTTCTGCCTTATGAAGTGCATACTGCCCCTCACTCCCAGCACCCAATGTCTTGCTGCTGTCCCTGTACATTTCTCTCTCCAGGTGGCATCATAAGTGTTGCTCTTCCCCTGCACTTGTTATGACTTATTGGACTAGCTTTGTGACTATGGGCAGTACATGACAATTTTTCTTTTAAATTAAAGAAATCCTGTGTTTCAAAAACTTGTGAAAATATATTTAAAAGCAGAGTCAGGGAGACTGCCACACCATTTTGCCCACTACAAGTACCTACTGATATCAAGAGATAGTACAATAGCCTCTGTTTTTATAGGACTTACTATATTAGCTCTATTCTTTTTTTATATTTTTTATTATACTTTAAGTTCTAGGGTACATGTGCACAACGCGCAGGTTTGTTACACATGTATACATGTGCCATGTTGGTGTGCTGCACCCGTTAACTCGTCATGTACATTAAGTGTATCTCCTAATGCTATCCCTCCCCTCTCCCCACACCCCACAACAGGCCCCAGTGTGTGATGTTCCCCTTCCTGTGTCCAAGTGTTCTCATTGTTCAATTCCCACCTATGAGTGAAAACATGCGGTGTTTGGTTTTTTGTCCTTGCTATAGTTTGCTGAGAATGATGGTTTCCAGCTTCATCCATGTCCCTACAAAGGACATGAACTCATCTTTTTTATGGCTGCATAGTATTCCATGGTGTATATGTGCCACATTTTCTTAATCCAGTCTACCATTGTTGGACATTTGGGTTGGTTCCAAGTCTTTGCTATTGTGAGTAGTGCTGCAATAAACATATGTGTGCATGTGTCTTTATAGCAGCATGATTTATATTCCTTTGGGTGTATACCCAGTAATGGGATTGCTGGGTCAAATGGTATTTCTAGTTCTAGATCCCTGAGGAATCGCCACACTGTCTTCCACTATATTAGCTCTATTCTAAACTGTAACTCTCTAGAGAAAAAAATAGAAAATAGGGAACAAAGGTAAGGCAATTTGACTAATGAAAAGAGGATGCAAATTAAAAGCAAACTGGAAAGCAAGAGCGATATTAAGGGTGTGGTGAGAGACTGAAGTGGAGATGCTTGAGAAATACGTCAGAGTATGCTCTGGTTTGGGAAATTGAAGAAGAGGTTAGATATTTAAAGTACAATCCCATTGGTGATAAATGACCATCCTTTTCTTGTGACTCCTTCCCCAACTGGTCATCCCTCACACAACCATATACAGCAGGCACATTTCAGGGCTTAGAATGACACACCAAGTAACAACCATCTTTTACAAGGTTGTGAAGAGCTTGCCAGAAGGCTAAGCCAGGGAATCTGTTCAATTCCATTGGCTCCCACCATCAGTTGCTGGAATAGGAACCCCCTAATGACATAGACAGCCATCAGTGATGCAAACATGATAAGTAAGACAGAACCCATCCCGAGGTGGGAGATCTCCGGGGAATAGACCAGGCTCCTATCCATCTCAAAGAGGTAGAAACAATCTTGGACTTTGTCTTCCTCCTCAGACACAGGGTTAAAATTGCCCACTAGGGTGTGTTGATAGTCTTTACTCCTATTATCACTGCTGCATGACAATGCTGCTTCTGGCTACAGTGGTTGTTGTATTCATCACCCTCTTTATAGATCAGCATGATCCAGTTACTTCCATTGAAGACATGAGTCTGGTTGGGTCTGCCTACCTCCTCCCTGTTACTTTTATTGATTGGCACTAGGCCTGCCCCAGATATGTGATTACTAGCTTCCCAGCATGCCCTGAACATGTATATGTATATATCTGGGCCCTGGTCCACAGTGCTCTCAAAGCTTTTGTTAAACACTGGTTTCAGCCACTTCAGTAGAGCCAACTTGTTCCCTGACTCTTTACCTTTTTCTCTACCAGGTCACAGGTTTTTTCTTTGGTGTGACAGCACTGTCTTTCTGCCACAGCCAGGAGTAGCAACAGTGGCAGTCTAGCCTTTTGGTAGCTGTAGAAAAGGGACATCTTGCTACAGGCAAGGGGAATAGGAAAGTCTCAGAATTCTCCAGCAAATACCTGTCTGAGGCTGGGACATGGGGCTAGATGTGAACCCCAGTCCTAGAGTCAGTGTCAACTCATAACCTTTTGCATTATATTTAAATTGGAATTGGCAAGAGAAGAAAGAAAGATATAGATGTGAAATAGCCTACATAGTGCCTGGCATATAGTAGGCATTAAATAAAATGTCTAAGGCTGTGCTGTCCGCTTTCAATGATAACAGCACATTGTAGGACAATGAATATGAATATTATACTAATTTGATACAGGTTAATGTGCAGTCACTACCTCAGGGATTTGCTAGCTTGCTTACCCTGGGGTTTTGCTCTCTGGTAGCCAATGACTTCTGGTAGTGCAATATTTTAAGCCCCACAAAATGAATTTTGTGCCACTGGTGGTTTCTGAGGCACAGTAAGCAGCCAGCCAGTGGGCAGTGGGTATTTTCATGAGCTGCCTAGACTTTCATGTTCAGAGAGTATCTATTATGTAATTTATTCAAGATTTAACACATATTTGTTATGACTTCTCTGGTAGATTATTACATTGTTCATCCATATTCAGTGTCCCTCCCTGCAGCATCTCTGCCTTTAGAAGGGTTATACTTCCCTACTCCTTCAAAAATCAGGCTTAGACATATGACTTGCTTCAGTCAACGAACTATGAGCAGAAGTGACATGTGTGACTTCTAGGTGGAAGCTTAAAGAAACAGTGCTTGCTTTGCCACATTCCCTTTCCCATATGCTTTGTTGACTGGCAACATCCCAGATGGTTCCTTTTCTATTGACTAGTGTCCCAGAGTGAGGTCAACTAAGATCTACTATGAGTAGAACCATCTACACTGCCCTTCTACCAACCTATTTTGGACATGTAGTATGGCAAGAAGCAAACATTTATTATAAGCCACTGAAATTTTGAGATTGCTTCTTACTGAAGCATAACCTAGCTTGTAAAGCTTCCAAGGATGCCAGAAGAGTGACTATAAGCAATTCATCTGCAGTTGGTATATGATATGGTTAGGTTCAGTGCCCCACCCAAATCTCATCTTGAATTGTAATCCCCATAATCACCATTTGTCAAGGGCAGGACCTGGTGGGAGATGATTGGATCCTGGGGGTGGTTTCTCCCATGCTGTTCACATAGTGAGTGAGTTCTCACAAGATCTGATGGTTTTAGACGGGGCTCGTACCCTTCACTCTCTCACTCTCTCTCACCTGCTGCCATGTAAGACATGCCTTTGCTTCTCTCTCAACTTCCACCATGATTATAAGTTTCCTGAGGCTTGCCCAGCAATGTGGAACTGTCAATTAAACAATTAAACATCTTTCCTCTATAAATTACCCCCAGTCTCGGGTATGTCTTTATAACAGTGCGAGAATGGACTAACACAGTACATGACAACTCTGAGCTTGGGCTGAGGGTCCAACTCACTTCTTGCTTTGATTCTGGTATAAATATTGAAAATCCCAAGTCACAGAGCTCAGGAAGTCCAGGTGTGAGAGTCCTCTAAAGACAAAGACTCTTCTGTGACTAAGCAGTCTCTCTCTTTGCCCCCTCTCTATAGGTAATGATGTAGAACCTCTGAGCTGGCCCCCTGAGGTCCCAGTTCAGTGACTGTCAAAACTTTATGAGAAGTATATTGTAAATCTTTGCTTTCTCTCATCATAAACCAGTGTGAGAGTTGGCATTGTGTTGCAATGGGAATTTTCTGCTTTTAGTGGTTTGACACTTTAGCCCTTTTGTTACAAATCCAGTTTTAATTTTCTTTACATAGTCCAGGCACAGCACATAAAGCTCTGTACACTGGGGAGGGCTATATGGTCAGTTACATTAGGGGCTAAGTTTTTTATTTTTTTTTTAACTTTGCTGAAATTGATTACAAGTGTTTTAACAAGTACCCAGGTTATTTCCTTGTCTGGGCAGCTCAGGGACAAGGGGGAAACCAAGTTGTCAGAGCATACACAAAACTTGTTGGTATTCATTCTGGTATAAATATTGAAATTGGTGAATTTGGGAAAGCCCTGTATGGGAAGGTACATAGCAGATGGGTGGAAAACAAAGTACTGACTACCACTGCTTTTTCTAGCTTTTGTTTTACTTTGATAACATTTTACATATGTATACACTTTTTAACTACTACCCAGAACAAGATATCAAACATTTCCAACATTCCAAAAAGTTCCCTTATCCTCTTCCTCATCAATACGTCCCCATTCCAGAACAAGCAACTGTTCTGACCGCTATCATCTTAGATTACTTTAGCCTGTTTCAGCAATTTGTACCAATGGAATCACATAGTATGCACATTTTTGTGTATGATTTCTGTATAACTGGGTTTTTAAAATTTTTAATTTTAACTTTTTCTGGGTGCATAGTAGGTGCATATTTCTATGGGTTACATGAGATATTTTGATACAGATATGCAATGCATAATAATCACATCAGGGTAAATGGGGTTCCCATTACCTCATGCATTTATCCTTTGTGTAACAAACAATCCAATTATACTTTTACTTATTTTTAAATGTACAATTAAATTATTTTTGGCTATAGTCATGCTGTTGTGCTAGGAAATACTAGGTCTCATTCATTCTTTCTACTACTTTTTGTACCTATTAACCCTCTTGAATCCCCCTCCACCCCCTGATTTCCCTTCTTAGCCTTCTACACTCTGTCTCCATGAGTTCAACTGTTTTAATTTTTAGCCCTCATAAATCAGTGAGAATATGCGATGTTTGTCTTTCTGTTCCTGAGTAATTTCACTTAACATAATGACTTCCACTTCGATCCATGTTGTTACAAATGACTGTATCTCATTCTTTTTATGGCTACATAGGTCTGCACTGTGTATATGTACCACATTTTCTTTATTCATTAATCTGTTGATGGACACTTAGATTGCTTTCAAATCATGGCTATTGTAAATAGTGCCTCAATAAACATGGGAATGCAGATCTCTTTGATATACTAATTTCTTTACTTTTACATACACACCTAGGAGTGGAATTACTGGATTGTATGGTAGTTATATTTATAATTTTTTGAGGAACCTCCAAGCTGTAATCCATAGCGGTTTTACTAACCTACATTTCCACCAGCAGTGTACGAGGGTTCCCTTTTCTCCACATCCTCCCCAGGCATTTGTTATTGGCCGACTTTTGGATAAAAGCCATTTTAACTGAGGTGAGTTGATATCTCATTGTAGTTTTGATTTGCATTTCTCTGATGATCAATGATGTTGGCCACCCTCCTATATACCCATTTGCCATTTGTATGTCTTCTTTTGAGAAATGTGTATCAGATCTTGGGATCTTTTTCTTAATTGGATTATAAGATTTTTTTTCCTATATAATTGCTTGAGTTCCTTACTTATTCTGGTTATTAATCTCTTGACAAATGGGTAGTTTGCTAATATTTTCTCTCATTCTGTGGGTTGTCTCTTCACTTTATTGACTGATTGTTTCCTTTGCTGTGCAGAAGCTTTTTAACTTGATGCAATCCCATTTGTCCATTTTTTCTTTGGTTGCCTGTGCTTGTGGGGTATTACTGAAGAAATCTTTGCCATGTTCAGTGTCCTGGAGAGTTTCTCCAATGTTTTCTTATAGTGGTTTCATGGTTTGAAGTTTTAGATTTAAGTCTTTAGTTCATTTTGATTTGATTTCTGTATATGGCAAGAGATAGGGTCTAGTTCCTTCTTCTGCATATGAGTATCCAGTTTTCTCAGTATCCAGTTTTTCTCTCAGTATTGGAGATACTGTTTGTTACCCCATGTACGTCCTAGGCATCTTTATCATAAGTGAGTTCGCTGTAGATGTATGGATTTGTTTCTGGGTTCTCTACTCTGTTTCATGGGTCTAGTCTATGTGTCTGTTTTTCTGCCACTACTGTGCTGTTTGGTTATTATAGCTCTGCAGTATAATTTAAAGTCGGGTAATATGATTCCTCCAGTTTTTTTTTTCTTTTTTTGCTTAGGATAGTTACGGGTATTCTGGGTCTTTTGTGGTGCAACATAGATTTTAGAGCTTTTTCTATTTTTGTGAAGAACGTCATTGGTATTTTCATAGGGATTGCAATTAATTTATAGATTGCTTTGGGTAGCATGGACATTTTAACAATATTTATTCTTACAACACATGGACATGGAATATCTTTCCATTTTTGTGTGTGTCCTCTTCAATTTTTTGCATCAATGTTTGATGGTTTTCATTGTAGAGATCTTTCACTTGTTTGATAATTACTAGATATTTTATTTTTTTTTACAGCTATTGGAAATGGGATTACCTTTTAATTTCTTTTTCATATTGTTCACTGTTGGCACATAGAAATGTTATTAATTTTTTGTTCTTTTTTTATTATTATACTTTAAGTTCTGGGATACATGTGCAGAACGTGCAGGTTTGTTACATAGGTATACATGTGCCATGGTGGTTTCCTGCACCCATCAACCTGTCAGGTACATTAGGTATTTCTCCTAATGCTATCCCTCCCCTAGCCATGCAGCCTCTGACAGGCCCTGGTGTGTGATGTTCCCCTCCCTGTGTCCATGAGTTCTCATTGTTCAACTCCCACTTATGAGAGAGAACATGCAGTGTTTGGTTTTCTGTTCCTGTATTAGTCTGCTGAGAAAGATGGTTTCCAGCTTCATCCATGTCCCTGCAAAAGGCATGAACTCATCCTTTTATATGGCTGCATAGTATTCCATGGTATACATGTGCCATATTTTCTTTATCTAGTCTATCATTGATGGGCATTTGGGTTGGTTTCAAGTCTTTGCTATTGTGAACAGTGCTGCAATAAACATACATGCGCATGTGTCTTTAGAGTAAAATGATTTATAATCCTTGGGGTATATATCCAGTAATGGGATTGCTGGGTCAGAAGGTATTTCTGGCTCTACATCATTGAGGAATCACCACACTGTCTTCCACAATGGTTGAACTAGTGTAAACCCTCACCAACAGTGTAAAAGCATTCCTATTTCTCCAAATCCTTTCCAGCATCTGTTGTTTCCTGATTTTTAAGTGACCTCCATTCTAACTGGCATGAGATGGTATCTCATTGTTGTTTTGATTTGCAGTTCTCTAACGACCAGTGATGATGAACTTTTTTTCATATGTTTGTGGGCCACATAAATGTCTTCTTTTAAGAAGTGTCTGTTCATATCCTTCACCCATTTTTTTGATGGAGAGGTTTTTTTCTTGTAAATTTGTTTAAGTTCCTTGTAGATTCTGGATATTAGCCTTTTATCAGATTGATAGATTGCAAAAATTTTCTCCCATTCTTTAGGTTGCCTGTTCATGCTGAAGATAGTTTCTTTTGCTGTGCAGAAGCTCTTTAGTTTAATTAGATCCCATTTGTCAATTTTGCCTTTTGTTGCCATTGCTTTTGGTGTTTTAGTCATGGAGTCTTTGCCCATGCCTATGCCCTGAATGGTGTTGCCTAGGTTTTCTTCTAGGGTTTTTATGGTTTTAGGTCTTACATTTAAGCCTTTAATACATCTTGAGTTAATTTTTGTATAAGATGTAAGGAAGGGGTTCAGTTTCAGTTTTCTGCATATGACTAGCCAGTTTTCCCAGCACCATTTATTAAATAGGGAATCCTTTCCCCATTGCTTGTTTTTGTCAGGTTCATCAAAGATCAGATGGTTGCAGATGTGTGGCGTTACATCTGAGGCCTCCGTTCTGTTTCATTGGTCTATATATCTGTTCTGGTACCAGTACCATGCTGTTTTGGTTACTGTAGCCTTGTAATATAGTTTGAAGTCAGGTAGCATGGTATCTTCAGCTTTGTTCTTTTTGCTCAGAATTGTCTTGGCTATACGGGCTCTTCTTTGGTTCCACATGAAATTTAAAGTAGTATTTTCTAATGCTGTGAAGAAAGTCAATGGTAGCTTAATGGGGACAGCATTGAATCTATACTCTGGGTAGTATGGCCATTTTCACAATATTGATTCTTCCTATCCATGAGCATGGAATGCTTTTCCATTTGTTTGTGTCCTCTCTTATTTCCTTGAGCAGTGATTTGTAGTTCTCCTTGAAGAGGTCCTTCACATCCCTTGTAAGTTGGATTCCTAGGTATTTTATTCTCTTTATAGTAACTGTGAATGGGAGTTCACTCATGATTTGGCTCTCTGTTTGTCTATTATTGGCATGTAGGTATGCTTGTGATTTTTGCACATTGATTTTGTATCCTGAGACTTTGCTGAAGTTGCTTATCAGTTTAAGGAGGTTTTGGGCTGAGAAGGTGGGGTTTTCTAAATATACAATCATGTCCTCTGCAAAGAGAGACAAATTGACTTCCTCTCTTCCTATTTGAATGCCCTTTATTTCTTTCTCTTGCCTGATTGCCCTGGCCAGAACTTCCAATACTATGTTGAATAGGAGTGGTGAGAGAGGGCATCCTTGTCTTGTGTGGATTTTTCAAAGGGAATGCTTCCAGCTTTTGCCCATTCAGTATGATATTGGCTGTGGGTTTGTCATAAATAGCTCTGATTATTTTGAGATACATTCCATCAATACCTAGTTTATTGAGAGTTTCTAGCATGAAGGGGTGTTGAAATTTATTGAAGGCCGTTTCTGCATTTATTGAGATAATCATTTGTTTTTTGTCATTGGTTCTGTTTATGTGATGAATTATGTTTATTGATTTGCATATATTGAAGCAGCCTTGCATCCCAGGGATGAAGCTGACTTGATTGTGGTGGATAAGTTTTTGATATGCTGCTGGGTTCCATTTGCCAGTATTTTATTGAGGATTTTGCATCGGTGCTCATCAGGGATATTGGCCTGAAATTTGTTTTTGTTGTTGTGTCTCTGCCAGGTTTTGGTATCAGGATGATGCTGGTCTCATAAAACGAGTTAGGGATGATTCCCTCTTTTTCTATTGTTTAGAATAGTTTCTGAAGGAATGGTTCCAGCTCCTCTTTGTACCCTGGTAGAATTCAGCTGTGAATCCTTCTGGTCCTGGACTTTTTTTTGTTGGTAGGCCATTAATTACTGCCTCAATTTCAGAATTTGTTATTGGTATATTCAGGGATTCAACTTCTTCCTGGTTTAGTCTTGGGAGGGTGTATGCTTCCAGGAATTTATTCATTTCTTGTAGATTTTCCAGTTTAATTGCACAGAGGTGTTTATAGTATTCTCTGATGGTAGTTTGTATTTCTGTGGGATCAGTGGTGATCTCCCCTTTATCATTTTTCATTGCATCTATTTGATTCTTCTCTGTTTTCATATTGGTCTTGCTAGCATCTATCTATTTTGTTAATCTTTTCAAAAAAACCGTCTCCTGGATTCATTGATGTTTTTTGAAGGGTTTTTCATGTCTCTATCTCCTTCAGTTCTCCTCAGATCTTAGTTATTTCTTCTCTTTTGCTAGCTTTTGAATTTGTTTGCTCTTGCTTCTCTAGTTCTTTTAATTATGATGTTAGAGTGTTGACTTTAGATCTTTCCCACTTTCTCCTGTTGGCATTTAGTGCTATAAATTTCCCTCTAAACACTGCTTTAGCTGTGTCCCAGAGATTCTGGTACATTGTGTCTTTGTTCTCATTGGTTTCAAATAACTTACTTGTTTCTGCCTTAATTTCATTATTTACCCAGGAGTCATTCAAGAGCAAGTTGTTCAGTTTCCCTGTAGTTCAGTTTTGAGTGAGTTTCTTACTCCTGGGTTCTACTTTGATTGCACTGTGGTCTGAGACACTATGTGTTATGAATTCCATTCTTTTGCATTTTTTGAGGAGTGTTTTACTTTGAATTATGTGGTGAATTTTAGAATAAGCATGATATGGTGCTGAGAAGAATGTGTATTCTGCTGATTTGGGGTGGAGAGTTCACTAGATGTCTATTACGTCCTCTTGGTCCAGAGCTGCATTCAAGTCCTGAATATCCATGTTAATTTTCTGTCTCGTTGATCTGTGTAATATTGACAGTGGGTTTTAAATCTCCCACTATTATCGTGTGGGAGTCTAAGTCTCTTTGTAGGTCTCTAAGAACTTGCTTTATGAACCTGGGTGCTCCTGTATTGGGTGCATATATATTTAGGATAGTTAGCTCTTCTTGTTGCATTGATCCCTTTACCATTATGTAATGCCCTTCTTCATCTATTTTGATCTTTCTTGGTTTAAAGTCTGTTTTATCAGAGACTAGAATTGAAACCAATGGGTTTTTTTGCTTTTCATTTGCTTGGTAAATATTCCTGCATCCCTTTATTTTGAGCCTGTGTGTGTCTTTGCATGTGGGATGGGTCTCCTGAATACAGCACACCGATGGGTCTTAACTCATTATCCAATTTGCCAGTCTGTGCCTTTTAATTGGTGCATTTAGCCCATTTCCATTTAAGATTAATATTGTTATGTGTGAATTTGATCCTGTCATTATGATGATAGCTGGTTATTTTGCCTGTTAGTTGATGCAGTTTCTTTATAGTGTTGATAGACTTTACAATTTGGTATGTTTTTGCAGTGGCTGGTACCAGTTTTTCCTTTCCATATTTAGTGCTTCCTTCAGTAGCTTTGTAAGGCAGGCATGGTGGTGACAAAATATCTCAGCATTTGCTTGTCTGTAAAGGATTTTATTTCTCCTTTGTTTATGAAGCTTCGTTTGCCTGGATATGAAATTCTGGGTTGAAAATTCTTTTCTTTAAGAATGTTGAATATTGGCACCCCCTCTCTTCTGGCTTGTAGGCTATCTGCAGAGAGACCCACTGTTAGTCTGATGGGCTTCCCTTTGTGGGTAACATAGGCTTTCTCTCTGGCTGCCCTTAACATGTTTTTCTTCATTTCAACCTTGGTGAATCTGATGATTATGTGTCTTCGGGTTGCTCTTCTCAAGGAGCATCTTTGTGGTATTCTCTGTATTTCCTGAATTTGAATGTTGACCTGTCTTGCTATGTTGGGGAAGTTCTCCTGGATAATATCCTGCAGAGTGTTTTCCAACTTGGTTCCATTCTCCCTGTCACTTTCAGGTACACCAAAAAAATGTAGGTTTGGTCTTTTCACATAGTCCCATATTTCTTGGAGGCTTTGCTCATTCCTTTTCATTCTTTTTTCTCTAATCTTGTCTTCATGCTTTATTTCATTAAGTTGATCTTCAGTCTCTGATATCCTTTCTTCCACTTGATTGATTCAGCTTTGATACTTGTGTATGCTTAACAAAGTTTTTGTGCTGAGTTTTTCAGCTACATCAGGTCATTTATTTTCTTCTCTAAGCTGGTTATTCTAGTTGGCAATTCCTCTAACCTTTTTTTCAAGGTACTTAGCTTCCTTGCATTGGGTTAGAACATGTTCCTTTAGCTCAGAGGAGTTTATTACCCACCTTCTGAAGCCTACTTCTGTCAACTTATCAAACTCATTCTCTATGTAGTTTTGTTCCCTTGCTGGCAAAGAGTTGTGATCCTTTGGAGGAAAAGAGGCATTCTGGTTTTTGGAATTTTCAGGCTTTTTGCGCTGGTTTTTCCTCATCTTCATAGATTTATCTACCTTTGGTCTTTGATGTTGGTGACCTTCCGATGGGGTTTTGGTGTGGACGTCCTTTTTGTTGATGTTGAGTCCATTCCTTTCTGTTTGTTACTTCTCCTTAAACAGTCAGGCCCCTCTGCTGCCGGTCTCCTGAAGTTTGCTGGAGGTCCACTCCAGACACTGTTTGCCTGGGTATCACCAGTGGAGGCTGCAGAACAGCAAAGTTTGCTGCCTGTTCCTTCCTCTGGAAGCTTCATCCCTGAGGGGCATCTGCCAGATGCCTGCCAGACCTCTCCTGTATGAGGTGTCTGTTGACCCCTGCTGGGAGGTGTTTCCCAGTCAGGAGGCATGGGGGTCAGGGACCCACTTGAGCAGGCTGTCTGTCCCTTAGCAGAACTCGAGCACTGTGCTGGGAGATCCACTGTTCTCTTCAGAGCTGGCAGGCAGGAATGTTTAGGTCTGCTGAAGCTGCACCCACAGCCACCCCTTCCCCCAGGTGCTCTGTCCCAGGGAGATGGGAGTTTTATCTATAAGCCCCTGACTGAGGCTGCTGCCTTTTTTTCAGAGATGCCGTGCTCAGAGAGGAGGAATCTAGAGAGGCAGTCTGGCTACAGCAGCTTTGCCAAGTTGCCATGGGCTCCACCCAATTCGAACTTCCTGGTGGCTTTGTGTACACTGTGAGGGAAAAATCACCTACTCAAGCCTCAGTAATGGTGGACACCCCTCCAGGCACCAAGCTCCAGCATCCCAGGTTGACTTCAGACTGCTGTGCTGGCAGTGAGAATTTCGAGCCAGTGGATCTTAGCTTGCTGGGCTTTGTGGGGGTGGGATTCACTGAGATAGACCACTGGGCTCCCTGGCTTCAGCACTCTTTCCAGGGGAGTGAATGGTTCTGTCTCACTGGCATTCCAGCTGCCACTGGGGTATGAAAAAAAAAAAAAACTCCTTCAGCTAGCTTGGTGTCTGCCGAAATGGCCACCCAGTTTTGTGCTTGAAACCCAGGGCCCTGATGGTGTAGGCACCTGAGGGAATCTCCTGGTTCGTGGGTTGTGAAGACCATGGGAAAATCATAGTGTCTGGGCTGGAGTGCAGCATTCCTCATGGCGCAGTCCCTCGTGGCTTCCCTTGGCTAGGGAACGGAGTTCCCCTATCCCCTGTGCTTCCTGGGTGAGGTGATGCCCCACCCTGCTTTGGCTCACCCTCCATGGGCTGCACCCACTGTCTAACCAGTCCCAATAAGATGAGCTGTATACCTCAGTTGGAAATGCAGAAATCACCCACCTTCTGTGTTGATCTCTCTGGGAGCTGCAGACCAGAGCTGTTTCTATTCATCCATCTTGCCCACCACCTGAAATGCTACTAATTTTTGTATGTTTATTTTGTATTCTGCAACTTTACTGAATTTGTTTATCAGTTGTAATAGTTTTTTCATGGAATCTTTTTGATTTTCCAAATATAAGATCATAACATCTGCAAACAAGGATAATTTGATTTCTTCCATTCCAATTTGGATGTACTTTATAACTTTCTCCTGTCTGATTGCTCTAGCTATTACTTACAGTACTAGGTTGAATATCAGCAGTGAAAGTGGGCATCATTGTTATGTTCCAGATCTTAGAGGTAAGCCTTTCAGTTTTTCCCTATTCCGTATGATACTAGCTGTGGGTCTGTCATATATGGCTTTTATTATGTTGAGGTGTGTTCCCTCTATCCTCAGTGTTTTGATGGTTTTTATCATGAAGGGATGTTGAACTTTACCAAATGCTGTTTCAGAATCAATTGAAATGATCATATGGTTTTTTGTCCTTTATTCTGTTGATGTGATGTATCACATTGATTGATTTGTGTATGTCAAACCATCCTTGGATCCCTGGGATATCAACATGGTCATGATGGATGAACTTTTTTATGTGTTATTAAATTTGATTTACCCTAATACCAAAATCAGACAAAGACACATCAAAAAAAAAAGAGAAAACAATAGGCCAACATCACTGGTGAATATTGATTCAAAAATCCTCAGCAAAATACTGGCTGACAGTATCAGACAAAAATCAGACAAAGGCAGTATTTTGCTGAGGATTTTTGCATCAATATTCATCAGTGATATTGACCTATTTTTTCTTTTTTTTTCATGTGTCTTTGTCTGATATTGGAATCAGAGTAATACTGCCTTTGAAGAATGACTTTGGAAATATTCCCTCCTCTTCTATTTTTGGAATAGTTTGAGTATGATTAGAATCAGTCCTTCTAAAAGTTTGGTATAATTTAGGAGTGAAGCCAATTAGATCCCATTCTTTTCTTTGCTGGGAGACTTTTTATTATGGCTTTGATCATGTTATTTGATATTGGTCTGTTCAGGTTTTGGGTTTCTTCATGGTTCAATCTTGTTAGGTTGTATGTGTCTAGAAATTTGTCCATTTCTTCTAGAGTTTCCAATTTATTGGCATATATTTGCTCATAGTAGCCACTAATTATTCTCTGAATTTCTGCATTATGAGTGGTAACATCTCCTTTTTCATCTTTGATTTTATTTATTTGAATATTCTCTGTTTTTTTCTTATTCTGACTAAAGGTTTGTTGATTTTGTTTAACTTAAAAAAACAACTTTTGTTTAATTTATCTTTTCTATTGTTTTCTTCATTTCAAATTGATTTATTTCTACTCC
Source organism: Homo sapiens (assembly GCF_000001405.40). Taxonomy (NCBI): domain Eukaryota; kingdom Metazoa; phylum Chordata; class Mammalia; order Primates; family Hominidae; genus Homo; species Homo sapiens. The sequence continues at coordinate 110,624,689 of NC_000023.11, read as the reverse complement.
AATCTTTACTATTTCTTTTCTTGTACTAATTTTGGGTTTGGTTTGTCTTGCTTTTCTGGTTCTCTAACATGCATTGTTAAGTTGTTCATTTGAACTTTTTCTTCTTTTTGATGTGAGGCACTTACAGCTATAAACTTCCCTCTTACTTTCACTGTATCTCTTAGGATTTGGTCTGTTGTGTTTTCATTATCATTGGTTTCAAATAATTTTTCAATTTCCTTCTTAATTTCTTCATTGACCCACTAGTCATTAAGAAGCATATTGTGTAATATCGATATGTTTTAGAGTTTTCAAAAATTCCTCTTTTTTTTGATTTCTAGTTTCATTCTTTTGGGGTCAGAGAAGATGCTTGAGATTATTTCAAATTTTTTGAATGTCTTAAGACTTGTTTTGTGACCTAACATATGGTTTATCATTGGGAATGATCCATGTACTGAGGAAAAGAAGGTGCATTCTGCAGTCATTCAATAAAATGTTCTGTAAAAATCTATTAAGGTCCATTTGTTCTACAGTGTGCAGATTAAGTCAGAAGTTTCTTGTCTGAAAGATCTGGCCAGTGCTGAAAGTGGGGTGTTGAAGTTTCCAGGTATTATTGTATTGAGGTGTATCTCTCACTTCAGCTTTGATAATATTTGCTTTATATATCTGGGTGCTTCATTGTTGCATGCATACATATATGAAATTTTTATATCCTATTGCTGAATTGACTCCTTTATCATTATATAATGACCTTCTCTGTCTCTTCTTATAGTTTTTGTCTTGAAATCTATTTTTTCTGGTATAGGTATAGCTACTCCTACTTTTTTCGTTTCCATTGCCATGGAATATATGTTTTCATCACTTTATTTTCAGTCTACTGTGTTTCTTGTAGGCAACAGATCATTGGGTCTTATTTTTTTGTTGTTGTTTGTTTTAATCCATTCAGCTACTCTATGTCTTTTGATTGAAGAGTTTAGTCCATTTACATTCAATATTATTATTGATAATTAAGAACTTACTTCTGCCACTTTGTTACTTGTTTTCAGATTGATTGTAATCTTCTTTCTTTCCTTCCTTCTTGTTTGACTTTTAGTGATTTTCTCTAATTGTATGATTTAATTTCTTCTGTTTTATTTTTTGTGTATCTTTTGTATTTTTTTGACTTGAGGATACCATGAGGCTTTTAAATATTATCTTATAACTCATTATTTTAAGCTGGAAAAAACCTTAACACTGTTTGCCTAAACAAACAAAAAAGCAAAAAGAAAACTAATAAAAATTCCACACTTTAACTTTGTCCCCCACTTTTTAACTTTTTACTATTTCTATCTTATCGTGCTGTCTATGTCTTGAAAAGTTGTAGTTATTATTTTTATTTGGCTCATCATTCAGTATGTCTACTTAGGATAAGTGGAGTTCACACACTACAGTTACAATGGCATAATACACTGTGTTTTTCTGTGTGCTTACTATTACCAGTGAGTTTTGTACCTTCAGATGATTGCTTATTTCTCATTAACACTCTTTTCTTTCTGACTGAAGTACTTCCTTTAGCATTTCTTGTAGGACAGGTCTCATGTTGATAAAATCATTCAGCTTTTGTTTGTCTAGAAAAGTCTTTATTTCTCCTTCATGTTTGAAGATTATTTTCAGCAGATAAACTATTCTAGGGTAAAAGATTTTTTTTCCTTCAGCACTTTAAATGTCTCATGCCACTCTCCTGATCTGTAAGGTTTCCACTGAAAAGTCTGCTGCCAGACATATTGGAACTCCATGGTATGTTATTTCTTTTCTCTTGCTGCTTTTAGAATCCTTTCTTTATCCTTGACCTTTTGGAGTTTGATTATTAAATGCCTTGAGATAGTCTTCTTTGGGTTAAATCTGTTTGGTGTTCTATAACCTTCTTATACTTGGATATTGCTATGTTTCTTTTGATTTGGGAAGTTCTCAGTTATTATCACTTTGAATAAATTTTCTAAGCATATCGCTCATGTAACTCCTCTTTAAAGCCAGTTACTCTTAGATTTGCCATTTTGATGGTATTTTCCAAGTCCCATAGGTGTACTTCATTGTTTTTTATTATTTTTCCTTTTGTCTCCTCTGACTTTGTATTTTCAAATAGCCTGTCTTCAAGCTCACCAATTCTTTCTTCTGCTTGATCAATTCTTCTATTAAAAGTCTCTGATACATTCTTCAGTATGTCATTGCATTTGCCAATTCCACAATTTCTGCTTGATTCTTTCTATTTATTTCAACCTCTTTGTTAAGATTATCTTATAGAATTTTGAATTCCTTCTCTGATTTATCTTGAATTTCTTTGAGTTTCCTCAAAACAGCTATTTTGGACTTCTTGGGAAGATATTAGATAGAAGGCAGGACTAGCTTGCAGCTCCAGCTTGGATGGACAGAGCAGCATGTGGAGACTCACATCATGAACTTTTGCTCCAGAACTACTGCAGGAATATACCAGGAAAGCTGAGAAAATTCACAGACCCTTTGAAGGAAGTGGATTTCTCCTGCAGGACCCAGGAGACAGCCCAAATACTGTCAGTGTCCAAGCTGTGACAGTGGGAAAGGGGGATCGTTGGCCTCCGAACACACACCCTCACTGGGGAACCCAAAAGTCTAGATAACTGGAGAAGGGTTTGACCTTACCTGGAGCTGAGTCAATTTAGACAGCCAAATGAAATACAGGGGTAGAGGAAGCAGTGGGAAAAGCCCTGTGGGCTCTCTGAGTCCCCAGGGAAGCCATTTCAGACTTGTCTCACAGGGGTCCTTGGGGAGGGCTGCCAGAGGAACTGGGAAAAGACCACAGGGAGAAACTTCCAGCTGAACTTTGTAACAATTCCAACTGAATACAAAATCTCCTGACCAGAACTTGGGGGAGGGCATGAAACTGGTGTGCAGACTTGACAGGTGGGGAGGTGCAGAAGTACTGCTTGCTTTTTCAGTTGGGAGGCTGGAATCCTGGGGCAGGTTCTCAGCCCTGCTCACCCACTGCCTGAAAACAAACTCGGTGCTGTTGTGGGGGGCACACCTAACTGTGGCTCCACCTGATGGTCCTTTCCTACCCACCCTGGTAGCTGAAGACAAAGGACATATTCTCTTGGGAGTTCTAGGGCCCCACTCACCACCTGATCGTCCCTATAATACCACAGCTGATGCTCTCTTGAAAGCACTACCTCCTGGCAAAAGGCTAACCAGCACAAAATGTTGCATTAAACAACCAAAACTAAGGACTCTCACAGAGTCCATTTCACTCCCTTGCCACCTCCACTGGAGCAGGTACTGGTATCCACAGCTGAGAGAACTGAAGACCGTTCACATCACAGAACTCTGTGCAGACAACCCCCAGTGCCATCCTGGAGCCTGGTAGCCCTGCTGGGTGGTTAGATCCAAAAGAGAAATAACAATCACTAGAGTTTGGTTCTCAGGAAGCCACACCCTAGGAAAGGGGGGAGAATACTACATCAATGGAACACCCTGTGGGACAAAAGAATCTGAACAGCAGCCTTGAGCCCCAGCAGTCTTGAATCTTCCCACTGACACAGCCTACCAAAATGAGAAGGAACCAGAAAAACAATTCTGGTAATATGACAAAACACGGTTCTTTAACACCTTCCGAAATAACACCAGCTTGCCAAGCAATGGATCCAAACCAAGAAGAAATCCTTGATTTACCTGAAAAAGAATTCAGAAGTGTGATTAGTAAGCTAATCAAGGAGGCACTAGAGAAGGGTGAAGTCCAATTTAAGAAAATCAATAAAATGATACAAAATATGAGGGGAGAAATATACAGTGAAATAGCATAAATAAAAGACAATTACAACTTTAGGAAATGACACATTTAGAGAAATGCAAAATGTACTGGAAAGCCTCAGCAATAGAATTGAACAAGCAGAAGAAAGAACTTCAGAGCTCAAAGACAAGGTTTCTGAATTAACCCAATCCAACAAAAACAAAGAAAAAAGTATTTAAAATATGAACAAAGCCTCTAAGAAATTTGGGATTATGTTAAACAACCAAACATAATACTAATTGGTGTTCCCAAGGAAGAAGATAAATCTAAAAGTTTGGAAAACAGACTTGAGGAAATAATTGAGGAAAACTTCCCTGGTTTTGCCAGAGACCTAGGTATTTAAACACAAGAAGTTCAACAAACCCCTGGGAAATTCATCACAAAAAGATCATTGCCTAGGCACATAGTCATCAGGTTATCTAAAGTCAAGATGAAGGAAATTTTCTTAAGAACTGTGAGGCAAAAGCACCAGGTAATTGGTAAAGGAAAACCTATCAGATTAACATATCAGCAGAAACCCTACAGGTAAGGAGGGATTGGGGCCCTATCTTCAGCCTCTTTAAACAGAACATTTATCAGCCAAGAATTTTGTATCCAGTGAAACTAAGCTTCATAAGAGAAGGAAAGAAACAGTCTTTTTCAGACAAATAAATGCTGAGAGAATTTGCCACTGTCAAGCCAGCACTACAAGAACTGCTAAAGGGAGCCCTAAATCTTGAAACAAATCCTGAAAACACATTGAGACAGAACCTCCTTAAAGCATAAAACTCACAGGACCTATAAAACTAAAATACAATTAAAAAAACAACAAAGTATACAGGCAACAAATAGCACAATGAATGGACTAGTACCTCACATCTCAATCTAACATTAAGTGCAAATGGCCTAAATGCTCCACTTAAAAGATACAGAATGACAGAATGGATAAGAATTCACCAACCAAGTATCTGCTGCCTTCAAGAGAGTCACCTAACACATAAGGACTCACAAAAACTTAAGGTAAAGGGGTGGAAAAAGACATTCCATGAAAATGGACACCAAAAGTGAGCAGGGGTAGATATTCTTATACCAGACAAAACAAACTTTAAAGAAACAGTACTCAAAAAAAGACAAAGAGGGACATCATATAATGATAAAAAGCTTTGACCAACAGGAAAATACCACAATCCTAAATATATACGCACCTAACACTGGAGTTCCCAAATTTATAAAACAATTACTACTACACCTAAGAAATGAGATAGACAGCAACACAATAATAGTGGGAGACTCCAATACTCCACTGACAGCACTAGACAGGTCATCAAGACAGAAAGTCAACAAATAAAAAATGTATTTAAACTATACCCTGAAACAAAGGGACTTAACAGATATTTACAGAACATTCTACCCAACAACTACACAATAGACATTCTATTCATTGGTGCATGGAACTTTCTCGAAGATAGACCATATAATAGGTCACAAAACAAGTCTTGATAAATTTAAGAAAATTGAAATTAATCAAGTACTATCTCAGACCACAGTGGAATAAAATGGGAAATCAACTCCAAAAGGAACCTTCAAAAACATGCAAATACATGGAAATTAAATAAACAGCTCCTGAGTGATCATTGGGTTAACAATGAAATCAAGATGGAAGTTAAAAAAGTCTTTGAACTGAACAACAACAGTGACACCACCTATCAGAACTTCTGGGCTAGAGCAAACGCAATGCTAAGAAGAAAGTTCATAGGCCTAAATGCCTTCATCAAAAAGTCTGAAAGAGCACAAATAGACAATGTAAGGTTACACCTGAAGGAACTAGAGAAACAAAAACAAACCAAACCCAAACCCAGCAGAAGAAAGGAAATAACCAAGATTACAGCAGAACTAAATGAAATTGAAACGAAAAAGCAATACAAAAGATAAATGAAACAAAAAGCTGGATCTTTGGAAAGATAAATAAAATTGATAGACCATTAGTGAGATTAACCAAGAAAAGAAGAGAGAAGATCCAAATAAGCTCAATTAGAAATGAAATGGGAGATGTTACAACCAACTCCACAGAAATACAAAAGATCATTCAAGGCTACTATTAATACCTTTATGTATGTAAACTAGAAAACCTAGAGGAGATGGATAAATTCTTGGAAAGATAAAACCCTCCAAGCTTAAATCAGGGAAAATTAGAAACCCTGAACATACCAGTAACAAGCAGCAAGATTGAAATGGTAATAGAAACATTACCAACAAAGAAAAGTCCAGGACCAGACAGATTCACAGCTGAATTCTACCAGATATTCAAAGAAGAATTGGTACCAATCCTATTGGCACTATTCCACAAGATAGAGAAAAACAGAATCCTTTCTAATTCATTTTATGAAGTCAGTATCACCCTAATATCAAAACCAGGAGAGGACATAACAAAAAAAAGAAACTAAAGACCAATATCTCTGATGAACATAGATGCAAAATTTATTAACAAAATACTAGCTAACTGAAACCAACAGCATATCAAAAAAATAATCCACTATGATCAAGTGGGTTTCATAGCAGAGATGCAGGGATGGTTTAATATAGGCAAGTCAGTAAGTATGATACACCACATAAACACAATTAAAAACAAAAATCACATGATCATCTCAGTAGATGCAGAAAAAGCATTTGACAAAATCCAGCATCACTTTATGATTAAAACACTCAGCAAAATTGTTACACAAGGGACATACCTCAATGTAATAAAAGCAATCCATGACAAATCCAGAGCCAACATTATACTGAATGGGTAAAAGTTGAAAGCATTCCCTCTGAGAACTGGAACTAGACAAGTATGCCCACTCTCACCACTTCTATTCAACATAGTACTGAAAGTCCTAGCCAGAGCAATCAGACAACAGAAAGAAATAAATGGCGTCCAAATCTGTAAAGAGGAAGCCAAACTGTTGCTGTTTGCTGATGATATGATTGTATACCTAGAAAACCCTAAAGACTCATCTAAAAAGCTTCTGGAATTGGTAAATGAATTCAGCAAAGTTTCAGGATACAAAATTAATGGACACAAATCAGTAGCTCTGCTATACAACAACAGCAACCAAGCTGAGACTCAAACAAGAAGTCAATCCCTTTCCCAATAGCTGCAAAAAATAAAATACTTAAGAATATACCTGAACAAGAAGGTGAATGACCTCTGCACGGAAAGCTACAAAAAACTGCTGAAAGAAATCATAGACAACACAAACAAATGGAAACACATCCCATGTTCATGGATGGGTAGAATTAATATTGTGAAAATGAACTTACTGCCAAAAGCAATCTACAAATTCAATGCAATTCCCATCAAAATACCACCATCATTCCTCACAGAACTAGAAAAAGCACTCCTAAAGTTCATATGGAACCAAAATAGAGCCTGCATATCCAAAGCAAGACTAAGCAAAAAGAACAAATCTAGAGGCATCACATTACCTGATTTCAAACTATATTATAAGGCCATAGTCACCAAAACAGCATGATACTGGTATAAAAATGGGCACATCGCCCAATGGAACAGAAAAGAAAACCCAGAAACAAAGCCAAATACTTACAGCCACCTGATCTTTGATAAAGCAAACAAAAACATAAAGTGGGGGAAAGACACGCTATTCAACCAATGGTGCTGGGATAATTGGCAAGCCACATGTAGGAGAATAAAACTGGATTCTTATCTCTCACCTTATAAAGAAATCAACTCAAGATGGATCAACAACTTAAATCTAAGTCCTGAAACTATAAAAATTATAGAAGATAACTTTGGAAAAATCCTCCTAGACATTGGCTTAGGCAAAGATTTCATGACCAAGAACCCAAAAGCAAATGCAACAAAAACAAAGATAAATAGGTGAGTCTTAATTAAGGTAAAGAGCTTTTGCATGGCAAAAGAAAGAGTCAGCAGTGTAAACAGACAAACCACAGAGTTGGAGAAAATCTTCACAATCTGTACATTTGACAAATGACTAATATCCAGAATCTACAATGAACGAAGACAAACAATCCCATCAAAAAGTGGGCTAAGGACATGAATAGATAATTCTCAAAAGAAGATATACATTTGGCCAACAAACATATAAAAAAATGTTCAACATCACTAATTATCAGGGAAATGCAAATCAAAACCACAATGCGATACCACCTTACTCCCACAAGAATGATCATGATCAAAAAATTAGAAAATAATAGATGTTAGCGTGGATGCAGTGAAAAGGGAACACTTCCATACTAGTGGTAAGAATGTAAACTAGTACAACCACTGTGGAAAACAGTGTGGAGATTCCTTAAAGAACTAAAAGTAGAACTACCATTTGATCCAGCAATCCCACTAGTGGGTATCTACCCAGAGTACAAGAAGTAATTATACAAAAACAGATACTTGCGCACGTATGTTTATAGCAGCACAATTCACAATTGTGAAAAATATGGAACCAGTTCAAATGCCCATCAATCAACTAATCAATGAACTGTGATATATATATATATGATGGAATGATATATATATATATGATGGAATTTTATTTATATATATATATATATATATATATATGATGGAATACTACTCAGCCATAAATATGAATGAATTAACAGCATTTGCAATGACCTGGATGAAATTGGAGACTATTATTGTAAGTGAAGTAACTTAAGAATGTAAAACCAAACATCATATGTTCTTACTCATAAGTGGGAGCTAAGCTATGAGGATGCAAAGGCATAAGAATAATACAATGGACTTTGGGGACTCAGAGGAAAGGATGGGAAGGGGGTGAGGAATAAAAGACTACAAACTGGGTTCAGTGTATATTACTCATGTGATGAGTGAACCAAAATCTCACAAATCACCACTAAAGAACTTATCATGTAACCAAATACCACCTATTCAACAAAAACCTATGGAAATTAAAAAACAATAAACAAAAAAATAAAACTATCTTCCTATCTTAAGAAAAATAGCTATTTTGAATTCTTTTTCTGAAAAGTACAATATCTCTGCCTCTCCAGGATAAGTCAGTCCCTGGGTGTCTTATTTAGTTCATTTTGTAAGGTCATGTTTTCCTGGATGGTCCTGATGCTTGTGAATGTTTGTTGGTGCCTGGGCATTGAAGAGTTTGATATTTATTGTAGGCGGGGATTGTGAGGCATTGCACTGAACTCAGTGCTGCCCTATTATGACAGAAAACAAAACCAGACCAAACTCAGCTGACACTTACCCATGGAGGGAGCATTTAAGACAGCCTTAGTGAGAAAGGAATGGCCAATCCAAGCAGTCCAAACTTGAGTTCCCACAAGCCTCACCACCATGAGCTAAAGCAAGATGGGGCTGTTAATAAACTTGAAAGGGAGTCTAGGCCACAAGGACTGCAAATCCTAGGTGAGTCCTAATGCTGAACAGGGCTCAGAGGCAGTAGACTTGGAGGCACACGATGTACCGAGACACCAGCCAGGGTGCCTAAGGGAATGGTGGCAACACCCCTCCTTTAACCCCAGGTTGCATAGCTCATGGATCCAAAAGAGACACTTTCCTTCTGCTTGAGGAAAGGAGATGAAAAAGTGAGGAACACTTTTTCTTGCATCTTGGATACCAGCTCAGTCACAGCAGGATGTTGCACTGGGCAGAGCCATGAGGGCCCCGTTCCAGGTCTTAGGTCCCAGACATTTCTAGACACACTCTGGGAAAAAAAGAGAACCTACTGCCTTGAAGGGAAGAACCCAGTCATGGCAGGATAGATCACTTGCTAACTGAAGAGCCCTTGGACCCTGAATAGAAAGCAGCAATACCTAGATATCACATTGAGACCCTTTGGTGAGTCCCTGAAACTTGCTGGGTTAAGGTGGGACTGTACACATTCCCAGCTGTGGTGGCTCTGAGGAGAGACTCCTGCCTGAGAAAAGCAGAAGAAAAACTAAAGGAGACTTTGTTTACATCTTAGGTACCAGCTAAGCAGGGAGTAGAGTACCAAGTAGGCTCTTGGGGTCCAGGATTCCAGGCCATGGTTCTTGGACAGCATTTCTGGACCTGCTCTGGGCCACAGGGGAGCCCACTGCTCTGAAGGGTGAGTCACATGCCAGGAAGCATTCACCACAAGATGACTGATGAGCCCTTGGACCTTAAGTGAGCATGAGTTGTAGCCTGGGAGTACTCCCTTTGGGCCTATGGTGTGGTGGCCATGAGGTGAGAATCCATTGCCTTTGGAAAGGGGAGGAAAGTGTGGGAAGGGCTGCATCTTATAGTTTGAGTGCCAGATCAGCCACAGCACAATAGAACACTAGGTAGACTTTTAAGGTTTTTGGCTATAGATTCTGGCTTCCACAGGCACCCATGGACCCACCCCTAGCCCTCTGACCCCTGACAGGCCCCGGTGTGTGATATTCCCCTCCATGTGTCCATGGGTTCTCATTGTTCAATGCCCACTTATGAGTGAGAACATGCAGTGTTTTGTTTTCTGTACTTGTGTTAGTTTGCTGAGAATGATGGTTTCCAGCTTCATCCATGTCCCTGCAAAGGACATGAACTCACCCTTTTTTATGGCTGCATAGTATTGCATGGTGTATATGTGCCACATTTTCTTTATCCAGTCTATCATTGATGGGCATTTGGGTTGGATCCAAGTCTTTGCTATTGTGAACAGTGTTGCAATAAACATATGTGTGCATGAGTCTTTATAGGAGAATGATTTATAATCCTTTGGGTATATAACCAGTAATGGGATTGCTGGGTCAAATGGTATTTCTAGTTCTAGATCTTTGAGGAATTGGCACACTGTCTTCCACAATGGTTGAACTAATTTACACTCCCACCAGCAGTGTAAAAGCGTTCCTATTTCTCCACATCCTCTCCAGCATCCATTGTTTCCTGACTTTAATTATTGCCATTCTACCTGCCATGAGATGGTATCTCATTGTGGTTTTGATTTGCATTTCTCTAATGGCCAGTGATGATGAGCTTTTTTTCATATATTTGTGGGCTGCATAAATGTCTTCTTTTGAGAAGTGTCCGTTCATATCTTTTGCCCACTTTTTGATGGGATTGTTTTCTTCTTGTAAATTTGTTTAAGTTCTTTGTAGATTCAGGATATTAGCCTTTTGTCAAATGGATAGATTGCAAAAATTTTCTCCCATTCTGCAGGTTGCCTGTTTACTCTGATGATAGTTTCTTTTGCTGTGCAGAAGTTCTTTAGTTTAATTAGATCCCATTTGTCAATTTTGGCTTTTGTTGCCATTGCTTTTGGTGTTTTAGTCATGAAGTCTTTGCCCATGTCTATGTCTTGAATGGTATTGTCTAGGTTTTCTTCTAGGGTTTTCATGGTTTTAGGTCTAACATTTAAGTCTTTAATCCATCTTGAATTAATTTTTGTATAAGGTGTAAGGAAGGGATCCAGTTTCAGCTTTCTGCATATGGCTAGCCAGTTTTCCCAGCACCATTTATTAAATAGGGAATCCTTTCCCCATTGCTTGTTTTTGTTAGGTTTGTCAAAGATCAGATGGTTGTAGATGTGTGGGGCTATTTCTGAGGCTTCTGTTCGTTCCATTGGTCTATATATCTGTTTTGGTACCAGTACCATGCTGTTTTGGTTACTGTAGCCTTGTAGTATAGTTTGAAGTCAGGTAGCATGATGCCTCCAGGTTTGTTCTTTTGGCTTAGGATTGTCTTGGCAATGCGGGCTCTTTTTTGGTTCCATAAGAAATTTAAAGTAGTTTTTTCCAATTCTGTGAAGAAAGTCAATGGTAGCTTGCTGGGGATATCATATAATCTATAAATTACTTTGGGCAGTATGGCCATTTTCACGATACTGATTCTTCCTATCCATGAGCATGAAATGTTTTTCCATTTGTTTGTGTCCTCTTTTATTTCCTTGAGCAGTGGTTTGTAGCTCTCCTTGAAAGGTCCTTTACATCCCTTTTAAGTTGTATTCCTAGGCATTTTATTCTCTTTGTAGCAATTGTGAATGGGAATTCACTCATGATTTGGTTGTTTGTCTATTATTGGTGTACAGGAATACTTGTGATTTTTGCACATTGATTTTGTGTCCTGAGACTTTGCTGAAGTTGCTTATCAGCTTAAGGAGATTTCGGGCTGAGATGATGGGGTTTTCTAAATAGACAATCATGTCATCTGCAAAGAGAGACAATTTGACTTCCTGTTTTCCTAATTGAATACCCTTTATTTCTTTCTCTTGCCTGATTGCCCTGGCCAGAACTTTCAATACCATGTTCATTAGGAGTGGAGAGAGAGGGCATCCTTGTCTTGTGCCAATTTTCAAAAGGAATACTTTCAGTTTTTGCCCATTCCGTATGATATTGGCTGTGGCTTTCTCATAAATAGCTCTTATTATTTGGAAATACGTTCCATCCATACCTAGTTTATTGAGAGTTTTTAGCATGAAGAGGTGTAGAATTTTGTTGAAGCCCTTTTCTGCATCTATTGAGATAATCATATGGTTTTTGTCATTGGCTCTGTTTATGTGATGGATTATGTTTATTGATTTCTGTATGTTGAAACAGCCTTGCATCCCAGGGATGAAGCCGACTTGATCGTGGTGGATAGGTTTTTTGATGTGCTACTGGATTCGGTTTGCCAGTATTTTATTGAGGATTTTTGCATTGATATTCATCAGGGATATTGGCCTGAAGTTTTCTTTTTTGTTGTGTCTCTGCCAGGTTTGGTATCAGGATGATGCTGGCCTCATAAAATGAGTTAGGGAGGATTCCCTCTTTTTCTGTTGTGTGGAATAGTTTCAGAAGCAATGATAGCAGCTTCTCTTTGTACTTCTGGTAGAATTTGGCTGTGAATCCGTCTGGTCCTGTACTTTTTTTGTTGTTGTTGGTAGGCTATTAATTGCTGCCTCAATTTTAGAATTTGTTATTGTCTATTCAGGGATTCAACTTCTTCCTGGTTTAGTCTTGGGAGGGTGTATGTGTCCAGGAATTTATCCATTTCTTCTAGATATTCTAGTTTATTTGTGTAGAGGTGTGTATAGTGCTCACTGATGGTAGTTTGTATTTCTGTGGGATTGGTGGTGATATCCCCTTTATCATTTATTTATTTATTTATTTTATTATTATTATACTTTAAGTTTTAGGGTACATGTGCACAATGTGCAGGTTTGTTACATAGGTATACATGTGCCATGCTGGTGTGCTGCACCCACTAACTCGTCATCTAGCATTAGGTATATCTCCCAATGCTATCCCTCCACCCTCCCCCCACCCCACAACAGTCCCCAGAGTGTGATGTTCCCCTTCCTGTGTCCATGTGTTCTCATTGTTCAGTTCCCACCTATGAGTGAGAATATGCGGTGTTTGTTTTTTTGTTCTTGCGATAGTTTACTGAGAATGGTGATTTCCAATTTCATCCATGTCCCTACAAAGGACATGAACTCATCATTTTTTATGGCTGCATAGTATTCCATGGTGTATATGTGCCACCTTTTCTTAATCCAGTCTATCATTGTTGGACATTTGGGTTGGTTCCAAGTCTTTGCTATTGTGAATAATGCCGCAATAAACATACATGTGCATGTGTCTTTATAGCAGCATGATTTATAGTACTTTGGGTATATACCCAGTAATGGGATGGCTGGGTCAAATGGTATTTCTAGTTCTAGATCCCTGAGGAATCATCACACTGACTTCAACAAAGGTTGAACTAGTTTACATTCCCACCAACAGTGTAAAAGTGTTCCTATTTCTCCACATCCTCTCCAGCACCTGTTGTTTCCTGACTTTTTAATGATTGCCATTCTAACTGGTGTGAGATGGTATCTCATTGTGGTTTTGATTTGCATTTCTCTGATGGCCAGTGATGGTGAGCATTGTTTCATGTGTTTTTTGGCTGCATAAATGTCTTCTTTTGAGAAGTGTCTGTTCATGTCCTTCACCCACTTTTTGATGGGGTTGTTTTTTTCTTGTAAATTTGTTTGAGTTCATTGTAGATTCTGGATATTAGCCCTTTGTCAGATGAGTAGGTTGCAAAAATTTTCTCCCATTTTATAAGTGGCCTGTTCACTCTGATGGTAGTTTCTTTTGCTGTGCAGAAGCTCTTTAGTTTAATTAGATCCCATTTGTCAATTTTGGCTTTTGTTGCCATTGCTTTTGGTGTTTTAGACATGAAGTCCTTGCCCATACCTATGTCCTGAATGGTAATGCCTAGGTTTTCTTCTAGGGTTTTTATTGTTTTAGGTCTAACGTTTAAGTCTTTAATCCATCTTGAATTGATTTTTGTATAAGGTGTAAGGAAGGGATCCAGTTTCAGCTTTCCACATATGGCTAGCCAGTTTTCCCAGCACCATTTATTAAATAGGGAATCCTTTCTCCATTGCTTGTTTTTCTCAGGTTTGTCAAAGATCAGATAGTTGTAGATACGCGGCGTTATTTCTGAGGGCTCTGTTCTGTTCCATTGGTCTATTTCTCTGTTTTGGTACCAATACCATGCTGTTTTGGTTACTGTAGCCTTGTAGTACAGTTTGAAGTCAGGAAGTGTGATGCCTCCAGCTTTGTTCTTTTGGCTTAGGATTGACTTGGGGATGTGGGATCTTTTTTGGTTCCATATGAACTTTAAAGTAGTTTTTTTCCAATTCTGTGAAGAAAGTCATTGGTAGCTTGATGGGGATGGCATTGAATCTGTAAATTACTTTGCGCAGTATGGCCATTTTCATGATATTGATTCTTCCTACCCATGAGCATGGAATGTTCTTCCATTTGTTTGTATCCTCTTTTATTTCATTGAGCAGTGGTTTGTAGTTCTCCTTGAAGAGGTCCTTCACATCCCTTGTAAGGTGGATTCCTAGGTATTTTATTCTCTCTGAAGCAATTGTGAATGGGAGTTCACTCATGATTTGGCTGTTTGTCTGTTGTTGGTGTATAAGAATGCTTGTGATTTTTGTACATTGATTTTGTATCCTGAGACTTTGCTGAAGTTGCTTATCAGCTTAAGGAGATTTTGGGCTGAGACAATGGGGTTTTCTAGATATGCAATCATGTTGTCTGCAAACAGGGACAATTTGACTTCCTCTTTTCCTAATTGAATACCCTTTATTTCCTTCTCCTGCCTGATTGCCCTGGCCAGAACTTCCAACACTATGTTGAATAGGAGTGGTGAGAGAGGGCATCCCTGTCTTGTGCCAGTTTTCAAAGGGAATGCTTCCAGTTTTTGCCCATTCAGTATGATATTGGCTGTGGGTTTGTCATAGATAGCTCTTATGATTTTGAGATATGTCCCATCAATACCTAATTTATTGAGAGTTTTTAGCATGAAGGGTTGTTGAATTTTGTCAAAGGCCTTTTCTGCATCTATTGAGATAATCATGTGGTTTTTGTCTTTGGTTCTGTTTATGTGCTGGATTACATTTATTGATTTGCATATATTGAACCAGCCTTGCATCCCAGGGATGAAGCCCACTTGATCATGGTGGATAAGCTTTTTGATGTGCTGCTGGATTCGTTTTGCCAGTATTTTATTGAGGATTTTTGCATCAATGTTCATCAAGGATATTGGTCTAAAATTCTCTTTTTTTGTTGTGTCTCTGCCCGGCTTTGGTATCAGGATGATGCTGGCCTCATAAAATGAGTTAGGGAGGATTCCCTCTTTTTCTATTGATTGGAATAATTTCAGAAGGAATGGTACCAGTTCCTCCTTGTACCTCTGGTAGAATTCGGCTGTGAATCCATCTGGTCCTGGACTCTTTTTGGTTGGTAAGCTATTGATTATTGCCACATTTTCAGATCCTGTTATTGATCTATTCAGAAGTTCATCTTCTTCTTGGTTTAGTCTTGGGAGAGTGTATGTGTCGAGGAATTTATCCATTTCTTCTAGATTTTCTAGTTTATTTGAGTAGAAGTGTTTGTAGTATTCTCTGGTGGTAGTTTGTATTTCTGTGGGATTGGTGGTGATATCCCCTTCATCATTTTTTATTGCATCTATTTGATTGTTCTCTCTTTTTTTCTTTATTAGTCTTGCTAGCGGTTTATCAATTTTGTTGATCCTTTCAAAAAACCAGCTCCTGGATTCATTAATTTTTTGAAGTGTTTTTTGTTTCTCTATTTCCTTCAGTTCTGCTCTGACCTTAGTTATTTCTTGCCTTCTGCTAGCTTTTGAATGTGTTTGCTCTTGCTTTTCTAGTTCTTTTAATTGTGATGTTAGGGTGTCAATTTTGGATCTTTCCTGCTTTCTTTTGTGGACATTTAGTGCTATAAATTTCCCTCTACACACTGCTTTGAATGCGTCCCAGAGACTCTGGTATGTTGTGTGTTTGTTCTCGTTGGTTTCAAAGAACATCTTTACTTCTGCCTTCATTTCGTTATGTACCCAGTAGTCATTCAGGAGCAGGTTGTTCAGTTTCCATGTAGTTGAGCGGTTTTGAGTGAGATTCTTAATCCTGAGTTCTAGTTTGATTGCACTGTGGTCTGAGAGATAGTTTGTTATAATTTCCGTTGTTTTACATTTGCTGAGGAGAGCTTTACTTCCAAGTATGTGGTCAATTTTGGAATAGGTGTGGTGTGGTGCTGAAAAAAATGTATATTCTGTTGATTTGGGGTGGAGAGTTCTGTAGATGTCTATTAGGTCCGCTTGGTGCAGAGCTGAGTTCAATTCCTGGATATCCTTGTTAACTTTCTGTCTCATTGATCTGTCTAATGTTGACAGTGGGGTGTTAAAGTCTCCCATTATTATTGTGTGGGAGTCTAAGTCTCTTTGTAGGTCACTCAGGACTTGCTTTATGAATATGGGTGCTCCTGTATTGGGTGCATATATATTTAGGATAGTTAGCTCTTCTTGTTGAATTGATCCCTTTACCATTATGTAATGGCCTTCTTTGTCTCTTTTGATCTTTGTTGGTTTAAAGTCTGTTTTATCAGAGACTAGGATTGCAACCCCTGCCTTTTTTTGTTTTCCATTTGCTTGGTAGATCTCCCTCCATCCTTTTATGCTGAGCCTATGAGTGTCTGTGCACGTGAGATGGGTTTCCTGAATACAGCACACTGATGGGTCTTGACTCTTTATCCAATTTGCCAGTCTGTGTCTTTTAATTGGAGGATTTAGTCCATTTACATTTAAAGTTAATATTGTTATGTGTGAATTTGATCCTGTCATTATGATGTTAGCTGGTTATTTTGCTCATTAGTTGATGCAGTTTCTTCCTAGTCTCAATGGTCTTTACACTTTGGCATGATTTTGCAGCAGCTGGTACCGGTTGTTCCTTTCCATGTTTAGCGCTTCCTTCAGGAGCTCCTTTAGGGCAGGCCTGGTGGTGACAAAATCTCTCAGCATTTGCTTGTCTGTAAAGTATTTTATTTCTCCTTCACTTACGAAGCTTCGTTTGGCTGGATATGAAATTCTGGGTTGAAAATTCTTTTCTTTAAGAATGTTGAATATTGGCCCCCACTCTCTTCTGACTTGTAGAGTTTCTGCCAAGAGATCCGCTGTTAGTCTGATGGGCTTCCCTTTGAGGGTAACCCAACCTTTCTCTCTGGCTGCCCTTAACATTTTTTCCTTCATTTCAACTTTGGTGAATCTGACAATTATGTGTCTTGGAGTTGCTCTTCTTGAGGAGTATCTTTGTGGAATTCTCTGTATTTCCTGAATCAGAATGTTGGCCTGCCTTGCTAGATTGGGGACGTTCTCCTGGATAATATCCTGCAGAGTGTTTTCCAACTTGGTTCCATTCTCCCCGTCACTTTCAGGTACACCAATCAGATGTAGATTTGGTCTTTTCACATAGTCCCATATTTCTTGGAGGCTTTGTTCATTTCTTTTTATTCTTTTTTCTCTAAACTTCCCTTCTCACTTCATTTCATTCATTTCATCTTCCATCGCTGATACCCTTTCTTCCAGTTGATTGCATCAGCTCCTGAGGCTTCTGCATTCTTCACGTAGTTCTCGTGCCATGGTTTTCAGCTCCATCAGCTCCTTTAAGCACTTCTCTGTATTGGTTATTCTAGTTATACATTCTTATAAATTTTTTTCAAAATTTTCAACTTCTTTGCCTTTGGTTTGAATGTCCTCCCGTAGCTCAGAGTAATTTGATTGTCTGAAGACTTCTTCTCTCAGTTCGTCAAAGTCATTCTCCATCCAGCTTTGTTCCATTGCTGGTGAGGAGCTGCGTTCCTTTGGAGGAGGAGAGGTGCTCGATTTTTAGAGTTTCCAGTTTTTCTGCTCTGTTTTTTCCCCATCTTTGTGGTTTTATCTACTTTTGGTCTTTGACGATGGTGATGTACAGATGGGTTTTTGGTGTGGATGTCCTTTCTGTTTGTTAGTTTTCCTTCTAACAGACAGGACCCTCAGCTACAGGTCTGTTGAAGTACCCAGCCGTGTGAGGTGTCAGTCTGCCCCTGCTGGGGGGGTGCCTCCCAGTTAGGCTGCTCGGGGGTCAGGGGTCAGGGACCCACTTGAGGAGGCAGTCTGCCCATTCTCAGATCTCCAGCTGTGTGCCAGGAGAACCACTGCTCTCTTCAAAGCTGTCAGACAGGGACATTTAAGTCTGCAGAGGTTACTGCTGTCTTTTTGTTTGTCTGTGCCCTGCCCCCAGAGGTGGAGCCTACAGAGGCAGGCAGGCCTCCTTGAGCTGTGGTGGGCTCCACCCAGTTGGAGCTTCCCGGCTGCTTTGTTTACCTAAGCAAGCCTGGGCAATTGCGGGCGCCCCTCCCCCAGCCTCCCTGCCACCTTGCAGCTTGATCTCAGACTGCTGTGCTAGCGATCAGCGAGACTCCGTGGGCGTAGGACCCTCTGAGCCAGGTGCGGGATATAATCTCCTGGTGTGCCGTTTTTTAAGCCCGTTGGAAAAGCGCAGTATTTGGGTGGGAGTGACCCGATTTTCCAGGTGCCATCTGTCACCCCTTTCTTTGACTAGGAAAGGGAACTCCCTGACCCCTTGCGCTTCCTGAGTGAGGCAATGCCTCGCCCTGCTTCAGCTCATGCACGGTGCACGCACCCACTGACCTGCGCCCACTGTCTGGCACTCCCTAGTGAGATGAACCCAGTACCTCAGATGGAAATGCAGAAATCACCTGTCTTCTGCGTCGTTCACACTGGGAGCTGTAGACCGGAGCTATTCCTATTCGGCCATCTTGGCTCCTCCACCCCCTTTATCATTTTTTATTGCAGCTATTTGATTCTTCTCTCTTTTCTTCTTTACTAGTCTCACTAGCAGTCTATCTATTTTGTTGATCTTTTCAAAAAAAACCAGCTCCTGGATTCATTAATTTTTTGAAGGTTTTTTTTGTGTCTCTATCTTCTTCACTTCTGCTCTGATCTTAGTTATTTCTTCTCTTCTGCTAGCTTTTGAATTTGTTTGCTCTTGCTTCTCTAGTTCTTTTAATTGTGATGTTGGGTGTCAATTTTAGATCTTTTCTGCTTTCTCTTGTGAGCATTTAGTGCTATAAATTTCCCTCTGCACACTGCTTTAAATGTGTCCCAGAGATTCTGGTACTTTGTGTCTTTTTTCTGTTTGGTTTCAAAGAACATCTTTATTTCTGCCTTCCTTTTTCTTATTTACCCAGTCATTCAGGAGCAGGTTGTTCCTTTTTCATGTAGTTGTGCAGTTTTGAGTGAGTTTCTTAATCCTGAGTTTTAATTTTATTGCACTGCGGTCTGAGAGACTGTTATGATTTCCATTCTTTTGCATTTGCTGAGGAGTGTTTTACTTTCAATTATGTGGATGATTTTAGAATAAGAGCTAGGTGGTGCTGAGAAGAATGTATATTCTGTTGATTTGGGGTGGAGAGTTCTGTAAATGTCTATTAGGTCCTCTTGGTCCAGAGCTGAGTTCAAGTCCTGAATATCTGTGTCAATTTTCTGTCTGTTGATCTGTCTAATGTTGACAGTGGGTTGTTAAAGTCTCCCACTATTATTTTGTGGGAGTCTAAGTCTCTTTGTAGGTCTCTAAGAACTTGTTTTATGAATCTGGGTGCTCCTATATTGGGTGCCTGTGTATTTAGAATAGTTAGCTCTTCTTGTTGAATTTTTCCCTTTACCATTATGTAATGCCCTTCTTTGTCTTTTTTTTTTTTTTTTTTTTTTTTTTTTGAATCTTTGTTGGTTTAAAACCTGTTTGGTCAGAGACTAGGATTGCGACCTCTGCTTTTTTTTTTTTTTTTTTTTTTTTTTTTTTTTTGCTTTCCATTTGCTTGGTAAACTTTTCTCCATCCCTTCATTTTGAGCCTATGTGTGTCTTTGCACATGAGATGGGACTCCTGAATACAGAACACTGATGGGTCTTCACTCTTTATCCAATTTGCCTGTCCATGTCTTTTAGTTGGGACATGTAGTCATTTACATTTAAGGTTAATATTGCTATGTGTAAATTTGATCTTGTCATCATGATGCTAGCTGGTTATTTTGTAGACTAGTTGATGCAGTTTCTTCATAGTGTCATTGGTCTTCATATTTTCATGTGTTTCTGCAGGGGTTGGTACCGGTTTTTCTGTTCCGTATTTAGTGATTCCTTCAGGAGCTCTTGCAAGGGAAGCCTGGTGGTGACATAATCCCTCAGCATTTGCTTGTCTGTAAAGGATTTTATTTCTCCTTCATTTATGAAGCTTAGTTTGGCTGGTTATGAAATTCTGGATTGAAAATTATTTTCTTTAAACCTAGGCAATACCATTCAGGACATAGGCATGGGCAAGGACTTCATGTCTAAAACACCAGAAGCAATGGCAACAAAAGCCAAAATTGACACATGGGATCTAATTAAACTAAAGCGCTTCTGCACAGCAAAAGAAACTACCATCAGGGTGAACAGGCAACCTACAGAATGGGAGAAAATTTTTGCAATCTACTCATCTGACAAAGGGCTAATATCCAGAATCTACAATGAACTATACTGTTGGTGGGACTGTAAACTAGTTCAACCATTGTGGAAGTCAGTGTGGCGATTCCTCAGGGATCTAGAACTAGAAATACCATTTGACCCAGCCATCCCATTACTGGGTATATACCCAAAGGACTATAAATCATGCTGCTATAAATACACATGCACACGTATGTTTATTGCGGCTCTATTCACAATAGCAAAGACTTGGAACCAACCCAAATGTCCAACAATGATAGACTGGATTAAGAAAATGTGGCACATATACACCATGGAATACTATGCAGCCATAAAAAATGATGAGTTCATGTCCTTTGTAGGGACATGGATGAAATCGGAAATCATCATTCTCAGTAAAGTATCACAAGAACAAAAAACCAAACACTGCATGTTCTCACTCATAGATGGGAATTGAACAATGAGAACACATGGACACAAGAAAGGGAACATCACACTCTGGGGACTGTGGTGGGGTCGGGGGAGGGGGGAGGGATAGCATTAGGAGATATACCTAATGCTAAATGATGAGTTAATGGGTGCAGCGCACCAGCATGGCACAAGTATACATATGTAACTAACCTGCACATTGTGCACATGTACCCTAAAACTTAAAGTATAATAATAATAAAAGAAAAAGAAAAGAAAAAAACAAACAACCCCATCAAAAAGTGGGTGAAAGATATGAACAGACACTTCTCAAAAGAAGACATTTATGCAGCCAAAAGACACATGAGAAAATGCTCATCATCACTGGCTATCAGAGAAATGCAAATCAAAACCACAATGAGATACCATCTCACACCAGTTAGAATGGCGATCATTAAAATGTCAGGAAACAACAGGTGCTAGAGAGGATGTGGAGAAATAGGAACACTTTTACACTGTTGGTGGGACTGTAAACTAGTTCAACCATTGTGGAAGTCAGTGTGGCGATTCCTCAGGGATCTAGAAGTAGAAATGCCATTTGACCCAGCCATCCCATTACTGGGTATATACCCAAAGGATTATAAAACATGCTGCTATAAAGACACATGTACACGTATGTTTATTGCAGCACTATTCACAGTAGCAAAGACTGGGAACCAACCCAAATGTCCAACAATGATAGAATGGATTAAGAAAAGGTGGCACATATGCACCATGGAATACTATGCAGCCATAAAAAATGATGAGTTCATGTCCTTTGTGGGGACATGGATGAAGCTGGAAACCATCATTCTCAGCAAACTATCGCAAGGACAAAAAACCAAACACCGCATGTTCTCACTCATAGGTGGGAATTGAACAATGAGAGCACATGGACACAGGAAGGGGAACATCACACACCGGGGCCTGTTGTGGGGTGGGGGGAGGGGGGAGGGATAGCATTAGGAGATATATCTAATGTTAAATGACGAGTTAATGGGTGCAGCACACCAACATGTCACATGTATACATATGTAACAAACCTGCACGTTGTGCACATGTACCCTAAAACTTAAAGTATAATAATAATAAAAAAAAGAAAATTCTTTTCTTTAGGGTGGCCTCTTCTGGCTTGTATGGTTTCTGCTGAGATTTCCACTGTTAGTCTGATGGGCTTCCCTTTGTAAGTGATCTGGCCTTTTCTCTGGCTGCCCTTAACATTTTTTCTTTCATTTTGACCTTGGAGAATCTGATGATTATGTGTCTTTGGGTTGAACTTCTCATGGAGTATGTTAGTTGTGTTCTCTGTATTTCCTGAATTTGCTTGTTGGCCTGTCTTTCTAAGTTGGGAAAGTTCTCCTGGATAATACCATGAAGTGTGTTTTCCAACTTGTTTTCATTCTTCCCATCTCCTTCAGGTACCCTAATCAATGTTACATTTTGTCTTTTTATGAAGTATCATATTTCTTGAGGCTTTGTTCATTCCTATTCATTCTTTTTTTCTCTAATCTTGTCTGCATGCCTCATTTCAGCAAGGTGGTTTTCAACCTCTGATATCCTTTCTTCCACTCGGTCAATTCAGATATTTATACTTGTGTATGCTTCATGAAGTTCTCGTGCTGTTTTTCAGCTCCATCAGGTCATTTATGTTTTTCTCTGAACTGGTTATTCTAGTTAGCAACCCCTGTAACCTTTTATCAAAGTTCTTAGCTTCTTTGCATTGGGTTAGAACATGCTCCTTTAGCTCAACATAGTTTTTTAGTACCCATCTTCTGAAGCCTACTTCTGTCACTTCATCCATCTCATCCTCTGTCCAGTTCTGTGTCCTTGCTGGAAAGGCACTGTGATCATTTGGAGAAGGGGCACTCTAGTCTTTTGGGTTTTCAGCGTTTTTTCGTTTATTCTTTCTCATCTTCGTGAGTTTGTCTAGTTTCGATCTTTGAAGCTGCTGACAATTGGATGGAGTTTTTGTGGGGGCTTTGTTGTTGTTGATGCTGTTGTTGTTGCTTCCTGGTTTGTTGGTTTTTTTTCCAATGGTCTGCTCCCTCTTCTGTAGGGCTCCTGTTGTTTTCCGGGGGTTCATTCAGGCCCTATTAATCTGGTTCACTCACGCACCTGGAGATGTCACTTGAGGAGGCTGGAGAACAGCAAAAATGGGTGCCTACTCCTCTGACCTCAAGGGGCACCAATCTGATGCCAGTAGGATCACTCCTGTATATGGTGTCTGACATCCCCTATTGGAGTGTCTCACCCAGTTTGGTGGCACAGGGAACAGGACCCATTTAGTGAAGCACTTTGTCACTTGGTGGAGGTGGTGTGCTTCACTGGGGGAAAACCCACTCATCTGGTTGCTCAGATTCCTCAGAACTACCAGGAGGAAAGGATAAGTCTGCTGGTCCACAGAGACTGTGGGCACCCCTCCCCCTATGAGCTCAGGTTCAGGGAAATCCGTGTTCTGTCCCTGAGCATCTGGCTGGAGTTACTGGAGTTCCTGCAAGGAAGCCCCACCCAATGAGGAAGGATGAGTCAGGGTTAGGCCTGAAGGGGCACTCTGGCCACAGTCTGCCACAGCTGGTGCGTTGGGCTGTGGGTGACACATCTTCGGACCAAGACATCCAGCCTCCCTGTCTCCAGCAAGGGAAAAACGCAGCCTGGAGCTATAGAGATGGATGCTTCCCTTCCCCTGCCCAGGGAGCTTAGCTTGTTAGACAGTTGTGAGTCCCAGCGCTGGCTGCTGCCCTTCCCCCAAGGAACTCAAATGGCTTAGACAGCAGGCTGCCACAGCTGTGGTGCTGGTCACCCCTTCCCCCAGTATGTCAGTAGGCTTAAGCAGATTCTAGCTGAGAGGCATTTGAAAATCTGCACAGCTCCAGGATTGGGACACTAGGCCCTGATGGCGTGGGTGCATGAGTGGGATCTTCGGTTCCGTGGGTTGCACAGTTCTGTGGAAAAACTGGGTAGCATGCTCACTCACTGCCTCCCTTGGTTGGGGGGAGGGGGCTCCCCTGTCCCATGTGGCTCTCAGGTGGGCCACCACACCACACTGTTCTTCCTTCCTCTCCATGGATCACGCCAGCCTCCTAGTCAGTTCTGATGAGAGAACCTGGATACCTTAGTTTCCGGTGAAGGATTCACATGCTTATTACGATTCTTTTCAATGGGAGCCTCTGAATGCCGCTGTTTTTAGTAGGCCATCTTGGCCCTGCCCCACTGTATTCTACCAAATATTTAAAGAAGAACTAATACCAATCCTACTCAAACTATTCTGAAAAATAGGGGAGGAGGGAATACTTCCAAAGTTATTCTATGAGGCCTGATACCAAAACCAAACAAAGACACATCAACAAAAGAAAACTATAGGCCAATATCACTGATGAATATTGATGCAAACATCCTCAACAAAACTTTAGAAAACAAAATTCAACAACATAGTAAAAAAATTATTCATCATGATGATGTAGGATTTATCCCAGGGATGCAAGTATGGTTGAATCTTTGCAATTCAATTAATGTAATACATCATATCAAAAAAATAAAGGAGAAAAATCATATAACATTTGCAGTTGATGCTGAAAAATCATTTGTTAAAATTCAACATCTCTTCATGTTAAATCCTTGAAAAACCTAGGTATAGAAGAAACATACCTCACTATAATAAATGTCGTATATGACAGACCCACAGCTCATATCATACTGAATAGGGAAAAACTGAAAGCCTTTTCACTAAGATCTGGAACCTGACAAGGATGCCCACTGCCACTCATGTTATTCATCATAGTAGTGCACGTCCTAGCTAGAGCAATCAGACAAGAGAAAGAAGTAAAGGGCATCAAAATTGGAAAAATAAAAGTCAAATTATCCTTGTTTGCAGATGATATTATCTTATGTTTGGAAAAATCTGAAGACTCCACTGAAAAAAACTATTATAACTGATAAACAAACTAAATAAAGTTGCAGGATACAAAAATCAACATACAAAAATTAATAGTATGTCTATATGCCATCAGCAAACAATATAAAAAAAGTAATCCCATTTACAATAGCTACAAATAAAATAAAATACCTAGGAATTATTTTAACTAAAGAAGTGAAAGAGGCTGGGTGCAGTGGCTCATGCCTGTAATCCCAGCACTTTGGGAGGCCGAGGCAGGCGGATCACAAGGTCAGGAGATCACAACCATCCTAGCTAAAATGGTGAAACCCCGTCTCTACTAAAAATACAAAAAAAAAAAAATTAGCTGGGCGTGGTGGTGGGCGCCTGTAGTCCCAGCTACTTGGGAGGCTGAGGCAGGAGAATGGCGTGAACCTGGGAGGCAGAGCTTGCAGTGAGCCGAGATCGCGCCACTGCACTCCAGCCCAGGCAACAGAGCAAGACTCCATCTCAAAAAATAATAAATAAAAATAAAAATAAAGAAGTGAAAGATCTCTAAAATGAAACCTATAAAATATTGACACAAGAAATCAAAGAGGACACACACAAAAGGAAAAGAAAATTCCATGTTCATGGATTAGAAGAATTAATATTATTGAAATGTTTATACTACCAAAGCAAAGCAGAGACTTAATGCAATCCTTATCAAAATACCAATGACATTCTTCCCAGAAATAGAAAAACACTCCTAAAATCTATAGGAAACCACAAAAGACCCAGAATTGCAAAAGCTATTCTAATCAAACAGAACCAAACTGGAGGAATCACATTACCTGACTTTAAATTATACTACAGAGCTGTAATAACCAAAACAACATGGTTTTGACACCAACACACACACATAGATAGTGGAACAGAATGGAGAACCCAGAAATGAATTCATACATCTACAGCAAACTCACTTTTAACAAAGATGCCAAGAACATACATTGGGGAAATCATAGTCTCTTTAATAAATGGTGCTGGAAAAACTGGCTATCCATATGCAGAGGAATGAAACTAGACACATATTTCTTACCATATACAAAAATCAAATCAAAATGGATTAAAGACTTAAATCTAAGACCTCAAACTATGAAACTACAATAAGAAAACATTGGGAAACTCCCAAGGACATTGGATTGGGCAAACATTTCTTGAGTAGGCTGGGCACAGTGGCGCATGTCAGTAATCCTAGGACTTTGGGAGGCCGAGGTGGATTGATCCTTTGAATCCAGAAGTACAAGACAAGCCCAGGCAACATGGTGAAGCCCTGTCTCCACAAAAAACACAAAAAGTAGCCAGGCATGGTGGCACATGCCTGTAGTCCCAGCTACTTGGGGGTCTGAGGCATGAGGATCATTTGAGCCCAGGAGGTAGAGGTTGCAGTGAGTGGAGATTACACCACTGCACCATTGCACTCCAGCCTGGGTGACAGAGTAAGACCCTGTCTCAAAAAAAACAAAAACAAAAACAAAAACAACAACAACAAAAAGACCTTTTGAGTAATACTCCACAAGTGCTGGCAACCAAAGCAAAAATGGACAAATGGGATCACATCAAGTAAAAAAGCTTCTGCAGAGCAAAAGAGACAATTAACAAAGTGAAGAGACAATCCACAGAATGGGAGGATACATTTGCAAACTACCTGTCTGACAAGTGTTTAATAACCAGAATATAAAAAGAGCTCAAACAACTCTATAGGAAAAATTCTAATGATCTGATTAAAAACGGACAGAAAATCTTACTAGATATTTCTCTAAAGAAGTCATACAAATGGCAAACAGATATGAAAATGTACTCAACATCATTGATCATCAGAGAAATGAAAATCAAAATTGCAATGAGATATTATCTCACCTCAGTTAAAATGGCTTTTATTCAAAAGTTGGGCAATAACAAATGCCTGGGGAGGTTGTGGAGAAAAGGGAGTCCTCATTCACTGTTGGTGGAAATGTAAGTTAATACAACCACTATGGATTACAGTTTGGAGGTTCCTGAAAAAACTATAAATATAGCTAGCATATAATCCAGTAATCCCACTCCTAGGTATATATGTAAAAGTAAGGAAATCAGTATGTTGAAGAGATATCTGCACTCCCATGTTTATTTTGGCACTATTTATAGTAGCCATTATTTGGAAGCAATCTAAGAGTTCATCAACAGATGAATGAATACAGAAAATGTGGTACATATACACAGTGGAATATTGTTTAGGCATAAAAAAGAATGAGATCCTCTCAGTTGCAAAAACATGGATGAACCTGGAGGTCATTATGTTAAGTGAAATAAGCTAGGCATAGAAAGACACATGTTGCATGTTGTCACTTATTTGTGGGAGCTAAAACTGAAAACAACTGGACACATGGAAATAGAGAATAGAAGGATGGTTACCAAAGGCAGGGATGGGTAGTGGGGGAGGGAGTGGGAGGAAATTGGGGATGGTTAATGAGTACAAAAAATAGAACAAACGAATAAGACTTAGTATTTGCTAGCACAACAGAGTGACTACAGTAAAAAATAATTTAACTGTACATTCAAAAATAACTAAAAGGGCATATAGTTAGATTGTTTGTAACACAAAGGATAAATGCTTGAGGTGATGGATACCCCATTTACCCTGATGTGATTATTTCACATTCCATGCCTGTTTCAAAATATCTCATGTAACCCATAAATATATACATCTACTGTATGCCCACAAAAATTACAAATTACAAATAAAAAAGTGAAAAGGCAATCTGTAGAGTGGAGGAAAATGTTGGTAAATCATGTATCTGGTAATGGTTTAATATCCAGAATATAGAAAGAACTCCTATAACTAAACAGCAAAAAGACAAACAACCAATTTAAAAATGGCTAAAGAACTTATAGACACATTTCTCCAAAGAAGATAAAGAGATGGCCAAAAATCACATAAAAAATTCCCAACATCATTAGTCTATTACTCACTATGGAAATACAAATTAAAACCACAAATAGATATCACTTCACATTTACTAGGAAAACTGTAGTAAGCAAAAAAAAAATTTTTAAGACAAGTTGTTGGTAAAGGTATGGAGAAAATCAGAATCCTCATACTTTGTTAGTGGGCATGTAAAATGATTTAGCCAATGTGGAAATCGATTTGCTTCCTTACAAAGTAAAGTTTATCCCAATACCAATTACTGAACAGTTTATCCTTTCTCCACTGATCTATAAAACTATTTGCATAGTACATGAAATTCATATATATATATATATGATTCTATTACTGGATTTTTTTTCTGTTGTATCGATCTATTTGACTATTCCTGTTCCATCACTATATTGTCTTATAAAAATCCATGCTATTTGGTAGGCAAGCTCTTCTTTGGCATTATATGATTTTCTTGGCTATTTTTGGACCTGAATCCTTCCATACAAATTTTAGAATCAGTTTGTCAAGTTATACCAAAAAACGCTATTGAGATTTTTGCTTGGGATTGATTAACATTTATGAAGAGTCTTGAGATAATTGTCATGGTTTATCTCTCAATTTATTTAGGTCTACTTTTATGTTCTTCAATAAAGTTTTAGAAGACACTGCATAAAAATGTTGTACATACTGTGATCTGTTTATTATTTAGGTACCTATACCCAACCTATGACCTGTATAGCCATAGGAGCAAGCCAAAGGAAGAGTGCTAGCGCACCGTCGGTGACATGGTGGTGGTGTTTGATGGGGGGTCTAGTTTACCTGTTCATGTAACTTACTATTGTCCTCTGATCCTTTTAGATCTCAATCCTGGAGTACAATTTCTGTCTTACGATGGACTACTGCTGGGCCAGACTGACTTTATGCCTTGGTGAGTATTACAAAACTCAGGCCATAACAAGCAGTTCTGGGTTCATTATCACTTAATGTCACATAGTTAAGTGCTCCATCTCTATTAGGGCCCAGCAACATGCCAAGAGGTGTTTCTTAAAAGGTATGTAATTTTCTGCTGCAGATGGTCTTGCTCCAGAACCTCAGAGACCAGCACTGTGATTTTTCCACCACAATTTGCCATTAATTTTACATTGATTTTTTTCTTACCACTGGCACTTCCATGTCATAGGATCTTTCAAATAATATGCTTCAAACAGAAGAGCTGCTTGAATCATAACTTTAATCTGTTGCAGAGCCCTCTTTTTCTCCTAGTTCCACTCAAAGCTGACAGCATTCTCTGTCATCCAGCATATGGGTCACTGTAGAATGCGTCACCTCTAGAACTCAAACAGACGTATTAGGTGTTGTGGTTCCTCCTTTGTGGTAAGGAATGCAAGATGCTGCAAGTATTCTTTTGCTATGGAATGGATATTTTGGCACCACCAGAACCTTAAAAATTTTAAGAAAATGGCAGGTCTCTGAAACTTTGTAGGATTTATCTTTCACCATGTGCAGCACACCTGTGTCTTGCCAAGTCCTCCAGTGATTAAGCCACCTCTTTGCCCATTCTGCCCAATGAGCATGATGTCAAAAGTGCAATGAATCTATGTGATGTCCTGAAATGTGAAGACTGTCCAGATCTCTTTAGTCTGTATTATGGCAGAAAGCAGAAGAGTTAAAATGTACCTGGGGCAAAATTGTAAATGTTTATTTCTTTCCATTCCATGTGAATGCAATCTGTTTCCAATACCCTTTTCTGAAGGGGATAGAAAATAATACATGTTCTAAATCAATGGATACAAACTATATACCTGAAGCCACATTAATCTGCTCTAGTGAAGGTACCTGTTCAACATGGCAACCGCAATGGCCAATTCTCAGTGATTCTAGTAATCCAGTGACTTGGTAGATTTCCTAATGTTGAATTATCCTTGCATTCCTGGATATATTTGGTTAAGATGTTGGTTGTGTCTATACACTGATGGATTTGATTTGTCAGTTTTATTTAAATTTTATTTAGGATTTTGTTTTTAGTTTCTGATCATAAAGGAGCCCAATGTATATTTTCTTACTCTGTTTTTGTTCGGTTTTAGTATCAAGGTTATACCAGCAAATAAAATAAGATGGGTATCTCTTCATCTTTTTCTATTTCATAGAATAGTTTTTAAAAGATGACATTACCAGTTCCTTGAGGGTTTGGTAAAATTCACCCACAAAACCTGCCCGGGCAGATCTGTATTTGGAGTGATATTTTCAATTTCAAGTCTATTTTCTTTAATGGTCATTAGTATATTCATATTTTTGGTTTCTTGAGACAATTTTGTTAAATGAAAATTTTCTAGAAAATTATCCATTCCTCTTAATCATCAGCATAAATCATTGCCATACATAGTATTCTCTAATAATTTAAAACTTTCTGCTTTATATGTATGCATTTGTCCCATTTTGCATTCCTAATGTTATTTGTATCTTTTCTTTTTTCTTCATTGGTCTTGACAAATATTTGACTATTGTATTAATCTTTTCAAAGAAGCAGCTTTTAGTTTTGTTCATCACCCCTATAATTTGTCCATTTTAAAATTTTATTAAGGCCGGGCGCAGTGACTCACGCCTGTAATCCCAGCACTTTGGGAAGCCGAGTGGGGGCGATAATGAGGTCAGGAGTTCAAGACCATCCTGGGTAACACGGTGAAACCCCATCTCTACTAAAAATACAAAAAATTAGCCGGGTGTGGTGGCGAGTGCCTGTAGTCCCAGCTACTCAGGAGGCTGAGGCAGGAGAATGGTGTGAACCCGGGAGACGGAGCTTGCAGTGAGCCGAGATCGTGCCACTGCACTCCAGCCTGGGCGACAGAGTGAGACTCCATCTCAAAACAATAATAATTATTAATTTCTGCTTTCACTTTTATCATTTCCTTCTTTATACATTCTTTGGATTAACCAGTGGTGTGCTGGAGCCAGCTTATATCAGCTAGTGATTATCAATTGTAATGTTTTCAGAAAATTTGCCATCTGGCTGTTGAGACAACTATTATTAAAATTACATTTTATAAAATTACAATTAAATTATATTAAAAACAAACTGAATTTGCACCCCAAACCTGTCACTCCTTAATTAGTTTACGTTTTACTAGTATTTATGTTCTATACTATTTATGTTATATATAGAGGTTATTTACATCTATTGTATCTGAATGGAGGAAATGCTATATAATGGTATGCTATTGTGCATCTTTTCCCAGTAATGTCATGGCAGCTTAAAATTTACCATAGTCAGAGTATTAAACTTGCCGGGTGCGGTGGCTCACGCCTGTAATCCCAGCACTTTGGGAGGCTGAGGCAGGTGGATCACCGGAGGTCGGGAGTTCGAGACCAGCCTGGCCAACATGGCGAAACCCTGCCTCTACTAAAAATACAAAAAAATAGCCAGGTGTGGTGGTGCACGCCTGTAATCCCAGCTACTCAGGAGGCTGAGGCAGGAGAATCGCTTGAACCCAGGAGGCAGAGGTTGCAGTGAGCCGAGATCATGCCATTGTACTCCAGCCTGGGTGACAGAGTGAGACTCCGTCTCAAAATAAATAAATAATAAAATTTACCATGATCAGGGTATTAAACTACAGGAATCTGTCAATGTTACAGGGCTTGATATATTGTTTTGTTAGTTCTCTGGACTTAAGAATGTGATGAAGGCGTTAAAGAAAATATTAATAATGCAGCTTGAACTTAAAACTGTATTGTATCTGTAGCTATTCTATTTACATATATATTTTTTGAGACAGAGCCTCACTCTGTTGCTTAGGTTGGAGTGCAGTGGTGTGATCTCGGCTCACTGCAACCTCTGTCTCCTGGGTTCAAGCCATTCTCGTGCGTTAGTCACCCAAGTATCTGGGATTACAGGCGCCCGCCACAACGCCTGAGTAACATTTGTATTTTTAGTACAGATGGGGTTTTGCCATGTTGGCCAGGCTGGTCTTGAACCCCTGACCTCAGGTGATCCACCTGCTTCGGCCTCCCAAAGTGCTGGGATTACAGGCGTGAGCCACCCTGCCCGGCCAGTATCTGTAGCTATTCTATTTTGAATACCACAAAAAATTAGAAAATATTCTTCCAGTATTTGAACCTATTGTCTGAGTCAGAAAATAAGTCACTCATATCACTGATGAGTGATGTGCAAAAATAAGCCTTTGTTGTTTTACTTCATCTTACTCATTAGCATAAATGAAAACATCTGCCAACATTCATGATGGCACTATATTCGAATCTGATTGTTCCACATTTGCTAACACCACTGCTTTATTCTTTTATTCTACCTTATTGAGTTGAATATTTAGCTTACTAATTTTCAGTGTTTCTTGTTTTTTAATAAAGGTATTTATAACTTTACATTTCCTTCCGAGTGGTGGACTGGTAAACAGACTCTTTGAAAAAAAAAGGAAAAGAAATCAAAAAATGACAGAAAAAAAGTTGAATAAAGAAAGCCTGATCTATAGTGTTTGCTGATTTCAATAGTATAAATGTTCCCATCATGGATGATTTCAAGTCATTTAACAATGGGATGGCAAATTCCTGAATATTTAAAAACCAGCTCCTAGGAGGTGGTACAAACCAGCTGTGGCCTGCCACTGATTAGCTATTTGCTGTAATTTCTGATATGTAGTACTTATTTTATCAATCATTTCTAAATATTTGATAATTTTCATTGAGATTTATTCTGTAACACGTATATTTAGAAGTGCATATTTGCAGTTTTAAAGTCTCTGGTTTTTTGAGGGGTTTCTTTTGGTTATTGATTTTTATTTATCAGAATTATGGTTGAAGAATGAGGTATGATATTCATATTTGTGAATTTTTTGAGTTTTTTGGCCTAGAATGCATTCAATTTTTACAAATTTCACATGTGTGCTTGAAATAAATATTTGTTTTTCAGTTGGTAGATGAAACATGTATTTTTTAAAAAATATACATTTTATCTTTTAAAGCAGTTTTAGGTTCACAGCAAAATTGAGAGGAAAGTAACAGAGGATTCCCATATACTCCTTCTGCCCACACATACATAACCTCCCCACCATCAACATCACACACCACAGTAGTACATTCGTTGCAGTTGAACAAACATTGACATATCATTACCTAAATTCCTTAGTGTACATTAGGGTTCACCCTTGGTGTTGCAGGTTCTGTGAGTTTTGTCAAACGCATATGAAAAGAAATTAAATCTTGGGAACCCCAAACTCATTAAGCCAAAGGGAAAAGTTAAGCTGGGAACTGGTTCGTGCAAACCTGCCTCCCACTTTTGGTTCCTATATAGTCCTAGGCCCGATTTATAGCAATCAGAGGGAAGCAAACCTGGAAGCTGGGTCAGGCTATATTACTGCCTCCTCGGTTAGAGCAATTCTCTGGGCAATCATTGCCCTAGCCCTTTCAGTTGCATGATGACTTATTTGCAAGCATATACCATAATAACATTGTAAGCAGAAACAGGACAGAACACAAATTATTATTATTATTCCTACTATAAGAAATAGCTTCTGCCACCAAGTTTTCCAGGATCCAAACCAACCACTCAATCGATTAGTGAGAGTTTGGGATCTGACAGGTTGGTTATCGGGGTTTTCATATCAGTCATAAATCGTGTTTTGTTCTTCAATTCATCTGGAATATAAACACAACATTCAGTTTTTATGATGGTGCAGGGGCCCCCGGTGCTGCCGTGAGTATATCTAAAGTCATATGGTTATATATAAATATAATATATATAATATATATATTATATATATATATATTCCTTTCCTTTTCCTTCTTTCATCCACCTATTTTTTTTTATCTTCGTGGGACATGACTTCCTAGGAATGAGCCTTCCTAGCAACGTGGGATGCTATTGCCTAGCAATGACCCTTCCTAGCAATGTGGGACCTGAACTTCTAGAAATAAGCCATCCTAGCAATGAGAAACCAGCTCAAAATAAGGAGGAAAAAGCAACCTGAGGCCAGAAACCCGTATTCCTTCTAAAATGCTTTCTCCAAAAAGATTTTAAAGAAAAAGGGAGGGGGGAATGAGAAAGAAAATTAAATCTTGGGACCCCAAACTCATTACGTCAAAGGGAAAAGTTAAGCTGGGAACTGGGTCATGCAAACCTGCCTGCCTTTTGGTTCCTATATTAGATGACTACAAAATGAAAAGCTCCACATCTCCCCCATATTTTGCCCACAAGGAAATTCCTAGTGATCTGCAAGATCTTTACCCTAAGGTGTTTCTGTTAAAATTTCACCATGGCAATGTAAATTGATAGCTTATCTTTACAGGTGCAGTCACCCCCTGCCTACCAGACACAAATGCATATCTGATTGTTCCCCTGCCTCATTTTGTCTATGTCATCTTATGTAAAAATGCAGATTCCCTGAGCCAGACAAAGGCATGAATAACTATTTTTCCCTACCCCCCCCCCCTTACCTAACAATTGTGTGCTTCTCAATATCCCGCCCTTTCCCCTTTAAATTTGGAGCCCTGAAAATCATCTCTGGAGAAAGGCATAGACCTGTCTCCTGGGCGTGTGTCCTTAACTTTGGCAAATAAACCTATTAAAGTGATTGAGACTTGTTTCATCATTTTTCTCAACTGACATATATAATGACATGTGTCCACAACTATAGTATTATACAGAATAGTTCCACTGCCCTAAAAATCCCATGTACCACTTATTCATCCCTCCCTTCCGCAAACCTCTGGCAACCACTGATCTTTTCACTGTCTCCAGAGTTTTGCCTTTTCCATAATGTCATATAGTTGGAATTATACAGTATATGTCCTTATCAGATTGGTCAGTGTTTTTATGTATCTATTTATTAGCTAAATTTTATTGTTTTATCCATCTTATATATCCCTAGTAACTTTTGTCTACTTTATGTACTAGTTTCTGAAAGAGGTGTGTTAAAATCGCTCACCATAATTATAGATTTGGTTATTCTCATATAAATTTTGTTAACTTTCATTTTATAGATTTTGGAGCTATTACTTTCAGATGCATACAAATCAACTTTTTCCTAGTGGGTGGCTATTTTTTAATCATTAAGTGATGTGTTTCTTCGTCTTAATGCTTTTCACCTTAAATTCTATTTCGCCTGTTATATCTTTTGCTCTCCCCCTTTTTCTTTTAACTGTTCTTTGTCATCATGTTTTAGGTACTTTTCTTGTAGATCACATATAGTGGAAATTTTCACACCTAATCTCAATGTCTCTTTCTTCAAAAAAGTTGTTTTTAATTCATTTACATATATTGCAACATATGTTATTCTGTATTTTCTGGTTGCCATGTTTTTTCTGTGATTATTTTCTTCTCACTTCATGTCATATCATCTGGAAGCATTGCTTTTTTAGATTGACTTTGTTTCCACCTGTGACTTGGAGCAAGGACCACATAATTGCTGTCGTTAGGCCAGTGATTTGATTTTTTTTTTCAATAGACACACCCTTTCCATTTTCCTCAATCCTTCCACAGGTATACCTGTTCTAACTGTGCCATATACAGATCTTGGGACTCTGATTCCCATCCTCTTTTAAGCATTAAAATTACAGACCCTAAGAACTATATCTGGTCCACTTATCTCTTTGAGTCATGAATCATAAAAAATAAATACCATTTGGGGTATTTTCTTTATTTCTGGCACTTGGAGATTTCTTTTCTTACTTTCAAGTGTGACTCTATACTTATACTTTAAATATTAGGCATTTCTATGTATCTGGAATGTGTGAGTTTGTGGTGTGTGTGTGTGTGTGTGTGTGTGTGCGCGTGTATGTCAATGGGATGTTTGATTATTTCCTACATCAACCTGGACTTTGATCTTGACTGAATAACAAGCCTTTGCTCCTAACCACTAGGCTCTACTGCCTCCCAGTGTTGTTTTTCCTCTTAGGTTTCCAATATCATCCTTGATGCTTCTGTGCATTTTATAAATAAAGAGACAGACTCTGTGACATACACTTTATCCATACAATAAAAATAGACATATCTGTCACACTTGAAGTTAACTATGGAAAACAAGTTAGTAAATTAATTATTTTTTATTTACTTTCCAAATGAGCCAATTATTTCTTTCATTAGCTATCATTTTGATTCTCCATTTGGGACCTTAATAATAAAGATATTATTTATCTCTTTTAGTTGTATCCCACCTTTCACTGGACACCAGGGAACCAAATTTAGATAGTTTCTTCATATGAAAATGAGGTCCAAAATTGAATGATAAAACTAAAATTTGGTCCTTTTTCAAATTTAAAATTTAAAATTGAAGTGTAAGCAGGATCTTGTATAGATATGCTGTTTTTTTTCCCTGCTGCAGACATTCAGCTTTGACTAATATATTTAGAAGGTTGAAGATCAACACCTGTTCCTCTAGTGGTTCTCTCTTGTACAGTGACCTTTGCCTCACCCTGTATAAATACACACATGGTGATTAAGCTGTCAAATATCACAGGGGACTTTTTCAGGGGTGAGGACAATAAATCACTCCTGGAATTTCTCACTAATGGTCCCTCAGATGTCTGCCATTCACCTTGCCAGCTACTTCTTTGCCTACTCATTTTTATTAAGCCAGAGTCTCCAAATGGCCCACTAATGTTGTGGCATTTGAGAATTCTCTGTCAAGTATAGTGCTTGAACTAGATGATCTCTTACTAAGAGCCCTCGCAATTCTGGCATTTTATGGGCTCAAATTTCACTGCCAGCTTCCACGATTGAGGACAGATATCACATGACATTAAGTTTGTGCTTAGGAAAGTGTCAATGCTCATGTTTACTGCCACCTCAGGACTTAACATAAAGCTATTTATCAGTAGTTAATGCTGCAGTGCCTCAGGGCTTCTTTAATTGGTGGAAGAAAAGGGAAGGAAACTAACATTTATTGAGTTATCACATAGCATGTATTACCTCAGTTAAAACTTACTGCTTATGAAGGAGGTATTATTTTCCCTATTTTACAAGAAATTGGGTTTGAGAGAATTTAAGTGATTTGCTGGATGTTGCATATCTAGTAAGTAGTGGACATGAGATTCAAATTTTCAAGTCTTTCTAGTTACAAAGTCTTGCCACAACTCATTCTGCTGTCTATTTATCCATCAATTTATTCATTCATCATATATTTATTGAG
Organism: Homo sapiens; assembly: GCF_000001405.40. Taxonomy (NCBI): domain Eukaryota; kingdom Metazoa; phylum Chordata; class Mammalia; order Primates; family Hominidae; genus Homo; species Homo sapiens. Next base: position 110,587,752 of record NC_000023.11, on the reverse strand, counting down.
CACCTAATATGTGCCATACAGCCACTGTGGATACAATGGAAAATAGAATAGACAGGGTTTTTGCTCTCCAACATGGTTCATTTGCAGCATGAAATTATCCTGAATGTGGCAGACCACAGGACAATGAGCATTCCCACGACTGTAGTAAGACTCAAAACAGACAACTTGATTACAAAGGTCCTAGAGGGCCATGGTGCAATCTGGTTAATA